>NC_000005.10:137505722-138154701 GCF_000001405.40 Homo sapiens | reverse complement strand
GTTTAAGAGGATACGATTAGAAGTCACAGATCTTTTTGCCTTTAATAGAACTATATTAGGATGCTAAGGAAGAGAAGATACAGTCTTTGTGAGGCAATGGAAAGGTATTCAATTAGTCCAGGAGTTAGAACATGAAATTCCTTGTTACATGGACATGTTGCAAACAAGAAAGGAAAATAAAAAATAACATTGTAGTCCCAAAGCAGTCTGCAAACAGGCATGAGATACAAACACAAGCTCTAAAAGCTGGGAGAAGTGTGTGGAAAAGGTCCATTAAAGGACATACGTTTTGAGTTGGTAGAGAAGGTGATAAATGAGACTAGCAAACCGAATGGAAGGTGTAGGCATCTGGTGGGGGTGGTGGGTGGCAATACGGAGAAAAATGTAATTAGAACAGGGATTATACTAAGGAATAAGGAGGTGTACATGTGAGTGAAGGGAACAAAATAAGGCTAAATTTGTGGAGGACTTTGGCAGATTGAGAAATTTATATTTGAGGTGATAGCTGTTATAAAGCCTTGAGTAGAATAACTATATTTGTTGAGAGCAGATAGGATTAAAGATAGAAAAGCTGACTAGGAGACTATGGCATTTATTCAGGAAAGGATGGACACTGAGAAAACTTATTGTGGGAGAAAACTGGGAAGAGGACTTGCTTACTGAATATAAGAGAAGGAAGGGTCAAAACAGAATTGTGGGTTCTGTAGACTAAGAAAATGGTGATGGGGTCGGGTGTGGTGGCTCACGCCTGTAATCCCAGCACTTTGGGAGGCAAAGGTGGGTGGATCCCCTGAGGTCAGAAGTTCAAGACCAGCCTAGTCAACATGGTGAAACCCCGTCTCTATAAATATACAAAAATTAGCCGGGCATGGTGGTGGGCACCTGTAATCTCAGCTACTCAGGAGGCTGAGGCAGGAGAATTGCTTGAACCCAGGAAGCAGAGGTTGCAGTGAGCCGAGATTGGGCCATTGTGCTCCAGCCTGGGCAACAAGAGTGAAAGTTCGTTCAAAAAAAAAAAAAAAAAAAAAGAAAAGAAAAGAAAATGGTGATGGGGATAAGGAAATTGGGAAGAAGCAGTGATTTTGGAGATAAAGGAAATGTGATTTTTATTTTAGAAATGTTACAGCAGGTGGTAGAGCATCTAAAGGGAATTGACTTTTGGATGCATGGAGAAATGACACCAGAATTCATATAAGAAGTAAAGGTAGAGAGATTTGGGAGCCACCTGAATAGAGGTCAAAGTTGAAACCTCAAAGTATATATACATTTTTTTAAAATACATTAATAAGAAAGCAGAGGACCAAGCATGAACATAGAAGGTAGGGATTTATTGAAAGTTGTAAAAGGGAGAGGACAAAGAAAGATATAAAAAAACCAAGATAGTGGTGTAATGAGAGCAAGGGAAGATATATTTTAAGCTTAATGTTTCTCAACATCAATTTGGATATGACCAGAAGGATGCCAAAGGCAATCCTAAAGTGTGTTTTGAAGGTTTAATGGTTCATAGGTTAAAAATGTTTATACACTGAGGAAAATATCCCCTGCCCCCTCAATTTGTTTGCCTTACGGTTTAGTTATGGATGATTTGGGCTAGAGGAAAATAATTGAGCTAGCTATGCTCCAGTTCTTTCCCTTCTTTTGGTGTGAATATGAGGAATTCCAAGTAAAAATAATTATTAGGTAATATTAATGTCTCTATTATACTGTATTGTATGGTGCAATATCTCTGTTATACTGACATGGGGCTTTCTTTATTCCCAAAGACAAATATAATTTCATCTCATGTCTCCCTTCAGCAAGATTTTAATTCTTCCTAATGATGAATACTTGAATACAAATAAATTTCTGGCCCCTTATTTTTCTACTGAACTCGGGAGATGGAGATGCCTCAGGAATATTTATTTGAATGAATTTAATGCATGTTTTCCTGTGTATTTACAGATGGGACACGAGTGGGTTTGGCTGGATTCTGAACAAGATCATCCCAATGACTCTGAGTTGAGCAATGACTGCAGGTCCCTCTTCAGCTCATGGGACTCCAGTCTGGATCTTGATGTGGGCAACTGGAGGGAAACTGAGGATCCAGAGGCTGAGGAACTAGAGGAAAGCAGCCCGGAGAGAGAACCTAGTGAACTGCTTGTTGGGGATGGAGGCAGTGAGGAATCTCAGGAAGCGGCAAGGAAAGCCAGCCACCAGAACCTCCTCCACTTTCTCTCTGAGGTAACAGTGAGCTCTTATTTCCAAAGCTGGAAAAGCCTCAACTTTCTAAGAGAATGCTTATCCTTACATGCTTCTACCACTCTTAATATTGTTTACTAAAATATAAGCTCCACAGTGGCAGGGATTAAGTTCATTGCTATGTCCTCAGCACTTGGTGCTGATACAGAATATGCACCAAATACATGCTTTTTGGGCCGGGTGCAGTGGCTCACGCCTGTAATCCCAGCACTTTGGGAGGCTGAGGCCAGTGGATCACTTGAGGTTGGGAGTTCGAGACCAGCCTGGCCAACATGGTGAAACCCCATCTCTACTAAAAATACAAAAATGGCCGGGCGCAGTGGCTCATGCCTGTAATCCCAGCACTTTAGGAGGCCGAGGCGGGCGGATCACTTGAGGTCAGGAGTTCAAGACCAGCCTGGCCAACATGGTGAAACCCCATCTCTACTAAAAATACAAAAAATTAGCCGGGCGTGGTGGCGGGCGCCTGTAATCCCAGCTGCTCGGGAGGCTGAGGCAGGAGAATCACTTGAACCTGAGAGGCGGAGGTTGCAGTGAGCTGAGATCACACCATTGCACTCCAGCCTGGGCGACAGAGCGAAACTCTGTCTCTAAATAAATAAATTAATTAAAATTAAAATTAAAATTAAAAAATTAGCCGGGCTTGGTGGCATGTGCCTGTAATCCCAGCTACCTGGGAGGCTGAGGCAGGAGAATCGCTTGAACCCGGGAGGCGGAAGTTGCAGTGAGCTGAGATCGTGCCATTGGACTCCAGCCTAGGTAACAGAGCGAGACTCCGTCTCAAAAGTAAAAAAATTAAAAATAAAAAAATACATGCTTTTTGACTGAATTTCTAATACTTCAGTCATTAGGGGCCTGGGTCATAAGGACTGCTTTATGAGTATCCTTGTAATTCATGCTTTTGGAGTTGTGGGAAGTTATACTTGCCCAAATTTTCCTTGAAGCTTAAAATGCTGTAACTTTAAGGTAGTATTTTTAAGTGTCATTACCTTGGTTAAGGGCTGAGGACCAGAAATAAACAGAATTGGACAGAGAGTTATATGTATGCTGTTATTGAACACATTTAGAAGACCCTAGATCAAGATCAGCAAGCATCCATTTCAAATGTTGCCACTTCTCTCTACAAGTGTCTGTGGTAGACAAAATTTTCAACACTTTATTCTAGACAGCCACTCCCAATTGATCAGAGTTGACAGCTGAGATGAAAAAGTAGAACATAAACTCCTGGAAGAGGCAAGAACCATATCTTTCTTGTTCACTGTAGTGTCCCCACCAACCAGCCCAGTGCCTGTGTATATAAGATATTTTGGCAGATTTTAGATGATTGTATTAATTAAACCATTTTGTCCTCTCAGACTTAGTCACTGTGACAGTGTTAGCATGTGGCATTGTTGATATGTGGATGATGATTTTCAGTGGTGTTCCTGTGCATCTAATAATAAACTTTGATTGCAGGTAGCTTATTTAATGGAGCCCTTGTGCATCAGCAGCAACGAATCAAGTGAAGGCTGCTGCCCTCCATCTGGTACCAGACAAGAAGGAAGGGAAATTAAAGCTAGCGAAGGAGAAAGGGAGCTCTGCAGAGAGACTGAAGAGCTTTCAGCTAAAGGAGACCCCTTAGTAGCTGAAAAGCCACTGGGAGAAAATGGAAAGCCAGAGGTGGCTTCAGCTCCCTCAGTTATTTGTACAGTTCAGGGACTACTCACAGAGAGTGAAGAGGTAAGAAAGTAACTTAAATCAGCTGTCTTGTTGGTCTTCTGCCTAGGGAAGCAGAACAGAGTAGTTAGAGCACATAGGCTAACTCCAGAAAGTTAAACTACCTGGATCCAAATCCTGGATTTAGCACCAGTTTTAGCTGTGTTACCTTTAGCATGTTAGTGAACATTTTAGAACTTCAGTTTTCTCTGCAGAAATGCAATAATAGCACCCTATTTTGTGGGATTGCTGTGAGGTTTAAATGAGATAATTCATGTAAAGCACTTAGCACAGTGCCTGGCTTATAGTAAGCAATCAGTAAAATTTAGAATACCGTCATCATTATTAATATTATCTGGCAGGTGGGGTGCAATGGCTCATGCCTGTAATCCCAGTGCTTTGGGAGGCAGAGGCAGTAGGATCTCTTGAGCTCAGGAGTTCAAGACCAGTCTGGGCAATACAGGGAGACACCATCTCTACAAAAAACAAAAAACAAATTAGCCAGGTATGGTGGCATGTTCCTGTAGTTCCAGCTACTTAGGGGTCTCGGGGGAGCCCAGGAGTGCAAGGCTGCAGTGAGCCATGATGATGCTACTGCACTCCAGCCTGGGCAACAGAGTGAGACCCTGTCTCAAAAAAAAAAAAAAAATTATCTGGCCAGCTAGAGTAGTTAACTCCAGGGCCACAGGTGATCATGATGGTTTTTAAAGAATCCAATGAGAATTGGGCAAATAATGCTTTTCCATTTTGCTGGAGGTGAGTGGCACAGAGTCAAAGTCCTCCAGCAAGATTGTTACCAAGAACTCATTAACTTAAATCTAGTTAAGTCAGCTTTCTTTAATTTCTTTTGTAGCTTTATGTAATTGACCTCTTCTCACCTTAAGGGCAGCCTTCATTTACTCTATGCAAGTAAAATTACTATGCAGAAAGTAAATCTCCTTCTAAAGTTTCCTGTTTCCTGGCATTCCTAGGGGGAGGCTCAGCAAGAATCCAAAGGGGAGGACCAGGGTGAAGTATATGTGTCAGAGATGGAAGACCAGCCCCCTTCAGGCGAGTGTGATGATGCCTTTAACATTAAGGAGACTCCCTTGGTGGATACACTTTTCAGCCATGCTACCTCCTCAAAGCTGTAAGCGTAGACTTTCATCCAAGTTTGTTAAGATTCGTACTTCTGTTTATGCCTATTTGAATCATGAAATGGATTACTTTTATAAGTTAAAGAAAATTAGAGTTGGAAAACACAAAAAATATAATTAATTAAGTATAATTTTAACATCATATAAATAGAAGTCTATATGCTCTCCTGTTATAAAACAAATATGTTTAATCAATATTAGGACTGTCTTTCAAGGCTAGGTGTGGTGGCTCACACCTGTAATTCCAGCACTTTGGGAGGCCAAGGCAGGAGGATCCCTTGATCCCAGGACTTTGAGACCAGCCTGGGCAACATAGGGAGACCATGCCTCTACAAAATAAAAATTAAAAAAAAATTAGCCAGGTATGGTGTCACTTGTCTATAGTCTCAGGTACTCCGGAAGCTGAGGTGGGAGGATCACCTGAGCCCAGGAGGTCAAGCTGCAGTGAGCCATGATTGTGCCACTGTACTCTAGCCAAGTCTGTATCACTCCAGCCTGGGTGATGGAGCTAATATTATACAAACTATGCCTAATATACAAACTATGGTGCTTTTTTTTTCTTTAATAGAGACAGGGTCTAGCTCCATCACCCAGGCTGGAGTGCAATGGGCACGATCATGACTCACTGCAGCTTGACTTCCTGAACTCAAGGGATCCTCCCACCTCAGGCTTCCAAGTAGCTGGGAATACAGCCATGGGCCACCACACCCAGCTGATTTTTTATTTTTTGTAGACAGGGCTGGCCTTGCTATATTGCCCAGGCTTGTCTTGAACTCCTGGTTTCAAGTGATCCTCCTACCTCAGCCTCCTAAAGTGTTGGGATTACAGGCTTGAGCCACTGTGCCTGGCCCAAACTATACCTCTTTTAAAAATATTAAAATAGATTTTATGAACTTGAAATGGAAAATTATTTTGATGGAGACAAGGAAGAGGATAAAAAAATTTTTTTTTAAAGAAAAAATTAGGCCAGGCGCAGTGGCTCACACCTGTAATCTCAGCACTTTGGGAGGCAGAGGCAGGAGGATTGCTTGAGCTCAGGATTTTGAGACTAGCCTGGGCAATATAGTGAAACCTCATCTTTACAAAAAATAAACAAAATTTATTGGGTGTGGGGGCATGCACCTGTAGTCCTAGCTACACAGGAGGCCAAGGCAGGAGGACTGCTTGAACTTGGGAGGTGAAGGTTACAGTGAGCTATGATCATGTCACTACACAGCCTGGGTGACAGAGCAAGACCCTGTCTCAGAAAACAAAACAAGAAATAAAAGAGAAGAAAAAAATTATTTTGAAGTTTGTGATCTTTGTTTCTTTTTCACATCTCTTAGGGGATTGTTTATGTCAAGCTTGTCTAATCCCTAGCCTGCAGCCCAGGACAGCTTTGAATGTGGCCAAACACAAATTCTTAAAACATTATGAGATTTATGCACTGACCCTTTTTTTTTCCCTTTTTTTTTTCTTTTTTTTTTTTTTTTTCCAGCTCATCAGCTATTGTTAGTGTATTTTATGTGTGGTCCAAGACAATTCTTCTTCTTCCTCCAGTGTGGCCCAGGGAAGCCAAAAGATTGGACACCCCTGGTTTATGCAATTGTCTCATCTTTGTATAGATAATTATAGGACTAAATAACACATTTTCAAATCTTAATGGGGGCTGTTTTTTTTTAACAGGAAACCAAAAAAATATTAATTTTTTTTTTTGAGATAGGATCTCACTCTGTTGCCCAAGTTAGAGTGCAATGGCATGATCTTGGCTCACTTCAGCCTCCGCCTCCTGGGCTCAGGTGATCCTCTCACCTCAGCCTCATGAATAGCTGGGAACACAGATGTGCACCACCACAACCAGCTGATTTTTTTGTATTTTTGTTAGAGACAGGGTTTCATCACATTGACCAGACTGGTCTCAAACTCCTGGACTCAAGCGATCCCCTGCCTTGGCCTCCCAAAGTCCTGGGATTATAGGCATGAACTACTGCATCTGGCATGAAGTGAATTACTTTTTAAAGCAGAAAAACAAAGTTGTTTTTATCTGTGACTCCTGGCCTCAAGTGATTCTCCTGCCTCAGCCTTTCAAAGTGCTGAGATTATAGGCATGAGCCACTACGTCCAGCAAAGTTATTTTTGTTATGGTAATAAATAAATTGTTCTTTTTCCAGCCTGTGTCAGATCCATCTGTTGAGAGAATATAGTATGAACTGTTTTTTTTTTCTTCAGTATATCCCAGATCCACCCAGTTGTCTGTGGAAAGGTAAAACTAATAATTATTCTAGTGTTTTTTTGTTTAAGATATACAGCTGAACCATGCATATATTTATATATGAATATATATATATATATATTTTTTGAAGAGCAGATTTCTTTTTTTTCTCATAGAGACAGGGTCTTGCTTTGTTGCCCAAGCTGGGTCTTGAACTCCTGGCTTCAAGCAATCCCACCTCAGCCTCCCAAAGTACTGGGATTATAAGCCTGAGCCACTGTGCCCAGCCTAGATTTCAATTTTTGGTACACAAATAGGATACAGTTTAAAATGTAGATTGGTGAGGAATGCCTTCATTTGCTTTTCTTTAACTCCTTAAGTATGAGCAATAGAGTGCAGAGATGACATACTGTGACTGTACAAACAGCAGGAAATCTGCAATCTGAGACTTTTTTTTTTTTTTTTTTTTTTTGAGACGGAGTTTCGCTCGGTCGCCCAGGCTGCAGTGCAGTGGCGTGATCTCGGCTCACTGCAAGCTCTGCCTCCTAGGTTCACACCATTCTCCTGCCTCAGCCTCCCAAGTAGCTGGGACTACAGGCACCCGCCACCACGCCCAGCTAATTTTTTGTGTATTTTTAGTAGAAACGGGGTTTCACCGTGTTAGCCAGGATGGTCTCAATCTCCTGACCTTGTGATCCGCCTGCCTCGGCCTCCCAAAGTGCTGGGATTACAGGCGTGAGCCACCACACCGGGCCCAATCTGAGACATCTTATCTCATGACAGTTCATAGTCTTGGATGGTAAATTCCACATTCTTACCTTACAATTTAGATTAAATATGAAATCTTTATTAGAAAGCAGTAGATATCCAGCCTGGGCAACGTAGTGGGACCTTGTCTCTACAACAAATACAGAAATTAGCTGCAGGGCGTGGTGGCATGTGCCTGGAGTCCCAGCTACTTGGGAGGCTGAGGCAGGAGGATCGCTTGAGCCCAGCAGGTTGAGGCTGCAGTAAGCCACGATCACACTACTGCACTCCAGCCTGGGCAACAGAGCAAGACCCTGTCTCAAAAAAAAAAAAAATTGGCTGGGCATGGTGGTTCATGCCTGTAATCCCAGCACTTTGGGAGGCTGAGGCGGGTGGATCACTTAAGGCCAGGAGTTTGAGACCAGCCTGGCCAACATGGCAAAACCCCGTCTCTATGGAAAATACAAAAATTAGTTGGGTGTGGTGGTATGCAACTTTAGTCCCAGCTACTTGGGAGGCTGAGGCAGGAGAATCGCTGGAACCCGGGAGGCAGAGGTTGCAGTGAGCTGAGATCATGCCACTGCACTCCAGCCTGGGCAACAGAGCAAGACTCTGTCTCAGAAAAATAAAATTAAAAAATTAAAAGAGAAAACAATAGATATTAATAACTAAGTCTGCTTGGCCAGATAAGGGGAGATAAAAAGCTTCAGATATTAATTAGGAGCATGTCTTAAGAAAACCTCATTACCCACCTGGGGGAGATAGAATATTATTTGTGAAGTTACTGTCTCTTTTCTTCATGTTTTATCCTCATAGGACTGATCTAAGCCAGGATGACCCTGTTCAGGATCATTTGCTATTTAAGAAGACTCTCCTGCCAGTCTGGAAGATGATTGCCAGTCACAGGTAGGTCTCCAAAGTGGTAATAGGATTATGTTCAGAGCTGAAGCAGTAATACATATTGGGGTTTAAGCATAAAAGGAGATATGTTCATCCCTCAAATGAGCCATAGTTGAAAGGTAGATTCTGTATCTAAGCCCGATTTATCCCAAAGTACCCACAGCTGCTTTCACAAGTCTGTACAAGAAATAGTTGCTGTGCCATTTGAGTTGCCTCTAGAAATTGGTTCCTACTACATGATAAAATTTATATTTAAAATGTATATTCTTCTTTTCAATCTGGTGGATTCTCTTTTTTCACAGAGACAGGGCCTTGGGAACTTTGAACAAATTTCTGAGCCCTAAATCAGTATATTGTAATAATAGTGAAATATTTTATAGTTTTGTGTTTTTTTTAACTCTCTGGCAAGAGGGAACAAATAGATTTTTTCCTAATGGTGCTGACAGTCTGCATTCCCCTAAAGGAAGTCTACTAAGAACTGAGCTACTCTTCTCCTTCAGAGTGCCTTGCCAGGGTTTCTTTATCCTCTCTGGGTTTGTCCCTTAACAGGTTCAGCAGTCCATTTCTGAAGCCTGTGTCAGAAAGGCAGGCCCCAGGGTACAAGGATGTGGTGAAAAGGTCAGTGAAAAAGGGGTCAAGAAAGGTTGGTTGCTTTTATATCTGCCTTTTCATTTTTTATTTCCCATCTGTTAGATTATTTTTATAACTTACAAACTCAAGATATGTTTCATAGCCAAACAAGTTTATAAAGTTATGATGAGCTCAGTATCATATCTTCATTTAAGAAGGAATGCAGGGAACAAAAGGATGATATAGGCTTTTTATTTTGTACTATTGACTTTTAAGTAATATGATCCATTCTATATATATATATATTTTTTTTTTTTTTTTTTTTTGACAGGGTCTCACTCTGTTGCCCAGGCTGGAGTGCAGTGGTACAGTCTTGGCTCACTGCAACATCCTCTTCCCAGGCTCAGCTATTCTCCAGCCTCAGCCTCCCAAGTAGCTAAGACTACAAGCATGAGCCATCACGTCCGGCTAATATTTGTATTTTTTGTAGAAACGGAGCTTTGCCATGTTGCCCAGGCTGGTCTTGAACTCCTGAGCTCAAGCAATCCACCTGCCTAGGCCTTCCAAAGGCTGGGATTATAGGTGTGAGCCTTGGTGTCCAGCCTGATCATTAATTATAATCTTAAATTAGCCTTTGGTTGTTTTTGACACTATTCTTTTGGAGCAAAACTTTAAAAGGAACCCTGTATTTATTCAGTTAGTTATAGGTATAGTAAGGCACAGATGTCGATCCAAATGGAAGTTATGAACATTGGTTGATTGTAGTATTGTGTCCGGAATTGGTTCCTTCCGGTGGGTTCTTGGTCTCGCTGACTTCAGGAATGAAGCTGCAGACTCTCGTGGTGTTACAGTTCTTAAAGATGGTGTGTCCAGAGTTTGTTCCTTCGGATGTTCAGATGTGTCCGGAGTTTCTTCCTCCCGGTGGGTTTGTGGTCTCGCTGAGTTCAGGAGTGAAGCTGCAGACCTTCACAGCGAGTGTTACAGCTCTTAAAGGTGGCGCCTCTGGAGTTGTTCGTTCCTCCCAGTGGGTTGGTGGTCTCGCTGGCTTCAGGAGTGAAGCTGCAGACCTTGGCGGTGAGTGTTACAGCTCTTAAAGGTGGTACATCCGGAGTTGTTTATTCCTCTTGTTGGGTTCGTGGTCTTGCTGGCTTCAGGAGCGAAGCGGCTGACCTTCACGGTGAGTGTTACAGTTCATAAAGGTAGTGCGGACCCAAAGAGTGAGGAGCAGCAAGATTTATTGCGGAGTGAAAGAACAAAGCCTCCACAGTGTGGAAGGGGACTCCAGCGGGTTGCCACTGCTGCCTTGAGGGGCCAGCTTTTATTCCCTTATTTGGCCTCCTCCACATCCTGCTGATTTGTCCATTTTACATAGTACTGATTGGTCCATTTTACAGAGTGCTGATTGGTCCATTTTTATAGAGTGCTGATTGGTGCGTTTACAAACCTTTTTTGGTGCGTTTTTACAGAGTGCTGATTGGTGCATTTACAAAGCTTTAGCTAGACACAGAGCGCTGATTGGTGCATTTACAAATGTTTAGCTAGACACAGAGCGCTGATTGGTGCGTTTTTACAGAGTGCTGATTGGTGTGTTTACAAACCTTTAGCTAGATACAGAGCACTGATTGGTGTGTTTACAATCCTTTAGCTAGACAGAAAAGTTCTCCAAGTCCCACCCAACCCAGAAGCCCAGCCAGCTTCACCTCTCAGTATTTTGGGATTTTATTTTTATTTTTTATTTAAAAAAATTTTTTTGAGACAGGGTCTCACTCTGTTGCTGGAGTGCAGTGGTGCAATCATGGTTCACTGCAGCCTTGACCTCCTGGGCTCAAGCAATCTTCCCACTTCAGCCTCCGGAGTAGCTGGGACTACAGGCATGTGCCACTGCACTTAGCTAATTTTTAAATTTATTATTTTTTAAATTTTTACTTACTATTATTTTTTGAGACAGGTCTCACTCTGTTGCTCAGGCTGGAGTGCAGTGGCACATTTCTTGGATAACTGAGCCTCAACTGCCCAGGTTCAAGCAATCCTTCCACCTCAGCCTCCCTAATAACTGGGTCTAGAGGTGTGTGCCACCATGCCCGGCTAATTTTTGTATTTTTTATAGAGATAGAGTTTCACCATGGTGCCCAGGCTTGTCTCAGACTCCTGGGCTCATGCAGTTCACCCACCTCAGCCTCCCAAAGTGCTGGGATTACAGGTGTGAGCCACTGTGCCTGGCCTGATATTTTTATTATAATAAAATATTTTCTTTGTTTGAAATGTTATTAATAACTTTATTTTTCTTCAGAATATCACTGAGGAGGAATTTTTAAATTTTTTGTAGATATGGGGTCTCACTAGATTGCCCAGGTTGGTCTTAAGCTCGTAGTCTCAAGCAATCCTCCCACCTCAGCCTTCCAAAATGCTGGGATTACAGGCAGGTAATCCTAGCCTATTTTGGATTTTTTTTTTTTTTTTTTTTTGAGACAGTCTTGCTCTGTCACCAGGCTGGAGTGCAGTGATGAGATCTCGGCTCACTGCAACCTCCGCCTCCCGGGTTCAAGTGATTCTCCTGCCTCAGCCTCCTGAGTAGCTGGAACCACAGGCACACGTCACCACGCCCAGCTAATTTTTGTATTTTTAGTAGAGACAGGGTTTCACTATGTTGGCCAGGATGGTCTCAATCTCTTGACCTCGTGATCCGCCTGCCTCGGCCTCCCAAAGTGCTGGGATTACAGGCTTGAACCACTGTGCTCGGCCTATTTTGGGTTTTTATAGCATAGGTCATCTAAAATGCTGTCATAAACCTGTATGGTAATAGAATGTAAAAGATCATGATAGGACCTTTGGAGAGTCACTAGTCTGTGCTGCTATAGCACAATACCACAGGCTGGATAATTTATAAATAATAGAAATCTATGTTTCTTTGTTTTGGTTCTGGAGGCTGGGAAGTGCAAGATCAAGGCATTGGTAGTTTTGGTGTGTGAGGTGGGTTACTCTCTGCTTCTGCTTCTAAGATGATGCCTTGTTGTTGTATTCTGCAGAGGGGACGAATGCTGTATCCTCACATGGCAGAAGGGACAGAAGGATAAGAGGGCACTCTCTTCGATATGGAGCCCTTTTATAAGGATGCTAATCCCATTCATGAAGGCAGAGCACTCATGAATTAATTACCTCCCAAAGGCTCCACCTCTTAATACTGTTGCACTTGGGATTAAGTTTCAACATGAATTTTGGAGGGGATACCATCATTCAAACAGCAGAGACAATGATACCATCATTCAAACAGCAGAGACAAACTTCTTTAGGAATGAGGAAACTAAAGCTCAGAGGTGCTTGGTCATGACTTGCTCGTGATCAACCAACAGTTAATAGCAGAGCTAGAACTAAGCCCCAGATTCTTACCTGCAGTTCAGTCTTCTTTCTACACTGCTGTGCCTTCTCTTATATATCTACTTTCTGTGTCTCATTAATATTGTCTTAATATTCACTTGATCCTTTTTTCATCTCCATGAAAGGAGAAAAAAATTATTCTTAGCTTTTTATTTGTGCAGTAAGAGAAGTAGATGAAATAATATATGACTATACATTGTAAACAGCAAATAACTACTGTGTGATAAACTGATGATTGGTGCTCTTTACAACTTTGATACCTGGGGCCAGCACTCCTCCTCTGATAGTAGAATATAGTGGCTTGACCTGTGGGCTCTGGAGTCAGGCTGCCTCTGAATTGGAATTCAGGCTGTGTGCCTTTCAGTGAGTACTTAACCTCTTTAGATTTCAATTTCTTCATCTGTGAAATGGAGATAATAAGGCCGGGGGCGGTGGCTCACACTTGTAATCCCAGTACTTTGGGAGGCCAAGGAAGGTGGATCCCCTGAGGCTAGGAGTTCGAGACTAGCCTGACCAACATGGTGAAACCCTATCTCTACTAAAAATACAAAAATTAGCTGGGCATGATGGCGCACGCCTGTAATCCCAGCTATTCTGGAGGCTGAGACAGGGGAATTGCTTGAACCTGGAAGGTGGAAGTTGCAGTGAGCTGAGATTGCTCCATTGCACTCCGGCCTGGGCAACAAGAGTGAAACTCCGACTCAAAAAAAAAAAAAATGAGATATTAATGATACCTACCTTACAGGTTTATTGAGAGGATTAAGTGAGTTAGTATAGAAATACAGTGTTTGGCCCATTGTAAACAGGCAAATATTAACTGCTGTTGCTATTTTATTATCTGATGAGGGTTGTTATCTTTGCTACTGTTTTCATTAAGAACTGGTTAGTTCTTCAAGAGAACGTGTTAGGTTATCATATGTTCCACATGAAGGTTTGATTTTCTTTGTTTTTTCTTGGCCACCTGCAGACCCATGGACTTAACTAGCCTGAAGAGAAATCTCTCTAAGGGTCGGATTCGCACCATGGCCCAATTCCTGCGAGACCTGATGCTGATGTTCCAAAATGCTGTAATGTACAATGACTCTGATCATCATGTATACCATATGGCTGTGGAGATGCGGCAAGAAGTCCTGGAGCAGATTCAGGTACTGTATGCAGATACCTGTAGCCTCTGGAATCTTGATTTCAGAACGCCTATGAGAATAAAGGTGATTTCGAGGTGACTGTGTTCTCAGAGTTTATTTTTAAAGGTGATTAAGGCCCTGAAGGATTGATAATGTGCCTGCTGGTTTGGAAAACCCTGAGCCTCAGTAAGTCCAGCTCTGATAGTGAAGTAGTCTAGGAATGCAGGCAGCAGTGAAGAGCTCTCAAGAGAGCTGAGGATAGACAAGTAATGGGAATTCCCGCTTCCAGAGCCTCAAGTCAAGGGCTAAACTCCAAAGAGGCTGGAGTCACTGTGTATTTTTTGGTTGCTTCATCTGTTGTTATTAATGTACGTTCACACTTTCCCATCTTTAGGGGATAAGATATAGTAGCTAGAAGACATTTGTGGGTTTCTTTTCTGGGTAGCATCATACTTTAAAGAAAAAAGTATAGTTGAGTCTATTTGCCAAAAAAATAAACTTGCAATACTTTAGTGTTTAAGGTTCATAATAGCTTGCTATGTGTTCCTTAACCCTTTAGGTACTGAATATCTGGTTAGACAAAAGAAAAGGCTCAAGTAGTCTGGAAGGAGAACCAGCTAACCCAGTGGATGATGGAAAACCTGTTTTCTAACCTGGAGCTGCTATCCTGACTTTTTCTAGAGTTTGAATCTCTCCCGGAACTCTGACCTAGAGAGGATCCTGGTACTTCTTTGCCATGTCCTCATTTTCTTTTCCAACAAGAATAATACCTTAACTCACAACCAACGAGTCAAAGATGCATGTGGACATAATATAAAGAAAAAAAGGGGAAGCTGAGGTTTGGATTTATGCCATAAATGTTGCCCACATCTTTGTTCCATCGGCTTGATTTAAAGACAATTCCATTAGATCTTTTCTAAGCCTTTTACTCTATAAATAAATGTATTTACACAATAGGAATATTGCTTTTTAATGACTAGATAAGCTGGGCATAGAGGGCACAGCATCATCTGGTGAAACGAAGGTATCTGACACGGGTCATTTACATATACCGCCTGGAAAGGAATGGTTGGGGGAGGGGTTCTTATCATTTATAGAGTAGGGATAATTGAAGCATCCTTCAAACGGGAAGAAGGATGAAATAAGATAAATTATGAGTAAAATGTCAGAAAACATCTAGTGCTCTAAGATTCACAAGGAGAATAAAAGTGACTGGCTGGCTCCCTTTGGTTAAAACGAACTGGCCAGAAGCTGCAAGGTTCCTTGCTGGGATTGGCTCTCTGCAGCCACCGTCCCCACGCTGGGGCTTCAGGTCTCCTAGCAACAAGTTGTACCATATGAGGACGGCCGCTGAGGTGAGTACTTAGAGAGGGTCAAATTCAGAATTTGCAGGTGCAACCCGGAAAGTCCCCGCGGACCTAGAGGCCCTGCTTTTCAATTAGCCTGACCCTATGCACAGAGAGGTCCCTGCGGGACAGGGTCGCTTCACAGAGGCAGCTGGCCGAGGCCGCTCACCCGCCGCTGTAATGGTGTGTGGTTGCCCACCAGCCACCGTCCCCTCGAGCCCCCACCACCCGCTCTACCGCCCCCTCGAGCCCCCACCACCCGCCCCACCGCCCTCTGCTGCCTGGGGCTGTTGCTGGTTCCAGGCCTTCGGGTCGCCCCTTGGCCTCTGGTTATGTGAGCCCATAGTCCTTCCTGCCTTGGTGACATCGTATACGAAAAGCCGGGGCTCGATTTGGACATAGTAGGAATCCTATTATTGAGACCCTGTATATAGAAAAACATGGCAGTTTCTACCTTCATCAGTTAATAAAATCAAGTACCTACTATTGCTATTCTTAATCATAATTACATTGAATTTGCGATGGGGGTGGGGGGAAATGCATGTCATTGCAGTTGATACCTGTTAAGAAACTCTTAATTTGTGCCCTGAAAAGCCATAATGGAGATATCAATGCCTCCACCTCAGATATATGTAGAAAAAACTCTGGCCATTATCAAACCAGATATTGTTGACAAAGAGGAGGAGATACAAGATATTATTCTTAGATCCGGATTCACCATTGTTCAGGTAACTTCTGGGTATGATGATTCATGCTTTTTTCCTCTCTGCCCTTAAAAAAAAAATGCTTATGTAAATGTGCCTACCCATTTAAACCCTTAGTGTTCAGCATTAAATTTAAGTTTATTCTTCTAAGTATAAAAGTTATATGTGATAGTTTTTAAAAGGATGTAAAATGAGAAATAAAATGGACTTTTCCTTCACCTGTCCTCTTTTACCCCAAGTCCCAGGCTCCAGAGAGAGGCAACCACTTAACACTTTCTGTTCTTCCAGGAGTTTTCTATGCATTTATAAACATTTTCCCCCCATAAAACAGAACAGTCCCTTTCCCTTGACCCCTTTACAGAGTCCCTCAGATAGGATTCCAGATCATTGCATCTGAATTGATCTCACTCTTCCTAATTTCTGTGTAATATTTCCCTGTGTATTAGAACTACAATTTATTTACTTGATCTTCTATTGATGGAATTTTAGGCTATTGGTACTTTTTTCAGTTATGGCATAACATTTAATGTTTTAAGCCTTATGTTCTGCAATTAGTAAACATTGTCATTCTAGGGGTTTGAAAGTGAATATAAATAGCATTGTTAAGGATAAATCAAATAGAATTGAATATTTTTAATCTTCCTCTTTTATAGTTTTTTTTTCTTTTTTTTGAGACAGAGTCTCCCTCTGTAGCCCAGACTGGAGTGCAGTGGTACGATCTCGGCTCACTGCAACCTCTGCCTTCCAGGTCCCGGTTCAAGCAATTCTCCTGCCTCAGCCTCCTGAGTAGCTGGGATTACAGGCATGCACCACCATGTCCAGCTAATGTTTGTATTTTTAGTAGAGACGGGGTTTTACCATGTTGGCCAGGGTGGTCTTGAACTCCTGACCTCGTGATCCACCCGCCTCGGCCTCCCAAAGTGCTGGGATTACAGGTGTGAGCCACTGCACCCCGCCTCTTTTACAGTATTCTCATTCGAACTTCCAATTTTTTATTTTCTCCCATTTATACAGTGTCATATTGCTTATTCAGTCAGTATTTTTAAAAATAAAGAGAAAATGGCGGGTACGGTGGCTCACGCCTGTAATCCCAGCACTTTGGGAGGCCGAGATGGGTGGATCATAAGGTCAGGAGTTTGAGACCAGCCTGGCCAATGTGGTGAAACCCCATCTCTATGAAAAATACAAAAATTAGCTGGGCGTGGTGGCGTGCACCTGTAGTCCCAGCTACTTGGGAAGCTGAGGCAGGAGAATCGCTTGAACTCAGGAGGCAGAGGTTGCAGTAAGCCAAGACTACGCCATTGTACTCCAGCCTGGGCAATAGAGGGAGATCTGTCTCAAAAAATAAATAAATAAATAAAGAGAAAATATCAATCTTCAGAAAAGATACGGAATTTCAGTTGAGCTTCAAAGGACAGGTGGAGTCCGAGAGTAGGGATGGCACAAGAAAGTGTTAGGAAGTATTTAATATGATTAAAGACTCAGGTAAATAACTTTTTAGTAAATGTTAGGAAAACTGGTAGCCACTGAAAAATTTGGATCAAGTATTATATACCAGGATAAACTCCAAATAAACCTGAGATCTACATATTAAAAAAATTAAACCATGTAAGTTCAGGAAGAAAAGATAATGGATTTATTTTGTTGTTGGAGTAGGACAGCCTTTTTTTTTTTTGTTATGACTTAAGGTCTAGGAGCCATGGAAGAAAAGATTGATAAGATTATATCAACAAGGCCAGGCACGGTGGCTCATGCCTGTAATCCCAAAACTTTGGGAGGCCAAGGTGAGTTGATCACCTGAGGTCAGGAGTTTGAGACCAGCCTGACCAACATGGAGAAACCCCATCTCTACTAAAAAATACAAAATTAGCCAGGCGTGGGGGCGCATGCCTGTAATCCCAGCTACTCAGCAGGCTGAGGCAGGAGAATCGCTTGAACATGGGAGGCGGAGGTTGCCGTGAGCCGAGATCGTGCCATTGTGCTCCAGCCTGGGCAACAAGAGCGAAACTCTCGAAAAAAAAAATTTTTTTAATTTAAAAAAAGATTATATAAACAAAAAATTTCTGCACAATGAAATAAACACCATAAGCAAAGTCAAAACACAACAAACTTGGGAAAAAGATTTGCAACTCATAGACAAAGGGCTTGTCTTCTTAATACATAAAGAGCTCCTAGAAAAAGATAAAAATAAATTAGTAGAAAAATGGGCAGAACAGATGGATGGTCACAGAAAAGGAAAAACATTTTTTAAATATATGAAAAGATGCTCAATCTTTAGGTGGGAAAAAAAGCAAGTTAAAACTACACTGAGATTCCATTTGGCAAAAATATAAAAGTAAATGGCACAACCCCTATCAAAGGGAATCTGGCAGTTATCTACCAATACAACAGATGGACTTACCATTTGATCCAGCAGTTCTGCTCTTGGAAATCTGTCCTATAGAATTCCTTGTGCTCTTACTACCTGTCATGCGCAGAGCCCTGTTTAGTCCCATCAGTAGGTGCCTGTATTAATATGAAGTGATATATATGCAGGTTATTTTTTGCAGCATTGTTTACTTATCAACAAAAGATTGAAAATAACCCAGGTTGGGAGATTGGGAGACAGGACTAAATAAACTCTGGAAAACCCATCAAATTGCATAATATGCAACTAATTGTAAATAGAAGAATGAGGAACCTGTCTGTACTGTTAACGGAAGAAAGCAAAGTGTGTAGCAAAAAGAACAAAATAGCAAAAAAAACACAAAATCATGTGTACCAACCTTTTGTGATAGAGACAAAGTAATATATTCATGTTTGCCAATATTTGAAAAATGGAATTCTGGGGAAATAAACATTTAAAAAGGGTTGCCTATTGAGGGCAAGGAAGAACTGAGTAGATTAGGAAATGGATAGGAATAAGATTTTTCAGTATATACCTTTTTGTCTTGCTTTGAATTTTTGAATCCTGTAATTATATTACCCATTAACTTTAGAAAAAATAAATGAAGTATACAGATAAAGGCGTCCCATTTAAGTTTTTTAAAAGTCCGTATTTTGCCCGGGTGCAGTGGCTCATGCCTGTAAACCCAGCACTTTGGGAGGCCAAGGCGGGTGGATCACCTGAGGTCAGGAGTTGGAGACCAGCCTGACCAACATGGTGAAACCCCGTCTCTACTAAAAATATGAAAATTACCTGGGTGTGGTGGCACGTGCCTGTAATCTCAGCTACTGGGGAGGCTGGGGCAGGAGAATGGCGTGAACCCGGGAGGCGGAGGTTGCAGTGAGTCAAGATCGTGCCATTGCACTCCAGCCTGGGCGACAGAGGGAGACTCTGTCTTGAAAAAGAAAAAAAAGTCCTTTTTTTTTTTTTTGAGACGGAGTCTCGCTCTGTGTCGCCCAGGCTGGAGTGCAGTGGCGCAATCTCGGCTCACGGCAAGCTCCGCCACCCAGGTTCACGCCATTCTCCTGCCTCAGCCTCCCGAGTAGCTGGGACTACAGGCACCCTCCACCACGCCCAGCTAACTTTTTGTATTTTTAGTAGAGACGGGGTTTCACTGTGTTAGCCCGGATGGTCTCGATCTCCTGACCTTGTGATCCACCTGCCTCGGCCTCCCAAAATGCTGGGATTACAGGCGTGAGCCACTATGCCCGGCCAAAAAAGTCCATATTTTAAAAAATATTTAGTGACGGCCGGGCGCGGTGGCTCACGCCTGTAATCCCAGCTCTTTGGGAGGCCGAGGCGGGCAGATCACAAGGTCAGGAGATTGAGACCACAGCGAAACCCCGTCTCTACTAAAACTACAAAAAATTAGCCGGGCGCAGTGGCGGGCACCTGTAGTCCCAGCTACGAGGCAGGAGAATGGCGTGAACCCGGGAGGTGGAGCTTCCAGTGAGCTGAGATCGCGCCACTGCACTCCAGCCTGGGTGACAGAGCGAGACTCCGTCTCAAAAAAAAAAAAAAGTGACAAACTTAATAATTAAGTGGCTAGTGTTAATTATAAATTAAAAATTAGCCGGCCGTGGTGGCTCAATCCTGTAATCACAGCACTTTGGGAGGATGAGGCGGGTGGATCACCTGAGGTCAAAAGTTCAAGACCACCCTGGCCAATGTGGTGAAACCTTATCTCTACTAAAAATCCAAAATTAGGGCTGGGTGCGGTGGCTCATGCCTGTAATCCCAGCACTTTCAGAGGCCGAGGTGGGTGGATTACCTGAGGTCAGGAGTTCGAGACCAGCCTGGCCAACATGGTGAAGCCCCATTTCTACTAAAAACACAAAAATTAGCCGGGCGTGGTGGTGGGAGCCTGTAATCCCAGCTACTCAGGAGGCTGAGGCAGGAGAATCGCTTGAATCTGGGAGGCGGAGGTTGCAGTGAGCTGAGATTTCACCACTGCACTCCAGCCTGGGCAACAAAGCAAGACTCCATCTCAAAAAACAAACAAACAAAAATCAGCTGGGCGTGGTGGCGCATGCCTGTAATCCCAGCTACTCAGGAGGCAAGGCTGGAGAATCACTTGAACCCGGGAGGCGGAGGTTGCAGTGAACTGAGATTGTCTGGGCAATGTACTGAGACCAGAAAAAACAAACAAACAAAAAAATTTAATGTAAATATATATGACACTTTCCCTAGTTAGTAACTTTCAGAGCAAAGGCAGCCATGGTACATCCTTCATTTTTTGCTTTAATTGCGGTAAAATATACACAACATAAAATTTACCATTTTAACCGTTTTTAAGTGTACATTTCAGTTGCATTAAGTACATTCACATTGTTGTACAACCATCACTACTGTCCATTTCTAGAACCTTTTCATCTTAAACTGAAACACTCTACCTAATGCTAACTCGTTGCTTCCCTCTTCCCCATCCCCGATAACCACTATTCTACTTGCTGTCTGTAGGAATTTGACTATTCAAGCTATCTAATTTAAGTGAAATTATGCAAGTTTTGTCCTTTGCACTGTATGCTTTTAAAATAGGCTTGGGAGTCCAATGAACTTGAGGCTTTCCTGTCCCACTTAAGGGAAAAGCTGAAAAATGATATGTCATTTCAGTAGATGGCAGTGTTGCCTTTGTTACAAACTAAGAGTTCTGTTCTGATAGTACTTGGTATCACTGCTTCTCTGTGAAAATATTCAACCTAATTTCAGATGAGATCGGGTGTGTTCAGGGTGGTATGGCTGTAGACTATTCAACCTAATTTCAAAAAATTTCACCTGATCCAGTTTTAAAGCAACCAATGGAATAATTGATTTAGTATCAATTTTATTTAAAGATGAACCCTTAAGGCCGGGCGCGGTGGCTCACGCCTGTAATCCCAGCACTTTGAGAGGCCGAGGCGGCAGATCATGAGGTCAGGAGATCAAGACCATCCTGGCTAACACGGTGAAACCCCGTCTCTACTAAAAATACAAAAAAAAAAAATTAGCCGGGCGTGGTAGCAGGCTCCTGTAGTCTCAGCTACTCCGGAGGCTGAAGCAGGAGAATGGCGTGAACCCAGTAGGCGGAGCTCGCAGTGAGCCGAGATCGCGCCACTGCACTCAAGCCTGGAGGACAGAGTGAGATGAGACTCCGTCTCAAAAAAAAAAAAAAAGATGAACCCTTAATTTTAAAAATTGTGCTACATTGGCTGGCATACCTGCAGAAGGTAGGTTCCCCTGCTTTTTAAGGGGCAAGTGGCAGATAAGGGCTTACATTACAACAGATGAGATTTTATTTTTAAACTCAGCAAGAAAAAACAAAAAAAAAAAACGCTAATACGCATAATCATAGTTTCATGTCTTAATTTTAGATAATAGAATGGAGGATTATGCTAAATCAGGTGCTCTTGTAATTTCTCACATCTTTTATTTAATCGCTGTATGAATTTCAATTTGAGAACAAATGTCAGCACCTTTTTCATAGTAACTGGCCCTTCACTGGTGAGAATCCAGTGGGTCCTATTCATAGCAGAGCTATGCCACCTAGGTAAGCGTGTTCCTAAACTTCTTGCTCTGGGCGGTTTGGTCCCTTGCTACAAACCAAGCAATTTTACCAAGTTTCTGAAGCCTGCGGAGACACGGAATTTTGGAAAGGGCTTTAAGAGGTGAGTTACTTGGTAAAATTCACACTTACTCTCAGGAAAATCTAAGACATTTTAGAAAGACAGATTTCTGCCATAATCATGGAGATTTTTAGCCTTCACTTAGTGACATATCTCCATTTTTCATCATCCTTACTGCAGGCAGAGGTTCTTTGATTTCTACTTTGAATCCCTCTGTTATATTTTGAGCATTTTCTCTCCTCACCCACCTTTAGTGGAATTGAAAAAACAGCAGTAATAAATAATTTTTTTTTTCTTTTGAGACCAAGTCTCACTCTGTTGCCCAGGCTGGAGTGCAATGGCATGATTTCGGCTCACTGCAACCTCTGCCTCCTGGGTTCAAGCAATTCTCGTGCCTCAGCCTCCCGATTAACTGAGACTACAGGTGTGCACCACCAATTTTTGTATTTTTTGTAGAGACGGGGTTTCTGCGTGTGGCCCAGGCTGGTGTTGAACTCCTGGACTCAAGCAGTCCGCCTGCCTCGGTCTCCCAGAGTGCTGGGATTAGAGGCATGAGCCACCGAGCCTGGCCAGCAGTAATAAATAATTTTTTAAAAGCTCTCAAGGCCGGGCGCGGTGGCTCACACCTGTAATCCCAGCACTTTGGGAGGCCAAGGTGGGCAGATCATCTGAGGTCAGGAGTTCAAGAGCAGCCTGGCCAACAAAGCGAAAAACCTGTCTCTACTAAAAATACAAAAATTAGCCAGGCATGGTGGCAGGCACCTATAATCCCAGCTACTCAGGAGGCTGCGGCAGGAGAATCACTTGAATCCAGGAAGTGGAGGTTGCAGTGAGCCAAGATCACACCACTGCACTCTATCTAGCCTGGGTGACAGAGCAAAACTCCGTTTCAAAAAAATAAAAAAAAAAAAAAGCACTCAAAATAGCTGCTTCTAGAGAAAGCATGAGTTTCAAATTAGACTGAGCTACCATGATTTTTTAAACCTGATTAATTTTTATAGTCTCATTTGTGAAGGAAATAACATCTATTTGTCCAGAGTGTTTCATACTCTTTCAGATTGAGAAACATACTAGCATCTAATTTTTTTTTTTTTTAGACAGAGTCTCATCCTGTTACCCAGGCTGGAGTGCAATGGTGCTATCTCAATCTTGGCTCACCACAACTTCTGCCTCCTGGGTTCAAGCAATTCTCATGCTTCAGCCTCCTGAGTAGCTGGGATTACAGACATGCACCACCACGCCTTACTAATTTTTGTATTTTTTTTTTTTGACGGAGTTTCACTCTTGTTGCCCAGGCTGGAGTGCAGTGACACGATCTTGGCTCACTGCAACCTCTGCCTCCCGGGTTCAAGTGATTCTCCTGCCTCAGCCTCCCAAGCACCTGGGATTATAGGTGCCCGCCACCACGGCTGGCTAATTTTTTTTTTTTTTTTTTTTTTTTTTTAGCAGAGACGGGGTTTCATCATGTTGGCCAGGCTGGTCTTGAACTCCCGACCTCAGGTGATCCACCCACCTCGGCCTCCCAAAGTGCTGGGATTACAGGCGTGAGTCACTGCGCCTGGCCTAATTTTTGTATTTTTAGTAAAGATGGGGTTTCACCATGTTGGCTAGGCTGGTCTCAAACTCCTGACCTCAGGTGATCCACCTGCCTTGTCCTCTCAAAGTGCTGGGATTACAGGAATGAGCCACCACACCCGACCTAATTTTTCTTTTTTCTTTTTTTTAGACGGAGTCTCGCTCTGTCACCCAGGCTGGAGTGGAGAGGTGCAATCTTGGCTCCCTGCAACCTCTGCCTCCCGGGTTCAAGCTGTTGGCCTGCCTCAGCCTTCCGAGTAGCTGGGACTACAGGCGCGTGCCACCACACCTGGCTAATTTTTTGTATTTTCGGTAGAGACGAGATTTCACCATGTTCACCAGGCTAGTCTCGAACTCCTGACCTCAGGTGATCCACCCACCTCGGCCTCCCAAAGTGCTGGGATTACAGGCGTGAGCTACCGCGCCTGGCCTGATTTTTGTATTTTTAGTAGAGATGGGGTTTCACTATGTTGGCCAGACTGTTCTCGAACCCCTGACCTCAAGTGATCTGCCTGTCTTGGCCTCCCAGAGTGTTGGGATTACAAGCCTGAGCCACCATGCCTGGCCTAATTTTTCTTAATGTTACAGTGAATCAAGATATTTATGACAGAACCAGAATAAAGAACACACGTTCAAATGAAAAACTTTTTACTGCATCATTATACTACATGTTACTTTTTTTGTTAGTTTGTTTGATACAGGGTCTGCTTTATCGCCCAGGCTGGAGTGCAGTCGTGTTATCATGGCTCACCACCTCTAATGTAGTGGGGACTACAGGCGCACACCACCACACCCGACTGATTTTAAAATTTTTCATAGAAACAAAGTCTTCCTGCGTTGCTTAGGCTGGTCTCTAACTCCTGGCTGGGATGAAGCGATCCTTCCGCCTTGGCCTCCCAAAATGCTGGGATTATAGGCATGGGCCACTGTGCCTAGCTGTTATTTCTAAGTACTAAAATGAGACCAGCTCCCAAAATAGTAACACAAATAGAGAAACATGAATTTGGAATATTTTTAAGTCCAGTTTTGTTAATTGAAGTGTTATTTACTTTAAGAAGGAGATGCGATAAATTTGTTACTGACAAAACATATGCTGAGGGAGGCTTCCTAACTGGAATAATTTTTCTTTTTCTCTGTCGCCCGGGCTGGAGTGCAGTGGTGCAGTCTTGGCTCCCTGCAACCTCCGCCTCCCGGGTTCAAGCAAATCTTCTGCCTCAGCCTCCCGAGTAGCTGGGACTACAGGCGCATGCCGCCCGCCCGGCTAATTTTTTGAATTTTAGTAGAGACGGGGTTTCACTGTGTTGCCTAGGCTGGTCTCGAACTCCTGAGCTCAGGCAATCCACCGACCTCGGCCTTCCAAAGTGCTAGGACTACAGGCATGAGCCACCGCACCCGGCCATAATTTTTCTTAAGTAGGCTAAGTAATTCCTCTTACTATCTTATTTACAGCATACATTTAATTATATCCTTTTCTTTCTTCATAATACAAAGATAAACCTTGAAGTTATAATCAGATTGGTACTAGTTTCAAGTTACTAATGATTTTAATGAGCTATCATTGAACTGTCATTTTAAATGCTTTTGTTGACTTTGTGTCTTTTATAGAGAAGAAAACTACGCCTCAGCCCTGAGCAATGTAGTAACTTTTATGTGGAAAAGTATGGAAAAATGTTTTTCCCCAACTTAACAGCTTACATGAGTTCTGGACCACTTGTCGCCATGATATTAGCTAGACATAAAGCCATCTCTTATTGGTTAGAACTTTTGGGACCAAATAATAGCTTAGTAGCGAAGGAGACACATCCAGACAGGTAATTTTCAGGGTTTGGGGGATGGCAGGGAATGGAATCCATCTGTGAAAATGAAAAAAAAAAATCTGATTTCATTGTAATGGGAATTTTTTTTTTATTTGGAAGTTTTCCAAAATCAACTTTTTTGGGGGGCAGAGGGTGGCAGGGCCTGGGGGGTCCATTTTACATTTTAAAGTGTTAAATGTCTATTTTAATACTACCTACCAGAAAAAGCAACAGAGAATGTCTGATTTATAGTTGATTACCCTTATTCTCTCAACCTTTAAACTGCCACTGAAGTAGGATTTTTAGATGGAAAAATTGGAATGGTATTTTAAAAGAATAATGGTAATACAGGAACAGAAATTCAAATTTTCAGCATTATTGCTAATGTATGGAAACAAGAAGATATTGAGTTCTTGCACTTTTGAATGTGCATTGCTTTTTTACTTCTCACAAAACAACACCACGTTTTTATCCAGAGAACTCCTATTTTCTCAGTGTATTCCTCCTGCAGACGTAAATATATTTGATCCTTATCTAGATAGATAAGCTTAAATTTAAGCTTAAATTTGACATAAATTGTGAAGCTTTCATATGTAAGAAGTGGCAATGCTTTTGTAAAATTCTTAAGTGGAATGCATGCATATAAAGTAAGGAATAGACGTTAGATTGGATGGACGTCATCTCTAACTTGTTTTTAGTCTGAGGGCAATTTATGGCACAGATGACCTAAGGAATGCACTTCATGGGAGTAATGACTTTGCTGCTGCGGAAAGAGAAATACGTTTTATGTTTCCTGAAGGTGAGTTACAGATGACTAACTTGTCAACTGCATCTCCTTATTGTTTGCTTTTTCTTTTATTTTGCGGATATAGCTGGGAAGGAAGATAAAATAATTTTTTTTCCAGTATATTTTGTTATGTTTTCAAGTTGTAGTTACTTAAAAACTTGAAGCCACAAATGGAAAACTTGACATTTCCCTAACAACTAAATTGTGCCCTTTAGGGAGTCTTTTGAGAAGTGTTTAATTTTTATTTATTTATCTATTTTTAACATTAAAAAAATTTAAGACAGTGTCTCACTGTCGCCGACGCTGAAGTGCAGTGGCACAATCTTGATTCATTGCAGCCTCAAACTCCTGGGCTCCGGTGATCCTCCCACTTTAGCCTCCCGGGTAGCTGAGACTATAGGTGCATGCCACCATGCCCAGCTAATTTTCTTTTATCTTTTGGAGAGATGGGGTCTCTCCGTATTGCCCAGCATACTCTCAGATGCCTGTGCTCAAGTAATCTGCCTGCCTTGGCCTCTCAAAGTGCTGGGATTGCAGGTGTGAGCCACCACACCCAGCTTAATTCTTTTTTCTTTCTTTTCTCTTGCATTAGACATATTCTTCTGTGTAACAGTTCTTTCTAGTTATCCTGAAAGGTTCAGTAGAGTTTGTGACACATGAGAAAAATAGTCTCTCTAGGAAACTACATTTGATTTACCGTCTTCTGTAACAATTTACTGTTTGCCTAACAAAGTCTCATGCAATTGAGAAATTAATAACTAGTCCCTTTTTTTGTTTCCTTACTGTTAGAGAAGTTGTAAACCTTTGAGAAGTGGACATACGAGGAAGAACACTGAAGTTTTTGGTTTGTTTTTAATATTTTTAGAGCAGAAATAAAATTTGGTGATTTTTGTTATAAGGAAAAAAATGCAAAGCATTGAGCAAAATTTTGGATTTTTTTAGTATGTTATTTTTCCTGTTATGACTTATTTTTCCCTAAGTCATTTAGATCTGTTCCTCAGTATTTTCCACTGGATATTCATTCAAATAAAACAGAAAACTGTCTTGGAGATTTAAAAGTTCCTGATATATTTTTTTTCTTTTTTTTGGAGATTTCACATGTTTTGAATAACTGATGTGATACAACAGTATCACTGTTGTTTGAATTTCTGAATTCAAAATAAATACATTTCACATTTTGAATACTTGATCTGTTACTTTTTAGTGCCAACAGGGTCGGTAACGGCCTGATGCTGACCTGACAATGGGCTGACAACTTTTCTCCACTGGCCTTTCAGTCATCCTCCCAGGGGAAGACCTGCTTCCCTCCTTTCTGTACAGTCTGAAAAGTCCCTGATTCTTAAACAAACAAACAAAAACCACTTTTAGAAATATATATTTTTTCTCAAAGCAGTCCTCCTGCCTCAGCCTCCCCAAACACTGGGATTACATGAGTGAGCTACCGTGCCCAGCGAGAGGTCTTTTTAATATGGTAGCACTTTATATTAGTCTTACAAGTGAATTAGACTTTTGCTCGTTAGCTTTTATTATTTATTTATCTATTTGAGATGGAGTCTCAGTCTGTCACCCAGGCTGGAGTGCAGTAGCATGATCACGACTCATGGCAGCCTCGACCTTCTGGGCTCAAGTGATCCTCCCACCTCAGCCTTTGAGTAGCTGGAACCACAGGCGCATATCACCACGCCCGGCTAATTTTTATATTTTCTATAGACATGAAATCTCACTACGTTGCCCAGGCTGGTCTTGAACTCCTGGGCTCAAGCAATACTGCTGCCTCTACCTCCCAAAATGTTGGGATTATAGGCATGAACCATCATGCCTGACTTCTCTTTAGCTTTTAAATAAAACAGGATAAAATTTCATTTTATCTTAAATAGAAGGTATATTTGGAAGCTCTTCTTACTCATAGGATTATATTCCTAAACTGTAATTTTCTTTCTTTTCGCTTTCTTTCTTTTTTTTTTTTTTTTTTTTTTTTTTGAGATAGATTCTCACTCTGTTGCCCAGGCTAGAGTGCAGTGGCACAATCACAGCTCACCGCAGCCTTGACCACGCAGACTCAAGTAATCTTCCCACCTCAGCCTTTGGAGTAGGTGGAACCCCAGGTGTGCACCACCACACCTGGCTAGTTTTTCAAGTTTTTTGTAGAAGCGGAGTTTTGCCATGTTTCCCAGGCCAGTCTCGAACTCTTGGGCTCAAGCAATACTCCCACCTGCCTTCCAAAGTGTTGGGATTACAGGCATGAGCCACTGTGCCACTGTGCCCAGCCAACTGTTATTTTCAGTTGCCTTTGATTTTACTCATTAAATTAATCCGCTAGGCATGAGTTTAGAGATATAGTTAGACATTTGAGAAGCAGCAAGTTGTAGGATAAATATAAAATCATTAATTACTTAGCACATTGTAGCTCTTTTGCTGTGAAGTTCTTTGGAGCAAGTACTCAGAGTTTGTGGTATGAGCGTCCTCTTACTTAGCAGTTGATGAACAACTATGTGCAAAACTTTATACGATGATTCACTCAAGCAAGTTATCAAGATATTTAAAGGCATGTTCTTAACCCTTGAAAAAAGTAATGCTGGCTGGACGTGGTGGCTCACAACTGTGATCACAACACTTTGGGAGGCTGAAGCGGATGGATCACTTGAAGTTGGGAGTTCAAGACCAGCCTGGCCAGCATGGTAAAACCCTGTCTCTACTAAAAATACAAAATTAGCCAGGCGTGGTGGCGCACGCTTGTAATCTCAGCTACTCAGAAGGCTGAGGCAGGAGAATTACTTGAACCTGGGAGGCAGAGGTTACAGTGAGCCGAGATTGTACCACTGTACTCCAGCCTGGGTGACAGAGTGAGACTGTCTGAAAGAAAAGAAAAGAAAAAAGTAATGCTCTCTTCTTTCCCTTTTTTCTGGGGGGTGGTCACAGGGTCTCTCCATGTCACTCCAGATGGAATGCAATGGTGCAATCATAGCTCACTACAACCTTAAACTCTTGTCCTCAAGCAATCCTCCTACCTCAGCCCCTTGAGTAGCTGGGACTACAGGTGTGTACCACCATGCTCGGCTAATTTTTTAATTTTTTTGTAGAGATGGGGTCTCACTACATTACCCAGGCTGGTCTCTTTTCCCTTTTAATATAAATGGCTAATTCAAAGTTTTGCTATATTCCATTTCTTCAACAAATTTATTAAGTTGCCTACTATTTGCCATAAATGCAAAGCTGAATAAGAAGATATCCCTGCTATCAAAATGATTATATTTGAAAATAAATATACAGTCTGGGTGTGGTGGCTCACACCTGTGATTCCAACACTTTGTGAGGCTGAGGCGGGAGAATCACTTGAGTCCAGGAGTTGGAGACCAGCCTGGGCAACATAGCAAGATCTCATCTCTACAAAAAATAAAAAATTAGCTGGGCATGGTGGCCCATGTCTGTAGTCCCAGCTACTCTGGAGGCTAAAGTGGGAGGATCACTGGAGCCTAGGAGGTTAAGGCTGTTTGAGCTGTGATGGCACCAGAGTGCTCCAGCCTGGACAACAGAGTGAGACCCTGTCTCAAACAAACAAACAAATAAATAAATAAAACAAGGATGAGAGAAAACTTAAAAAACTTAAAGTTCATCCATGTAAGAAACATGAAAACACTCTTTTTATTCTCTCATTAATTTATTCAGCCCTAGCCTGGCATGGTGGCTAACACTTGTAATCCCAACACTTTGGGAGGCAGAGGCAGGAGGATTGCTTGAGCCCAGAAGTTTGAGAGCAGCCTGGGCAATATGGCAAGACCCTGTCTCTACCAAAAATAAAAAAATTAGCTGGGGGTGGTGGTGTACACCTGTGGTCCCAGCTACTTGGGAGGCTGAGGTGGGAGATTCACTTGAGCCCAGCAGGTCGAGGCCGCAGTGAGCTGCATTTGCGCTGCTGTACTTCACTTGGGTGACAGAGTGAGACCCTCTCAATAAATAAATAAATGAATAATTCACTAATGAAATTAAGAAAACAATTCCAGGGAAGAAAATATTTGCAAACCATGTATCTGATAAGGGGTTAATGTCTAAAATATATAAGGAACTCTTACAAATCAATATCCAAAAAACCCCTAAATAACCCAATTAAAAAATGGGCAAAGGACTTGAATAGATATTTTTCTAAAGAAGACATACAAATAACCAACAAGTATATGAAAAGGTGCTTAAGGCCGGGTGTGGTGGCTCACGCCTGTAATCCCAGCTCTTTGGGAGGCCGAGGCTGGCAGATCACCTGAGGTCAGGAATTCAAGACCAACCTGGTCAACAAAGTGAAGCCCTGTCTCTACTAAAAAAAAAATACAAAAAATTAGCCAGGTGTGGTGGCACGTGCCTATAATCCCAGCTACTCGGGAGGCTGAGGCAGGATAACCACTTGAACCCAGGAGGTGGAGGTTGCAGTGAGCCAAGATCGCGCCATTGCACCCCAGCCTGGGCAACAAGAACAAGACTCCATCTCAAAAAAAAAAAAAAAAAAAAAAAAAAAAGTGCTCAAAATCACTAATCATCAGGGAAATACAGATCAAAACCACGGTGAGATATCACCTCACACGTTAGGATGGCTATTATCAAAAGAAAAAAAGGTAAATATTGGCAAGCATATAGGGAAATTGGAATGCTTGTACACATTTGGTGGAGATTAAAAATGGTGCTGCCACTATGGAAGACAGTATGGAAGTTCCTCAAGAAACTAAAAATAAAACTGTTACATGATCTAACAATCCCACTGCTGGATATATATATCTGAAAGAATTGAATCAGGATCTTGAAGAGATACCTGCACCAATGAACCACAATAATGTTCATTGTGGCATTATTCACAATAACCAAGATATGGAATCAACCTAAGTGTCCATCAGTGGGTTAATGGATAAAGAAAATGTGGTGTATATACACAATGTAATACTATTCAGCCTTAAAAAGGAAGAGATTCTGTCATTTTTGACAACATGGATGAACCTGGAGGACATTATATTAAGTGAAATAAGCCAGGCACAGAAAGACAGATATCACATGATCTCACTTATATGTGGAATCTAAAAAAACTTGAACTCGGAGAGTAGAATGGTGGCCACCAGGAGCTTGCAAGAGAGAGTAGGGGATGGAAATGTTGATCAAAGGATACTTATTCCTGTGATAGTAGGAATAAGTTCAACATGGTGACTATAGTTAATAATAATGTGTTGTTGAAAATTGCTAAGACAGTAGATTTTAAGTGTTCTCACCACAAAAAAAGATAAGTATTTGAGGTAATGCATATATTAATTAGCTTGATTTGTCTTTCCATAGTGTTTACATATTTCAAAACAACATGTACACAATAAATGTATACAATATTTCTTATCTATTAAAAAATTTGTTGTGCTCACTTCAGCACATATGCTAAAATTGGAACGATACAGAGAAGATTAGCTTGGCCCCTATGCAAGGATGACATGCTTTTAAAATAAAAAGAAATTTTAAGTACACTTATAAGTTAAAAAAAATTTGGGGGACCAGGGGTGGTGGCTCATGCCTGTAATCCCAGCACTTTGGGAGCCTGACATGGGCAGATCACTTGAGGTCAGGAGTTCGAGACCAGACTAGCCAACATAGTGAAACCCCATCTCTGCTAAAAATAAAAAAAAATTAGCCTGGCATAGTGGCATGCATCTGTAATCCCAGCTACTCAGGAGGCTGAGGCAGGAGAATTGCTTGAACCCAGGAGGCAGAGGTTGCAGTGAACCGAGATCGCACCACTGCACTCCAGCCTGGGCAACAGAGCAAGACCATGTCTCAAAAAAAAAAAAAAATTAAAAAAATTTTTGTTTAATGATTAGTACCTGATAAATTGGCATAATGAACTTTATATAATATATGAATAAAACATTTGCCCATATTGAGAAAAAATTGTATACATTAATTGTGTGCAATTTTGTGTACATGAGTAATACTTCAATAAAGCTGTAAAAAGGAAAATTCCATTCACAATGACATTAAAAATAATATAATATTTAGGCACAATTTTTTTTTTTTTTTTTTTTTTTTTTTTAGAGACAGAGTTTCGCTCTTGTCACCCAGGCTGGAGTGCAGTGGCCCGATCTCAACTCACTGCAACCTCTGCCTCCTGGGTTCAAGCGATTCTCCTGCTTCAGCCTCCCGAGTAGCTGGGATTACAGGCGCCCACCACCACGCCCAGCTAATTTTTTGTATTTTTAGTAGAGACAGGGTTTCGCCACGTTGGGCAGGCTGGTCTCAAACTCCTGACTTCAGGTGATCCACCCGCCTTGGCCTCCCAAAGTGCTGGGATTACAGGTGTGAGCCACCACGCCCGGCCATATTTAAGCATAAATTTAATGAAAGTGCAATTCTTGTACACTGAAAAACAAAGAACATTGCTGAGATAAATTTTAAAATAAATAATAGATATTCCATATTAATGGATTGGAAGACTCAATATTGTTAAGATGGCAATTCTTTCTAAATTAATTAACAGTTTTGGGTTGGGTGCAGTGGCTCATTCCTGTAATCTCAACACTTTGGGAGGCTGAGGCAGAAGGATTGCTTCAGTCTAGGAGTAGGAGACCAGCCTGGGCAACAAAGTGAGACCTCATCTCTACAAGAAAAAAAAAATTTAAAGAAAATTTTAATGTAATCCTTTTAAAAGTCCATGCATACTTTTACGTAGACATTGACAAGCTGAGTTTAAAATTTAGCAAAATTGCAAATAATTCAATTTTAGAAAAGAAGAACAAAGTTGGAAGACTTCCACTATCTGATTTTGAAACTTACTGCAAAGCCACAATTATAAGACGGTATGACAGTGATATAAAGATACACATATAGATTATTGGAACAGAATTGAGGATCTAGAAGTAAACTTTTACACTTATGGTCAATTCACTTTCAACAAAGGTGCCTAGACAATTCAGTGAGAAAAGGATGGTCTTGCCAATACAGTCCCCAACTTACCATGGTTCAAGTTACAGTTTTTTGACTTTACTATGGTGCTTTCAGCTGTGTACATTAATGGCGAGTATCCATACAACCATTCTATTTTGGTTTCCTTTTTTTTTGAGACAGGGTGTCTCTCTGTCACCCAGGCTGAAGTGCAGTGGTGCCCACTACAGCCTGACCTCCTGGGCTCAAGCATTCTCCCACCTTAGCCTCCTGAGTAGCTGAGACTAGAGGCATAGACCACCATGCCTGGCTACTTTTTGAATTTTTTTGTTGTAGAAAGGCAGTCTCGCCATATTGCCCAGGCTGGTATTGAACTCCTGGCCTCAAGAGATCCTCCCCCAAAAATGATATATATATATATCTTTTTTTTTTAAGAGACAGAGTCTTGCTTTGTTGCCCAGATGGTCTCAAACTCATGGCTTCAGGTAATCCTACTGCCTCAGCCTCTCAAGGAGCTAGGACTACAAGTGTGAACCACTGTGCCCAGCTCATAATATATGTATATTATATAGAAAATGTTATTTATATAAAATTTGCTTTGTGTTAGATGATTTTGCCCAACTGTAGGCTAATGTAAGTGTTCTGAGCACATTTAAAGTAGGCTATGCTATGCTATGATGTTCAATAGGCTAGGTGTATTAAATGTGTTTTTGACTTACTGATACTTTCAACTTATGATGGGTTTATTGGGATGTAACCCATGTAAATTGAGGAAAGTCTGTATATGGTGCTAGGACAGCATGATAGTCACATAAAAACAAAAAGAACTTAGACCCTTGTTTCATAGCATACACAAAAATTAACTCAAAATGGATCACAGACTTCAATGTAAAAACATCTAAAAGAAAACAAGAAAATCTTTGTAACTGGAGTTGGACAAAGACTTCTTAAAATGACATCAAAAGCAAGATCCATAAAAGAAAATATTGATAAATTGGACTAAATCAAATTAAAAGCTTTTGTGCTTCAAAGGACATCATTAAGAATGTGAAAAGAGGCTGGGCGCGGTGGCTCATGCCTGTAATCCCAGCACTTTGGGAGGCCGAGGCAGGCGGCTCACAAGGTCAGGATATCAAGACCATCCTGGCTAACATGGTGAAACCCCGTCTCTACTAAAAAATACAAAAAAATTAGCCGGACTAATTAGTGGCGGGCACCTGTAGTCCCAGCTACTCAGAAGGCTGAGGCAGGAGAATGGCGTGAACCCAGGAGGCGGAGCTTGCAGTGAGCCAAGATCGCGGCACTGCACTCCAGCCTGGCGACAGAGAAAGACTCTGTCTCAAAAAAAAAAAAAAAAAAAAAAGAGCTGGGAGCAGTGGTTTGCACCTGTAAATCCAGCTATTCAGGAGGCTGAGGTGGGAGGATTGCTTGAGGCCAGGAGTTTGAGACCAGCGTGAGTGACACCCTGTCTCTAAACACTTAAAGAAAAAAAAAGCTGGGTGTGGTGGCACACACTTGCAGGCCCAGCTACTTGGAAGGCTGAAGCCAGAGGATGCTTCAGCCCAGGAGTTCGAGGCTGCAGTGAGCTGTGCTCACACCACCACACTCCAGACTGGGCAACGGAGCAAGACCCTGTGTCAAAAAAAAAAATAGAAGTTAAATTTTTAAAAATATGAAAAGATAGGTAGGCAACAGACTGGGAAAAAATATCACCAAATAATATAAAGAACTTGTAACTAGAATATATAAAGAACTCCTATGTCTAAATAATAAGAGAAACATCCCAACTGAAAACTGAGGCTGGTTCTACTCAGGAGGCTGAGGCAGGAGAATTGCTTCAACCTGGGAGACGGGGTTGCAGTGAACTGAGATTGTGCTGCTGCACTCCAGCCTGGGTGACAAGAGTGAAACTCTGTCTCAAAAAAAAAAAAATAAAGAAAAGAAAAGAAAAAGAAAACAGGCTGGTTGCAGTGGCTCATGCCTGTAATCTCAGCACTTTGGCAGGCTGAGGCAGGCAGATTATTTGACGTTAGGAGTTCAAGACCAGCCTGGCCAACATGGTGAAACCCCATCTCTACTAAAAATACAGAAATTAGGGCCGAGCATGGTGGCTCATGCCCGCAATCCTAGCACTTTGGGAGGCCGAGACAGGAGGATTACCTTAGATCAGGAGTTTGAGACCAGCCTGGCCGACATGGTGAAACCCTGCCTCTACTCAACGTACAAAAATTAGCCAGGCATGGTGGCACACTCCTGTCTACTTAGGAGGCTGAGGCAGGAGAATCACTTGAACTCAGGAGTTGGAGGTTGCAGTGAGCTGAGATTGTGCCACTGCATTCCAGCCTGGGCAACAAAGCGAGACTCTGTCTCAAAAAATAAAAATAAATAAAAATACAAAAATTAGCAGGGTGTGGTGATGCGGACCTGTAGTCCCAGCTACTCGGAAGGCTGAGGTGGGAGAATCACATGAACCCAGGAGGAGGTTGCAGTGATCTGAGATTGCATCATTGCACTCCAGCCCAGGCAACAGAGTAAGACTCCATCTCAAAAAAACATATAAAAAAATAGAGAAAAGTTCTTTAAAAAGAACCTTTTTAATGATTGTATAGTATTTAATCATTATGTTTGCATCAATGAGAATACATTTGTATTTGCAGTGATTGTTGAGCCCATTCCAATTGGACAAGCTGCTAAGGACTATTTAAATTTACATATAATGCCAACTCTGCTTGAAGGACTCACAGAGCTTTGTAAGCAAAAACCAGCAGATCCTTTGGTAAGAAATATTTTTATTCACACTTAAGAATATTGTCACCAGGCGTGGTGGCTCATGCCTGTAATCCCAGCACTTTGGGAGGCCAAGGCGGGCGGATCCGAGGTCAGGAGTTTGAGACCAGCCTGACTAACATGGTGAAACCCCGTCTGTACTAAAAATACAAAAATTAGCTGGGCGTGGTGGCATGTGCCTGTAATCCCAGCTACTCAGGAGGCTGAGGCAGGAGAATCACTTGAACCCAGAGGCAGAGGTTGCAGTGAGCCGAGATTGTGCCACTGCACTCCAGCCTGGGTGACAGAGCAAGACTCCATCTCAAAAAAAAAATTTTTTTTTCTATAAATTGTCTGTAGTTTTCACGTTTAAGACATTGTGTCTTTGAAATACTGCGAATATAGCTGGGCGCAGTGGCTCACGCCTATTATCCCAGCACTTTGGGAGGCCGAGGTGGGTGGATCACTAGGTCAGGAGATCAAGACCATCCTGGCTAACACGGTGAAACCCCATCTCTACTAAAAATATAAAAAATTAGCCGGGCGTGGTGGTGGGTGCCTGTAGTCCCAGCTACTTGGGAGGCTGAGGCAGGAGAATGGCGTGAACCCAGGAGGCGGAGCTTGCAGTGAGCCGAGATTGTGCCACTGCACTCCAGCCTGGGCAACAGAGCGAGACTCCATCTCAAAAAATAAATAAGTAAATAAATGAAATACTGCAAATATTGAGAACCTTTTTAAAATAAACATTTCTAGAAGGTATTTCATATACATGTTAGATATGTATAATTATTGATTACTTATTATTTTCTTGCTGTGTTTTATTTATTTATTATTATTATTTTTTGAGACGGAGTCTCACTCTGTTGCCCAGGCTGGAATGCAGAGGCGCAATCTGGGCTCACTGCAACCTCCGCCCCCCAGGTTCAAGTGATTCTCCTGCCTCAGCCTCCTGAGTAGCTGGGATTTACAGGCGAACACCACCACGCCCGGGTAATTTTTGTATTTTTAGTAGAGACAGGGTTTCTTCATGTTGGCCAGGCTGGTCTCGAACTCCTGACCTCAGGTGATCCACCTGCCTTGGCCTCCCAAAGTGCTGGGATTGCAGGTGTGAGCCACCGCGCCCGACCTATCTTTCTTTTTTTTTGTAGCCATGCTAGTAGATAACACAAAATGGTTTCTCACGGTGGTTTTGATCTGCATTTCCCTAATGGCTAATGTTGAACATCTTTTCATGAGCTTCTTGGCCATTTGTATACCTTCTTTGAAGAAATGTCTATTCAAATTGAAGTCCTTTGCCCATTTTTAAACTGGGTTGTCTTTTTGTTGAGTTAAAGTTCTTTGTATTTCTAGATGTTAAACCCTTATTAGATATATGATTTGCAAATATTGTCTTCCATTTTGTAGGTTGTCTTTTCACTTTCTTGATAATGTCCTTTAATGTATAAACATTTTTCATTTGATGAAATCCAATTTATTTATTTTTTCTTTTATTTCTTGTGCTTTTGATGTCATGTCTAAGAATCCATTGTGAAATCCAAATCCAAGGTCATGAAAATTTACCCCTGTGTTTTATGTTTTCTTTTAAGATTTTTTTTCTTTCCTTTTTTTTTTTTTTTTTTTTTTGAGACAGGGTCTTTGTTCCCCATGCTGGAGTCTGGTGGCGCCATCTCGGCTCACTTCAACCTCTGCCTCCTGAGTTCAAGTGATTCTTGTGCACCAGGCTGCCAAGTAGCTGGGACCACAGGAGCACACTACCACACCCAGCTAATTTTTAAAATTTTTTGTAGAGATGGGGTCTCCCTATGTTGCCCAGGCTGGTCTTGAACTCCTGGTCTCAAGTGATCTTCCTACCTCGGCCTCCAAAAGTATTGGGATCACAGGTGTGAGTCACTGGCCTCTTTTAAGATGTTTATTGTTTAAGCTCTTATATTTAGGTCATTGGTCCATTGTGAGTTCATTTTTGTATATGGTGTGGTATAGGGGTCCAACTTTATTCATTTGCATGTGGAAATCCAATTGTCCTAGTACCATCTGTTGAAGAGACTGTTCTTTCTCCAAGTCCAGTGGTACCAATGGGCTTGGTACCATTGTCAAAAATTTGTTGACCATAGATGCGTGGGTTTATTCCTGGATTCTCATTCTTTTTTTAAAATATGAAATGCTTAATAAATTGTGCATCATCCTTGCACAGGAGCCATGCTAATAATCTCTCTGTATCATTCCAGTTTTGGTATATGTGCTGCCGAAGAGAGCACTGGACTCTCAGGTCCATTCTATTGGTCTGCATGTCTGGCATAAGGATGTCATTACCACACTGTGCTGACTACTGTAGCTTTGTAGAAGGTTTTGAAATTGAGAGTACAAATCAGTCCTCCAACTTTGTTCTTTTTCATGATTGTTTTGGCTCCTCAGAGCCCCTTGCAATTTCATATGAATTTGAGGATTGGCTTTCCATTTCTGCAAAAAAACTTGTTGGACATTTGGCAAGAGCTGCACTGAATCTGTAGATTGCTTTGGGAAGTATTGACATCTTAACAATATCAAATCTCCGTATCCATGAAAAATAATGTCTTCTCATTTATTTAGGTATTCTTTAATTTCTTTCAGCAATGTTCTACAGTTCTTAATGTATAAGCCTTTCGCTTCTTGGGTTAAATTTATCCCTTGGCATTTTATTTGTCTTTATGCTACTGTAAATGAAAGTGATTTAAAATTTTTTTTTGGACTGTCATTGCTGATGTATAGAAATACAGTTGATTTTTGTGTATTGTAACCTACATCTTCGCTGAATTTATTAGCTGTAGTGGCTTCCTTGTAAATTCCTTAGGGTTTTCCACATGTAGGTTTATGCCATCTGTGAAAAGAGATAGTTTTACTTCTTTCTTGCCAGTTTGGATCTATTCTTGACAATCTTGCATAATGTAAATCCAAATGTTTCCATTTTTAATGGTCATTTTCTTAAAGTGATTTTGAAAACTGTTTAAGTTTCCAATTGATATAGTATATATTGAAAGGAAATATGTAACTGTTTCTTAACTTAGGTTGTTTTTTTTTTTCCCATAGATTTGGCTAGCTGATTGGCTGCTGAAAAATAATCCTAACAAACCCAAACTTTGTCACCATCCAATTGTAGAAGAACCTTATTAAAAAAAAAATCCTCGAAAGAACAAATCATGAACTATCTTATTATAAAAGGCTGTACTTCTACTGTTTGAAAAAATTATTTCTAGGGTTTAAGTAACTACAAGTAAAATAAATTTATTTCTTAAAAATAAGTGTTAAAGGAATAACTATTCTATGAAGCAGATAACATTAAGGTAAAATATAGGCTTAGAGTATGATTTTAACAATGATGTAACACTAGGTAATGGAAAACTCATGTAAGATGTTGCTAGATGTTTTTGTTTTTCTTAAGTTTGAGAAGTAAGACATAAAGTTTAGTTATACATTTTCCCAAGCACATATCCTATATCTAAATACATAATTAATGCACAGTTGAGACAGTCTAGTTTAAAAGGCTTAGGTCCTTTTGTAGTCCATAAGCATGGTGATTTGGTTTCATGCTCATGTGTCAGATATGCTTCCCTCAAACCTTGTTACAGCATCATCACATTACCTGTTTGATGTAAAAAATAAAAAATAGAAAGGTGTAAGTATATAAGTAATTTTTTGGTACAATGAAAATGGCCAGAACCAGGGGATGATCTTAAACTAATCACTTGGATAACTATTAGGCTGGTGCAAAAGCAATTATGGTTTTTGTCATTAAAAAACAATGGCAAAAACCACAATCACGGCCGGTCTTGGTGGCTCACGCCTCTAATCCCAGCACTTTGGGAGGCCGAGGCGGGTGGATCACGAGGTCAGGAGATCGAGACCATCCTGGCTAACACGGTGAAACCCCGTCTCTACTAAATATACAAACAATTAGCCGGGCGTAGTGGCGGCGCCTGTATTCCCAGCTACTCGGGAGGCTGAGGCAGGAGAATGGCGTGAACCCAGGGGGCGGAGCTTGCAGTGAGCCGAGATCGCACCACTGCCCTCCAGCCTGGGTGACAGAGCGAGACTCTGTCTCAAAAAAAAAAAAAAAAAAAAAGAGAAAAGAAAGTATAATGTAAGAAAATGTGAAAACAGAAAGATTGTTAGCTGAAAAAAAGTATGTTACAAAGCAATATGCACAGTGTACGCCCATTTGGTTTTGGTTTGGTTTTGGTTTTTTTTGTTTGTTTTAATAAGATAGGGTCCCGCTATGTTGCCCAGGCTGGTCTCAAACTCCTGGGCTCAAGCAATCCTCCTGCTTCGCCCTCCCAAAGTGTTAGGTTTATAGGCATGAGCCATTGTGCCCAGCCATGTGTTCTCATTTAGATTAAAAAATGAATAAATAAATGTGTATAGAATAACATGTAGAAGGATACCCACTCAAGTGTTTTTATCTATAATCTCTGGATGGTAGAAATATTTTATTTTTCTTCTTTTGCTTAGCTGTATTTTAAATTTTTCTACAGCATTTATGTAACTACTTTTGTGATTAAAAGAAACATTAAGATTACGAAAAATAAGCCGGGCGCGGTGGCTCAAGCCTGTAATCCCAGCACTTTGGAAGGCCAAGGCGGGCGGATCACGAGGTCAGGAGATCGAGACCATCCTGGCTAACACGGTGAAACCCGGTCTCTACTAAAAATACAAAAAAAATTAGCTGGGCGCGGTGGCAGAGGCGCCTGTAGTCCCAGCTATTCGGGAGGCTGAGGCAGGAGAATGGCGTGAACCCGGGAGGCAGAGCTTGCAGTGAGCCGAGATCGCGCCACTGCACTCTAGCCAGGGCGACAGAGCGAGACTACGTCTCAAAAAAAAAAAAAAAAAAGATTACGAAAAATAAATGTTGTAACAAATGTCAGCTTTAAAGGGCTGGCAACACTTCCTTATTAATAGACTGTGTTTAAGCTGTCAGTGGCTAAGATGTTTTGCAAGTTCTCACTGTTGGTATTTTTCTGAAGTTTTGGACATATTCCTTCTGAGACTGTGTGCCCACTGTATTTCAAAACACCTTTAGCATCAGTGTTGGGAGAACAAACCAAAATCTTAAAAATAAAGATAAATAATAAATTGTTATATTTTTTAGCAATGACCAAGGACATATAGGAAAAAGCAAATCATTTTTACAGTAGGATTCCAGTGTGACAGCTTTAGGAGGTCATTTCCACATTCAAAGCCTCTGTCATGGAGGAAAGAAAAAAAAGAAAGAAAAAAAAAGGCAGCACTGTGTATAGCAAAAAATTCCAACTGGGTGTGGTGGCTCACGCCTATACTCCCAGCACTTTGGGAGGCCAAAGCAGGAGGATCACTTGAGGCCAGGAGTTCAAGACCAGCCTGGGCAACATAGCAAAACCACGTCTCCACAAAAAGTATAAAAATTAGCTAGGTGTAGTGGCCTGCACTTCTGTTCCCAGCCACTTTGGAAGCTGAGGCGGGAGGATTGCTTGAGCCCAGGAGGTCAAGGCTGCGGTAAGCCATAATCACACCAGTGCTCTCCAGCCTGTCTAAAAATATCAAACAAACAAACAAAAAAGATGGCCGGGCTCGGTGGCTCACACCTGTAATCCCAGCACTTTGGGAGGCCAAGGCGGGTGGATCACGAGGTCAGGAGTTTGAGACGAGCCTGGGCAGCATGGTGAAACCCCGTCTCTACTAAAAATACAAAAAATTAGCTGGGCGTGGTGGCGGGTACCTGTAGTCCCAGCTACTCGGGAGGCTGAGGCAGGAGAATTGCTTGAACCCAGCAGGCGGAGGTTGCAGTGATCTGAGATCACGCCACTGCACTCCAGCCTGGGTGACAGAGTGAGACTCCATCTAAAAAAAGAAAGAAAGAAAGAAAGAGAGAGAGAGAGAGGGAGGGAGGGAGGAAAGAGAGAGAGAGAGAAAGAGAAAGAAAGAAAGAAAGAAAAAGAAAGAAAGAAAGAAAGAGAAAAGAGAGAAAAAATCCATGCTGGTAGTCACCTCCAATCGAGACCTGCCATTCGTTTTTTTTTGTTTGTTTGTTTTATTTTTTTTAATGGAGCAGGAGCTGAGTGCGGTGGCTCATGCCTGTAATTCCAACGCTTTGGGAGACTGAGGTGGGCCAATTGCTTGAGCCCAGTAGTTTGAGACCAGCCTGGGCAACATGGGGAAACCACGTCTCTAGTAAAAATACAAAAATTAGCCGGACATAGTGGTGCACACCTGTAGTCCCAGCTACTCGTGAGGCTAAGGCAGGAGGATCATTTAAGCCTGGAAGGTCAAGGCTGCAGAGAGCCATGATTGTGTTACTGCACTCCAGCCTGGGCGACAGTGCTAGACCTTGTCTCAAAATAAATAAATAAATAAAAATAAAATGGAGGGGGAAAAGTGGAGAAAAGCAGACTAATTTAAGATATATTTTAGGGATCGATAGACAAATGCACATGCAAATGGAAAATAACATAGTTATCATGGAATTCTTTAATTTTGCACACATTTGATTTCCTTACTTCATGGGCCAGGAACTGGGAAGTGTAGCATAGGGTGAGTAGGAAAATGAGAAGTCTGCCTTCTTGTTTACTTCCAAAATAACTAGAAGAGGAGAAGTCTGTCTTCCAACATAACCTGTTAGGTGTTACCAAAGTACTGTGCATGCATTTGTGGTTGTTAAGTACTGGTGCCTTAATGCATTTTTATCACACTGAATCATAGTATGGCATCCTTGTTAAGCATGATATGTCACTTTGTTTGGTTCCTTTCTCCAGGACTCGAACTAAAGAGAGCCAAAAAAGGATGCAGGCATGCAGCTCTCTTACAACTTGAAACTAAACAGAAGTTTAGATTCCTCTTTTTTTTCTTTAGAAGTTTAGATCTGGGATGGCATCTAGAAGCCCCCTCTTCCCAGGTCTCTTGCCAATCTTCCTGTACTTAGCCAGAATAAAAGGTACATGTCTAACCTGGACATTCCTACTTAAGTTTCTATTTGTGTGCATGTGTGTGGCATGGGCATGGGGGGTGTGGGTGTGGGATTTTGGAGCATGAGATAGTGCTTGGAGGAAGGAGCCCAGGGCAATAACTTGTCTGTCCTGTGTTAAGGGTGTCATGGATAAGCTTGATTTGAAACTTATGTAGTATTTGAGAAGTACTCTCCCAGCTCGGAAATACTGCCACTTCTCTTATGCAGTTAACTCTTTATAAGAACTATTCAGATGATGCTTTTATTATTTTTTTCTTTTTGATATAGGGTCTTATTCTGTCACCCAGGCTGGAGTGCAGTAACACTGTCATAGCTCACTGCAGCCTTGACCTCCTGGGCTCAAGTGGTCCTCCCACCTCAACCTCTTGAGTAGCTGGGACTACAGGCATGAGCCACCACACCCAGCTAATTAAAAATTTTTTTTTGTAGAGACGGGGTCTCACTACGTTGCCCAGGCTGGTCTTTTACTCCTGGGCTCCAGCTATTCTTCTGCTTTGGCCTCTCGAAGTGTTCAGATTATAGGCGTGAGCCACTGCACCTGGTCTAAGATTTGATTTTTGATTCAGAGATGGTCCAGTTCTTCTCAGTTTGCTATTTCTGTGACTTCAATTGCTTTTCTTGGGTTGTTTTTGTTAGTCCCTTTACTAGTAACATTCTCTATATTATCTTTACACCTTTCATTTGAGATCCATAATTATGTTCCAAAAGTTAATTAAATCTCAGAAACTCCCAGGCTTACGAGAGAAATTTACTTAACAGAGAAGTTATTTCTAAAGATAGAGTCCAATGATTTCTGGCAATTTTATATAGCTTTCTTCCACCTCACCAAAGGACATGACTAAAGAAAAAAATCTTTGTGAAGCAGTCTTGCATTAGCTTTCTCATTAATTTAATTAGAGCCTCTAGTACATAGGAGAAAGTGGAGATGACTAAATAAAATGATACCTCTTCCTTTCCTGCTTCCAGGGTGATCCAAGAAATTTCTCTCTCCCCATCCAAATCAAGAGTTGATGACACTGCTGTGACTGATGCCTTTTGTTCCCAGACCAAATTGTTTTTATTGCCTACCCCCTGCCGGCACTTTCCAAAGCACCACTGCCATCAGCTCCAGAGGGAATCCCTTCCTCAGGCGTCCTGGGCAGCAGCTGCAGGGTGATGGCAGGGAGCACAGAATGGGAGGAGAAAGCAACTTGCAGACAAATGGGCAGCTAATCAGACCAACAGCCCAATCACTAGACCCATAAAAAAATTCCATTCCCCACCTCCACTAACCTCATCTGCATTTTTTTGGCCAAGGTGGGGAGAATGCTCCTTGAAAAGTTATGCTTCATAAGATCTATCAAAGCAGGCTCAAATTACTGCCCCCCACACCTTATTCTTTCTCAAGCCAATTGTGCTTATTCAGCCGAATAGTTGTCAAATCACTACAGACCTTACAAATACTAAAAGGACAATTGGGGAATATTATGAACAACTTTATGCCAATAAATCGAACAAATTAGATGAAATAGACAAAGCCTTTGAAAAATGCAAACTACCAACAGTGTGTCAACCTGAAGCACAATTTCTGGGTCTTCCTTTTAAACTCTTTGCAAAGTTTGGATCTCTCTCAATTTTCAGGATTTTTCATTTTAAAGCAGCCTTACTGAGCTTACTTAATTAGCATTCTCAACTGTTCTGCTAGGAGCTGGTTACTTCTCAATACAAGTTATCTAATTGTGGGATGGAGAGGGTTAAGCTATTTTATAAGAATAAGCATCTCCATCTTGAGGGGGAGGATAACACATCTTAATCAGGATTATAAAATCCTGATCCTTCTGGGCGGCCTTTATGTTGGGGCCAGAAGGACAGCCTCTCTGAACTTTAGTGTTTCTGGTCCTTGCCACTGTGAGAACATTTCAAGGAGTCTTTAACATATATATGTGGTTAGAGTCTTCTTGTACCATAAAATGGTTAGACAAGGACCAATATAAAGCAGTCAGTCTGCAATGAGGTTGGAGCTTTAGAGATAAGCACATCCTTTTCAGTGGTGCTTGCTTTTATAATGTGTCATTTAGCAAATGGACTGTGAAGAATTAGTCATGCCAAACTCCTAACCATCTGATGACTGGATATGGACTAAACATCTCAGATGAAAATGTTTAGACTTTAAGCCTTCAGTCTTTCAAAGCTCAATTAAAATAAAGTACTATATCTAATTTAAGTTCTAGTTTAACTTAGCCTGTTTGCAACTTTTATAGATACAGGTTCAACATGTAAATGGCAAACCATTATCAATTCCTTCATGCTTCTCAGGGATGATTTAAGAAAATGTAATATTTGAAACTGTTGTCATCTTTGTGGTGAGAAACAAATATGTATCCTAAATTAAATTAAAATGTAATATTATTAGGGTATTGTCCCCTTGGTGAAATCATATTATTATATCTCTCTGTTGCTAAAATGGAAGGTGCCAACCCGAACACACTATTGTGTGTAGGAAGTCAGACTTTGTTTAGCTTCCTGTAGATTCTGGGTGCCCCCGTGCCCTCCTCCTTCAATTCTTCGGTAGCTACCTGGCTCTAAGGCCTGGCTTTAAGTTCTCCTAAGCCATCTGAGCTGGCCTTTTCACTGGATTCCCTCCCTTTTTCTCTTCATGTAGTACTTTTCTCTTCTTCCTCTTTATAGCTCTATTCTTTTTAAAGCCTCTTCATCTTTTTTCCTGCCCTTATCTTGATCATTTCCCTTTATATTTAGAATGCTTCTGACCTCCACATAACTGCTATAAAGATTTTGAAATGATGAAGCATGTCACAAAGTAGAGGAATTTTTTTTTTGTGGGCCGGGGGGACGGAGTCTTGCTTTGTCGCCCAGACTGGAGTGCAATGGCACAATCTCAGCTCACTGCAACCTCTGTCCCTGGGGTTCAAGCAATTCTCCTGCCTCAGCCTCCCGAGTAGCTGGGATTACAGGCACCTGCCACCACACCCGGCTAATTTTTGTATTTTTAGTGGAGATGGGGTTTCACTATATTGGCCAGGCTGGTCTTGAACTCCTGACCTTAGGTGATCCGCCCACCTCAGCCTCCCAAAGTGCTGGGATTACAGGCGTGAGCCATTGCATGCGGCCAAGTGGAGGGATTTAAAACAGTATACTGGCCGGGCGCGGTGGCTCACGCCTGTAATCCCAGCACTTCAGGAGGCCGCGGTGGGTGGATCACGAGGTCAGGAGATCGAGACCATCCTGGCTAACAGGGTGAAACCCTGTCTCTACTAAAAATACAAAAAATTAGCTGGGCGTGGTGGCGGACGCCTGTAGTCCCAGCTACTCGGGAGGCTGAGGCAGGAGAATGGCGTGAAACCGGGAGGCAGAGCTTGCAGTGAGCAGAGATTGCACCACTGCACTCCAGCCTGGGTGAAAGGGCAAGACTCCGTCTCAAAAAAAAAAAAAAAAAAAAAAAAAAAAAAAAAAAAAAAAAAAACAAATAAAAAAAAATGCAAAAAAATTAGCCGGGCGTCATGGCGGACACCTGTAGTCCCAGCTACTCGGGAGGCTGAGGCAGGAGAATGGCGTGAACCCAGGAGGCGGAGCTTGCAGTGAGCCGAGATCGCGCCACTGCACTCCAGCCTGGGAGACAGAGCCAGACTCCATCTCAAAAAAACAAAACAAAACAAAAAAAACCAACAGTGTACTAACGCGATTTGTTGCTGTTCCAGTTGGCCATGGGACTCAAGTTGAATGGACACTTCCTGTACTGATACTGAAAACAGATCCTACATCCTATGTCCGTTGAGTAACTAGGTTTGAAATTAATTCTCTCTACTTTGTGACAATCAACAATTACTTATTGAGTATCTAGTGTGTAGCTGATATGGTTAAAAAAATTATATTTATGTTAGTCTGATATTCAGGGCTCCCACAGACTGGCCAGTGCTTATCTTTCTAATGCTTATTTTTCTAAACTAATCTCCCCCGTACCTGCCTTTATGGACTCTGCTCTAGCTAGAGTGGTCTGTTTGCTCCCTTGCTCATTCCCGTCTACATTTGCTAAAGCCATTCTCTTCCTTTGCCCTTGCTCCCCAACATCACAAACACTGGACGACCCTCCTCTTTCTGTTTATACAATTTCAAGCCTATAAGATAATTTCCTGTAATTTTGCTCTAATACATGCTTATCTCTTATGCCTGTGAACTACTCATACTTAAATTCTGACTTGGCTTGTAGTTAATATATTTCCTTGACATAATGTGCTGGACAGTACATTATGAAGTAGTTTAACATTTGGCCTTTGGAGACAGCAAAGCAGTTTTTACAAACATTTATGTATTTTTAAAGTGAATTATCTGGTAACCTCCCAAACAAGAATAGGTTCGTTCAGTCTCCCAACAAAGCAGTTTTTATCATGACTCCATGACTTCCTAGCTCTGTGACAATGGGGAAGTTTGCTTAATCTTGCTGAGTCTCAGTTTCTTCATCTATAAAATGGGGATAATGGTAGTTCCCATCTCACAGAGCTGTTGTGAGTACTAAATGTGATAATATATGTAAAAGTATATAACAGTTCCTACTGGCAAAGAGGAAACATTCAGTCAACATTAGCTGTTATTATTTCCCTTTAGTATTTTTACTTAGCTTATTTATATATGGATTATGTTCCCATCATTAATGGAAAGATTACTATTTGCTGTTATTCATTATATGCCAAGCACTGTACTAGGCACTTTTTTTTTTTTTTTGAGTTGGAGTTTTTCTCTTGTTGCCCAGGCTGGAGTGCAATGGGGTGATCTCGGCTCACCACAATCTCCGCCTTCTGGGTTCACGCCATTCTCCTGCCTCAGCCTCCCAAGTAGGTGGGATTACAGGCATACGCCACCACGCCCGGCTAATTTTGTATTTTTAGTAGAAATGGGGTTTCATCATGTAGGTCAGGCTGGTCTCGAACTCCTGACCTCAGGTGATCTGCCTGCCTCAGCCTCCGAAAGTGCTGGGATTACAGGTGTGAGCCACCACGCCTGGCCTGGCACTCTTATTAATACTTACGTTATTTAATTCTCACAGCAGCAATCCTGAGGTTAAAGTGATTTTATCTGGAAATTAAAAGATCCTACTAATGCCTTACCTAGGAATTAATAGAGCCAGGATTTTGAACTGTCTTTTGTTATAGGGGCCTCAGCCATGAACCTAGGATGAGTAGGGAAAATGTATTTTTATCCCCTGCTGAACTCAATTATATCTACCTCTGAAGCCTTTCCACTGCTTCATGGTGCTTTTTCACAGACATGGGAAGCTTTTTGTTTTTCTCATGGGGCTACCTAAGTGTTGTGTACAAAACAAGTTCCTTCATTTAATGGATTTATTGTATTTAAATCAATAGAGTGGAATTGGGGGCTTTATTTAGTTTATGCTATTGTTCTTTGTGGCTGAAAATCACAGGTTCTCTTCCCTTATCACTCAGAAGGCACCTCCAAATCTCTTTTCATTCACTGTATTACTAAAGGCACTAATGCTGTTATTTACACCTAACTACTACTTGCTCTTGCTCATATATCTGCTTGAAAAGAAGGTTTGCCAGTTAATTTAAAACCACCTAATTTAACCCCTTAATTTATAGTTGAAGCAAATAAGGCTCAAGGTGGCTAAGAGATGTGCCCAAGGTCAAGCTAATGGCTGTACCTCAATTGGTTCTCAATCCAGGTTTCTGGCTCATGTCCAGAATGCCACTCATTATGCCAGGATCCCCTTGAAAACCAGCACTCAACAAGGTTATTGTCCTAAGTAGTTCAAAACCTCCACCTGTAGTCTTATTTGTGGCGTTAATTTAATAGCACCTCCCTTTAAAATATAATATACAAACAAACTTCCTCCAGCACAAAATTCAAGTGAATGAAATCTTAAAAAAAAAATTTTTTTAATGTAGAGATGGGGTCTCACTATGTTGCCCAGGCTGGTCTGGAACTCATGGACTCAAGCAGTCCACCTGCCTCGGTCTCCCTAAATGCTGGGATTACAGGCATGAGCCACAGCGCCCAGCCCAAATAAGTGAAATCTAACCATTAGACTATGTGTACATCAAGAACATGTGACTGTTGCTTTTTTTTTAAAATGAGACGGAGTCTCACTCTGTCGCCCTGGCTGGAGTGCAGTAGAGCGATCTTGGCTCACTGCAACCTCTGCTTCCTGGGTTCAAGTGATTCTCCTGCCTCAGACTCCTGAGTACCTGGAATTACAGGTGTGCACCACCATGCCGGCTAATGTTTGAGTTTTTAGTAGAGACGGGGTTTCACCATATTGCCCAGGCTGGTCTCCAACTCCTGAGCTCAAGTGATCCACTTGCCTTGGCCTCCCAAAGTTCTGGGATTATAGGCGTAAGCCACCATGCTGGGCCTGACCGTTGCTTTTTTTTTTTTTCTGAGACGGAGTCTCGCTCTGTTGCCCAGGCTGGAGTGCAGTGGCGCAATCTCGGCTCACTGCAACTTCTGCCTCTCGGGTTCAAGCAATTCTCTGCCTCAGCCTCCCGAGTAGCTGGGAGTACAGGTGCCGCCACCACGCCTGGTTAATTTTTTTGTATTTTTAGTAGAGACAGAGTTTCACCATATTGGTCAGGCTGGTCTCAAACTCCCCACCTCGTGATCCACCCTCCTTGGCCTCCCAAAGTGCTGGGATTATAGGCGTAAGCCACCATGCTGGGCCTGACCGTTGCTTTTTTTTTTTTCTGAGACGGAGTCTCGCTCTGTTGCCCAGGCTGGAGTGCAGTGGCGCAATCTCGGCTCACTGCAACTTCTGCCTCCTGGGTTCAAGCAATTCTCTGCCTCAGCCTCCCGAGTAGCTGGGAGTACAGGTGCCGCCACCACGCCTGGTTAATTTTTTTGTATTTTTAGTAGAGACAGTTTCACCATATTGGTCAGGCTGGTCTCAAACTCCCGACCTCATGATCCAACCTCCTTGGCCTCCCAAAGTGCTGGGATTACAGGCATGAGCCACTGCACCCGACCGACTATTGCTTTTTTATAGGCTATATATTTCTAGGAAGCAGAAGTAACTTATTCTAACTTTTTCTGTATGGCAATTGGCACAAGGCATCATCTGAAGACCAAAACTGTCAGGATAGAGAAACTTAGAAGCTCAGAATAGAATTTTAGAATTTGAAAAAAAAATTGGGGGAATGTATCATGCAATCTAATCCAATCCCCTCTTTGTATAACAATGATTTTGAGGCTCAAGAAGTAATTAGCATAGCATTATAGTAAAATCTGTGGCAACATCAGCAACATTTTTCCTGCAATACTAAATTACCTTCCTTGATTTTCTGAAAATTAAATTGTATCAATAGTCACATAAGATTGCAGGAATAGGCCAGGCACGGTGGCTCATGCCTGTAATCCCAGCACTTTGGGAGGTTGAGGCAGGCGGATCACGAGGTCAGGAGTTTGAGACCAGCTTGGCCAACATAGTGAAACCCCATCTCTACTAAAAATACGAAAATTAGCCGGGTGTGGTGGCACGTGCCTGTAATCTTGGCCACTTGGGAGGCTGAGGCAGGAGAATTGCTTGCATCCGGGAGGTGAAAGTTGCAGTGAGCCAAGACCGTGCCATTGCACTCCAGCCTGGGTGACAGAGTGAGACTCCGTCTCAAAAAATAATAATAATATTAAATAAATAAAATAAAGATTTCAGGAATAAGTCCTTTTGGAAAAATGCAAGACAACCTTCAGGGAACTAAAATTATATATTACCTTACTCTCTTTTTGGAACATGAACCTCATTTTTTGGGCAGTTTTATTTGCAGGTACAAATTTTCTTGGCTTTTGGATAGTCCTTATGTATTATTGGCAGAATCGTTTCTCACCAGAAGCATCGGAATTCAGAAAGACAGAAACAATGGAATTTATCTTAGCTAAATAAGAAGTTTGAAGAACTCCAGATTATGATATATTCCAAAGTAGCCTCAGTTTTTCAGCAAATTTTAGAGTTAGAAAGGAGTCAGAACTCGGCTTGGATCATCCTCTTAAGAGAGTCAACAATTCTTTTCTAGTATCTTAGCCATAGAGGCAACATGAAATGTCTGGCTGTTTAGTAAAGCTCTAACAATATTTTCATCTTCACTGTTTTCTTTAGGTTGTGTAGGTATCCCTATTGGAGCCCAAGATTTGAAAGAAATTTTGTATTATTGTCTTTTTTTTTTTTTTTTAATTTTGCTTTCCCCAGTTTGCGCTCATATAGATTCCAGCCAGGCTTCTTTTACCACACGTGCTACCCAGCCCGGTTCTAAAGAAATCAGGCTGAGAAGAATTACATAACACACTGGGGAAATGTATCCAATACACTCAACCCTGCCCTGTCCTTCACACTCTGGAGATTATTTCAATTCAACCCCAGGACACTGGTGAATGAGGGAAGCTTTTGGAGGGGTGAGGTGTGGGCGGGTGCCAAGGGGCTAAAAGATCTTATGAAGCTCCCTGCCATGCTGGCCCAGAATTAACCCATGGTTTCCCAGCCAGAGCAGTCCCAGCTGCCTTGCTTTCCTGGGGCTTCACATGTTAATCTATGAAATTAACCAACTGAGTTTGACCGTGACTGGCTTTGTTTTGCAAAACAAAATTGGTAAGGCAGGCCTCATGCTGACTGAATGGAGTCATCAACCCAATTCAAGGGGTGCCACAAAAGCAAGGAAGTGAAACTTCAATTTCCTCCTCATGTTAAATGATAGCTTATCATACAGAGTATGACCCTTACGCAGCTCAGGGCAAAGTATTTTACTGCTTTTTTTTGTGAACAGCAATAAACCACTCTCTTCTAGTTTTTCCTCTAACCCCCACGCCTGCCCCACACCTGACGGATTAAAACTCATTGGAAAGGTCTGTTCTCTGTTGTCAATGGTCAGAGAACCAAAGCCTCCTTTTTGCCCTCACCAAACTGTTATCATTTTATCTCTATCCTAGGAAGTACAGGGTTTGTTTTAGAACAACACAGAAGTAAACAGAGGTGGGGAAAGCCATTCTGGCTTCAGAGCACCGTTGTAATAGTCATCAGCTCTAACCACTTGGGTGAGTTTTGCTTCAGTTCTAGGCCAGGCAGATGATGTTGGTTGCTTTCATCCCGGAGTTTCCACTGCCCCTATACACACCTCTGTTAGAATGTTTATCACACTACATTGGGTTGTTTGAGACAGGATCTTGCTCTGTTGCCCATGCTGGAGTGCAGTGGTACAATCATAGCTCACTGCAGCCTCAATCTCCCATCTCAAGTGATCCTCCTGCCTCAGCCTCCTGAGTAGCTAGGACTGCAGGTGCGCACCACCACACCTGCCTGATTTTTGTATTTTTGTAGAGACAAGATCTTGCTATGTTGCTTAGGCTGGCATACTACATTGTTATGAGAACAGGTGAGCATTTCTTGATTGGGAGGGATTATGTACTTTCATTTTTATGTCCCTAAGCAGTTGCCTAGCATATCCTTGACCCCATAGAAGGCATTCAGTGAAAGAATAAACTGACAGGGAGCCTCCCACAAAGGTTAGCTCATCTTTCCCCCTACCTGCCGGCAAGTCTCTACCTACCTAGACTCAGAATCAGAAAGAGGTTCAGCAGCTCAGCTCCTTCAATGGACACTTGTGGGCATCGATGGGGGAAGATGTGATGTTTCTTAGGACTTGAACCTGCACCCTCTTCACTCTTCACTTATCTCATTTACTTCCATGGCTTCAGAAAATATCTCTTTATTGATGACTCCCAAATTTGCATCTCCTTCTCAAATTTCTAGTTTATTTAGCAAGATTTCCTATACTTATTAGCCTATCACCTGCTTGATATCTTCATTTGAATGTCTCAGGAAAATTACAAAGTTGATACGCTTAAAATGGAACTTTTTTTTTTTTTGAAACAGTCTCACTCTGTTGCCCAGGCTGCAGTGCAGTGGCACAATATCAGCTCACTGCAACCTCTGCCTCCCAGATTCAAGTGATTCTCCTGCCTCAGCCTCCCAAATAGCTGGGATTACAAGCACACAGCATCACGCCTGGCTCATTTTTGTATTTTTAGTAGAGAAGGGGTTTCATCATTTTGGCCAGGCTGGTCTTGGACTCGGACTCCTGGCCTTAAGTGATCCACCCACCTTAGCCTCCCAAAGTGCTGAGATTACAGGTGTGAGCCACCACACCTGGCCAAAATGGAACTCTTAATTCTCATCTTCCTGTTAGTCCTAATCTGGTTTTCTCTCATTTCACCTATGTCCATAATTGGTAACACCTGCCACTCAAGTTACTAAAGTTGGAAAGACTGGGAGTCATCTAGCTTCCTCACCTTCTCTCAACCACCATATCTAATCTATCAGCAATTGCATTGATTCTTCCTCATTTTTTTTTTTAAGACCGAGCCTTGCTCTTGTCACCTAGGTTGGAGTGCAGTGGCACGTTCTCAGCTCACTGCAACCTCCGCCTCCCAGGTTCAAGTGATTCTCCTGCCTCAGCCTCCTGAGTAGCTGGGATTACAGGCGCACACCACCACACCCAGCTAATTTTTGTATTTTTAGTAGAGATGGGGTTTCGCCATGTTGGCCAGGCTGGTCTCGAACTCCTGACCTCATGATCTGCCTACCTCGGTCTACCAAAGTGCTGGAATTACAGGTGTGAGCCACCACACCTGGCTGATTCTTCCTCTTTTTAACGTACTGCTCACCTTCCTTCTCTCTGCTCCCTCTGTTCCTATCCTAGTTCAAGCCACCATTAGCTCTTGCCTGAACTAATACAATTGCCTTTTCTTCAGGGTTCCACTCTTGCCCCTTCCAGTCCATTTTCATATAACATCTAGTATGGGTTTTTTTATGGCTTTTTTTGTGTATGTGTTGTTTGGGTTTTGAGACAGAATCTCATTCTGTCATCCAGGCTGCTGGAGTATAGTAGCACGATCTCGGCTCCCTGCAACCTCCACCTCCCAGCCAAGTGATTTTTGTGCCTCAGCCTCCCAAGTAGATGGGACTACAGGCACATGCTACCATGCCCAGGTATTTTTTTTTTTTTTTTTTAAGTAGAGATAGGGTTTCATTAAGTTGGCTAGACTTGTCTCAAGCTCCTGGCCACAAAAGATCCACTGCCTTGGCTTCCTAAAGTGCTAAATTATCTTCCTTGATTTTCTGAAAATTAAATTGTATCAATAGTCGCATAAGATTGCAGGAATAGGCCAGGCACGGTGGCTCATGCCTGTAATCCCAGCACTTTGGGAGGCCGAGGCGGGTGGATCACGAGGTCTGGAGTTTGAGACCAGACTGGCCAACATAGTGAAACCCCCTCTCTACTAAAAATACAAAAAAAATTAGCTGGGCATGGTGGCTGGCGCCTGTAGTCCCAGCTACTTGGGAGGCTGAGGCAGGAGAATCGCTTGAACCCAGGAGGTGGAGGTTGCAGTGAGCTGAGATTGTGCCACTGCACTCCAGGCTGGGCAACAGACTGAGATTCCCTCTCACAAAAATATAATAATAATAATAAAATAAGACAAGAAAGAAATGCCATAGAATTTAGATTTTATTCTCTAGTGACTTGAAGTTTTTGTTTTGCTTTGTTTTTTGATCAGGTGAATAATGAATTGAATGTGATGAATTAGTAAAGTAAATATGGTAGTAATGTGTTAGGTGGAGAGTTGAAAAGTAGAATATCAGTTCTTGGTTCAAAATTCAGATACAAGGTATGATCTTAGCACAGTGTGGAAGCAAAGGTAATAGAGGGAAGGGATAGATTTGGAGGACGAACCAAAGGAAGAAGACTAAATGTGAAAAGTTGAGCAAAGGGAGGAGTCAGGAACGACTCAGAAAAGTAAGCCTCAGTTACTCCAAGTTTCATTAGCTCACTGATGGAAACATAGAAGTCATGAGAGAAAATCAGTTGTGACATCCAACTAGAACGGCCAGTCAAGCATTAGAGCTGCAATGCCTAGAGCTCACACAGAGATGGAAATTTAGGAGTCATCAGCACAGAAATAAGACTGGAATTTGAGAATAGATAAGTTCTCCACGGTGAGAGCAGAGAAAAAAGTGGACCCCAACCTGAACCTGAGGGTGATGTTCATATTAAGGATCAAGAAAGAAGAGTAGCTCGAAAGAATTGTCTGAAACGCAGGAGGATTTATAGCCAGTGGTCACTGATGCACTTAGAGAGAACTATGTCTGTAGGATAGAGGGAGAGGGATACAGAAGACAAGCAATTAAAGGTAGGTAATGAGGCCGGGCACGGTGGCTCACACCTGTAATCCCAGCACTTTGGGAGGCTGAGGTGGGTGGATCAGTTGAGGTCAGGAGTTCGAGACCAGCCTGACCAACATGGTGAAACCTTGTTTCTACTAAAAAAAAAATACAAAATTAGTCGGGCGTGGTGGTGTGTGCCTGTAATCCCAGCTACTTGGGAGGCAGAGGCAGGAAAATAACTTGAACCCAGGAGGCAGAGGTTGTAGTGAGTCAAGATTGCACCATTGCACTCCAGCCTGGGCAACAAAGGTGAAACTCCATTTGGAAAAAAAAAAAAAAAAAAAAAAAAAAGATGGGTAATGAAATCAGAACCCTGGTTATGGGTTCCATACTTAAGAGATTAGGTGGTGAAAGAAATAAAATATGAGTTTGGAAAGACAGCAGGTCAAAAAGAGTTCTTTTTCTTCTCTCTCTCTCTCTTTTTTTTTTTTTTTTTTTTTTTTTTGAGACAGGGTCTTATTCTGTTGCCCAGGTTGGAGTGCTGTGGCATGATCACAGCTCACTGTAGCCTTGACCTTCTGGGCTCAATCCTCCTGCCTCAGCCTCCTGAGTAGCTGGTACTACAGGCACACACCACCACACTTGGCTAATTTTTTTTTTTTTTTTTTTTGAGATGGAGTCTTACTCTGTCACCCAGGCTGGAGTGCAGTGGCGCAATCTTCGCTCACTGCAATCTCCGCCTCCGGCATTCAAGCAATTCTCTGCCTCAGCCTCCCGAGCAGCTGGGGACTACAGGCGCCCGCCACCATGCCTGGCTAATTTTTGTATTTTTAGTAGAGATGGGGTTTCACCATCTTGGCCAGGCTGGTCTTGAACTCCTGACCTTGTGACCCACCCGCCTCGGCCTCCCAAATTGCTGGGATTATAGGCGTGAGCCACCATGCTCGACCTTCTTGGCTAATTTTTGTGTTTTTTGTAGAGATAAAGTTTTGCTGTGTTGCCCAGGCTAGTCTCAAACTCTTGGGTTCAAGCAATCTGCCCACCCTGGCCTCCCAAAGTGCTGGGTTTACAGATGTGAGCCATTGTGCTGGGCCCTTCTATCTCTTTTTTATTTTATTTATTTATTTTTGTTGTTGTTGTTGTTGTTGTAATTTTGAGATGGAGTCTCGCTCTATCACCTAGTCTGGAGTGCAGTGGCGTGATCTTGGCTCACTGCAACCTCCGCCTCCCGGGTTCAAGCGATTCTCCTGCCTCAGCCTCTTGAGTATCTGGGACAACAGGTATGTCCCACCAGGCTGGGCAAATTTTTTTTTTTTTTTTTTGAGACGGAGTATCGCTCTGTCACCCAGGCTGGAGTGAAGTGGCACAATCTCGGCTCACTGCAACCTCCGCCTCCTGGGTCCAAGAGATTCTCCTGCCTCAGCCTCCCAAGTAGCTGGGATTACAGCTGCCTGCCTAAGTTTTGTATTTTTAGTAGAGATAGGATTTCACTGTGTTGGCCAGCCTGGTCTTGAACTCCTGACCTCAGGTTATCCACCCACCTTGGCCTCATGAAGTGCTGGGATGACAGGCGTGAGCCACCGCGCCCAGCCTTCTCTCTTTTTTATTGGTGAGTCCCTGGGATATCTGAAGACAGGAATGTGGCCAATGCCAGGAGACAGAGTGGTATAAATTAAGGGGATCTTCTAGAGGGGATTCCAGAGGGAGACGACAGTGGTTAAGGTGACTCTAGGTTAGAAAATGTCAAGGTAGCCGGGTGCGGTGGCTCACGCCTATAATCTCAGCACTTTGGGAGGCTGAGGCGGGAGGATAACCTGAGGTCGGGAGTTTGAGACCAGCCTGGCCAACATGGAGAAACCCCGTCTCTACTAAAAATACAAAATTAGCCAGGCGCGGTGGCACATGCCTGTAATCCCAGCAACTTGGGAGGCTGAGGCAGTAGAATCGCTTGAACCCGGGAGGTGGAGGTTTCGGTGAGCCGAGATCTTGCCATTGCACTCCAACCTAGGCAACAAAAGCGAAAATCCGCCTCAGAAAAGAAAAGAAAGGAAAAGGGAAAGGGAAAGGAAAGGACAAAGAAAAGGAAAAGAAAAGAGAAAAAGTCAAGGTACCCTTAATGAGTGATCAGAAGGGTGAGGAAGTCTCCAGGAGTAGTGAAATTACTGAACATAGTCCAACCTAAGTAGACAATTGAGCAAAGTCAGGAGGATAAAAGACTAACTGACACATTGTGGTCAGTGCTGAGGATGTGGGGCTGTAACAACAGCTTTTCGTGAACACAGTAAGGAGCTACCATTGGAAGAACTAGGATAGATGAAACTGAGAGCAGGCTACACCTGGAGGAAGGCAGAGAAAGCAGAGGTCTGGGGGACTCTGGAGTCGGGCATATCCAGATTCCAAAAGAGAAAATAAGGCACTATGCCAGGCCAGACCCTCACTGATAAAGGAGGGCTAGATGGCAGATGAGTCAGACAACAGCAGCTTAGAGGTAAGGTGGGCAGGAGAACAATGCTCCATTTGTAAATCTCAGGTACTCAGTTGTGAATCATGGGATTGGATGCCCTGATTGTCAGTTTCCTGTTCTTGTCCCCACACCACCACAAGCCCCAGCACAGGAGGACTCTAATGAGGCCACTCTGCTGGCCCAATCCCAGTGGACAGAGCAGGGAATCAATGTTATTTTGTCGGGATGGAAGGGGTTAGAAATGAACTTTGGGGCTGGGTGTGGTGGTTCACGCCTGTAATCCAAGCACTTTGAGAGGCTGAGGCAGGAGGATCACTTGAGCCCAGGAGTTCGAGACCAGCTGGGGCAACATAGTGAGACCTAATCGCTACAGAACATTAAAAATAAAATTTTACCTGGGCATGGTGGTGTATGCCTACAGTCTCAGCTACTTAGGAGGCTGAGGTGGGAGGATCCCTTGAGCCCGGAAGCTTGAGGTTGCAGTCAGCCATGATCATGCCACTGTACTCCAGCCTGGGCAACAGAGTGAGAACCTGTCTCAAAAACAAAAAAAGAAAGAAATGAACTTTGGCCATGGAGAAATGCAAGTGGGGCAATCAGAGCTCTGTGAGACCAAGAATAAATAGATTCTTCAGACACATGAGGGAAAGAGGTGAAGGCAGTTGAGGCTTGAAAAGGATGTCTGACTCATACCCCACCTAACTCCTCACAGAAACTCAAGTTCATGTATCTGAAGACAGTCTGGGAAAAAGAGACAACTGGTGAAAAACTGAAGTAATTGGCTTATTTCTTTTGGCGAATGGGTCTGTTTGAAGGCCTCAAATCCATAATATGAAGTCCTAGGAGACGCCAGTTTAAGATGTAATAGTATTAATTCAGGGTAGACGTGAGCAAATGCTCTGGTAAGCACTTTGTCCTGGGTAGGGAAGGACTGGCTTTCCCCTTCCTGACAGTCTTTCAAAACAGGATGTACAGTGTGTGCCTCTTTTTTTTTGGCTTTAGGAGCTCTCCTGTTAAGAAGCAGGTGGCTGAATTAAGTGATCTCTTATAGACTGCAAGAAGCCGATGGCAATTAAATGACAAGGGACCTTCTCAAGATCACTGAGTCCCATCACAGATATGCATGGGTACCTGAGAGTCTGAGAGGAATGTGGGAATGAGTTTGGGTACCTGGTGCACCACTGGGCCTTCCCCACCCACTTCCTACCCACATCCTCACTTCCCCTGCCCATCGTTTCACTGGTCGCTTGCTGACCAAGTGTAGTGGGAGGCCTCCCAGACGCCTGGCCTAATTCCTTCAGTTCTTTCCTTGGATCATCACATATCCTTTTCCTGATGATGCTCCATGAGAAGGGCAGCCTAGCAGGGCAGGCAGAGCACCAACCTTGGAGGCTGTCCAGGGCCCTGGAGTCTACTCTTTGCTCCTCTGCGATCTCACGTGCTGATAGGGGCAGGATACTTTCCTCCTCCAGGCTCTGCTTGCCTTCAGTGGTAGGGAATGCTGCAGGATTGGGTGGTTTAGAGCTCTATTCCTACCCAAAGGTCTTTAACCTCTTCTAGAAGCCTTTGATCTGGCCCTTGCTTTCATTTTCCCCCAATCTGAACATCTTTATCTAGGTCCAGGGTCACTGCCTTTTGTCATCAATAGGATTATGAGTAGTTTGTGATGTGGGGCTAGAAACGTTCGTTTTTCTCTGAAGCCTGTTTTTCCTTTCTCTATCTTCTAAAATAAACAGCCCTCCTTTGACATTCCCTCTTGAAACTTTGACCTGTAATGTAGACCATAATGGTTAGTTTTTTCTTTGGGTACCCCCTGGAGAACCAGGATTCTGCCCCCACAAATCAGCAGGAGCCAGGCTTTCTGCTTTATCATTCTAAGGAAGGCCTTTGCAAATCAAAAGTTAGGTTTCTTCATTCTGGAGAAAGGCTGAGAAATATGATTCCCTTGCTTGGTGAAGAGGGAGGAGAGGACACCTTTCATTGCATATGAATGGTAGTCATTCTACAAAACTGTCATGATGGTTAAGAATGTGGCCAGGGATCCCTGGACTGCTATAGTGTAAGTGGTGTAAAAGAAAGAGTATGGATTTATGAGGCAGTAGTAGCCTGAATTTAAATTCACCTCCCTGCATTTAATTTTAGGTTGGGGTGCTTAACCTCTCTCTGAGCCAGTTTCCTCAGTAGTTGGAAAGGAATAATTGTAACTCTTTAATTGGATTGGCCTGAGGATTGAAGGAGACGATATCTGTTAAGCACCTGACATTTAGTAGGTGATCAATTACTTCCTTTCCACTCTAGTTTCCCTAACCACTTACTCACCTGCCAGCAAGCCTGAGTAGATTGGCAGTGAACCAAAGGAGACCCGGGGAACAGGACTCAGGGTTTTCTTAGGAGCTCCTAATTCTGCCCACATCAGAGAGCAGATGGGAAGGAAAAGAAGGAAGAAAAGAAAAAGACAAAAGAGATAAAGATTTGTAGGGGTCTGGCAAGCATAAGCATATTTATTTTCTTTCTTTCCTTCCTTCTCTTTTTCTCTTTTTCTTTCTTGTTTTAAAACTTTTTTTTTTTTTTTTTTGAGACAGGATCTCATTCTGTCACCCAGGCTGGAGTGCAGTGGTGTGATCACAGCTCACTGCAGCTTCGACCTCCCAGGCTCAGTGGATCCCGCTACCTCAGCCTCTGGAGTAGTTGTGACTACAGGTGCATGCCACCATGCCTGGCTAACTTTTTGGTATTTTTTGTAGAGAAGGGGTTTTGCCATGTTGCCCAGGCTGGTCTCTAACTCCTGGACTCAAGTGATCTGCCTGCCTCGGCCTCCCAAAGTGTTGGGATTACAGGTGTGAGCCACCACACTTGGCCTCTTTTTCTTTCTTTCCTCTTTTTTTTTTTTTTTTGTTGTTGTTGTAGAGATCGAGTCTCGCTGTGTTACCCAGGCTGGTCTCAAACTTCCTGGCCTCAAGTGATTCTCCCGCCTTGGCCTCCCAAAAGCATATTTTCCTTTTAATCTAGACTGAGCAAATACAGAATTCCATTGTCCAGGCGAAGTGATGCTGTGCTTGGATTTACTGAACTAGGGGAATAGGCTCATGGACAGGTTTCCCTCATTGAATTGATCACTTTTTCAGCAGGTTTACAAGATCCATCATCAGATCGTGGCCAATCTGCCTGTCTTGGGCCCTTAATCTATGGAAACGGGGTTTTACTGTTCTGTCACCTTAATGATAGCCAGCTTGTTAAGGATGAACCAAAAGGGAAGGGATATAGGGCTGTAACTGACAAATCTGAATGAGGCTGTGTTGCCTTGGAATGAATCCTTGGCAGGAAGGCGATGGATGTAGAGAAATCCAAATTCCTGTTGTTTCTGGCACAGGGTCCATGTGGGAAGATTGGTTGGTGTGACTGATAGCTCTGAAGGTAAGATGGATGAGGGTGGGAAAGGCTTGGAAGGAGAAGAGACTAGGAGACTATGAGTTTTTTGGGGCAGCAGACAAACTTCAAGGAATTCCCATTGCCTGAGATTTCTTGGTGAAAACCTCTGATATAAGCCCGCAGTAAACAAAAGGCTTGTTCTCCTGGAATGACCTTTTGAACAGGGCAGCAGGGATGGTTTTGCTTCTGAAAATCCCTGCCAAGATTATTGGGGTATGTCAGTAAGGTCCTGGGGAAGATGTCAAAGCCTCAGGTGCCTGGGTTCTTTGGATGGAGATTCAGTTAGGAATCTAGTGTGGGGGGGGGAAATCTAGTGTGTTCATTTCTCTAGCACAGGGTCGCAACTCAGGTTTCGGGTGGGACGCTTTGACATCTATATTTATTGAGGGTTTAACCTCTGTGCTAGATAATTTTATTTTTGCTTTTTCTCTGAGCCTCAGGGAAATAATCTTCTTTTGGTTGCCTATTTCCATTCCTCCTTCCATGACCACCAAGCAGCACACACCACACACATTTTCTTTCTCTGTCACTACTGCAGTGTGCTTTTTAACTTTCCATTGAAGGAGAGACAGAGAGGAAATCTGTCATTTCCTTGACATAGGCTTCGCTTTTATGTATCTGTCCTTATATCTATTCTCTGACATCTGTGGTAGTTTTAAATGTTTCTCTTGAGATGCCAGCTTCCTTCATGAACATTTCACCTTCCTTTTCACTAAAAAACAAGATTGGTTATTCCTTTTTGGCATTAAAATAAATAACACATTAATTCTTTCTGATGACAAAAAATATTTATTGTAGGCAAACGTAAAAATACAGAAAAACACAAAAGGAAAACAAACCACTCTATTTTGGTATCACATAGTGGCAAATATTTGCACATTGCCACAAAAACAAAATTGGATTCATCCTGAACATGCCATTTTGCAATCAACTTTGTTCAGTTAATTCTATCATGCGTGCTTTCCATATTACTAAGTATTTCTCAAGAATATTTTAGTGGCTAATAGTCTACTGTAAGGTTATGATTTACTTGTTTATCCTACTTTGAACACTTAAATTGTTTTCTAATTTAAAACAATAAGCTAGGGTTTTTTTCCCATTTTTGGTGATCATTTTTGCTTTTTATTCAACATATTCAAAATATCTCCTCCAGGCAGGGTGCAAGCCTGTGCAGACAGCAGAGATTCCCAAGGCTGAGATATTCAGATTTAGGAAACCAGCGGCTAAGCTCCCAGGGCTCTCCTTATGGGAAACTACCCCTCCTCCAAAGATTACCATTGGAAGATGTGGAAGTGCAAATGCAGGTAGGTAGAATCCACAACTCTTTTTGTCTCTTGCCCTGGGGCCCAGGTCTTGGTGTACAGACACCCCAGGATGCCCAAGTTAAGAGGGCAAACACACTTTGAATATGGCCCAAGTTCAAAGGGCTTCCTTACTCCCCAAGTTACCTAGGTTGCATTAAAATAACACTTTCTAATTCTGGGAGTCTGTATTGTTTTCCTGTTGACCAGTGTCTGGGTCTCAATTTTTTGTTACCTGCCAAACACTGAAATCAAGGGAGTTGCATATTTCTAGTTTCTCCTTTATCCTGGTGGATTATTGGGATACAGAAGAAGGGTTTCTTATTCCCTTTTTGATCTTAAGGTTTCCAAAGGGAGTAATAGAAGTCCCAGCTGGATATATCTTAGAAGCATTTATGGCAAAATACAGTTGAGTTCTCAATCTGGGAAAACAACAGAAGAGTCCCCAGCTCTCTGAGGAGCATCGCTCTTGTGGGACCTTGTCTGGGTAGGTCATAGTCACCTGTCCACTGACTGCCATGATTGCCTTTCCATGGCTCCAGAGACGGTTTATGAGCTGCAAAAACCCCCAGGTTATACTGGGTGCTGGTTTCCCCAGGCGTGGGTGGGAAGAATTTATTTTCTTTTCTCTTTATTATTTATTTATTTATTTATTTATTTATTTATTTATTTATTTATTTATTTTTTAGTCAGGGTCTCAGTTCTGTTGCCCAGGTTGGAGTGCAATGGCACAATCACACCTCACTGTAGTCTCGAGCTCCTGGGCTCCAGTGATCCTCTCACTTCAGCCTCCCAAGTATCTAGGACTACAGGCAAGTGCCACCACACCTAGCTAATTTTTAAATTTTGTGTAGAGATGGTGTCTTTCTATGTTGTCCAGGCTGGAGGAAGAGCTTTTCAAAAGTGCATACTTGGGGGATAAAAAATCCAACACTCTAAAACTTTCCAGTAGGCAGATATGTGGTCTTTACCTCATTTATCAGCATAGATTTGTAGCCACAGGCTGCTCTTCAGAAGTCTGAACAGAACTCTTTCGTTTTTTGCTTCTATTCTCCTGATTCCCAGCAGCACAGCTGGGTTGGACATGGTCTGAAATTTAAAGGAACAAATACTTTGAAGGTCCCTCTAGATATAGACCCCAAACCAAACTCTCCCTGTAGAAAGCTGCATAAGTACAGGCACAAAGATGGGAAAGTAGTTTGCAGGAAAGATGAAATGGGGGTCTGCCAAAGTCAGGAGGCCCAGGTTCCAATTTCAGCCCCGCCAGGAATATGCTGTAGAATCTTGGGCCTCCATTTTCCCCACTGATAGCAGATATCATGAGGACTACAGACCAAAACTGCAATTTTCCGATTGCTTTCCAATCTGTTCTCTCTAAGAGAGAAGCTATGTCCCCTTCCACTGATGCAATTAATCAAGTGAACTTGTGTGGGGTATTATCAGGCACTGCCCTTACCCAGGGACTGGGCACTGCCTGGGGAGCGTGCGCAGTAATACTTGCTCACCACATGCCTACACTGGTCACACTTGACCGTACAGCACCACTGGAATTTGCAGTTACAGCTGCTTATGACCTCAGTTTTCCTCTCTTCCACCTGCAGCCCACACTCAGTGCACAGGCGCCCACAGCTACGTCGCTCCCACCTGGATGTGTTGTGGCTGTTCTGTAGGCACTCACGACCCTCTGTGCCATAGATGCCCAGGCTGGAATTGCAGGTACAGTAATCTGGTGATTCCTCTAAAAAGATCAGTTCCGCCTCTGCGCTAGGAAGGAAGGCCTCAGCGGGCACCCAGTGGCCCTCGGCGCTGTTCCCAGCTCTCAGCTGCCGCTTATCCATTTCAATTTTCAGCGCCTGGTCATACTTGGCCTTTAGGTAGTCTCCCATCTCCCGGAATTCAGCCAGCTGCAGCCAGCATGTCTGTATGCTGCAGCTCCCAGAGATGCCATGACATTTGCATGTCCTTTTCATGGTGGCTCTCACTGCCTTCATAGAGAGAACACAAAAGAGAATGGCTCTGAGTAGGGAAGACCAAAGGTTAGTGATTAAAGGGAATGTTTTAGAGCTGTGTTTCTTGACTTTAAAGGAGCATCAGAATTATTTGGGGAAGCTCACGAAAAATATTTATTCCTCGACCCTACCTCAGATCTTCTCAATGAGGATATTCAGTGGGGAAGGGGCTGGTACTGGTGATTTTAAAGCTTCCCTGGGTGATTCTGATGGAGAGCCAGGCAAGAGCTGAGAAGGTTACTAGAGTCCAGAAACCTCTGCTCCAGGCTCAACTGTATCACTTGTCAAGCTTTTCTCTATCTGCCCAGCTGGAATAAGAATTGGATATAATAATAATCAAGGAAGTACTATGTAAATTATAAAGGAAACTATGATAATAGCCACAGTTACTGTCTTGAGGCTGGGCATGAGAGTATTTTGGGGGGTTTGGATTTGTCCTCTGGGTCTTCTCTGAGAGGGGAGGGAGCTCCTTGAGTCTGAACACTTATACCCCCAAGGCAATGAATTACCCATGGTTGTACTTGCTTAAAAAACCTCTTCCTGGCTGGATGTGGTGGCTCATGCCTATAATTCCAAGACGTTGGGAGGCTGAGGCAAGAGGATCGCTTGAGCCCAGGAGGCCAAGACCAGCCTGGGCAATATGGGGAAACCTCATCTCTACAAAACCCACAAAAACTAGCTGGGCATAGTGGCAAGCACCTGTAGTCCCAGGTTCTCAGGAGGCTGAGGTGGGAGGATGGCTTCAGCCTGGGAGGTGGAGGCTGCAGTGAGCCGAGATGGCACCACTGCACTTCAGCCTGGGAGACAGAGTAAGACCCTGTCTCAAAAAAACCCCAAGCCCAAAAACCCCTTTCCCCCTTTCCCTGGGCAACCAGGATATCTAGGTATAGGTTCACAGGAAATTTCTATGCTTTTGGCTCTAAATCCAACTTGTTTCCAGATTTGTGTTCAGAATACTCCAGAGACTGCCACCCCACTAGAAGTCTTGGGGGAGAGTTTGACACTCCAGAGAAGCCTAGATCAATCCCAATTCCCCACAGCCCAGACAGACTTTAGGACACAAGGCTGGACAACAAGGCCCTGTTAATTTACTAGAACATGCAGTTGAAGTGATAAAAATTTAAGTCATAGAAGCAAGGCCTCGGTTCTGTGTTCTCAGAAGCCCGCGTGTGGAGGGGCAGAGCAGAACATACAATGACAAGAGGACTCAGTGAGAAGATCTGAGTTCACTGCCTGTCTCTGACACTTATTAGTTGCCTTGGACAAGCCACTTGGCTCAGATTTAATTGGTTTTGTCATCCAGAGAATGCGGGTAGCCATCTCAATCTGGCTGGGTAGTATGAGGAAAGAACGTATAAGACAGCTCTTGGTAAATTGTGAAGGGCCGGGCAGATGTGAAGCTGTAGAAATACTGGCCACAATGCCTATACCCACCAGTCTGCCGGCCCTGTTGTTGTGAAGATTCATCAGGGCTCTGGCATCCTTCCCCTTCTCCAAACTGTCCACAAAGAGTTTGGAGATCCTTTCCCCAAATTCCACATTGTCGCTGCAGCCTCCCCAGATCCAGCCATGGCCTCCTATATACAAGGACAGAATAAGTTCTCCGTGTAGCTCCATGCTCAGTCCCAGTCACCCGCCAAACCACCCCCAAGAGCCCTAGAGTGTAAAGCTATGGCTGAAGGTGAGACAGGGAAATGGAGGTGCTTGGGGTGGGTGGGAGTCCTGTTGCCAAAGCCAACTGCCCACCCTTCAGACACTTCCCAGCCATAAGCAATTAGTCTTCTATACCCACAGTAAAAGTAGGTACACTGGGGGCTAACAGATGCTCTCAAAGGTTCACTGCAGCTTGGCCAGGCGTGGTGGCTCACGTCTGTAATCCCAGCACTTTGGGAGGCCAAGGCAGGCGGATCACGAGGTCAGGAGATCAAGACCATCCTGGCTAACACGGTGAAACCCCATCTCTACTAAAAATACAAAAAATTAGCCGAGTGTGGTGGCGGGCACCTGTAGTCCCAGCTACTCGGGAGGCTGAGGCAGGAGAATGGCGTGAACCTGGGAGGTGGAGTTTGCAGTGAGCTGAGATCGCGCCACTGCACTCCAGCCTAGTCGACAGAGCGAGACTCCATCTCAAAAAAAAAAAAAAAGGTTCACTGCAGCTCAAACATTCTGGAATTCTGCACCATTATTCTACAATCATCTCGTAAAGGCTACTACCTCCTTCATTAGTGATAAATCTGAGTAAGTGTCTTAGGTAATCTGTAAATTGCTGAGTAGCTCTAGATTATGGATGAACCATTCCAAGCCTGAAATACCAGGGCTAGCTTTAAGTCTCTTCGGCTTTCTCATTTCTAATTGCCTTGTTGCTTTTAGAGCTACTTGCTAACACCTAGACTCATGGACCCAGGCTCAACTCTGAGAGTGTAAGGCTAGGAGATCCTACAATTGAAGGAGTTGCTGGAGTCTTGAGGTTTAAGGGAGCTGTGTCCCTCAGCCTTTCTCTGGAAGACTTTAGTCTGCACTCAGCTCTGTAGCCCCTCACCTCTTCCCACCCCCATTAGAAAGCTCAACTTACCTGTTTTTCCATTGTTTGACCCATCACAGCCACAGTTTTCGAAGTCACCCATGCTACAGTTCTTGGTGATGATGTACATGACTCCAGCAGAGCTGATAGCATGTATGAAGGAAGTCTCTCTGGTAGCTTTGGAGAGAGAGAGGGAACTGACTGGAAACCTGGACCCTGATTACCCAAAGCAGAGGCTTTGGAAAAATAATACTGTTTATCTCCCTTATCCCCCACTTCCTTTGGGTTTAAGAGGATGCTTTTCTTTCTTTTTTTTTTTTTTTTTTTTTTTTTGAGACTCGCTCTGTCACCAGGCTGGAGTGCAGTGGCATGATCTTGGCTCACTGCAACCTCTGCCTCCCAGGTTCAAGCAATTCTCCTGCCCCAGCCTCCTGAGTAGCTGGCTGGGACTACAGGTGCGTGCCACCATGCCCAGCTAATTTTTGTATTTCTAGTAGAGATGGGGTTTCACCTTGTTGACCAGGATGGTCTCGATCTCTTGACCACATGATCTGCCCTCCTTGGCCTCCCAAAGTGCTGGGATTACAGGCGTGAACCACTGTGGCTGGTCATTTTTTTGTTTTTGTTTTTGTTTTGAGACAGAGTCTCACTCTGTTGCCCAGGCTGGGGTGCAGTGGCATGATCTCGGCTCTCTGCAACCTCCGCCTCCCAGGTTCAAGCGATTCTCCTGCCTCAGCCTCCTGAGTAGCAGGTACATGCCACCACCCCCAGCTAATTTTTGTATTTTTAGTAGAGATGGGGTTTCACCATGTTGGCCAGGCTGGTCTTGAACTCCTGATCTCAGGTGACCCACCTGCCTGGCCTCCCAAAGTGCTGGGATTACAGGCGTGAGCCACTGTGCCTGGCCTATTTTTTTTTAATTATTATTTTATTTTTTGAGATAGGCTCTTACTCTGTTGTCCAGGCTGGAGTGCAGTAGCGCGATCTTGGCTCACTGTAACCTCCGCCTTCCAGGTTCAAGCAATTCTCGTGCCTCAGCCTCCTGAGTAGCTGGGACTATAGGTGCATGCTACCACACCCGGCTATTTTTTTTTTTTTTTTTTGGTCTTTAGTACATATGGGGTTTCACCATGTTGGCCAGAGTGGTCTAGAACTCCTGGGCTCAAGTGATCCACTCACCTTGGCCTCCCAAAGTGCTGGGATTACAGGCATGAGCCACCGCACCTGGCCTATTATTATTGTATTAGAAATAGGGTCTCACTATGTTGCCCAGGCTGGACTTGAACTCCTGGGCGCAAGCAATCCTCCCGTCTCAGCCTCCCAAAGTGCTGGGATTACAGGTGTGAGCCACTGCATCCAGCCAATGCTCTTCTATTTGAAAGAACAATGCATATTTTTTCAGCCTCCTTCCTTCATCCAGGCAGGAATGAACATCCCTATGTTAACCAATGGGGAAAGTAAAAACCAGAGATAGAATGATGAGGCCAATGTAATCCCAGCACTTTGGGAGGTTAAGTTGGGTGGATTGCTTGAGCTCAGGAGTTCGAGACCAGCCTGGGCAACATGACGAAACCCTGTCTCTACAAAAAATACAAAAATTAGCCGGGCATGGGGGTGCATGCCTATAGTCCCAGCTACTCAGGAGGCTGAAGTGGGAGAATTGCCTGAGCCTGGGAGGCAGAGGCTGCATTGAGCCAAGATCGCGCCACTGCAAACTAGCTTGGGTAAAAAAGTGAAACCCTGTCTCAAAAATAAATAAAGAAAGAAAGAAATAAAGAATGATGAGAACAAGACCACTTTCCAATTGTGGTGTTGGGATCGGGACCTTGCCCTCTTAGAGTCCAGCCTAGACCTCTGTCCACTAGCCACTGCTGCTAGTCTTTAGGCAGTGAGACTCAGGGCTTGATGCTGGCCTAGGAGAGAGAGGAGGACCTTTGCTGCTTCTGACTGGGAAGTTTGGGCCATGTAATAATCATAATCATCCTGACTGCCACCTACTGAACTCTTATCTTACTAAACTCTTTACAAACATTGTCACATTTTATTTCTACATACTCCCTATTCTATCTGTATACCCCATGGGGAGACATTTCTTTTGAACCTCATCTTTTTTTTTTTTTTTTTTTTTTGAGACAAGGTCTTGCTCTGTCACCCAGGCAGGAGTGTAGTGGTGTGATCATAGCTCACTATATCCTTGAACTCCTGGGTTCCAGAAATCCTCCCAACTCAGCCTTCCAGGTCTCTGGGACTACAGGCACATGCTACCATGCCGGCTAATATTTTTACTTTTATTTTTAGTAGAGACGAGGTCTTGCTATGTTGCCCAGGCTGGTCTCGAACTCCTGAACTCAAGCGATCCTCCTGCCTTAGCCTTCCAAAGTGCTGGGATTATAGGCATGGTTCCAACACGTGCTTAGCCACTTTCTCCGTCTTCTTTACTCTCGTTCCCCTAACTATTCTCAGGTGAATGTTATCTTCAAAAATGACATGCAAACTACGGCACACAGTTACAAATGGGTGCACGTGCACACCCATACACACACATAGACACACACCCCACCTGAGGCACAACTCAATGTGACGTCTCAGCTTTTCTGTTGAGATTTTATGGCAGTTAGCCATGTGAAACTTCCTCAGGAGCTGCAAACACACAGCCCTTTCCCCATTTTTATTTCATGCAACTCAGTGCAAGATCAGTGTGTACAAACGCACAAATATAGGCATGCATTTAAAAAATAGAGTAATTTCCGCTGGGCACGGTGGCTTACGCCTGTAATCCCAGCACTTTTGGAGGCTGAGGTGGGTGGATCACCTGAGGTCAGGAGTTTGAGACCAGCCTGGCCAACATGGTGAAACCCCATCTCTACTAAAAATACAAAAAATTAGCCAGGCATGTTGCATGCCTGTAATCCCAGCTACTCGGGAGGCTGAGGCAGGAGAATCACTTGAACTCCGGAGGCGGAAGTTGCGGTAAGCCGAGATTGCGCCATTGCACTCCAGCCTGGGCAACAGAGTGAGACTCCGTCTCAAAAAAAGAAAAAAAAAAAAGAGTAATTTCCTACATTTATCTCATACATAGAGACACCTCATACCCACCTCATTCAACCCATAGGATACTTCTGATGAACTAAACAGAACTGGCCTTACTGACCCAAATGACAAATCTGGGGCTGAGAGAGGGTAGGTAATTTACTCAAGGCCACACAGCAAGGAAATGGCAGGTCAGCAGGTCACTGGCAGCATTTTTATTTCACTGTGCAATACATGTCACACATATACACATACTGCAAGCCCCACTCCATTCACATATATACCCCTTGTACAGGTGAGTCCCACACAAACTTACCACTTCTCAGCCTGTTGTGGGTGGAGAGCTGAAGAGCATTTTCAGGGCAGTTCCAGCGTTCCCAAGCAAACTGGAACTTGCACTCCTCGATGCCACTCTGGGCACCCAAGGCCACACTAGTCGTGTAGGTCAGATAGGCCTGGCAAAGGGAAAAGGGCTGTGAGCTTCTGCCCGGTATGGGTCATCTGTGGTTGGGGGAGCAGGCAGGACTCAGATGGGCCAGCTCTCCATTAAGAATCAACCATGGGTTCCTCTGGGTGAGGGGCTCTGGCACTGTCCCCGCCCCTCTTTTCTCCAGAAGAGTCCCCTTAGGGCCCTCAGTGGGTAAAAACAGAAGCTGGAGATCATCCTACCTTGGGACCTGTTATCAGGAAATTGTTCACTGACCTACCAAAAAGAGAAAAAGTGAGGCAGAGGTGAATGGGGATGAGACAATGGGGGCCTCCTTGGCAAGGAGTGAGGGTTGGGAAAGGACTTACCAGGCAGAGGCACTGAATGCAGCACAGCATATGCCCAGAGCTGCCCAGAGCATAAACAGGTTCCCCATCGCCCTGCCTACCCCAGTGGACCAGGTCCAGCTCAGGGCCAAGTCCAGAGAAGTGAGGAGAGGGCAGGGTCTTCCTCAGTATTTATGTGAGAAAATTCTGAATGTCCAAGGGAGGAAATCAGCAGCTCTTCTCATTTGTTCCTAACTGGCAGGGCTGCAGGAGCCACCGGCCCAGTGGGGGATCTGGGAGGAGGGACTCAGTTTTCGCCAAAAGCCCCGCCCTGCCCAGCCCCTCCAGCCCTTCTTCCCTCCCAGAATGAGAAGGAGGCTGCTTTTCTCCTATACGTGAGATTTCTTTCTTCTATATGTCAATTTTGTCTCTTCCTGCTTCTTTGGCCCATTTCTCAGAATCATGTAGGCCAGAGCAGGCTGGGTCCTTAACCCTGAAGGCAGGTCACCTATTCTTGGAGCTACAGTGTCCTCATCTGTCAGTGAGAGCCCACTCTCTGTCCTGCCATCCTCCCCAAGGTGTTAATAATCATAAAGCAACTCCATCTGGGGCTGCTTCCTACTCATTTACCTAAACCAGTGAGTGCGCCATCCCTACCACTTCCTTCAAGGCTGTGAGGTGATGGAGCTGTGGGACTATGGAGCAGGAACACTTCAGAGTCCATCTCTGCAACAGTCCCTTCCACCACATTCTAGCAACTGCTGGGAAATTTCCTTAATTCCTAGCAAATCTATCCTTTTATATCTGAGGGTTACAACTCCAGTTAGTTGATTTTTTATATATCTGAGAACCAACCTTAGGGCCACCCAGGGTTATATTTGGGAAGACTGATGCCTTTCTCTTTTTTTTTTTTTTTTGAGACAGAGTCTCTCGCTCTGTCGCCCAGGCTGGAGTGCAGTGGTGCAATCTCAGCTCACTACAACCTCTGCCTCCTGGGTTCAAGTGATTCTCCTACCTCAGCCTCCCAAGTATCTGAGACTACAGGTGCCAGCCACCACACCCAGCTAAATTTTGTATTTTTAGTAGAGAAGGGGTTTCGCCAGTTGGCCAGCCTGGTCTTGAACTCCTGGGCTCAAGTGATCTGCCCACCTTGGCCTCCCAAAATGCTGGGATTATAGGCATGAGCCACTGGGCGTGGCCCTGATGCCTTTCTTTCTGATACTACTTTGTTACTAGGACTTCAGCTCCTTAGGTGGGAATCTGTCTTTTATTTTATTTTATTTATTTATTTATTTATTTATTTATTTATTTATTTATTTATTTTGAGATGGAGTCTCACTCTGTCGCCAGGCTGGAGTGCAGTGGCATGATCTCGGCTCACTGCAACCTCCACTTCCTGGGATCGAGCAATTCTCCTGCCTCAGCCTCCGGAGTAGCTGGGATTACAGGTGTGCGCCACCATGCCCAGCTAATTTTTGTATTTTTAGTAGAGACGGGTTTCACCATGTTGGCCGGGATGGTCTCGATCTCTTAATCTCGTGATCCACCTGCCTCGGCCTCCCAAAGTGCTGGGATTACAGGCGTGAGCCACCATACCCAGCCTTATTTTATTTTATTTTTTGAGGCAGAGTTTCACTCTTGTCACCCGGGCTGGAGTGCAAGTGTGCCATCTCAACTTACTGCAACCTCCACCTCTGTGTTCAAGTGATTCTCCTGCCTCAGCCTCCCCAGTAGCTGAGATTACAGGCATGTGCCACCATGTCCAGCTAATTTTGTACTTTTAGTAGAGACAGGGTTTCCCTATGTTGGCCAGGCTGGTCTCAAACTCCTGACATCAGGTGATCCACACGCCTTTGGCCTCCTGAAGTGCTGGGATTACAGGCATGAGCCACCGCACCCAGCCAGGAATGTCTTTTAGGTTCACTTTCGGTTCTTAGAGCTTAAGAAGGCACCTGGATGAACAAACGAAAGACCCTGTGACCCCTAGTGGGCACCATTAGGTATGCTTGGGGACTAGAACAAAAGGTGGGAAAGTCCTTCTTGGTTGCTGAAGCTCTTTCCTAAGGCTGGAGAAGGAAGTCTAGAGAAGTTCAGAGGAAAGCATAGATGGAAAGTCACAGTTCTGACTCCATCCTGTGACCATTACAACATCCAGATCACTTCCCAGAACTTTGGACCTGGTTTGGGTGGGAAGTGGAGCTCAGAGATCCCCCCACCAAAGGAGTTCCAGGGGCCAAAGAGTCCCCAGGTGTCTTTAGGGCATACTCCAAGTATGGGCCAGGCTTGGCGTCGGTCTGCAAACTGACTGTTGTCCTTCTGACATAAGATAATTACAAAAATAGAAGTGTTTAGAAATTTTTATAGCAATTTGGAGCAATTTTAGATATGCTAAACCTAGGAGGAAATTTGGGCTCTTATTTTGTATGTAGTTTTTTGTTTCATTTCTTCAGAAGGATGAGGACAAAAAGTCCTAATGGACTAAAGCTCTGCCTCCCAGCCCCCCGCAAGCTCTCTTCCTTTGATTGCTTGTGGGCCTCTCTGCTTGGGGAAAATAGGTGTCCCAGACTTGAGTTAAGCGAGAAAAGCCCACTGAGTTAGCCTCAGCGGCCTTTTCTCTGTCTCCTACTTTTCCCAATCAAGAATCTAATTTAACTTTCACTTCTTAAGACAGCAGGGTTGATTTCCATGGCATTCACTCTGGGGTCAGAACTGGGTTAGTGATAGCTCCGAGGAAGTCCCCTGCCACCTCGAAAGAGTTTTAGGAGTGACTCCGCTTTCACTTCCTGTGTGTGAGTGACTGGGTCTTATGCTTCTGTGTTCTCCGCTGCACCTGGCATTTAATTGGTACTCTACAAAAAAATACTCTTTTTTTTCTAGGAAGCAGAGGGGAAGATAGTTTTTTGTATGCAAACTGTGCTCGCTCCTGCTCAGATTCTATAAAGATCATATAGTTTTTCTTTTTTTTTTTTTTTTTGAGACAGAGTCTCGCTCTGTCGCCCAGGCTGCAGTGCAGTGGCGCGATCTCCGCTCACTGCAAGCTCCGCCTCCCTTGTTCACGCCATTCTCCTGCCTCAGCCTCCCGAGTAGCTGGGACTACAGGCGCCCGCCTGTATTGAATTTTTAGTAGAGACAGGGTTTCACTGTGTTCGCCAGGATGGTCTCGATCTCCTGACCTCGTGATCCACCCGTCTCGGCCTCCCAAAGTGCTGGGATTACAGGCGTGAGCCACTGCGCCCGGCAAGATCATATAGTTTTTCTAAATGGAAGTGAGAATTTATAGAGAGGCCTCTGCTCCAGGTATCAGGAGCCCTGGGCTTGTTGTGTGACCTTGGGCAAGATATTTACCACCATCTGGACTTAGATTCTTCATCTCCAAAATGAGGGAGTGAGGAAAATGTTGAAGGTTGAATGACCACTAAAGACTTTCCCAGCTGGGCTGGGCATGGTAGCTCACATCTATAATCCCAGCCCTTTGGGAGGCTGAGTGGGGAGGATCGCCTGAGCTCAGGACTTTGAGGCTACAGTGAGCCATGATTGCGCCACTGTACTCTAGCCTAGATGGCAGAATGAGACCCTGTCTCTAAAAAAAAAGTCCAGGGCTCACTCCTGTAATTCTGTAATCCCAGCACTTTGGGAGGCCAAGGCAGGCAAATCACCTGAGTTTAGGAGTTTGAGACCAGCCTGACCAACATGGAGAAACCTCATCTCTACTAAAAATATAAAAATTAGCCAAAAAAAAAAAAAAAAAAAAAAAACAAGATTTACAGAGTTTATGAATCCCAGAGGTGATTGTAGGCCAGAAATCTTATCTTCTTCAGTTGCGAGCGTTGGAATTATCTTTTTTTGTTTGTGTGTGCGGTTTTTTGTTTTTTTTTTTTTTGAGAAGGAGTCTCTGTCACCCAGGCTAGAGTGCAGTGGTGCAATCTCAGCTCACCACAACCTCTGCCTCCTGGGTTCAAAGCCATTCTCATGCCTCAGCCACCCAAGTAGCTGGGATTACAGGTGCTCGCCTCCACGCTTGGCTAATTTTTGCATTTTTAGAAGAGACTGGGTTTCACCGTGTTGGACAGGATGGTCTCAAACTCCTGGCTTCAAGGGATTTGCTCACCTCGGCCTCCCAAAGTGCTGGGATTACAGACGTGAGCCACTGTGCCCGGCCAGAATTATCTTATACATCTTTGAATCCTGTAGTTGACGATTAGATGAGCCTTTAAGATGGATACCTGGAGGATAACCAATGCCTTCTTCAGAGTCCTTTGGAGTGTATCTACATAAGACCCCTGTGCTGGACTGACTAAATTTTTCACTGCAGACAGAGGTTTCCTGGAGAGAATAGTGAGAGGCATTCCACATCAAGTCTACAAATCATTTCTAGTCAACCTGTGTATCAATTTCCTTAATCCCAGCTCTATTGTCTCATTAGCTTTTAAGTAATGATCCAACTCTTGGTTTCTCTCTTGCAGGAATGGAAATCTAGAGCTGAAGACTAGAACAGAAGATGATGGTAGGGACAGATGAGCCTGTGACAAGATAGATTGAATAGTAGTATCTCTAAAGCCCTGGTGTGCTGGTAAATGATTAACAACTGGCTTGGGTGTGGCAGGAGCCTGATTGGTAATATTTGCTAATTTTCATGGTATAAATACTAGAGCATAGTGAATTGCAAACTGCCAATGTAGACTTGGGAAGAGATGTAGTATATCATTATATAATATTTCTGTCATATAGATATAATGGGTATAAATAGCCTTCAGCATAAATGATAGTGAAATTTAGCAAACTAATTAGGAAGTGATGAATTTTGAGTATTTGTTACCTTTGTTTTTAATATAATTATAATTAATATATAATTATTATATAATTATTATATAATTAATATATAATTAATAATAATTATAATATAATTATAAGTTTATATAATTTAATTTTGAATATTGGCTTTATTTAACAACCAGTTTGCAAAATTCCTAAAAATGCAACAGTCGCTCTCAGGAGTGGGTATAAGCTGCCTTCAGCACACCGCTGGAGCCCAGTGTCCTCCCTCTAGGCCACAGGGAGGTAAAGTGGAAAGTGTGGAATTTAACACCCAATAATTGTTTCAGTGATGTGCAGGGCTTTAATTTTTCCTCTTACTACCCGCCTTCATGGAGCTTACTGTCTAGTAACAGGAGATAAGGTATGTATCTATCTATAATGTCAGGTAGAACACGTAAATAGATACGATGAATAAGCATTCACACTTCTGGAAAGGTATTACCAGGTAATCCTGAAGACCCCTTCCACCTCTAATGTTCCAGGATGATGATGAGATTCCAGGAGTCCTAGGGAAGCATTGAGGACTATTATCAATAAAGGATATAACAACGTCACCCTAGCTGTGCCTAGTTTCAGGAAATTCAGAGGCCATTCGTGGAACCTTAGAGTGTCTGAACTAGAGAGTCCCATTTGACAAGGAGGCAACTGAGTCCCATAGAGAGAGAACTTATTGAGGGTTACACAGTGTTTTGGGGCCAAGAGAGCCTGGATTCCAGCATCCTGGTTTGCCCAGGACTGAGAGGTCTCCTATAGTTTAAGGCTTTCAATGTTAAGGCCAGGAGGGTTTTGAGCAAACCAGGATAGCTGGTCACCCAACAGCAAAGGTATACATCCTAGGCCAGTGCTTCTTTCTAAAAGTGCACTTTCACTGAACTTCCCAAATCCTTCGATCCTCAGCATTTCTTTCTCAGGCTCCTTGCAGGGCTCTGAGCCTACAGGGGCTGATTAGACTGTAGGAGCAAGTTGCAGAAGAGCTGAGAGGGAGTAGAGAGGGGGTGGAGGTGACTGGAGAATGCCAAAAGACAAAGAGATAGGATTTCTGACTTTTTACACTTCTCTGCTAATTAGATAAAGGATTGGGGCAGGGGGAGAATGAGCCTCCATGCATATTCTTCTGAGCTGTGACAGGGAGCAGAGTTTAGGGATTTTCTACCCCTGGTCTCCACCCCTCCTCCCTGGAAGCTTCTCACCCCCTGAGGATACTTGACTCCCAGTCCAAATGCCACAGCTGCTTGAGCTCCTGACCCTCCCTTTGGCCCCTTCAATTTAGCCTCAGTAACTTGCCAAGTTCCCCAACAATATGCTCTGGGAAAAAAAGTGGAATACTTCTGTTTTCCCTTTCAGATTCAGGGTTCCAGGTGTGGGGAGGGAAATGAGGTCCTCCTGTGTGAAAATGGCATCAGTTGGTGGTCTGTTGGATGCATGGGCCTGTGAGGACAGAGGCATATGAGGGGGGATCAGTCTGAAAGCCATGACTAGATCTGTTTTGTGTTGCCAAGTATGTTTCTTTCATCAATCTGGGAGCTGCCTAAGGCTGGGCCCTGCCAATCCCAGCCACACAGCGATCGCCCAAGGATAGGGACGTGTTTCTCCCATCAGACTGAGGTACCCAAATGGCAGAGGCCTCATCTTCACCATTAGCCTAGGAAGAGTTAGAGTTGGAGGGGCTCACCCAATACAAGGTTTCAGTTGGCTAAAACCGCTTGTTTTTTATTCCCTCATTGTTTTAAACCTCCATCTCTGTCCTATCCATCTCTGGATAGGACACAGAAGTTATCAATTAATGTTTCTTGATTAATTGTCAAAGAAGAAGGTTTGGAGCTGGTTGTAGGATTTTACTAGTTTTCAGAGAAATATGCATTTATTCATTCCAAAAATATTTACCTACTCGGTTCAGGCCAATACTCAATACTTATGAGTCCAAGATGAATTAGGAGATATTTTCATCCTGTAGAAGCTCTCATTCTGGTCTGAGAGAGAGAGAAGTTTAAATTATTTTTAATAGTACAGTGAAATAAGGAACGTTGGAAAGGTTGGAAGGATGAAAGGGATAAATAAGGAAATGCCATAGAAGGGACTTCTGATGAAGGCCTGCCATCTGCTGGCAGTGAATAGTACAACAGGCTCTTTTGTTGCCATAATGTGCGTTCAGTACTGGAATTTTAGCCATTATCCAGTACCTGCCTAATGGATAGCCAGCCCAGTGATTGGCACTGAGCTGTAAACCTTGTAAAGGGATCTTTGTCTTTGAAAAACTTGCACTATGCTTATGGATGTAAGATATAATCGAAAAAGTCATCAATCAACCAAGCAACACATATTTGAATGTGCACACACAAAAAATACGCTTTTAAAAAAAGCATAGGCCAGGCACGGTGGCTCACCCTTGTAATCCAGCACTTTGGGAGGCTGAGGCAGGAGGATCATGAGGTCATGAGTTCAAGACCAGCCTGGCCAATATGGTGAAACCCCGTCTCTACTAAAAATACAAAAAATTAGCCAGGTGTGGTGGTGCGCACCTGTAATCCCAGCTACTCAGGAGGCTGAGGCAGGAGAATTGCTTGAACTGAGGAGGCAGAGGTTGCAGTGAGTCGAGATCACACCATTGCACTCCAGCCTGAGTGATGGAGCAAGACTCCGTCTCGAGAAAAAAAAAATGTAATTCATGCTTGTTACCAAAAAAATTAAATAAAACATGGAAATATGTAATGTAAAAAATAGGAGTCTCTGACATCCAACTCCCTGTAAGTAATAATTATGAACAGTTTAGTGTGGATTTTTTTTCTCTGCATATATAAATGTTTATATATACATATATAATTTTTTTTTCTTTTTAAAGATGGGGTCTTGCTATGTTGCTCAGGCTGGCTTCAAACTCCTGGGCTCAAGCAATCTTCCCACCTCAGCCTTCTGACTAGCTAGGACTACATGTATGCACCAGTGTGCCAAGCTATATACATATTAATATATTATATTATTATTTGAGATGGGGTCTTGCTCTGTCACCCAGGCTGGAGTGCAGTGGTGCAATCTTGGCTCATTGCAACCTCCACCTCTGGGGTTCAAGCGATTCTTGTGCCTCAGCCTCCTGAGTAGCTGGGATTACAGGAGCCCGCCACCATGCTCAGCTAATTTTTTGTATTTTTAGTAGAGATGGGGTTTCACCATGTTAGCCTGGCAGCTCTTGAACTCCTGACCTCAAGTGAGCCACCTGCCTTGGCCTCTCAAAGTGCTGGGATTACAGGCGTGAGCCACCATGCCTGGCCTTAATTTTCTATGTTCTCTTTCTCTACAGTTATTTCTGGATGTGTAAGGGGGAGGGGATATTGGACCTCCTGCACTAATTTTCTCATTTTCTTAACTTTTATTTCCTGTTTTCCATTTTTTTGTTCTATTGTTTAGGAGAGTTTCTTATCTTTTATTTCCTGTTTTCCATTTTTTTGTTCTATTGTTTAGGAGAGTGCCTCAATTTTATCTTCCCACCATTATGCTGAATTTCTAAAAATTTCTGTATCAAATACTTAATACCTAAGCCTTTTCCCTTACTCTCTGAATATTCCTTTCTTTTTTTTCTTTTTTTCTTTTTTTTTTTTTTTTTGAGATGGAGTCTCACTCTGTCGCCCAGGCTGGGATGTGGTGGTGCAGTCTTGGTTCACTGCAACCTCCGCCTGGTGGGTTCAAGCAATTCTCCTGCCTCAGCCTCTCAAATAGCTGGGATTACAGGCCTGCACCACCACACCTGGCTAGTTTTTGTATTTTTAGTAGAGATGGGGTTTCACCATGTTGCCCAGGCTGCTCTCGAATTCCTGACCTCAGGTGATCTGCCTGCCTTGGCCTCCCAAAGTACTGGGATTACAGGTGTGAACCACCATACCCGGCCTGAATATTTCTTTTTTATCATAGTATGTTCTTATTTCATGATTGCAATATCTTCTCTTAAATCTCTAAGGATACAATTTTTAAAACTTTTGTTTCCTGTTTTATTTCTTCTTCCAAATTCCTTTTTATCTATAATCTTAGAGCCTTTTCTCAAAAGTCTAGTGATGCTTGGCTGTGCATTCAGGCTTAATAATGAGGGACTAAAAGCTCTTTGTATCTGGATGGGGCTTGTTGAATAGCGTGCTTCACTCCAGAGGCATAAGATAGGCTCCTAGCCAGTTCACTGGGGAATCCTAAGCATCAGTATCTTTAAGCCTTTTTTCCAGGGTTAGTTAGTTTTGCCAGAGAGGTCTTTTAGGTCTTTTAGTCTATAACTCAATAGGTGAAAAATATTTAATTTTAACTTGTATTTTTTTATTATTAGTGAGGTGGAGCACCTTTTTATATGTTAATTATCTGTTTATATTTCTTCTTCTATGGAATGATTATGCACATTTTTTTTTGACCACTTTTATTTTACACTTATTTTTCTTACAGATTTGTGGAAGCCAATTATTAACATATTAGAATATGTTGCAAAATTTTTTTTCCTTTGTATTGTTTGCCTTTTTTTTTCTTTTTTTGGAGACGGGGTCATGCTCTATCACCTTGGCTGGAGTGCAGTGGTGTGATCATAGCTCACTGTAGCCTCAAGCTCATAGGCTCAATGAATCCTCCCACTTTAACCTCCCAAGTTGCTGGGATTATAGGCATATGCCACTATGCCTGGCTAATTTTTAGAGATAGGGTCTCACTATGTTGCCAACGCTGATCTCAAATTCCTGAGTTTAATTGATCCTCCTGCCTCAGCCTCCCAAAGTGCTGGTATTACAGTCATGAGCCACTGTGTCCAGCCCAACTTTTAATTTTGAATATGTTGTCTTTTTCTCTAAAGAAATTAAAATTTTTTTTCTGTTTTGGTTAACTTATTCCTTTAAGTATTCTAGGTTTTGAGTCATGAATAGAACAAACTACCTCATTTAAATACGATAAAAATGTTCTGTATTTTCTTTTTCTTTTGTTGTGATTTTATTCTCTAATTATAGACCTTTTATATATGTAACTAACTTTTGTATATTATATGGGGCTTGCCTTTCGTCTATCCCCTGCACCTCATATAGGCAGGCAATTGCCACCCAATTTATTGAATAATTTATAATTTCCCCACTGATTTGAAACGCTACCTGCAGACCGGGCATGGTGGCTCACACCTGTAATCCCAGCACTTTGAGAGGTCGAGATGGGAGGATTGCTTGAGGCCAGGAGTTCAAGACCAGCGCAGTCAACATAACGAGACCTCATCTCTACCTTTTTTTTTTTTTTTTTTTTTTTTGAGATGGAGTCTTGCTTTGTCACTCAGGCTGGAGTGCAGTGGCACGATTTCAGCTCACTGCAACCTCCGCCTCCTGAGTTCAAGCCATTCTCCTGCCTCAGCCTCCTGAGTAGCTGGGAATACAGGCGCATACCACCACGCCCAACTAGTTTTTGTATTTTTAGTAGAGACGGGGTTTCCCCATGTTGGCCAGGCTGGTCTCAAACTCCTGACCTCATGATCTGCCTGTCTCAGCCTCCCAAAGTGCTGGGATTACAAGTGTGAGCCACTGCGCCCGGCTGACCTCATCTCTACTTAAAAAAAAAAAAAAACAATTAAAATTTTTTTAAAAATGAGAAATGCCACCTATTAAATTCTCATACATCCATAGATTTAGCCATGGAATCGCTATTCTATTTCATGTATCTTTGTCTTTTCTTTTGCTAATAATACACTTTTGCCAGGCATGGTGGCTCACCCAGCACTTACAATCCCAGCATTTTAGAAAGCTGAGGCAGGTGGATCACTTGAGGCCAGGAGTTCGAGACCAGCCTGGCCAACATGGTGAAACCCTGTCTCTACTAAAAACGCAAAAAGTTAACCAGGCATGGTGGTACATGCCTGTAATCCCAGCTACTTGGGAGGCTGAGGCATGAGAATCGCTTGAACCCAGGAGGCGGCGGTTGCAGTGAGCAGAGATCGTGCCACTGTACTCCAACCAGGGCAACATAGTGAGACTCTCTCTCAAAAAAAAAAAAACACAATAACAATAATAGACCAGGCGCAGTGGCTCACGCCTGTAATCCCAGCACTTTAGGAGGCCAAGGCGGGTGGATCACGAGGTCAGGAGTTCAAGACCAGCCTGGTCAAGATGGTGAAACCCCATCTCTGCTAAAATTACAAAAATTAGCCAGGTGTGGTGGCAGGCATCTGTAATCCCAGCTACTTGGGAAGCTGAGGCAGGAGAATCGCCTGAAGCCAGGCAGCAGAGGTTGCTGTGAGCCGAGATTGAGCACTCCAGCGGCTGGATGACAGAGTAAGACTCAGTCTCAAAAAAATAAAAATAAAAAAAAAATGCACATTTTACTACTATGTAATCATAGCATTTTTTTTGCTTTTTTGTCATAGCATATTTTACTATTTAATAAAACAAGTGCCTCCTTATTCTTTTCCAGAATTTTCTTGTGTAATACATTTATATCTTTTAGATAAACTTTATAATCAAATTGTCAAATAAAAATCATTGAGATTATAATTGGAATTATTCTAAATTTATTGATAAATTTGAGGAGAAAATTGACATTTTTATAATATTTAATCTTTCCATCCAGTAGCACAGTAGGCCTTTCCCTTTATTCAGATTTTTTCTATGTCTTTCAGAAAACCTTTATAGTCTTTTTCATATAAAGAATCTTTATTTCTGATTTATTTTCTAGCTGGTTATTGCCATTAATGCCAGCAATGTAATGAATTAATACATTTCCTAAGATTGAAAAATCTTTGAATCTTGAGCTAAATCCTAATGGATCATGTGTTTTTCCTTTAATATATTTTTAGATTCTCTTTGCTAATATCCTATTTAGGATTTATGCTCTTTACTCACAAGTGAGATTGGTCTATGCTTTTTTTCTCTTCAAACTAGTTTTGTCAGGTTTTAGTAAAAGGATTTTGCTAGTCCCATAAACTGAAAGATACATTTTCAATTTTCTTCTGTGATCTAGAACAGTTTATGTAAGAGAGGAATTACTCCTCCAGCTCAACAACAACAACAAAAAATACAATTTAAAAATGGGCAATGACTTGAATAGACATCTCTCCAAAGGTGATGTACAAATGGCCAACAAGCATATGAAAAGATGTTCAATGTCACTAATCATTAGAAAAATGAAAATGAAAAAGATAACAATATCATTATTATTTATTATTATTATTATTTTTTGAGACAGAGTTTCACTCTTGTTGCCCAGACTGGAGTGCAATGGCATGGTCTCGACTCACTGCAACCTCTGCCTCCTGGGTTCAAGTGATTCTCCTGCCTCAGCCTCCCAAGTAGCTGGGATTACAGGCACCTGCCATCACACCCAACTAATTTTTGTATTTTTAGTAGAGACAGGGTTTCACCATGTTGGCCAGGCTGATCTTGAACGCCTGACCTCAAGTGATCCGTCCACCTCAGCCTCCCAGAGTGCTGAGATTACAGGCATCAGCCACCACACCCGGCCAAAAAATATGTATTTTAAGTACCAGGCACCAGGTTAGATGCCGGGAATGTATCTATTAACCGGCTGACCAGCACCCTGCCCTCCAGAGCATATCCTTTAGCAAATCAGGCAATAGAAGGTCTTCCTGAGTAAGCAGAGGAGTTTAGACATACCCTGTGAGACACTGCACTCATGTGGCCCTATAATGGGAGCGGATGGAGAGATGTCCTCAGCCTGTGAATGACATGGAAGCGGGATATGCAGAGGAAATGCAAAGTGTTGAAGAGCTAGGTCTCCAACAACAGCATGTGAGCCTCAGCTATGAACCGCAGACTAGAATGAATGCACTGCAGAGGCAGGGAAGTGGTCAGAGTTTCTGAGAAAGTCATTCATTCAGAGAGATGGAAAACTTCTTTTTTTTTCTTAAGACGGAGTTTCGCTCTTGTTGCCCAGCCTGGAGTGCAATGGCGCGACCTTGGCTCACTGCAACCTTCGCCTCCTGGGTTCAAGCGATTCTCCTGCCTCAGCCTCCCGAGTAGCTGGGATTACAGGCATGTGCCACCATGCCCAGCTAATTTTTTGTATTTTTTTTTAAACTTTTTTTTTTTTTTTATTGATCATTCTTGGATGTTTCTCGCAGAGGGGGATTTGGCAGGGTCTCAGGACAATAGTGGAGGGAAGGTCAGCAGATAAACAAGTGAACAAAGGTCTCTGGTTTTCCTAGGCAGAGGACCCTGCGGCCTTCCGCAGTGTTTGTGTCCCTGGGTACTTGAGATTAGGGAGTGGTGATGACTCTTAACGAGCATGCTGCCTTCAAGCATCTGTTTAACAAAGCACATCTTGCACCGCCCTTAATCCATTCAACCCTGAGTGGACACAGCACATGTTTTAGAGAGCACAGGGTTGGGGGTAAGGTCACAGATCAACAGGATCCCAAGGCAGAAGAATTTTTCTTAGTACAGAACAAAATGAAAAGTCTCTCATGTCTACCTCTTTCCACACAGACACGGCAACCATCCGATTTCTCAATCTTTTCCCCGCCTTTCCCCCCTTTCTATTCCACAAAACCGCCATTGTCATCATGTCCCGTTCTCAATGAGCTGTTGGGTACACCTCCCAGACGGGGTGGTGGCCGGGCAGAGGGGCTCCTCACTTCCCAGTAGGGGCGGCCGGGCAGAGGCGCCCCTCACCTCCCGGTCGGGGCGGCTGGCTGGGCGGGGGGCTGACCCCCCCACCTCCCTCCCGGACAGGGCGGCTGGCCGGGCAGAGGGGCTCCTCACTTCCCAGTAGGGGTGGCCGGGCAGAGGCAACCCTCACCTCCCGATGGGGCGGCTGGCCGGGCGGGGGGCTGACCCCCCCACCTCCCTCCTGGACGGGGCGGCTGGCCGGGTGGGGGGCTGACCCCCCCACCTCCCTCCCGGACGGGGCGGCTGGCCGGGCAGAGGGGCTCCTCTCTTCCCAGTAGGGGCGGCCGGGCAGAGGCGCCCCTCACCTCCCGGACGGGGCGGCTGGCCAGGCGGGGGGCTGACCCCCCCACCTCCCTCCCGGACAGGGCGGCTGGCCGGGCGGGGGGCTAACCCCCCCACCTCCCTTCCGGACGGGGCGGCTGGCCGGGCGGGGGGCTGACCCCCACCTCCCTCCCGGACGGGGTGCCTGCCGGGCGGAGACGCTCCTCACTTCCCAGACGTGGTGGCTGCCGGGCGGAGGGGCTCCTCACTTCTCAGACGGGGCGGTTGCCAGGCAGAGTGTCTCCTCACTTCTCAGACGGGGCGGCCGGGCAGAGACGCTCCTCGCATCCCAGACGGGGCGGCAGGGCAGAGGCGCTCCCCACATCTCAGACGATGGGCGGCCTGGCAGAGACCCTCCTCACTTCCTAGATGGGATGGCGGCCGGGCAGAGACGCTCCTCACTTTCCAGACTCATTTTTTGTATTTTTAGTAGAGACAGGGTTTCTCCATGTTGGTCAGGCTGATCTCAAACTCCCGACCTCAGGTGATCTGCCTGCCTTGGCCTCCCAAAGTGCTGGGATTACAGGTGTGAGCCACTGTGCCCAGCCGAGAGATGGAAAACTTCTTAATCTTTTCACAGAGAATTTACATTTAATAAAAGTATAGCCTTTGTTTGGTTTAAGCTGCAGGAATGAAACTCTGATGATGAAATCATTGGCTTGAGTCAGTAGGAAGAAGAGGGGTTTGGTGTAGAGGGGCAGTCAGGGCCATCCCTGAAATCACCTCTTTTTAGGAGCTGTCCACCTCAGAGGCCAGCTCTGACCTTCCATGTGATGTGAGGGATACTGCTTCACTCTCTGGACATCATTTTCTCCACTCAGAAATGGAAGCAGGAGTTCTTGATTTTCCAGAACTGAGGACATTCCCTCTTAACTCCTAAGTGATTATCACCCTGCCTTCCTCTGCAAACTCAGCTTTCCTAGAGAAAACAAGGGAGAGGGGATGCAGGGAAATGGGCAGTAGGCACCCTTAACAATCCTGTGAGGAGTGCTTGCTGTGACAGTGCATATACTAAAATTGGAATGATATAGAGATTAGCATAACTCCTGCATAAGGATGATATGCAAATTTATGAAGCTTCTTAAGTGTAAATTTTGAAAGTCATGGGAAACAGACAAAGGTTCTTCCCAAACCTGGGACCATGCAACTCCCTGGAGACATTTAAAAGAGCACTGGACAGCCAGAACCAACAGGCAGAGTGACCAGCTCATCTTGTTTTCCCCTGGACAAAGTCCTGCGTTCCAGGAAAACTGGGATGGCTGTCACCCCATCAGGAGGCCTAGTCTTCAGCTCTGCATCTGCCATTAACTCCCTTCTCCTCATAGCCTGAGTTTCCTCCTCAATTGTAAAGTAGTATACCTGGACAAGATGATATCTAAGGGTACTTCCAGCCCTGCTGGAACAAACTGGAAAGTTGCCTTGGCTGCCCTAATATCCAGAAACCCTCAAGGAACTTGCCAGGAGCGTGGGCAGAACCAATCTCATCACCAGGGGGCGCACCTGAAGGTTCAGGGACCCGCATGTTTTCCTATACAGATCCTCCGCTCTTACTGATTCCTGTGAGTGACGTAGTTAATACCAGCAGTGTATTATAATCATTAGTTGTCACTACAAAATAGACTGAAGATGATTATTCCTAGTTGTCAGATTGTTTCAAGGAGTATGTAAACCCAAAATAACAAATGTAGAAAAAAACAATTTCACAATGCTCCCAGCTGGCATTATATCCATTTAATTATACAGTCATATTGGAATGATACGTGGTTATCGTTTCTATTTAGAATTTTACTTGTGCCAGGCGCGGTGGCTCACACCTGTAATCCCAGCACTTTGGGAGGGCGAGGCGGGCGGATCACCTGAGGTCAGGAGTTGGAGAGCAGCCTGACCAACATGGCGAAACCCCGTCTCTACTAAAAAATACAAAAATTAGCCGGGCGTGGTGGCAAGCACCTGTGGTCCCAGCTACCCGGGAGGCTGAGGCAAGAGAATCTCTTGAACCCGGGAGAAGGAGGTTGCAGTGAGCCGACATCGCGCCACTGACTCTAGCCTGGGGGACGAAGCGAGACTCAGTCTCAAAAAAAAAAAAAAAAAAAAAGAATTTTACTTGGATTCCAGAGGAAGGATTTCCATCTCTCGATTTCTATTAACATCAAATATAAAATGTTTCTCTCTGTTGCAAATCTAAGTACATACTGTTCCAAAAGTGTGCTTTTTTGCCAGCTTTATAAGGTCTCCATCTTTTGGCAAGATTATCAAAACCAAAAAATTTGGAAAGTTGTTCCATTGCACTTTCCCAGAGTGAATCTTGAAGCCAGACTGCCTAGCTTCACGTCTCAGCTCTGTTTCATTAGTATGATTTAACGTTTCTGTGTGTCTGTGTCTTTCTCTGTAAAATGCAGATTGTCAGGCGAGGTTCCAGAGCTCTGGCACCGGAAGTGGTCGACTCGCGGGTTGGTTAAGAATTTACCTATAACAGTATAGGTTTGAAAAGGGAAAGTTCATTAGAAAGGAAGAACGTCGGCCGGGCGCGGTGGCTCACGCCTGTAATCCCAGCACTTTGGGAGGCCGAGACTGGCGGATCACGAGGTCAGGAGATTGAGACCATCCTGGCTAACACCGTGAAACCCCGTCTCTACTAAAAATACAAAAAAAAAATTAGCCGGGTTAGGTGGCGGGCGCCTGTAGTCACAGCTACGCGGGAGGCCGAGGCAGGAGAATGGCGTGAACCCCGGGGGGCAGAGCCTGCAGTGAGCCGAGATCGCGCCACTGCACTCCAGCCTGGGTGAAAGAGCAAGACTCCGTCTCAAAAAAAAAAAAAAAAAAAAAAAATAGAAAGGAAGAACGCCGCAAAAGGGTGTAGCGCGGGCCTCAGCGAGAGGACTGAGCATGCGTGGTGGATTTTCCTTAGGGGCATTTATGGACCTTAAGGTGGGAGCTTAGGGTTGTAAAATTAGTCTCAGCATGGCATTCCGGAAATGTATAGAAATTTTAATTACTTATAAAAGTTGAAAGAGGCCTAGAATCAGATATTGACTTTAGATACTAGGGAAGTTTGATTACCTCTAAATTCCCCAGATAAGGAGTTTTGCCGCCAGATAGCCTGTTTGATGGTCACCAGGTGGTCTTTGCTCCCTTCTACACTTGATCTTAGCCAAAAGGCCGAGAAGCGATGTCTTTGCTCCCTTCTAAATTGCTCATATAAGAATTTTTTGGGCCAGGCGTGGTGGCTCATGACTGTAATCCTAGCACTTTGGGAGGCCGAGGCGGGCAGATCACTTGAGGTCAGGAGTTTGAAACCAGCCTGGTCAACATGATGAAACCCCATCTCTACTAAAAACACAAAAATTAGCTGGGCGTGGTGGTGCATGCCTGTAATTCCAGCTCCTTGGGAGGCTGAGACATGAGAATTGTTTGAACCCAGGAGGCAGAGGTTGCAGTGAGCAACCTAGATCATGCCACATGCCAACCTAGATCATGCTACTGCACTCCAGCCTGGGTGACAGAGCAAGACCTTGTCTCAAAAAAAAAAAAAAAGTCTGTGGCTTGTGGCTTGGGAATAGAGGTTCAATGCGATATGGATGTTTTTAAAGCCCATAGGATTTATCTAACATTTTTATTTTTTATTTTTTTATTTTTATTTTTTTTTTGAGACGGAGTCTCGCTCTGTCGCCCAGGCTGGAGTGCAGTGGCGCGATCTCGGCTCACTGCAAGCTCCGCCTCCCGGGTTCACGCCATTCTCCTGCCTCAGCCTCCCGAGTAGCTGGGACTACAGGCGCCCGCTACCACGCCCGGCTAATTTTTTGTATTTTTAGTAGAGACGGGGTTTCACCGTGTTACCCAGGATGGTCTCGATCTCCTGACCTCGTGATCCGCCCGCCTCGGCCTCCCAAAGTGCTGGGATTACAGGCGTGAGCCACCGCGCCCGGCCACATTTTTATTTTTATAAAGGAAAAATGGAGGCCCACAGAGAAGGAATCTTTCCAATATCCCATGAGCTTTGCTGGCAATAAAATTAAATATCAAATATTTGTCAGAAGGGGAAAGCTCTAGACAGAACCTCTGTTTCTATACTTCATCTTTCTTTTTCTTTTCTTTCTTTTTTTTTTTCCTTTTTTTTTTTTTTGAGACAGAGTTTCACTTTTGTCACCCAGGCTGTAGTGCAATGGTACGGTCTCGGCTCACTGCAACTGCCACCTCCTAGGTTCAAGTGATTCTCCTGCTTCAGCCTCCCAAGTAGTTGGGACTACAGGTACATGCCACTATGCCCGGCTAATTTTTGTATTTTTAGTAGAGACAGGGTTTCACCATGTTGGCCAGGCTGGTCTCCATCTCCTGACCTCAGATGATCCGCCCTTCTCATCCTCTTAAAAGTGCTGGGATTACAGGCCTGAACCACCACGTCCGGCGAGTATCTTTCTTTTCTTTCTTTCTTTTTTTTTTCCCAGTTGCTCCTGTCCCAATATTTGTCAGAACTTCTCATGTAGTAAACTCAGCTTGCATTTGAGTGGATGCCATGGTATCTGAAGGGACAAATCTATTGCAGCAGCAGCAGCACTTTCCTCCTCTGGGAACAAAGTGGCTTACACTGAGAGAATGTGGAGAACTGTGTTCATGCTATGGCCTTGGCTCCTGTGTTTTTACTTATTCTGCAGTCTGCTCTTCTTCCCTTCCTCAAGCCTGGGACTCAGTGTGTGGCCAAAACTCCCATTGCCACTCCAGAGATGAACACTGTACTTGTTTTGTAGTAAGAGAGATCTTGTTTCAAATCCTATTTTAGCTACTTACTATGTGACCTTGTTATGCCAGTTATTCTCTTTGATAGCCTCAGTTTCTATATCTAATAAAATGGGCATAATGCCACCACACTCACAGTGTAGGTAAACATTAGCAATAGTACGAAGCCTAGTGTTTGTCCACATGATGCATATAAACAAGACCCCAGCAAGGCACGTTGTAAGTTGCCGGTTGGGTTCTCCGGGAGGCAGACTCAAGCTGGAGAGTAGCAGGCAGGACATTTATAAGAAAGTACTCTTGGGAAAATCACCTGTGTAAGAAAGGGGATGGGAACAGGTCTGAGCAGAGGAAAAAGTTGGGCTGTGATGCAGGGCCAGTGGGGGATCTCAGCCTGCCTCCCAGGGGGAGCTCTAGAGCAAGGAGGACCCTTCAGAGTTGTTGCCAGTTGAGATGAGGGAGCTGGGCCTTCATGTCCGCATGCTGCTGGTAGCTGGATGCAGGCTGGCTCTGGAAGTTTTCTTCAGCCAAGGCATTCTCTAAAGAGGGTTGTCAGCTGCGGGTTACAGCAGCATTGACAGAAGCTAGGGGAATAAGTCCCATATTCCCAAAGGGGGATGGGTAGTGCAGCATAGCTGTCATCACTCTGAAACTCCAGAACCAGAAAGAAAGAACTGATCCTGAAAACATCCAGAGGGGATAAACAGAGCATGCACAAACGGACAGGAATAAGAATGAAATCAGAATTCTCACAAGTGCCATTGGAAGCTAAAAGGCAATAGAGAAATGCCTTCAAAAGTCCCATGGAAAGTGATTTCTAACCTAGAATTCTATTCTGAGCCAAACTATCAATCAATGTGAGGATACAATAAAGACATTTCAGAGATGCAGTTTTGACTTCTTTTTCTTTTTACTTTCCATGCCCTGTTTCTCAAGAAGTGATTGAGCAAGGGATCCAGAAAGCAGAGGATGTGCCAAGAAGGCCACAGGGAAGTGTGAGCAGCAGCCCTGAGAGCAGCAGGGAGCCTGGAATGAAGGCTGGAGGGCCCTGGAGGGAAGGTGTCTCCTGTTTCAGCAGTAGAATGTTTATGAGTATATCAATAGTGAAATTATAAAGAAAAATGAAAAGGTGATTTAAAAGTCAGGATACAGATTACCTCTAAAAAGGAGGTGTGGACTGTAATGGGGCAGGAGCTTCTGAGGTGCTGACAATGTTTTATTTTGTGACCTGAGTTTGTTTCAAAACATGAATGTTTGCTGTATAACTATTTGTAACTTCCTTTCTCTCTCTATATATATACACATGTATACACAAACACACATTCTGTTTTCTATGCATATATTTTTAAATACATTATTTTTAACATAAATTCAAATAAAATAAATAACAAATGGAAAGCCCTCAACACAGTGCCTGGCCTGGCATATAGTACATGTTCAATAAGCATTATTTGAATATTCTTCTTCTCCTCCTCCTCCTCCTCCTCTCTCTCTTCCAGATCCTGACATCATGGTGCCATCTCCAGGGTTTAAGTGATTCTCGTGCCTCAGCCTCCCAAGTAGCTGGGACTATAGGTGCCTGCCACTATGCCTGGCTAATTTTTGTATTTTTAGTAGAGACGGGGTTTCCCCATGTTGGCCAGGCTGGTCTTGAATTCCTGGCCTCAGGTGATCTGCCTGCCTCAGCCTCCCAAAGTGCTGGGATTACAGGTGTGAGCCACCGTGCCTGTCCTGCTATCCACTGTTGAATAAGTGCTTTCAGCTCTTGGTTTCGATGTAGGCCTCTTTAAGATTCATGTGAGTAGCTGAATTGCTTAAGTATAATTTATAGAATTTCAGTGCAGTTAATTCTTAATGGAAAATCTGAAACCTAAATTGCAGATTTAAAAGGTACTGTACAACCATTATATCTGTAAATAACTTTACTTAGCACCTTTTTGTCACTTAGAATAATATGTACTACTACTTGAGTGAGCTCTTTTGGAAGTTATATCAAGTTCTAGTGTTTGCTTCTTAGTAACTGAACTGAATTTACAGTTCTGTCCTAGACATTTTGCACTAAAGTAGCCGAATCCACTCGCGTGTCTTTTCGTTAATGTGCTCTGTACCACTGGTGAGTGCTCCATAGTTTCCTTACCTGCTGCTACAGCATGTTATTTTACATCCCTATGGCTATTGCCAAGGCTACAAAAAAGAAAAGCTATATTTGTATGCAACACTAAACTTTTGACTGCTAATGTATGTTTCTGCTTGCTGTGCCTTGTTATGGCTGCTTTTTTTGTGCTAATAAAGTATGTTTGGTGTTCTCCTTGTAAAAAAAAAAAATCATGTGAGATATATTCCAGAGTAGCATGCAAAAAGGGAAAGGATTAATGCTTGGCCAGGAAATAGTTTTACGTTTGCACTGACAAAAAAATTTAATCCAGAGCTTCTGTTCTGAACACATATCACCACCAGAAAGAAAAGGAAGACATTTTCTATTTTCTCTGGTTCTTTTATAGCTGCCAAGTGAGTGGTAGGATGGGAAAATCTGCTATCCTATGTCTCCTTTCTTATGTGTTGATTTTTTTTTTTTTTTTGGTGGTGGGGACAGGGTCTTGTTCTGTTACTCAGGCTGGAGGGCAGTGGTGTGGTCAGGTTCACTGCAGCCTCCATCCCCTGGGCTCAAGCGATACTCCCACCTCAGCCTCCTAAGTAGGTAGGACTACAGGCATGAGCCACTGCACCCAGCTAAATTTTTTTTTTTTTTTAAGTAAAGATGAGTTCTCACAATGTTGCTCCCGAGTTCAAGTGATCCTCCCACCTCAGCCTCCCAAAGTGTTGGGATTACAGGTGTGAGCTACTGCATCTAGCCTGAAGCTGATTTTTCTTTTTCTTTTTTGTTTTTTTGAGATGGAGTCTCACTCTGCTGCCCAGGCTGGAGCGCAGTGCCGTGATCTTAGCTCACTACAACCTCCCCGCCTTCTGGGTTCAAGCGATTCTCCTGCCTCAGCCTCCTGAGTAGCTGGGATTACAGGCCCTGGCCAGTACGCCCAGCTAATTTTTGTATTTTTAGTAGAGACAGGGTTTCGCCATGTTGGCCAGGGTGGTCTTGAATGCCTGACTTCAGGTGATCCATCTGCCTCAGCCTCCCAAAGTGCTGAGATTACAGGCATGAGCCACCAAGCCCGGCCTGATTTTTCTTTCTTTTTTTTCCTCTTTTTTTTTTGAGACAGAGTTTTGCTCTTGTTGCCCAGGCTGGAGTGCAGTGGCGTGATCTTGGCTAACCACAACCTCTGCCTCCCAGGTTCAAGCAATTCTTCTGCCTCAGCCTCCCGAGTCGCTGGGATTACAGGCATGCGCCACCACGCCTGGCTAATTTTTTTTTGTATTTTTAGTAGAGACGGGGTTTCTCCATGTTGGTCAGGCTGGTCTCGAACTCCTGACCTCAGGTGATCTGCCCACCTAGGCCTCCCAAAGTGCTGGGATTACAGGCGTGAGCCACCGCACCTGGCCCCGATTTTTCTTAATACTTCAGTGTATCCTAGAATCTGTGTTGTGAAATAAAAAAAAAAGAAAAACTTCAGTGTAAACCTGGAACCAAGGAAGGTGTTTTCTGGGAGCTATTGTTCTCATGAAGAACTTGTAACTATGAAATTCCTTTTGAAATTTCTGATGTAGAGTCCGGGCATGGTGGCTCACGCCCATAATCCTGGTACTTTGGGAGGCCAAGGTGGCGTGCACCTGTAATCCCAGCTAATCAGGAGGCTGAGGCAGAAGAACTGCTTGAACCCGGGAGGCGGAGGTTGCAGTGAGCCAAGATTGCGCCACTGCACTCCAGCCTGGGTGACAGAGCATGACTCTGTCTCAAAAAAAAAAAAAAAAGAAATTTCATATATAGCTTTGCATGGCCTGGTGTGTTGGCAGTTTGCTTGTTCTCAGTGATATTGAAACTGTGGATATACTTATTGCATAAATGATTCCTTATTGCAAAAATGATTCCTTATTGCAACAGTATGGCAAGGAAGACCAATGAGAAGCAGAGCTATCATTCTCCTAGGTGTTTATTTTATTTATTTTTTTGTGACAGAGTTTTACTCTGCCGCCCAGCCTGGAGTGCAGTGGTGCAACCTTGGCTTGCTGCAACCTCTGCCTCCCAGGTTCAAGTGATTCTCCTGCCTCAGCCTCCCGAGTAGCTGGGATTACAGGTGCCCAACAACATGCCTGGCTAATTTTTGTATTTTTAGTAGAGACAGGTTTTGCCTTGTTGGCCAGGCTGGTCTCAAACTCCTGACCTCAGGCGATCCACCCGCCTTGGCCTCCCAAAGTGCTGGGAGGCATGAGCCACGGCGCCTGGCCTCTGCTAGGTGTTTTAAACACCCTGCCTTGGACTGGTGGGTAGAGGTTAAAAGGAGAGAGGACTCAGGATGGGGGAGGGCTTTACTTGATGGAGACAGGATGCTCAAGAACAGTAGTGGGAATGTGGTTGGTTTGGGGAGAGCTGGTTCCAAGTGGAAGATGCTACAGGGAGGACAGCAGAGTCACCTGTTGTGCCCTGAGGACAGCCTCTGACCTTCAAGGACAGCTATCATTTGCCTCTGAGAACCACATGAACCCTAACACGAAAACATCTTAAGGAGCAGATACTTCTTGGGAATACTTTCTGTCTTCTCTTATTCTCATTTAATAGGGAATCAGCCTGGCGGAAGGGAAAGCGATCTAGACCAGGAGTCTGGAGGCCCAGGCTCAGCTCTGCCTTTAGACAGTTGAATATCTTGGTCAAATCATTTCCCTTCTCAGGCATCTTTTTTTTTTTTTTTTTTTTTAATCTGTCAAACCAGATTGCTGGAACCAGATCATCCCTGAGATCCCATCCAGCTCTGACGGTCTGTGAGTCTAATATCCTGAAAAAGTGGTGGAAGAAGTTGCATGGCTACCAAAAGGAGCATGTGGGTGCTGAGTCAGGTAGACCTGAGTTTACATCCAGTGCCAGCTCTTACTAGGTGTGTGAACTGTGACAATTATTTCACTGGTCTCGGCCAGGCACAGTGGCTCATGCCTGTAATCCCAGCACTTTGGGAGGCCGAGATGGGCGGAACATGAAGTCAGGAGATTGAGACTATCCTGGCTAATATGGTGAAACCCCGTCTCTACTAAAAATACAAAAAATTAGCTGGGTGTATTGGCGGGCGCCTGTAGTCCCAGCTACTCGGGAGGCTGAGGCAGGAGAATGGCGTGCACCTGGGAGGCAGACCTTGCAGTGAGCCGAGATCGCACCACTGCACTCCAGCCTGGGTGACAGAGGGAGACTCCGTCTCAAAAAACAAACAAACAAACAAACAAACAAAAACCATTTCACTGGTCTCAGCCTGAATTCCCAGATCTATAAAACTGGTGTAGTATTTGCCAGGCATGGTGGCTCACGCCTATAATCCCAGCACTTTGGGAGGCCGAGGCGGGCGGATCACCCTAGGTAGGGAGTTCAAGACCAGCCTGACCAACATGGAGAAACTCCATCTGTACTAAAAATGCAAAATTATCCGGGCGTGGTGGCGCATGCCTATAATCCCAGCTACTTGGGAGGCTGAGGCAGGAGAATCGCTTGAACCTGGGAGGCGGAGTTTGTAGTGAGCCGAGATTGTGCCATTGCACTCCAGCCTGGGCAACAAGAACAAAACTCTGTCTCAAAAAAAAAAAAAAAAAGAAATTGGTGTAGTACCTACAATGCAGGTCTGTTGTGAGGATGAAATGAAACAGTGCATGTCCCTGTTTCCCAGACTGTGTGTCAAGGCACCCTAAGGCTTGGCAGGGAACTCACATGAGTACAACCATGGCATATTTCAAAATTTTGAGGGAACCATGGTGACGTATGTTGAGTACCAAACATATTTCATTTGAACATTAGATTGTGCACATTCCTTTATGCCCTGATGTTGTATCTTCAAAAAGCCAGGGTTTTGATGTGACAAAAGGCAAGTACCTTGTAAAAATCAAGATGGAACACAAAATGAGGGTGGTGGTGTCCAATCTGATTCCAAGGTGTAAAAAGTTGAGCAGTGTGTAATAGGTGTACATATCTCATTAATAAGTAACTGGGACGGCTGGGCACGGTGGCTCACGCCTGTAATCCCAGCACTTTGGGAGGCTGAGGTGGACGGATCACGAGGTCAGGAGTTCGAGACCAGCCTGGCCAACATGGCAAAACCCCGTCTCTACTAAACATACAAAAATTAGCTGGGCGTGGTGGCGCACGCCTGTAGCTCCAGCTACTCAGGAGGCTGAGGCAGGAGAATCACTTGAACCGGAGAGCCGAGATCACCGGGGACGTGACTGCCAAAGTGAATAATCACTTTTTCAGGGTCCCTTTGTCTCTTTCTTTTTTTTTTGTCTTTGGGACGGACTTTCGCTCTCGTTGCCCAGGCTGGAGTGCAATGGTGTGATCTCTGCTCACCACAACTTCCGCCTCCCAGGTTTAAGTGATTCTCCTGCCTCAGCCTCCCGAGTAGCTGGGATTACAGGCATGTGCCACCATGCCTGGCAGATTTTGTATTTTTAGGAGAAATGGGGTTTCTCCATGTTGGTCAGGCTGGTCTCAAACTCCCAACCTCAGGTGATCCGCCCGCCTTGGCCTCCCAAAGAGATGGGATTACAGGCGTGAGCCACTGTGCCCAGCCCCTTTATCTCTTTCTTATGGCCTATATGCTGCACGGTTTACTTCCCAAGATATCCTCAAGTCAGAATCTGTTCTTTCCAGAGGATTTTGGTCTTTTGTCCTATTTTAATGTCATTGAATTACTCTGTTGTAGAATTCCAGTTGGAAGGGTTTACCACAACTCCAACAGGTTCGGAATCCACTGGTTGCAGTCAGGGCTGGGCTTAAAACACAGCCCTGGCCACGAAAGAGTGTGACTTTCTTTTTTTTTTTTTTTTTGAGATGGAGTCTCACTCTATAGCCCAGGCTGGAGTGCAGTGACATGATCTCAGCTCACTGCAAGCTCCGCCTCCCAGGTTCAAGCAATTCTCCTGCCTCAGTCTCCTGAGTAGCTGGGATTACAGGTGCACACCACCACGCCTGGCTAATTTTTGTATTTTTAGTAGACACAGGGTTTCACCATGTTGATCAGGCTGGTCTCGAACTCCTGACCTCGTGATCTGCCCGCCTCGGCCTCCAAAAACGCTGGGATTACAGGTGTGAGCCACTGTGCCCGGCCACTTGAGTATGACTTTCACTGTAGCAAAAGTGAATCAGTCATTGTCTTAATCTATAGGAGGTCCTCGCAGAATGTCATTTCCTTCAATGTTTCCTTTACTGTTCATGGAAAAAAATATTGGTTCCCAGCCAGGGCCATTGTCTGTGTGGAGTCTGCTCATTCTCCCCATGTCTGTGTGGGTTTTCCCCAGGTGCTCAGTCTCTACCTACATCCCAAAGACATGCCTGTTAGGTTCATAGACCCAGTCTGCGTGAGTATCAGCATGTGTGTGAATGTACCCTGCAACAGGATGGCATCCTGTCCCGAGCTGGTTCCTGCCTGGTGCCCTGAGCTGCCAGGATAGGCTCTGGCTACTCAAGACCTTGAACTGGAATAACTGGGTAATAATTATCTCACTTGTTTTGATGAGTCTTTCTTAAATGTAGGTAGAGCTCATATCTATCTTAAATTTTCTTTTTCTTCCTTTTTTTTTTTTTTTTGAGATGGAGTCTTTCTCAGTCACCCAGGCTGGAATGCAGTGATCTCAGCTCACTGCAACCTCTGCCTCATTCTCCTGCCTCAGCCTCCCGAGTAGCTGGGATTACAGGCATGCACCATCACGCCCTGCTAATTTCTGTATTTTTAGTGGAGATGGGGTTTCTCCATGTTGGCCAGGCTGGTCTTGAACTCCTGACCTCAAGTGATCCACCTGCCTTGGCCTCCCAAAGTGCTGGGATTACAGGCATGAGCCACCATGCCCAGCCTATCTTAATTTTTTATATTAAAAGTGTTTTGGTCTTTATTTCGAAGTTTGGTGATGTTTTTGTGACAAGAAATATGCCACAGGAACTTACCTCTTTTTTGTTTTTTTTTAGACAGGTTCTTCCTCTTACACCCAGGCTTCAGTGCAGTAGCGCAATCATGGCTCACTGCAGCCTTGACCTCCCAGGCTCAAGCAATCCTCCCACCTCAGCCTCTGAAGTAGCTGGTGCTATAGGTGTGCACCATCATGCCTGGCTAATTTTTTGTAGAGCTGGGGTTTCACTATGTTGCCCAGGCTGGTCTTCAACTCCTGGGCTCAAGTGATCTTACAGCCTCAGCCTCCCAAAGTGTTGGGATTACAGGCATGAGCCAAAGTGCCCAGCCTTAACTCTTGTTTATACCAATTAGCCTGTGGTAAAATTGGTTTTGTTATACATCATTTCACTTAAAGTCACAGTTTCCAAGAAACTATCACTGATGTTAAGTGAGGACTTACTGTACTTCACTAAAAAACAAAACAGGCCGGGTGCGGTGGCTTACGCCTGTAATCTCAGCACTTTGGGAGGCAGAGGCGGGCGGATCACAAGGTCAGGAGATTGAGACCAGCCTGGCTAACACGGTGAAACCCCGTCTCTACTAAGAATACAAAAAAAATTAGCCGGGCATGGTGGTGGGCGCCTGTAGTCCCAGCTACTCAGGAGGCTGAGGCAGGAGAATGGCGTGAAGCTGGGAGGCAGAGCTTGCAGTGAGCCGAGATCATGCCACTGCACTCCAGCCTGGGCGACAGAGCGAGACTCCATCTCAAAAAAAAAAACAAACAAATCTTTGGTCAGGAGTTTGAGACCAGCCTGGCCAACATGGTGAAACCCCATGTCTACTATAAAAATACAAAAAAATAGCCGGGTGTGGTGGTGGGCGCCTGTAATTCCAGCTACTTGGGAGGCTGAGGCAGGAGAATCTATTGAACCTAGGAAGTGGTGGTTGCAGTGAGCTGAGGTTGTGCCATTGCACTCCACCCTGATCAACAAGAGCAAAACTCCATTTCAAAAAAAAAAAAAACAACGGTGCTTTTAAGCTTTTAAAAAATCACCACCAACAACAAACCACAACCCCCACCACCCCACAATATTTTGGTCAATTTTAAGTTTAAATCAATTTAGAATAAAAGACATAATAATGTTCCCAGAAAGCCTCTGCCTATAGTATGGGCATAGGACCTCTTTCTCAAATACTCAGCTCTCAGTATTCACAACTACAGTTATCTTCACGCCTTGTTTGCAAATTAGCTCTTAGCTCAGAGCTAATAACTTTTACTTGAGGGAATCAAGTCAGTCTTAGATGTCTTCTCTCCCTTGACTTTAGTCACCAAGTGCAATTTTTTTTTTTTTTAATAGAAAGGGTCTCACTCTGTCACCCAGGTTGGAGTGCAGTGGGGCAGTCACAGCTCACTGTAGCCTCAATTTCCTGGCCTCAGGTGATCCTCCTACCTCAGCCTCCCGGGTAGCTGGGACTACAGGTGTGTGCCACCACACACAGCGAATTGTTTTGTATTTTTTGTAGAGACAGAGTTTTGCCATGTTGCCCAGGCTGGTCTCGAACTCCTGAGTTCAAGCGATCTTCCAGTCCTGGACTCCCAAAGTGTTGGGATTACAGGTGTAAGCCACCATGCCTGCCGCATAGTTTTTGAAGCATACAACAATCTTTTGTCTTGGTTCTGTCAAATACAGAGTTTTGATAGTAGGAAGACAGGTTTATTGAACACTTTATTCATGAAGCAATTCAAGTAATAAATTCAAACTTTTGTCTGCTATTTGCCTTTTTTAAAAAATTAGCATATCTTTTGGCAGTTTGCATTAAAAATAGAGGCTGTACCTATGAGGATAACCTTAAAAAATAAGTTGCAAAAAACAAGATCAATTTATTGCCAATCTTTCCCAAGGTGTTTTAATTTTTATTATTCTTTTTGGTCTTTGCCCCTCTGACAATTCCATGGTAGGTAGGTTTAGAAAACGACTGATAATTCACTCTGCCTCTTCCTACGTAACCCATATTTATCAGTCTGTTGCAGGTGGCTCCATTTTGGTTCAAAAGGCACTGAACAATTTTGGGGAGAGGAGATACAAACTTCCTCATAACCATTGTATAGCTACCTATGCCTAAGAAAAATGTTAGGGAAAGGTCTATTGTTCCCCATCTACCCCTTTTCCTAATTTGAAAACAAGGAGCAGTAGGGGAGGGAAGGGGTCCCACATGGAGGTCTATGTTCCTGACAAGGGTTAATTTACTAGCGTGCAAGCCTCGTCCAGAGTCATTGCAGCCAATGGGGGTTCACTCTGATGAGGTAATGCTTTCAGCCCATGTTTCATTGGTTTCCCTTCTCATTACTTGGCGTTCTCTCAGAGGCTGGGAAGTGGAGAGGGCTAGTTTTAGGGCTAATAGGAGCTTTTTCCTCGTGACAGGTACAGGTGGTGCTTACAGAAATGCTTGGAGCCACGGGGGGAAATCTGTTTCCTCTTCTCAGATGTCCTGCATCTTGAACCAGTTCTTCTACCTGGGGCTGTAAGGGCATCTCCTAGTCTGGCCCTTATCCCCATTCGTCTGTCAGCTCCCAGGGTTCTCAGGAATGAGAACGAGTGAGAGGAAGTTGACTTATACCCTGAGGAGCCGGAGCTGAAAGGAAAGCCTGCCAGTCCTCGGATGAATACATCCCATTACGTTTGTCAGCCTAGGACCTTTGAATCCAGCAGCCCTTCGCTTCTGAACCCTCTTTGGCCGGGGAGCAGTAGCGCTGGCTGTGAGTCAGGCTGACTGCCTCTATACCTCCCCTACAAAGCTTGAGGGGTGATAAGGAAAACTGGGGCTTCCTTCCAGTCATCTTTCCTCTGTCCATGGTCTTTTATTTTGCTTACCTCCATTGTGGGAAATTGTGTTGTCTGCACTGTAGTGGCCCATATAGGTCCTTTGACAAGCAAACAACTGTTTACTATGTCTCTGAAAGAACTTGGAGAGCCCTCGGCCCTGCTTTTTTTTCTCTCTCTCTTTTTGCCCTGCTTTTACATCAAGATCTGTATCAACTTCCTGGCAAGGAGGGAGAAAGCACCAGATTCTAGGCTGTGTGTAAACAGGGAAACTGAGGCTGGGAGGATGAAGTAATTGTGGATGAAGTGGGGATAATAGACAAGTGCTTGTCTCTGACAACCAGCCTGATTTTTGGCCGTAAACTCATGCTTCTTTTTACACGTTTGAGAATTAGACAACAAAGAAGCAACAGGGTATATTCAGTATGGTTGAACTCTCTGAAGTTTTTCAGGTCTGACTTATAAAGAAGAAGTGGACATTGTACACATGAATAGGACTTTACAACCACGTGGGGGAAAATTAGTAGAGGCTTCTAAGAGAGAACTGAAGCAGAACAGATTCTGTGGGCTCTGAGAGCTGAGGGAGACAGCATTGCAGAGGTGAATGGGCTGCCTGGGTTGCTCTGTAGAGTAGATGATCAAACCAATTTGAAACAAAATTTAGCTGGAAGCATCAGTCCTGCTTTTCATGGTTGAACTTCACAGAAGGAGATTCTGGGAGTCGAAGGGAATAACATTTTATGCTATTTTTCTGTGTAATTCTGGGAAAGGAGCTCTTTTTCTGTGACCCAGTTTAGCTGTCTAAAAATAAAAAAAATCACCCTGAATTCAAAGGAAGAATCTGTAAGTGAAAGGCTCACTCTAAGTGTTTAAAAGGTTGGCTACGGCATTTAAGATTCTGATGATATTGTCTGAGATATCCTGAAACTAACCCCATTCAGGTCTCCACCCACAGGATAAAGGTCTTCTTTCCATCCTGGTCTCGCTCTACCCCTCCCACCCCCAACTGACAGGGATCTGACCCTCCCTAGAACAGATTTATCACAGAAAACAAGAAAGACCAGGAAGAAAGGGCATAGCAAAAAGTAGGAGGCTCCCACATCAACGTGGAATCATAATATGTGTTTACAGGATGATCAGTTAATACATTTGAGAAAGTGCTTTGTCAGCTGTTACCATGATAACAAAATGGATTATGCTCCTCAAAAGAATAGAAACTGTTTTACTCATTGTGTTCTACCCCAGTGCCTGGCACTTTTTTTGGGGTGATTTTTTATTGGATTTTTTTTTTTTTTTTTAGAGATGGGGTCTCACTATGTTGCCCAGGCTGGTCTTCAATTGCTGGACTCAAGCGATTCTCCTGGCCAAAGTGTTGGGATTACAGGCCAGGCTTGAGCCACTGTGTCCAGCTGGTGGAAAATTTTAATTATATGAAGGTAGAAAGGCTAGTTTAATGTGACTCCATATATCCATCCCAGCTTCAGACTATTATCAACCCATCACATAGGTGCTTAATGTTTTGGGGAGAAAAGAAGGGAGTTTGGCAGTTTCTTAGACATAATTTACCCCATCTTTCTTTCTTGGGAACATTATGATCAATATGAACAATAAATCAGAAAAATCACATTTCCTGTACTTCACATTAGGTTAATCACATTTGAGAAAAACAAAAGTGAAAATCTTTTTTTTGAGATGGAGTTTCGCTCTTGTCGCCCAGGCTGGAGTGCAATGGCACAACCCTGGCTCACTGCAACCTCCGCCTCCCGGGTTCAAGCTGTTCTCCTGCCTCAGCCTCCTGAGTAGCTGGGATTACAGGCATGTGCTACCACGCCCAGCTAATTTTGTATTTCTAGTAGAGACAGAGTTTCACCATGTTGGTCAGGCTGGCCTTGAACTCCTGACCTCAGGTGATCCACCTGCTTTGGCCTCCCAAAAGTGCTGGGATTACAGGCATGAGCCACTGTGCCTGGCCAGAAATTCTGTTTTTTGAGATAGGATCTCACTCAGTTGCCCAGGCTGGAGTGCAGTGGCACAATCATGGCCCATTGAAGCCTTAACTCCCCACACTCAAGTGATCCTCTCAACTCAGCCTCCTGAGTAGCTGGGACTATAGGTGTGTGCCACCATGCCCAGCTAATTTTTGTATTTTTTGGGTAGAGACTAGGGTTTCACCATATTGCCCAGGCTGGCCTTAAGCTCCTGGGCTCAAGCGATCCACCCACCTCAGCCTCCCAAAGTGCTGGAATTACAGGCTTGAGTCACCAAGCCTGGCCAAAAGTGACATTCTTAGGAACACCTTTCAATCTGAATTATATAATAAAAGGATTATAAAATAATCATTTTGATTTTTTTTTTTTTTTGAGTCTTGCTCTGTCGCCCAGGCTGGAGTGCAGTGGCGCGATCTCGGCTCACTGCAAGCTCTGCCTCCCTGGTTCACGCCCTTCTCCTGCCTCAGCCTCCCGAGTAGCTGGGCCTACAGGTGCCCGCCACCACGCCCTGCTAATTTTGTTTTTGTATTTTCAGTAGAGACGGGGTTTCACTGTGTTAGCCAGGATGGTGTTGATCTCCTGACCTCATGATGCGCCCACCTCAGCCTCCCAAAGTGCTGGCATTACAGGCGTGAGCCACCGTGCCCGGCCATCATTTTGATTTTATAAAAACCCAGACCTTAAACTTTGTTACTCATGCCTGTGATTAAAAGTTTGCCATGCCTCAGGTTTTTTTTTTTTTTTTTAATTATAGCACAGCAGGAGGGTGTTGGGAGGTGCCTGGAAACCCTGGCTGACTTGTCAGGCCATCAGCCTGCTGCCTTGACTGCGATACTGGATGGAATGGGTCCAAGGTCTCCATGTTTCTTGGTGTTTCTACTTTCTTTATCTTCGACGCTGGTTCTTTATCTCTAAGGACACAGATAATAGGCAGCCAAGTTTGCCTGAACAGACTTTTTTGGCAGTTTTCAACCTTGTTTTCTGGACGGGAAGAAGAGGGTGGTAAAAAGCCTACCATACTTGCCGACTGAAAGGGACATCTACAGGGCTGAGTGTTTGGGTGAGTCATTTTCCTTTGGTCCTACCACATTTAGGTAAAATGAAGCTTTTTGGTATAGTGATATAGTGGGGAATGTGCAGGTTTTAGAGTAAAATAGACCAGGGTTTGAATTTCCTCTCTATATGGTTCTCACATTTCTCATCTGCAAAATGGGTTGTTTTAAGAAATAATTTACTTAAAAATACATAGTGTAGGGACCAGCACAGTCAGATGCTCAATATATAGTTGCTACTTTTGTGATGAAAATGAAGACGTTGCAATCAGAAAAACAGGCAATGGAAATGGACAGAGAATTCACTGACTAAGTAATACAACTGGCCAGGAAGCATAACACTCAACCGCACTTGTGATTAGAGAAATGCAAGTTCAATAACGTGTGCCATTGTTTTTGCTCATTAGATTGGCTAAAAATATACATAAAGTCCCTTTTTGGTGAAAGTTTAAGCAAATAGTCATTCTCATATATTTTTATAACACCTCTTTGGAGGTAGGTTTGGTAACATATATTAAATTTTAACTGTGTTATTCTTTAATTCTAAACAATTTTGTTTCCAGGAATCTGTTCTACACAAATATACATGAGTATACAAACATATTGTAGCACTGTTTTTCATAGTGAAAACTAGAAACAAATTTACTAATATGGATCTATTTCTAAGGAATAATATGTGTAAAAAGCATATTAGAGTATTATACTATGATCCTATTTATGTTAAGAAAAAGATAATTGTGTGTGTACATTTTATAAATGTATGAAAAGAGGTCTGAGAGGATATATTTCAGAAGGTTTACTTTTGGGGGAAGTAGAGGAAGATTAGGGTGAAGTGAGAGTTTTGCTTTTCATTCTCCCCCCCCCACTAATATGCTACATATGCTTTTCTTTATTCTTCTAAATCTTTGAATTTTCCTAAAGACTATGTATTATAATTTTTGGTGCCAAAAATCAGGAACAAATATGTATTATTTTTGTATTTGTAAAAACAATTTAACAGAAGGGTGAAGATGTGAATTTAGACTATCTGTAAGGCCCTCTGTAAGTACTTGTCTAGACTCAACATCATAGTTGGGTAGAGACAGTTCTTGGGTCTGGAAGGGTGGGAAGAGCTTATATTTAAGAAGCAAAACTTTCACTTCATGGTCTGGGGCTTGAATTTTTGGACCAATAAACCCAAGTGACCCCTTCTGAAGACAGTAGACAGTATGGGAGAGGTTAACAGGTGTTTCTGTAGTCTTGTCCTATCCAAGGTCCTCTATTTTAAAAAAAGAAAGGTCTTGGGCTTCTTTGGAAGAGGCAAGGCAATCTCTGAGTTGTAGTATCTCCGAGTCCAAGATGGTGGGGCTGGCATAGAACCTTCCAAGTTCTTTCTGCCTCTTTGCTTCCTTTCAGGTTGGCATGTCAGATGTTTTGTCTGTTTGTTTGTTTGTTTGTTTGTTTGTTTTGAGACGGAGTTTCATTCTTGTTGCCTAGGCTGGAGTGCAGTGGCCCAATCTCAGCTTGCTGCAACCTCCGCCTCCCGGGTTCAAGGGATTCTCTTGCCTCAGCCTCCCAAGTAGCTGGGATTACAGGCGTGCATCACCACGCCTGGCCAATTTTTTATTTTTAGTAGGGACAGGGTTTCTCCATGTTGGTCAGGCTGGTCTTGAACTCCCCATCTCAGGTGATCTGCCTGCCTCGGCCTCTCAAAGTGCTAGGATTACAGGCATGAGCCACCATGCCTGGCCCTCTTTTTATTTGTTTTGAGGCAGGGTCTCCACTCTGTCACTCAGGCTGGAGTACAGTTGAGTGATCATAGCTTACTGTAGCCTTGAACTTGTGGACTCAAGCGATCCCCTCACCTAAGCCTCCCAAGAAGCTGGGACTATGGGCACATACCACCACACCGGGCTAATGTTTAAATTTATTTTATTTTATTTTGTAGAGAAAAGGGCTCACTTTGTTGCCCAGGTTGGTCTCTAACTCCTAGTCTCAGGCAATCCTTCCACTTCAGCCTCCCAAAGTGCTGAGATAACAGACATGAGCCACTGTGCCTGGCCAAACATGTCGGATTTTATTAGATATTCTGGATCCCTAATAATGAAATTTTTCTTTAGGTTTTGGAAGCTTTCTTGGGTTATAAGTGCCCACAAACTTTTTGTAGTTTGCACATTTAGCTCCCAGCACTGTGGACAATATCCGAGTGAGAAAACAGACAGAACTACTTATTGAAGATAGGAATGGAGGCTGACAGATGGAAAATCCTGTTTTGCTTGGTAACTTACTCCAAATGAAAAGAGGTTTCATGGAGTTAAGAAATGTATCACTCTAGGCCGGGCACGGTGGCTCACGCCTGTCATCCCAGCACTTTGGGAGGAAGAGGTGGGTGGATCATCTGAGGTCAGCAGTTCAAGACCAGCCTGACCAACAGGGTGAAACCCCACCTCTACTAAAAAAAAAAAATTAGTAGGGCGTGGTAGCACACGCCTGTAGTCCCAGCTACTCAGGAGGCTGAGGCAGGAGAATCGCTTGAACCCGGGAGGCAGAGGTTGTAGTGAGCCGAGATCACGCCATTGTATTCCAGCCTGGGCAACAACAGCGCAAAACTCTATCTTGAGGAAAAAACAAAAACAAAAACAAAACAAGAAATGTATCACTCTGAAGCCAGGCACAGTGGCTCACGCCTGTAATCCCAGCACTTTGGGAGGCCCAGGCAGGCAGATTGCTTAAGGCCAGGAGTTCGAGACCAGCCTGGCCAATGTGGTAAAATCCCGTCTCTACTAAAAATACAAAAATTAGCTGGGCGCGGTGGCGCACGCCTGTAACTCCAGCTAGTCGGGTGGCTGAGGCACGAGAATCACTTGAACCTGGGAGGAGGAGGTTGCAGTGAGCCAAGATCTCACCACTGCACTCCAGCCTGAGCAAAGGAGTGACTTCGCCTTAAAAAAAAAAAAAAAAAAAAAGAAATGTATCACTCTAATGTCCTTCAGAATTCTCTGATTTTTAGATTGTAGTCAGAAGGAGACTGACATTGAGGTAGTGGCAAAGGTCTGCATGGGGTACAATGATGCTATATTTCATCACATTGCTGAATACTTTTAAAAATATTGTGAATATATGAGAAAGAGCATGTAATGCATATATACAATTTGCAAAATAATTATGAAAAACAAACCCTATATACCTTCTACTTGGCTTGAGAATTAGAATGTTACAAAAGCTCTGAAGGTCCTAGGGGTCGGCCAGCATGCTGGTACAATTTGGCCACTGCAAAAAGGTGCCTTACCAAGGGGAGAGGGATTTGCCTCCTAAAAAATGGAGCTTTTTCCTTGGGTACAAAGACACCACCTGGTGCTAGGCTGAGGGTCCATAGGCTGGTTCCTACCCAGTGGATATGTCATTTTTCTAATTATCTGCTCAGAAAACAATTCTTTTTTCTAGTTCACATAGAGGCCTCTTATAGGCTAGTGTACTGTGTCCTAGGGGTGCGGGGTCACACCTATAAGTTCTGTACCCTCCACTATAAGTAACAATTATATTGAATTTTGGATTATTATTTTTCTTTAGTGTTTTACCATGTATATATGCATCTCTAAATTACCTACCTCTCTTTCCCTGTACTCCAAAGTGCCATTTGGCGTTGTATTAGTGTTTTGTTTTGTTTTTAATTGCTATAACAAATTACCACAAACTTAGTGGCTCAAACACACAGATTTGTATGTGTGGGGCAGTGGGTATATGGGAAATCGTACTTTCTGCTTTATTTTTCTGTAAACCTAAAACTGCTCTAGAGTTTTGTTTTTTGTTTTTTTGGATTTCTTTCTTTCTTTTTTCTTTCTTTCTATTTTAAAAGGCATTAGGTACTAGCATTAGGGGAAACTTGGAACTCTCTGTACTATCTTTTGCAACTTTTCTGTAAACCTAAAGTTATTCTAAAATAAAAAGGTTATTTAAAATTTTTTAAAAACACAATACAAATGTATTATTTTATAGTTCTGTAGGTCAGCAGTCTGACGTGGGTCTCACTGGGCTAAAGTCAGGCCCCTAGAGGAATATCTAGGGGTCTATAGGAAAGAATCTGTTTGCTTGCCTTTCCTAGCTTCTAGAGGTGGTCCACATTCCCTGGTTCATGGCCTCCATTCACTTTCAAAGCCAGCAATGGCAGATTGAGTTATTCTCATACCCAGTCACTCCAGTGTCTTCTGCCTTCCTCTTCCATTTATAAAGGCCTGTGTGATTACATTGGGCCCACCCAGATAATCCGGGATAATTTCCCCATCTCTGGGTCAGTTGAGCAACTTTAATTCTGCCTATAACCTTTATTCCCATTTGTTATGTGCCGTAACATATTCACAGGTTCTAGGGAATAGAATGTGGACATCTTCATTTTTTTTTTTTTGAGATGGAGTCTTGCTCTGTCACCAGGCTGGAGTGCAGTGGTGTGATCTCGGCTCACTGCAACCTCTGCCTCCTGGGTTCAAGCAATTCTCCTGCCTCAGCCTCCTGAGTAGCTGGGACTACAGGCGTGTGCTACCACGCCCTACTAATTTTTTTTTTTTTTAGTAGAGGTGGGGTTTCACCCTGTTAGTCAGGATTGTCTTGATATCCCGACCTCATGATCCACCCGCCTCGGCCTCCCAAAGTGCTGAGATTACAGGTATGAGCCACCGCGCCCGGTCTGAATGTGGACATCTTTGGGACATCATTATTCTGCCTACACTAGCCATCTTTATGTAGTACTTTGCCACATGCTTGTTCTGCCCCCCAACTAAAAATGATTGTTCTTTTGTTTCTTCTCTACAGATAGCTCACTCCATATCTGTCAAGCTTGAGTTGCTTTCTGAGTAAGTGAAAAGAAGTGGCTGGGCACGGTGGCTCACGCCTGTAATCCCAGCCCTTTGGGAGGCCGAGGCAGGTGGATCATAAGGTCAGGAGTTCAAGACCAGCCTGGCCAAGATGGTGAAACCCCGTCTCTACTAAAAATACAAAAATTAGCTGGGCGTGGTGGTGGGTGCCTGTAATCCCAGCTACTCGGGAGGCTGAGGCAGAGAATTCCTTGAACCCGGGAGGCAGAGATTGCAGTGAGCTGAGATTGTGCCACTGTACTCCAGCCTGGGTGACAGAGTGGGACTCCATTTCAAAAAAAAGAAAAGAAAAAAAGAAAAGAAGAAATACCCTTATTCTGATATAGTAATAATGTCTCATAATAGTATTAAACTACTGAATTAAATGTATTTTCTGGACATTAATTCAGCATTTATCAATAGCTCCAAATTGAGTTTCAGGAGCAAACTAAGGCCAGAGACTACCACTTACACTTCCTGTTGTTTCCAACTTTTAAAATTCCAAAATGAAAACATATACAAGAAAGACAGAAAACAGAAATGCACAAAAAGAAAAATTCTAAAGGAAACACCTGTGTAGCCACCATCCAATTAGGGAAAGAGAAAATAGACAATGCCCCTTCCTCAAAGCTCGCCTTGTGGCTCTTGTCTGTCACATACCACCTCTCTCTTCTTAGAGATAAACCACCATCCTGACTTTTACAGTAATCAGTTGCTTGGCAGTTACTACTCTGTGTTAGTACATTTTCACACTGCTGATAAAGACATACCAGAGACTGGGCAATTTACAAAAGAAACAGGTTTATTGGACTTAACAGTTCCACGTGCCTGGGGAGGCCTCACAATCATGGTTGAAGGAAGGAGGAGCAAGTCACATCTTATGTGGATGGCAGCAAGCAAAGAGAGAGCTTGTGCAGAGAAACTCCACCTTATAAAAACCACCAGATCGTGTGAGCCTTATTCACTATCACGAGAACAGCATGGGAAAGACTTGCCCCCGTGATTCAATTACTTCCCACTGCATCCCTCCCACAACATGTGAGAATTCAAGATGAGATTTGGGTGGGGACACAGCCAAACCACATCATACTCTTTATAATTTTTTTTTTTTTTTGAGATGGAATTTCACTCTTGTTGCCCAAGTGGGAGTGCAGTGGTGCCATCTTGGCTCACTGCAACCTCTGCCTCCTGGGTTCAAGTGATTCTCCTGCCTCAGCCTCCAGAGTAGCTGGGATTACAGGCACCTACCACCACGCCTGGCTAATTTTTGTATTTTTAGTACCTCCACCTGCCTCAGCCTCCCAAAGTGCTGGGATTACAGGTGTGAGCCACTGTGTCTGGCCACTGTTTGTAATTTTACCACCTGTGTACGTACCTCTGACTAGTTTTGTCTGATTTTGAACTTTATAAAAGAGCCATTCTGTAGGTTTCTTTTGTATTTTATTTACCTTCTTTATTGCTATGATTCAACAATGCGGTTACCTGTAGGTCTAAGTTTATTCATCCTTTTTTTCTTTTTTTGTTTTTGAGATGGGGTCTGGCTCTGTTGCCCAGGCTGAAGTGCAATGGTACAGTCTTGGCTCACTGCAGCCTCTGCCTCCCAGGCTCAAACCATCCTCCCACTCAGCCTCCTGAGTAGCTGCGATTACAGGTGTGTGCCACTGTGCTTGGCTAATTTTTGTATTTTTTGTAGAGATAGGGTTTTGCCATGTTACCCAGGCTTGTCTCGAACTCCTGAGCTCAAGTGATCTGCCTGCCTCAGCCTCCCAAAGGGCTAGGATTACAGGTATGAGCCACCATGCCTGGCCTCATTCTTTTCTCATTCTTGTATGTATTTCCTTGTATGGTCTATCCTTCTGTGGCTGGAGTGTTTTGTTTCCATTTTTGGACTATTAGAATTAATGCAGATGTGAACATTTTTATACCTATATTCTGCTACCTTTGTGCACACAGATCTCCAGAGTATATACTCAGGAGTGGAACTGTTTAGTTCTAGAGATATTATGTTTTCAATTTTAGAATTTACACTGCTACTAGCAGTGAAAGAGATTCTGCTCTTCCACATCACTTGATACTATCAGACTTACTAATTTTGGCCATGCTGGCGAGTTTATTATGGTGGATGTAAAGTTGTATTTTTTAGTTTGCGTTTCCCTGATTACTAATGTGGTTGAGTATTTTTCATACATGTGTTGGCCATTTGGATTTCCTTTTATGATGCAATCCCTATAAAAAGTTTATTTTTGTAATTTCATATTAGATTGTCTTTTTAAAAAATTTAAAATTTATTTCCAGAAGTTCTCTATATCATGTAGATAGTAGTCCTTTTTGGGTTGAATGTTTTGTAGCTAACTTTTCCAGTCTTTTGGCTTGAACTTTCACTTTTTTAATGGTGTCAAATGTAAAATAGCTGAATTTATCAATCCTTACTGTACCGTGAAAAGGTTGTGTTTTATTTAAGAATCACGAAGACATTGTCTTATATTATCCGTTTTTTTTTTTTTTTTCGAGATGGAGTCTTGCTCTGTCGCCCAGGCTGGAGTGCAATGGTGTGATCTTGGGTCACTGCAACCTCCGCCCCCTGGGTTCAAGTGATTCTCCTGCCTCAGCCTCCTGAGTAGCTGGAATTACAGGCGTGTGCCACCATGCCTGGCTAATTTTTGTATTTTTATTAGAGACTGGGTTTCACCACATTGGTCAGGCTGGTCTCGAACTCCTGACCTCAGGTGATCCGCTCACCTTGGCCTCCCAAAGTGCTGGGAATAGAGGCATGAGCCACAGCGCCCGGCCTATTATCTTTTTTTAAAAGCTTACTTTAAAATATCTTTTTTAGGCTGGTGCAGTGGCTCATGCTTGTAATCCTAGCACTTTGGGAGGCTGAAGTGGGAGGATCGCTTGAGGCCAGGAGTTCAAGACCAGCCTGGGCAACATAGCAAGACTTTGTCTCTACCAAAAAAATAAAAAATACATAAAAAAAGCTAGGTGTGACAGCATGTGCCTATAGTTCCAGCTACATAGGAGGTTGAGGTGGGAGGATCACTTGAGCCCAGGAGTTCTGGGCTACCATGAGCTATAATGGAGCCACTGTACTCCAGCCTGGGAGATGGAGTGAGACACTTTCTCTAATAAAAATACCAAAATACCCCCCTTTTCATTGTGCAATATTCATATAGAAAATGTCCTGGCTGGGTATGGTGGCTCATACCTGGTAATCCCAGCACTTTGGGAAGGTGAGGCAAAAGGATTGCTTGAGCCCAGGAGTTTGAGACCAGCCTGGGCAACAGAGAGAGATCCCATTTCTGTTAAAAAAAGAAAAAAAAGAGGCCGGGTGCGGTGGCTGACGCCTATAATTTCAGCACTTTGGGAGGCCGAGGCAGGCGGATCATGAGGTCAGGAGTTCGAGACCAGTCTGACCAACATGGTGAAACCCTGTCTCTACTAAAATACAAAAAATCAGCCGGGCGTGGTGGCGTGCGCCTGTAGTCCCAGCTACTTGGGAGGCTGAGGCAGGGGAATTGCTTGAACCTGAGAGGTGGAGGTTGCAGTGAGCCGAGATCGCACCACTGCACTTCGGCCTGGCGACAGAGCAAGACTCTGTCTCAAAAAAAAAAAAAAAAGAAAGAAAGAAAAAAAAGAATAATGCCCGAACAAGGTAAACACAGGTCAATAATTTATTCTTATTTATTATTTATTTTTTGAGACAGGGTCTCTCTCTGTCATCCAGGGTGGAGTGCAGTGGCACAATCATGGATCACTGCAGCTTTGACCTGGCCTCAAGCAATCCTCCCACCTCAGCCTCCTGAGTAGCTGGGACTACAAGTGTGTTACCATGCCTGGCTAATTTTTAATTTTATTTTTTATAGAGACAGGGTCTCACTATGGTGCTCAGGCTGGTCTCCAATTCCTGGCCTCAAGTGATTCTTGCTGGCCTGGTCAATTTCTTCTTTTGTTGTTGTTCTTTTTTATTTGAGATGGAGTCTGGCTCTGTTGCCCAGGCTGGGATGAAGTGGCACGATCTCAGCTCACTGTAACCTCCACTTCCTGGGTTCGAGTGATTCTTCTGCCTCAGCCTCCCGAGTAGCTGGGACTACAGGCATGCGCCACCACACCCGGCTACTTTTTGTATTTTTAGTAGAAACAGGGTTTCACCATGTTAGCCAGGCTGGTCTTGAACTCCTGGCTTCAGGTGGTCCACCCTCCTCAGCCTCCCAAAGTGCTGGGATTATAGGCATGACCCACCGCGCCTGGCCCCTGGTCAATTTAATACAAAGCAAACACCCATGTAACCACCACAGCTCATATCAAGAATAAGAGCATTCTTATTTTTGTGTCTCCACGAACTCTTGCCCCTCGTTCCCAGAAGAACCAGAACCAGTATCATGATGTCTATGATAGTCACTTCCTGGCTTTTTTTTTTTTTCTTTTAAGTTTTTCCCCTAATTTGTATCCCTAAACATGATGATTTAGTTTTGCTTTTTTTGGGAAACACTGTTATATTTAATTTCAATTAAAGAAAAAACTTAAAAACTTAAGGAGCTAGTTTTTATTTTTAAACTTTTTGAAATATAAAATACATATGGAGAAGTATACAGATCATGAGTACAGCTCACTGAATTGTCCCTAGGTGAACATATATGTGCAACTTCCCCCTAGGTTAAGAAATGGAATATCTTCTCATGACCCCTCCTTATTATTGATTTCTTCCTTCCTCAAAAAGACTTCCCTCCTTAACCACAATTCTGACTTCTAAAATGATAGTTTAGTTTTCCCTGCTTTTGAACTGTTTTTAACGGATTCATACAGTATTTGTTTGTGTCTGGCTTCTTTCATTTATTTTTGTGATTCATCACATTGTTGTTTGTAGCTGTAGTTTGTTCATTTTCATTGTTTACATGGTATGAAGATACCATACTGTATTAATCATTCATCATTCTATCATTGCTATCTACCTGAGCTTGAGTTTCCATTTTTTTCACCAATATAAAAAATGCAGCTATGAACTTCAGGGTCTTCCCCTGTTGTGCAGGCTGGAGTGCAGTGGTGCAGTCATAGTTCACTGTAACCTTGAACTTCCGGGCTCAAAAAATCCTCCTGCCTCAGCCTCCTGACTAGCTGGGATTACAGGTGCAAACCACTGTGCCTGGCTATTAATATTTTTTTTTTTTTTGAGACAGGGTCTTGCTCTGCCACCCAGGCTGGAGTGCGGTGGTGCTTACTGCAGGCTTGAATTACCAGGTTCAGGTGATTCTCCTGTCTCAGTACCACCCCCCACCCCCAATTTTTTTTTTTGAGATGGGGTCTTGCTATGTTGCCCAGGCTGGTTTCAAACTCCTGGCCTTAAGCAATCCTCCTGCCTTGGCCTCCCAAAGTGCTGGGATTATGGGTGTGAACCACCATGCCCAGCTCTTTGACTTTTAATTAGGAATTAATATATTTACACTGATTGTAATTACTCATATTTGAATTTATTTCTGCTATCTAATGTTTTACTATTTGTCCTCCTTAAACATTTTTTATCCATTTTTAAAATTAAGATCTTCCTATTTTATTTTATCCCCCTAATAAACTGGAAGTTATATATACTGTTTAATTTCTTGTACTGATTATGTAGAAATTTTAACATGTATATTTAACTCAACAAATTATAGACTTATTTAGCCTCCTCTTAAACAATACAAAGCCTTCTAATACTTTAATTTACCCTCTCACAATAGTATATGTTAAATTATTGAACAATAGTAGAATTTAGATATTGTTGCCATTATTTTGGATAGTGTTTAGATTTACAGCAAACATGCAAACAATTTTCTTTGTTCACCATTACTTCTCGCATTTTGGATCTTCCTTCTGGAAGATGGTAATTTTCTCTTAACATTTTGAAGATACGCTGCAGTATCATTTGGCTTCTATTGTTACTATTGAAAGGTCAGCTGTCAGCCAAATTATCTTTTCTTTGAAGATTAGTGTCTTTTCTTTTCTTTTTTTTTTTTTTTTTTGAGATGGAGTCTTGCTCTGTTGCCTAGGCTGGAGTGCAGTGGCGCAATCTCAGCTCACTGCAACCTCTGCCTCCCAGGTTCAAGTGATTCTCCTGCCTTAGCCTCTCGAGTAGCTGGGATTACAGGCGTGTGCCACCACACCCAGCTAATTTTTGTAATTTTAGTAGAGGCAGGGTTTTGCCATGTTGGTCAGGCTGGTCTCGAACTCCTGACCTCAGGCAATCTGCTCATGTTGGCCTCCCAGAGTGCTGGGATTACAGGCGTGAGCCACTGTGCCCGGCCTAATGTCTTTTCTTGCTGCCTAATTTTAAGATCCCCTTTCTCTCTGGGTACTAAATTTTATGTGTGCATTTTATACTTTTCAGCATGGCAAGTTTTGGTCTTCCAGAATTTAGGATATTTACCTTCAATTCTGGAAAATGTTCAGCCACTATTTCTTTGAATATTGTCTTCCCTCCATTCTATTATCTCCTTCTTTTTTGTTTGTTTTGTTTTTGAGACGGTGTCTACGTCGCCCAGGCTGGAGTGCAGTGGCGCGATCTCGGCTCACGGTAATCTCCGCCTCCCAGATTCAAGCAATTCTCCTGCCTCAGCCTCCTGAGTAGCTGGGATCACAGGCATGCACCACCATGCCGAGCTAATTTTTTTTAATATTTTTAGTAGAGACAGCGTTTCACCATATTGGCCAGGCTGGTCTGGAATTCCTGACCTTGTGATCGGCCCGCCTCGGCCTCCCAAAGTGCTGGGATTACAGGCTTGAGCCACCGTGCCCGGCCTTTTTTTTTTTTTTTTTTTTTTTTTGAGACAGAGTCTTGCTCTGTCGCCAGGCTGAAGTGCAGTGGTGCAATCTCGGCTCACTGCAACCTCTGCCTCCTGGGTTCAAATGATTCTCCTGCCTCAGCCTCCCCAGTAGCTGGGATTACAGGCATGCGCCACTACGCCTAGCTAACTTTGTATTTTTAGTAGAGATGGGGTTTCACTATGTTGGTCAGGCTGGTCTTGAACTCCTGACCTCGTGATCCGCCTTCCTCGGCCTCCCAAAGTGCTGGGATTACAGGCTTGAACCACCGTGCCCGGCCAGGTTGGTTTCTTTCTATGAAGGCCTAAAATAGGGATGTACACCTTCATGTTTTGGAGCTTCTCTGCTGATGAGCTTGGGGATTCAGAAAACATTAAATGCTTCTGTAAATTGTTATATACTCTAGTGGAAAAGAGTAGTTAGGTGTAAATGTTTGGCAAAAAATACAGCTGTAGTTAAACTGCAAACTGCAAACATTGGCGTTGTCAGTTTGCCACAGAAAATGTGGTCTGAATGGAAGGTGCCTGAAGGCTAGGCATGGTGGCTCATGCCTGTAATCCCAGCACTTTGGGAGGCCGAGGTGGGAGGATCTCTTGAGCCCAGGAGTTAGAGGCCACCCTGGGCAATGTAGTGATAATACGTCTCTAAGAAAAAAAAAAAAAAAAGCTGGGCATGGTGGCACATGCCTGTAGTCCCAGATACTTGGGAGGCTGAGGTGGGAGGATTGCTTGAGCCTGGGATACTGAGGCTGCAGTGAGCTATAATTGGGCCACTGGACCCAGACCCTGACTCAAAGGGGAAAAAAAAGGTGCTGAGAAGCAACTTGGCTGGTCAAATGATAGGAAGGCTCAAAAGCCTAGAGCCTGTAAGGAACAGGTAGGATATGCAAAATGGTGAGACCCTCCTGCCTAGATTTCTGGTTAAAAAGGCAGCAGAAAGTTCATGATTTTGTGAAGGTCATAATCTCACTGAATCTCAGAGCAGTTTTTTCTTTCCCCTATATGGATACAGGCAGAGGGAAGAAGAGAAAGGGATATTTATTCTTTGTTATTTATTTATTTTCAACAATAAAAGTTCTGATTGTGGAAAAAATATCTAGCTGATTATAGGAATTTAATAAAGAAACCAAAACAAATTAGTCTTATAGCTGATGATAGTATTGGCCTACATTATTGTCATACACTGAATTCTGAGTTATCAGGCCAAATATGTGGACTTGGCAAAGATGAGACTTACTGTTAATTGTTCCAGCTCTCCAAACTGGATGTGACTGGCACCAGTGGCTATATGAGTGAATATAGAAGCTGAAATCCACATTATGTTAACTTTGGTTCTATTCCACCAAAATATTTTATTCCAGAGATATGTAAGATGAAGCTTTTCCAGGGCAGAGATCATGATCATATCGCCTAGCACAGTGCCTGACCCATAATAGCTGCCCAAGAAATATGTGTTGAATAAATAAATGGCACAAAGGTTATTCTGGGTTGCTAAGATCAGAACAGTATTTGCCATTATTTTGGAGGTTGGCGTGGGATTTGTACACCCTGGAACAGTTTCTTCTCTTTGCAGCTAGTGATATTTTTCTGTTTATGAAAAACACACATTCTTGCACACTGGCACAATGGTCCTGGGCAAAGTGGCACAGAAAGATTTCCACTCCATTTCTTGGAAGAGCCAGCAATACATCTCTCTAATGGTGAGTTGCTTCTCTTTTACCAGAGGATTTAAATTTGATGTGTTTTTAGTTCTTCCTTTCTTCCCAGTAGAGGAGACTACCTCAAGGAGAAAATTCATTAGCTGAGTTTGACTGAATTTGATAGCATTTTACTGCTCTGTGAGAATCAAGAGTAGTCACAATCTCATCTCCATATGCACTTGTTTTTCCCTGCACACAAGACTGCATGTAATGATGGCTTCCTATCTGTATTTACAGTCATGTCTTGTTCTACAAATGGGCAGTGTAAATATGCTTCTAATTGGGGAAGAGATGTGCTTGTATTTACTGTAACTTACAAGGCTCAGAAGATCTTAAAACCAGCACCGAGAGTTTGGGGGAATTCTTAGTGGTTCTTGGTTTTCATTTACAAATAGATAGACAAAGATTTGGCAATTTCTGTCAAGAAAGGTGTTCACACTGGGCCTCATTCCTGGCAATAAATCCAGATATGAAAGCAAGACATTTTCAGGTTGTTCTCTAGGCCTCTGAATGCAGTATAGGAGAGGGAACTGAAAAAATTGTATATGGCTAATAAAGCACTTTTATGCATACCAATTCATTTAAGTCTGTTTCCCTATTTGACTAATGGGGAATCTAAGGTACAACTAAGTTAAGTAACTTGACCAGAGTCAAAAGGCTAGTAACAGGGCTAGAACTGGAACTTGGAATGTTTGTTTTATCTATTTTACTTTTAAGTGATAGAATTGGTGGGGATAGAATATATCTTTTTGGCTTTTCTGGCTAGGGTGGCTCGTTTCTTATTAACATCGTATTAAGAAAGACAAGGCAGCCTTGACTGAACTCAAGTTAATCTATATCCCAGTACTCAAACAGCCTTGCTCAGGGAGATCAGTAACGGTAAGGAAAACACCTGATTAAAAGTTTCCTTACTGATGGTGCAAGGGAAGGGCTCAACATCCTGCTACATCTGGAAGAGATGAATTCAGTCAAACTCATGTAAAGGATGGAAGAACCCATTTGCATTCTCTGTGAATAATGAGGGCATTATTAGCCATCTGTAAAGTAACTGCAGAGACAGCTACTTCCTGACTTCAAGTCTCATTCCAGTGACACTGGTGACCTTGGGGAGGCAGATATGCTGAGGTCCTCCCTGGCATCTAGAATGCAGTCCAGGTTGTAGCAAAGATATATTCCTTCCACAGTGATGTGACTCATGACCTTACTTCTGAGAGGCATAATGCCTCTGTTCAGATAAGCTGGGATAGAATGCTTGTTTTCCAGGCTTAAAAGTCATCTTGCAAATAAATAACAATTTTATCTCAAGTAGTAATTTTCCTGGCATGGCCTCATCTCCAGAAGGAGTCTTGGAAACACAAAGGATTGGTCTATACCAGTCACTTCTCATCCTGGCCAAATAGCTATTGCAAATGCTATTTTTGACTCTATTGATATATTGAAATGTGACGTTTCCATCTACAGGTAAAGAATTTGTAGGAAAAAAAGAAGAAAAAGTGATGTAATTTTGAAGTATTCTTTTAGTGAGGTATTCTCTCATCTCTGTAACAAACAGAATTGCTGTTCTTTGCTGTAGGGGCTGTCCTGTGCCGTAAAGGATGTTTACCAGCATCCTTGACCTTCTCCCACCAGCCAATAGCACCTCTCCAGTGGTGACAATCAAAAATGTCTGTATTCAGCAGATCCTGAATTCAGAAGGAAAAAAAAAGTTTAAAAAAAAACCAAAAATGTCTGCACACATGGTCCCCCAAAATTGTCGCAGTTGAGAACCACTGTTTTAACTGAAGCAACAAGATTATTATAAAAGAAACCATCTTCTTCCCTCCATCCACCAAAAAACTAAAGTAATTTCTGAGATAGACCCCCTCTAGAAATTTCAGAGGATTTAGACAAAGCAGGTAGATTAAATACTCAGTTATTTAGTTATAAAAGGCCAAACCAGAATTATTGAGGACAATGTCTTTGGAGACTGTTGCTGGTGAGCTGTGATTCTTACCACAGGTGCCTGCCTGCCTTTTACTTCAAGTCGAGGGAGTGGGCCTTCAATGGATCTGCTCAGAGCACTTGACTTGTACCTCCTGCAGTCTGAGGGGCACCGTGGGCCTGTGTCTGACTCCCACAGGCTGGCGGCTGTTTTGGCAGCAGAGTAGAGGAATGTTGAATCTGCACTGGGATTAGCCTGTACTCCCAAGTTTGTTCGGGCAAGAGGTGCCTGAGAGCTTCCTGTGGACCAGGTGTGGGCCATACAGAGCTGTCACTAGGCTAACACAGCAGCACCATGAGAAAAAAGCTCTCCTTCGTCCAGACGCTTTGCTTCCATCTATTGGGAAGCAGTCGTTGTAATTTAGTTTGGACAAAACACTTTACTGCCACCTGCTGGAAAAACATTAAAATAAATAACATACAGAACTACAGTGAGAATGATGTGAATGGCACCCCCTAGGGTACGGAGTGCACAACCTTGTCCCACAATAAAGGGTCACTTGCAAATGGACGAGTGTGAGAGTCATCTCAGATCCTATCTGACAGGGCCTTTACAGAGATGCCCAGGTTTCAACAGACAAGTAGTTGGAGGTGCGTGGAAAGAAGTAAATAACTGCCAAAATAGCTTTACGCTTAGACCAATAGAATTATGGGGGAGAAACCACCAGAGAAGGGGGATGGTGGTAGTCTCTGAGGTATCCATGAAAAAATAAGTCAGCTTTAAGCATCTACCATGCCCAGGGAATGTCAAACCATCATACAAAGTTAACAACTTTCCTGCTCCTTTTTCTCCCTGCCTTCCCCAGATTTGGTTATGATTAGTTAAGCCGGGAGGAGAAAGACTAGGCAGGTTAAAGATGACTATGGTCCCCTCTTTAGGGCAAGCAATGAGACAACTGTTCCCAGCTGAAAAAGAGGAAAACATTTCACTCTTTGTGACTCAATGACAACAGGACTCTATTCCTAAGGAGACCACAGAACCCCTAAAAACTCATGGAACCTGCCTGAGTTTTCAATTAGGTACATGACAGATCTACTCCCACTGCACAAATTGAAAGGCATGGCAAAAGATACAAAATAAAAGTGTTTGTTTTGAATTATAGCCCATGTGGCCCCTATGTTGAACATACTGTTTTTATATTATCAAGTAGGATCTAGAGAATATATCTTCCAAGAATATGTTCTGCAGTTTTTGAGGGGGAAAATGGTCATTGATCAATTCATTTGTTTTTTGAGATCCCATACTTTGTGGGTAGGGTATAAAAACGCAAGGGAGGCCGGGCACGGTGGCTCACGCCTGTAATCACAGCACTTTGGGAGGCTGAGGTGGGAGGATCACTTGAGGCCAGGAGTTCAAGAGAGGCCTGGGCAACATAGGGAAACCCATCTCTAAAAAAATTTTAAAATTAGCCAGGCATGGTGGCATGTCCCTGTAGTCCCAGCTACTCAGGAGACTAGGGTAGGAATGCTGCTGGAGGCCAGGAAGTTGAGGCTGTATTGAGCCATAATCCAGACACTGGACCCCAGCCTGAGTGACAGAGCAAGACCTTGTCTCACCAAAAAAAAAAAAAAAAAAAAAAAAAAAAAAAAGGCAAGGGAATCCTTCCCTCTGGGAGCTTACATCTTAGGTTTCATATTCAGAGCAAAGTATTTATTACAGTCAGTTATGTCAACAAGAGCCTGTGTTGCATATGTGGGGCAGGCGGAGGAGGTTTTTAACTCTCTTCGGATTTACTCTCAAGACTTTTACGCACTTATGATAAAGCTTTTGAAGCAATCATATTGCTCCTGTTCTCCAAGCATGGAATCACAGGTAAAGCTTTCATTTAAGATATTTAAAGAGAGATACAAGGCTAAATGCACAGACTGCATCTTCACTGGGCTGCTCTGAAATCAGGCTCTGTTGATCCTGTTTGGCAGATTTGGAAACTTTTATTTCACTTCGCTCAAGTTTAAATAGGCTCTGAGAAATTAATTCGGATAAAACAATTCAACCCAGTGAACAGTGTCCGATTTGTAAACCATGATATGAATTTATTGACAAAAACTGTACAGCTAGTATAACTAGTCCTAGTTATATGCCTTGGACAATCCCTTCTTATTGGGTATGTAGATTTATTTGAGAGACTCCCTGAATGATGGAAAGGCTACTAGCTGAGTTTGGAATCAGAGTATGGGCCTTTGTATGCTCTTAACGGAGATCCAGAATTTAGGTTTGCTAGGATATAAACTCCACGAAGGCAGGGATTTACTGACGTATCTTAAGAGACTAGAACATAGTAAGCATTCACTAAGTATCTGTTGAATGAGTGAGTGAATCTGAATTAAGATTTAACTGCCCTGAGAGTAAGTGTTGGTTCTGGTCATTAGAATCAGTTGCCTCGTTCCTGGACAGAGTTCCTGGGAGCCTCATAGAACATTCTTATTCAGATTCTTCTGGTTTTAGACTCTTTGTGGACCCCACCCTTCGGTTATGACAGCATTAACTGGGTATGTGACACTTAGGTTACACATGGTTTACTCTCTCTGATGAAATGTGGGAGACACTGTGGCCTCTGTAGCCCATTTACAGATCATTTCATAGGGTAACTTTATTTTTTTCAAATCTTGTCCCAAGTTCTATGAGGGTTCTTGTTTTACATTTTCCAAGTTACTAACTTCCAGCTCAGGTAGGTAAGGGACAACTGAATTGTGGTGGCTGCTATTTTTTGTGCAGGTGTTGATCTACCGGCTGTCAAGGAGTCCAAATGGAAGATCTCAAAGCCCTTAACAGACTATAACAAAGAAGAGATTGGCTGAATATTCATACCCTTGTGAGTTCAAGGGAGTTGTAGGGATGGTCTGGGTAGCCATGCAAGTTCAGAGAGCTCATTCTTTCTGCCTCCTTTCAGCTCTGCCTCCGCAGCTGGCTGATTTTAGTATACGAAGCTCCCTGTAAGCCCGCAGCCTATCGACTTCCACAGTCCCAGACTAAGGCACCGAAGCCTTACTGTTCTCTCTGGAGTCTAGGTCAGGTCCTGAGGTGAAGGGGTAGGGTGGGGGCGGGCAGGACGCAGGTGCAGCCCCGTGGTCCCGGATCTAACTCACATCTCTGGGAATGGGAACCGAAGTCACCGCTTAGGTCTCCCCCAGCGGTTTTCGGTTCAGGTCTCTGTGCTCCTCACCTGGATATGGGCGCCCTGGGGGCCTGGCTTCCTCCGCAGAGACCAGAAGCGATCTCTGTGTTCCGGATTTTCCCTTTATCTTTCCTCTCCCCAGTGTCCTCTCTGTTTCCCAACCTCCCCATACCGAGGACCCCACAACCCGCCCCGGGATGGCGCCTGGCTGCTCGCACCCTAATTCAGGACCCCAATTGGTGGGAGAGGAACCGCGGTCCTCAAGCTTGCAGGACACAGGGCCGCTGCCCGGAATGCTGTGGGGGTGGGGACCCTCGCCGCCCCGCCCCCACCAGCGGCCTGCCCCGCCCCCTCCCACGCACGTCACGTCCGGCCCGGCCTCCGCCCGCCAGCCGCTCTCCTCCCGCTCGCCGTTAGGGAGGCTCTGCACCTCAGCCGCCGCCTCTGTCGCCACTCTCTCCCCCTGTTCCGCGTCTGCGTCGCCACCACCGCCGGGGGTATCCGGGGGGTCGCTTACCGGGCTGGCCCCGCGCCACAGCCGTAGCTTTAACCTCCCGTCAGCGGCCGCCCCAGGAAGAGGCTTCTCGGCCGCGGAGCCACTTGGGGCCTCAGTTCTCGCCCTCTTGCCGTCGCCGCGGGTCCTGGAGAAGCGGCCGCGGCCAGGGAACGGGGCATCGCGGTTCCAACGGTAGGTAAACGGGCGGGTACCCGGATCTGCGCATGCGCGGGTTGCAGGTCGCCGCGGCCCTTCCCCTCCTGTTGCCCCCCAGCGCCGCCTGCCACCCGCGCCTGCTCTCGGGCGTTGCGTTTCGGGATGTGGAGGACTCTAGCAGGTGGGGCGTTCCGTGGAGAGGGCCCCCTTTCCGCTGGAGAAAGAGGAAGATGAAGCCGTGTCCCTGGCTGCCGGGGGGTGTGGCAGCCTTGGATTTGCAGCGGCTGCAGTGCAGTTGAGCGGGCGTGCCCCTCACCTCCAGCCCCTCCAGAGTAGATGGCGCGACACCCCACGTTTCTTTGCTGACCTCTCCTGCCCGCTGGCGCTGCGCCTCTTCCCCGCCCACTTCCTTCATGCTGGGCAGTGAAGTTGATGTAGAAGAAAAAGGAGTGTGTTTTATTCTGGGCTCAACTGCGCCCCTTTTTAAGGTCACGTGAGATGAGTGGTTGCGGACTTCCTTAAATCGCTCAGAGAATATAGCCAAAATTGGGCTGTTGGTGCACTGGGGCCTTGTCTAGAATGCGCTCTGCATAGGCCAGGCTGGAGGGGGACACTTTGTATAGCATTAGGGTTCGCGTGGCACGCCTGGTTTCCTAGATGAGGTTGTAGGAATCGGTTGGCACATTTGCGCAGTGGGAAACTGTTAAGCCCTTTTTGTTTGTAATCAGTTAAAATCAAACTGACTTTTAGAAAGACGGTGGATTATTTCATTTGGTTCCCCGTTTCGCCTTCTAATCAGTGAAAAAAGTTGGGCATTTACTTTGAAGGATCTGATAATCTAAAATGGTAGCCAGAATCATTACCAGTAGTAATGCAGACTATTAACATTAACTGGGGTGCACCTGTTTAGAGAGACAGACATTAAAGGGTGGTTTTGAATTATTTGTCTTTTTAGAGCTGGGTTAGTGTGAGGCTATTTTCAACCTTCCTTTTTTGGTAACCTTGAAATGCTTGTTGGCCTGGTTTTCTCACAGGTACTGTGCATTTACTAAGTGCTTGTTGATGGAATTGAATGGACTGATAATTATTTGTATATCCATTGGGAGCGCCTTCTTACTTTTTTTTTTTTTTCCTTGAGACAGTTTCGCTCTGTCGTACAGGCTGGAGTGCAGTGGAGCGATCTCGGTTCACTGCAACCTCCTCCTCCCGGATTCAAGCGATTCTCCTGCCTCAGCCTCCTGAGTAGCTGGGACTACAGGCGCCCGCCACCACGCCTGACTAATTTTTGTATTTTTGGTAGAGATCAGATTTCACTAAGTTGGCCAGGCTGGTCTTGAACTGACCTCAAGTGATCCGCCTGCCTCAGCCTCCCAGAGTTCTGGGATTACAGGCGTGAGTCACCGTGCCTTGCCCCCTTCTTACTTTTTTAATCCGTGCTGCTTTTAAAATTGGAGTAATAGTTTCTCCAGTTTAATTTTATTACTAATTTAGACACGTGTGTGACACAGCTTAAGTTCTTGGAAAATGTAGAAGGGCATATTGCAGTGGCATAATTCATTGGGTGGTGTAAATGTTAGTTTTTTTTATTAGAATGTCATTGTTTTAGGAGAGAAAATGGCTGAAATGAATCTGTTGACTTGTCAGTGTTTCCCCACCAATAAAATAACTGCTTTTATAATCAGTTATGAATAACCTCAATCCATCGCTGCATAGCTCCTCCATCATCGTATTCAAATTTTAAATTTGGGGACTATAATAGTGTAAATTACTGTTTTGTTTTTTTTTTTGAGACAGGGCATCACTGTCGCCCAGGCTGGAGTGCAGTGGTGCAATCTCGGCTGACTGCAACCTCTGCCTCCCAGGTTCTAACGATTCTTCTGACTTAGCCTCCCGAGTAGCTAGGACTACCGGTGCTTGCCACTGCGCCTGACTAATTTTTGTATTTTTTGTAAGACGGGGTTTTGCCATGTTGCCCAGGCTGGTCTCAAACTCCTGACCTCAGATGATCTGCCTGCTTCTGCCTCCCAAAGTGCTGGGATTACAGGTGTGAGCCACCTTGCCACCTTGCCCAGCCTTACGTTCAATTTTTTTTTTTGGGGGGGGGGGACGGAGTTTCATTCTTGTTGCCCAGGCTGAAGTGCAAATTTTAGTGTGTAAATTATACCTTAATAAATGTATTTTTTTAAAAACCCACTGGTGGACTTTGGAGAGCTTATACTCTGTTGGTAGAAACAGACATTAAACAAACACAAAATGAATATGTAATAAAACTTGTGGTAAGCCAGGCTCACGCCTGTAATCCCAGCACTTTGGGAGGCTAAGGCTGGAGGATCAGTTGAGCTTAGGAGTTTGAGGCCAGCCTGGGCAACATAGGGAGACTCTCTTTACAGAAAAAAAAAAAAAAAAAGCCAGGCATGGTGGCATGCTCCTGTTGTCCCAGCTGCTCAGGGAGCTGAGGTGGGAGGATTGCTTGAGCCCAGGAGTTTGAGGCTGCAGTGAGCTGTGATGATGCCATTGCATTCCAGCCTGGGGGACAGAGTGAGACCCTGTCTCAAAAAACAAAACAAGAAACCTGTGATGAATATTTTGGAGCCAAGGAACGCCACACCCTAGATAAATTAATAAATGAGACCATTAGTTTGAGTGGGTTGAAGAAAGCCTCTCCAAGGATGGGACTTGAACTGATGATAGGAAGGAGGAAGCGTGGGAGAGTGTTCCAGGTCAGTGAACTAGCAAGTATAAAAGACCTAGGCTGAGGAAAATGTGGTAAGCTGACAAGATAATTTGATGACATTTACTAGATTTCTACTAGAGAAGGAAATATTGCAAGTCTTTTATTTCAAGTTATTACCTAGCTTCTAGTGTATATTTTCTTTTCCTTGTATATATAATGTATAAAGATTCTTATCTCTTGCTTTAATTTTAAGAGCGATGTCTGTCAAGTTTCTATTATTGCCCTTTTCAGGAACAGAATAGAAAAAGTTCAGTTTTGTTTACCTATTCTTGAAAATATTTCTCTACTTTTTGCTTTTGTGTGTCAAGCTGCTGCTCTTTACAATTGAAAAGTAAAAGTAAAAATAAAACTGAAAACTGCTTGTTGATTGACATAGTAGGTGCTGAATATCATTTTGCATTGGGGTGAGCAGGGAGGTGGAGGAGGTTCTCTATGGTCCTAATTTGGAGCAAACACTGGTCACGTTGGATTTAGTGTTTGGAAAGGTGTAAAGGAGCTGAAATTTAGAATTAGGTAAGATGGGAGTTTTTTTCAATAGCAAAAGCAGACTGCATTATGATTGGTTGTAGAATCACTTTGAAACTATTACTGTTGTAAAATATTCTCTTTTTCTATTGAGAGGAAATATTCTAGTAGTATTTCCATAATGATCTTTGGCCAGCAACTGCAAAACATTTCCAGCAACTACAAAGTATTTAAGTGCTTTATGAATTACTCTTGGTGTGGCTTCATGTATTTCAGTGACATTTTAAACAAAATTTTCACTGAGAATTGTAGTTGTTGCCTAGAAGGGGCATCTACTTGTAAGATAGTAGACTTAGAGTTCTAGTTGCTAATTCAGTAACTTTGAACCAGTTTCTTCAGCTCTCTGAGCTTGCTTCCTCTTCTGAGAAAAGGAAGGGTAATCCATTCTCCTTATTTCACCGGATGGTTGGAGGATTCAGTTGGAGAGTGAACTGGAAAGTACACTGGAAATGGTAGCATCAGTTTCAGTATTGGGGTTCTGCTATTTAGTGTTCAACTGGGGAAACAAAAATGAAGTCATTTTTTTTTTCTTTTTTTTGAGACGAAGTCTCGTTCTTGTCCCCCTGGCTGGAGTGCAATGGCGGCGATCTCGGCTCACTGCAACCTCCGTCTCCTGGCTTCGAGCGATTCTCCTGCCTCATCCTCCCAAGTAGCTGGGACCACAGGCATGTGCCACCATGCCTGGCTAATTTTTGTATTTCTTGTAGCGATGGGGTTTCACCATGTTGGCCACGCTGGTCTCAAACTCCTGACCTCAGGTGATCCGCCTGCCTTGGCCTCCCAAAGTGCTGGCATTTATAGGCGTGAGCCACTGCACCTGGCCTAATTTTGTATTTTTAGTAGAAATGGGGTTTCATCATGTTGGCCAGGCTGGTCTTGAATTCCTGACCTCTGGTGATCTGCCCACCTCAGCATCCCAAAGTGTTGGGATTATAGGCAGGAGCCACTGCACTTGGCCATTTTTTGCGTATTTTATGGTCAAAGTTCACAATCTAGTGGGGAAGATATACAAAAAAAGTTTAACCACTGCTTTTTTGTTCATGTACCAGCTTCCCTTTTTTTTTCAGTTTTTATACAAGTCTGTGCAAAAAGAGAAATGTTTTAATCTCAGGGGACCTATCTGGCTAGACCAAGTTGTAGAATTACGCATAATACCCCTTACCTGAAAAAATGAAGTGTATTGTAGTTTCGTATTAACGAGCTATGAAAAATGATAAACTAGTCTTCTTACTCTTATCAGTCTAGTAGGCCTTGCCTGTGCATGTTTTCAGTGGAGAAAAGGTATATTAATATTTCCCACGTTGTTGCAAGAAATAGCTTCTACTCTTTTTTTTGGTTTTATTTTTTAAAGCAGTGAAATTCCCAATCTTTTAAGCAATAGAGCCCTCTTTAATTTAAAAACTTTCTAGTCCTGAATTCTGTATTAGTTATACTTTGTATCTGATAAATTACTTAATGGCCAAGCCAGTATGAACTTAATAACAGATTAAGTGATTTGGTGTTTTCCTGATTGTGTTAGTCCATTCTCACACTGCTATAAAGAACTGCCAGAATAAAGAAAAGAGGTTTAATTGTTTCACAGTTCTACATGGCTGGGGAGGCTCCAGGAAACTTACAATCATAGTGGAAGGGGACGCAGGCATGTCTTACATGGCAGCAGGCAAGAGAGCCTTTGTAGGAAGTGAAGGGGGAAGAGCCCCTTATAAAACCATCAGCTCTCATGAGAACTCACTGTCACGAGAACAGCATGGGAGAAACTGCCTCCATGATCCAATCACCTCCTTCTCTCCACACGTGAGGATTACAATTCTAGATGAGATTTAGGTGGGGACACAGAGCCAAACCGTATCACTGATCAAAGTAGCGTCTATGAACATTTGATAGGTAAGTTTATGCACTATTGAGACATTCGTTCAGCTTTTCTGTTAAGTATGTCAGACAAATTATGCTTTGGTCAGTTTCTCAGGCCAGGAGGGAACCACTAAGTTAGCATATTTGCCACTTTTGTTGTACCATACTTGTTCAGTTAGAATGAAAGAGGTGCCTTTTGCTTCAGTGAATTATTTGGAGCCCCAGCTAGTAAGAAGCTGAATGTCTAGAGCAGGCATAAGTTTATTTTCTTTTAGTTTTGGTTTAATGATGTAAAGTCAAATTAGCAATAGTCTACAAACTTATAAATCTCTATCATCTTTATTGAGACCCAGCTTCCTGCTGGCTTTTCTGACTTTGTATACCAGTGATAATAGGGATGTATTTATGTAGTTTTTTGGCTTTAACAAGTAGTGAGATAGCTCTTTTAAACCTTTCTATGTGAATTGTATCCTATTTTGTCAAAGCATTTGGGCAAATGTGAGTTTTATTGTTTCTTCCTATTCTATTTGAAGGTAGAACTTTTTTACTTCAATGTGGCACTTTTTCTTGGCACATCTTTTTGAGTCATTCTGTTGCCCAGGCCCAGTGCAGTGGTGCAGTCACAGCTCGCTACAGCCTCAAACTCCTGGGCTCTAGAAATTCTTCCATCTCAGCCTCCTGAGTAGCTGGGACTACAGGTGTGTGCCACCACACTTCGCTAATTTATTTATTTATTTATTTATTTATTTATTTATTTATTTATTTATTTGAGATGGAGTCTTTCTTTGTTGCCCAGGCTGGAGTGCAATGGCGCGATCTCGGCTCACTGTAACCTCCGCCTCCCGGGTTCAAGCGATTCTCCTGTCTCAGCCTCCTGAGTAGCTGTGATTAAAGGCGTGTGCCACCATGCTCAGCTAATTTTTTACTTTTAGTAGAGATAGGGTTTTACCATGTTGGCCAGGCTGGTCTTGAACTCCTGATCTTGGGTGATCCACCCGTCTCGACCTCCCAAAGTGCTGGGATTACAGGTGTGAGCCACAGTGCCTGACCAATTTTTTTTTTTTTTTTTTTTTTTTTTTGAGACACGGTCCCTCTCTGGTGCCCACGCTGGAGTTCAGTGGCATGATCACAGCTCACTGGAAGCCTCTACCTCCCTGGGCTCCAGTGATCCTTCCACCTCAGCCTCCCGAGTAGCTGGGACTGCAGGCGCATGACATCATGCCCAGCTAATTTTTGTACTTTTTTGTAGAAACGGGGTTTTGCCATGTTGCCCAGGCTGGTCTCGAACTCTGGAGCTCGAGTGATCTGCCCACCTCGGCCTCCCAAAGAGCTGGGATTACGGGTGTGAACCATCATGCCTGGCCTCTTTTTTCATTTTCTTCAGCTTTGTTGAAGTATGGTTTATATACAACAGCATGTCCAGCTCAATACGTTTTAATAAATATATTCATATGTAACTATCACTGCCACAGTTATGACATAGAACATTTTCATCACCTCAAAAAGTTCTGTGTTTCAGTTTTCTCATCAGTAAAATGGATATAATGAAAGTATTTGCCTCCTTTAGGGTTGTTGTAAGGATTAAATGAGTTGATATAGTTAAAGTCTTTGAAATAGTGCCTGGCATATTGTAAGAGCTCAGCAAATGCTGTCTGCTATTATTATCTATAGTATTGATATTGGTGCTCTACCCCTTTTTAAAAGCCCCTTACTACTAATTTTAGTAGATAGTTAAAGTGTAAAGATTCTGTGCTATTAAGAAAGGTACGTTTCATTTGTCAAAAATCAGTTGATTGTAGATGCTGTTTTGGTTAATATAGCTCTGTAGTATATTTGTAAGTTGGCTAGTGTGATGCCTCCAGCTCTGTTCATTTTCTTCAGGATTGTTTGTGTTAATCAGGGTTTTTATGCTTTTGTACAAAATTTACGGTTGCTTTTTCAGTTTCTTTGAAGAATGTCATTGTAATTTTGATGGGGAGTGCATTGAATCTGTAGACCACTTTGGATTGTATGGATATTTCAACAATATTAAATTTTTCAGCCCATGGGGGGAAAAAGGGGTGTGTGTGCTGCTACTATGTATGTGTATTTTTGTATATGTAAATGAAATTGAATGGAATGCAAAAGTACCTTGAGTCCCTGTAGAACTTAGGTTGATAGCTGGTGTATGAAGATGCACTTTCTTGAATGTCACCCAACTTTATTGATAATTGGTGTTTAATTGCATTGTTTCTGAGCCGGGAGTAGTGACTCATGCCTGTAATCCCAGTGATTTAGGAGGCTGAGGTGGGAGGTTTGCTTGAGCCCAGGAGTTTGAGGCTGCATGATTGGGCCACTGTACTCCAGCCTGGGCAACAGGGTGAGACCTCAACTCAAAAAAAAAAAAAAAAAAAATACATATATATATATATATATATATGGCTTTGTTTGTAATCACTGTTATCTCATGGTGAGGTATATGATGTAAAATTCAATGTAATTTCCTATTCCTTGTCAATAACACCATGCTAGGCAACTGTCACTTGTATTTAAAATAATTTTGCTGTTTGGGGCTGGGAGTGGTGGCTCATGCCTGTAATGCCGAGGTGTGCAGATCACCTGAGGTCAGGAGTTCGATACCAGCCTGGCCAACGTGGTGAAACTCCATCTCTACCAAAAAATACAAAAAAATTAGCCGTGCATGGTGGCACGTGCCTATGATCTCTACTACTCAGGAGGCTGAGGCACGAGAATCGCTTGAGCCCAGGAGACAGAGGTTGCAGTGAGCTGAGATCATGCCACTGCACTCTAGCCTGGGTGACAGAGTAAGACTCTGTCTCAAAAAAAAAACAAACAAAAAAAACAAACTCAAAAAACTCTCTCTCTCTCTCTTTCTCTCTCTCTCTCTCTCTCTCTGTGTGTGTGTGTGTGTGTATAAATTTTGCTGTTTAGATTTATAACAGTATGCTTTTGGAAATACTTGGTTATTTTGAAAGTCCACACATTGTATTCTCTTGTGTCAATCCTTTTATTGAACTGCTTTCTCGACATTTTATTGATTCTATCTGCTAGGACATTTTATTAGATCTTTTTGGTATATTTTTGTACGGTGCCTGCTGCTGTTTTCCTTTTTTTTCTTTTTTTTTTTTAGAATGTAATATTGTAGTTTAGGTGTTGCATTCATTTTCTAGGACTTTCATGACAAATTGCTACAAACTAGGTGGCTCTAAAATAGTAGGAAGTTTTTTCTCACAGTTGAGGAGGGTAGAAGCCCAAAAGGAAGTGTCCACAGGGCAGATTCTAGGGGAGAATCTTTCTTTGCCTCTTCCAGCTTCTGGTAGTTCCTGGCATTTCTTGGCTTCTGGCAGCATAACTCCAGTTTCTCCCTGTCTTCACATGCTCTTCTTTCTCTCTGTGTGTCTCTGTGTATCTTGTCCTCTTCTTATAAGGGCATGAGTCATTGGATTTAGGGCCTGCCCTAAATCTAGGATGATTTCCTCTTGAGATCCTTAACTAATTACACCTGCAAAGACCTTATTTCCAGATAAAGTCACATTATGAGGTTCTTGGTGGACATGAGGTTTGGGGGGGACACTATTCAACCCACCACAGATGTGAAGGGAATATTTATGTGATTTAAGCTCTGAAAAGGGGTAGGAAACAGGACTAAATAATGTCAACTACTTTGCAGTTTGCAGAAATGTTACCTTGGGCCACTCTCCAGTCTGAGAGTTCTCAGCAATGTGCTCTAGATACAAGTCCCAAGTGAAAGATTGGCTCCTGGGGTTTGGACCATAGGCCTGCCCTCTGGAAGTACCTGTTCGCAAGCTAGAAGTAAGTGATGACCTAAAATGTATATAAGACTTTGAGGCCGGGCATGGTGGATCATGCCTGTAATCCCAGGACCTTGGGAGGCTGAAGTGGGTGGATTGCCTGAGCCCAGGAGTTCAAGACCAGCCTGGGCAATGTGGTGAAACCTCATTTTTACAAAAATTAGCCGGGTGTGGTGGCCCACGCCTGTAGTCCTAGCTACTCAAGAGGCTGAGGTAGGAGGATCACGTAGGTCTGGGGAGGTTGAGGCTGCAGTGAGCTGTGATCGCATATGCCACTGTACTCCAGCCTGTCTCAAAAAAAGAAAAAGACTATGGCCAGTTTGAGCGCCAGAATGTGACATTCTATCATACTATAAATTGTGATAATTTACATGAAAAAATAGTATAGTGATTAAGAGCTCAAGGACTTTGAGAATCACATTCTCTGGTTTCATATTCTGCCTCTGACCCTTATTATCTGGGTGGACTGTGGGTAAATTGGTGAGCCTTGCAATGTCTAATTAAGGGTTAAAGAATACCTTAATACATGTAAAGTGCATGGAACTGCCTGGCATATCATAACTGCTCATTTAATGTTTGTTGCTGCTATATCCGTCAACATCCTCAGGAGAAAGAGAAACTTGTCGTCAGAAAGGTTGATGCCTCCGATTGTTTTCCTAGTATCAAGGGTAAATTTTTACTGATGAATTCATAGATTCCTACCCAGCCTCACCTTAGAAAAATATGCTTTCAGGTTGTCTAGTTAGAGGTTGCAGGTAGTAGAGGTCATGAGATGAGATAATAGGCTCCTGACTGGGAGCAGTGGCTCACACCTGTAATCCCAGCAAGGTGGGAGGGATTGCTTGAGGCCAGGAGTCTGAGACCAACCTGGGCAACATGAGACTTCCTCTCTACTAAAAATACAGCTGGGTATGGTGGTGTGTACATGTAGGCCCAGCAATTTGGGAGGCTGAGGCAGGGGATTGCTTGGGTCCAGGAGTTTGAGGCTGCAGTGAGCCATAATTGCACCACTGCACTCCAGCCTGGGTGACAGAGTGAGACCCTGTCTCGAAAAAAAAAAAAAAGAAAATAGCTTCTTGATTTCATTAACAAGGCATTCTAAACACTGAGTAGCCATTTTAGTGATGTATAAAACTTGCTCCCTGACAGACTTTTGTAGTGAGTTTTCATTTATAGTACATCAAGCAAATCCCCCTTTATGTCATGAGGATATCAGCTTGACTTTTAGTGTAAGTCTGTTAAATAACTTATCTCTGAAGTTAACTTCGAAATTGTTTTCAAATGGATAGATAGGTAGATTAACTACATGTCTTAGCAGGCATTTCAGGATGTTTTGCAACTAATAATCAACTAAAAGATTTGTTATGGGAATGTGGTTTTCCTTCCCTTCAGTTTTTAATGTTTCTCCTGGAGGTGTATGTTACTAATAACACTTCTTTGAAAACCACACTGATTAATATTACTCTTCTGCTTACCTGAAGCTTCTTGGGCAGAGTCCTGCAGTGTAGTTTACTGAGCTTATTAAAAGATTTGTTAATAGATGACTAGAATTCACAGAGGATAATGATACCATTAGAATTCACAAAGGATGATGAGACCAAATATTAAACACTTTGCCAAACAAGTTCTTCTCTCTCTCTCTAGTCTAATTGCTGGTCTTTTAGCATTATGCAAAGAAGAGAGAGGAGACTGGTTCTCTATCTACTGCATACCTATGTTATCTCAGTTAAACTAAACTTAACAGCTGTACAGGTATTATTCTTTTTTTTTTTTTTTTTTTTTTGAGACAGGATCTCACTTTGTTGCCCGGGCTGGAGTGCAGTGGTGCAAACACAACCCATTGCAGCCTCCACCTCCTGGCAGAAGTGATCCTCCTGCCTCAGCCTTCCAAGTAGCTGGGACTACAGGCACTACTATACCTGGCTAATTTCTAAATTTTTTTGTAGAGATGGGGTCTCACTATATTGCCCAGGCTGGTCTCAAACTCCTGGGCTCAAGTGATCCTCCCACCTTGGCCTCTCATAGTGCTGGGATTATAGCCATGAGCCAATGCACCTGGCCTGTACAGGTAGTTTCTTGTTTTATATAAAGAAACCTAGGCTCAGAGACATGGAAGTTGTTCACCATCATGTGTCTACAAAATGACGGAGTTATTAATTGAATCTAAATCTTTCTGGGACTGTTCTTTTTGCTCTTTTCCAACATATGCTATCGCTTCTCTAAATTAGGGAGCTCAGGCAACCACTATGTTGTATACAAAAAAAAGAAGAAAGTACTTAAGTATAGTAGCAAGCTTAAATCATATCTTTGATTCTTTGATCTTTTGAAAATACTTCCATGTTTAGTTCTGAGTATGTGAGGAAATGAGGAAGGAATGGGATGGGGTAGGGTGTCCACACATAATTGAGGAAAATGGATTATTTGAATGGTGTAGTCCTTGAAGATGTGTCCTGTCACATATCCTCCTTTGCAATTCGTTTATTTATTTATCTTCAGCAGGAAGATTCTTCTCCAATTTTCCATCATCATCTGAAACCGTTGCAAGGTTTTGCCTTTAGGTTACAGATAGATTTTTCAGACAGAAGAATACCTTTCAATATAGGTAACCTCTTAAGAGGACTGTACTGCTGCTTCTATTAATAGTCTCTTCTGACAGTTAAAGATGTGGGAAATTGAAATAATTGTTTTTGTCTTGTAGATTAACTGCTGAAGTACTGATCGAGTTCTGCATTTCTTCAATGAGGAACTACAGGCTGATCTTCTGCCATAATCTCAAACAGCCATAAATGACAAAAGAATGCTTGCTCAGTGAGGGTAGCTGGTGCAGAAGCCATTTTTTAAACTTAGGTATTTAAGTACTGAAAGGTAAGTTTTCAAAATGGTAACTATCTCGTGCTCTATAAATCCATAGAGATTTTGGAACTTGCCCCTGTAGCTGCTATTTGATTTAACTTGAGGTTTTATAGTTCTTAGCTGGCACCAGATACATTGAAGAATGGATGTTGCTTGTCTGAGACTATGTAAATGTATGGCATTTTGCTATCCTTAAGTTAATTTTTTCTTTTAAGTTGGCTGCATTGTTTCCTAGTCATGTTGTGACATTCTTGATCCAGTGGGTATACACTTGATCCAGTGGACCTTATTTTTGTAAACTTAGGAATTTTAGTAGACTTATTTTTGTGATTTGCTTTTTTTCTCTTGCAGTGAGAAAGAAATTGTTTTTCTAGGGTGATGGAAAAAATACCAGCTGGTGTCATTTTGTTCATTATCAACCTTTGAGTTTTTCTTTCTTTTACAAATACTCTTTTCCTACGTAAAGTAATAAATGTGTAATGTGTTTATTTTAGAAAATAAATTTTTCTTAGGATTACTTGTTCTCTGATGTGTCAGATATTGGAAATGGCCATCTGAGACATTGTTTTCTCCCACTTCTTTACTGATCACAATTCCTACAAAATTAGGACAAATAACTATTTCTTCTGAACTAGATGGCTCTGAAAATTTTTCTTTTGGATAATTATGAAATAACAGTGTTAAGGACAGGCACAACGGCTTGTGCCTATAATCCCAGCGCTTTGGAGGCTGAGGCTGGCTGATCACATGAGGTCAGGAGTTCAAGACCAGCCTGGCCAACATGGTGAAACCCCGTCTCTACTAAAAATACAAAATTAGCCGGGCGTGGTGGCGCACACCTGTAATCCCAGCTACATGGGAGGCTGAGGCAGGAGAACCGCCTGAACCCAGGCGGTGAATGTTGCAGTGAGCCAAGATTGCACCATTGCACTCCAGCCTGGGCAAAAAGAGCGAAACTCTGTCTCAAAAAATAAAAAGAAATAACAGTGTTGATAAAAGGACATCTCTTATTGAAAGTTGATGTCCAGAAATGAAAAATTTCTTTTTTATAAAAATGTATTACAGGCCGGGTGCGGTGGCTAACGCCTGTAATCCCAGCACTTTGGGGGCCGAGACGGGCAGATCACGAGGTCAGGAGATGGAGACCATCCTGGCTAACACGGTGAAACCCCATCTCTACTAAAAATACAAAAAAATTAGCCGGGCGTGGTGGCAGGCACCTGTAGTCCCAGCTACTTGGGAGGCTGAGGCAGGAGAATGGCATGAACCTAGGAGGCAGAGCTTGCAGTGAGCCGAGATCATGCCACTGCACTGCAGCCTGGGCAACAGAGCGAGACTCCGTCTCAAAAAAAAAAAAAAATTTATTACAGCTGCTTTATCATGTAGAAATAAGAACTCATTAATCTTGTTCTTATTAGCCCATCATTTATAAAAAGTGGTTATTAGATCTGCACTTTCTAAAAAGGATTCTCTCCTGTTTGGGCTTATGAATTGAGGGGTTAGATGAGCTTTATATGGCACAGTCCAGAACGGGTTTGGATTTACCTGTGTCATTAATAAGCTTGTTCAGTAAAGGTTTTCTTGGAGCCAAATTTGCTCCTTAATTTGTCTTTGGGACATTAATGCCTCTTGCTAAATCTTTGATGATTAACTTTGCTATTGTTTGATAAGTATGCAAACACTAAAGGGAGCATTCAGCACTAACTCTTCGTAATAGGGAATATGTTTAGGTAATTGTACTGAACTTCATCTGTAGAACACACTATGGGCCTGCTAACTGGAACATTTAAATAGATGAGAACACATTCAGGTGTAAAGCATTTTTCTTTAATGTATCTAGTCATATTGCCACCTGTTAATCATTATAGTCTTTTTTTTTTGTCTTTCATTTGGCAGAAAAGACAGCTTTGATTTCTGGCTGCAAAAAAGATATGAGGAAGAGCTCCTCCCCTTCCTTGAGTAACTGCAACTCCGTTCTTGCTAACAAAATATTTGGAATTCCACTTGATGAGCTGCAGCAGGGAGGACATCCAGACAATGAGGTTCCATTCATAGTCCGCCACGTTGTGGACTATATTGAGGAACATGGTATACATTTCCTTACTTTGAGGGCTAGCTTTTGTTTTAATAAACACAACTTACACCTTTTTGACCTTGGATTTTTAATTTTTTTTTTTAATATGGAAAGTCCAAAACATAGGAAAAACTAGAAATTCTTTTTAATGTTTTAGTGTGATTTTTACTTAAATTCATATACTTAGAAATGACAGTTGCCCAGCCTAGAACAAGTTTTAGTGGGGGTGATAGGAATATTTTTAATGGATATAAGGGGTGGGATAAAATAGAATATCCCTTAGAACAGAGATAGTATGTTTCTAGATGTATAATTTGAAGGTTTTTAGACAAGTCAGGGGAGCCAAGAAAGGCTTTCCAAAAGTATGAGTATTTTAAGTTAATTGGAGAATGAATATATATGGTCAAGCAGTTGACATTGCAGCTTATTGAATGATTGCCTTGAACTAACGTAGGAGGTCTGGAGCAACAAGGACTTTTTCAAGTCAATGGAAATGCTGAGACAGTGGAGTGGCTTCGGCAGAGATACGACAGCGGAGAAGAGGTGGATTTGGTTAAGGAAGCAGATGTTCCCTCAGCTATTAGCCTTCTTAGATTTTTTCTTCAAGAACTTCCTGAACCTGTTATCCCTGGCAGTTTACATATTCACTTGATGCAGCTTTCTCAAGGTAACATAATTTGATACTTATCAATTGGTCATTTGTTGTTAATTTCCTAGTCTTTACCTTTTAGAAATCTTGACATGTAAACAGTAAGTATAGTATTTTAGAGATTAATTTGTTATTTTCTCATTTGCTTTTTGGGGTTGTATGATCTTGTCATAGGAAAGGCAACTTCCGGGATCCCTCTAGTACTATTTACTTTTTGTGATTGGTTTTATTAGCCTAAGAAACAGGGTGAAGAAGAGGAAAGGGAGGAGACAAGAACAAGGAGTAGGAGGGGTCATCAAAAAGAAAGAAGAGAAATTTATGTAAGGTAATGTGTGTGGTGGCACAATGTCCAATAGTAGCCAAAGGTGTTGCTTAGTGGTGATATTACCACTATTAGGGTTACTTATCCCTGGTTTGATAGAATTTCCTAGCAAAAGGAAGAAGACAACTTTGATTCTAGGCTTTGAATATACCTAAAACTTGTTCTTGAACACTTAGCTAAAGGAAATGAATATCAAATTGAACATTAGACTCTAAGCTAAAGAAACAAAAAAAGATGTATCTTTGTTAGGTTTTTTTGGTGGTGACTAAAAAGTAGTGCTTAGCTAGAGTGGAACAGGAACAGGAAAAATAATGGTAGAGGCAGCAGAAAGGTCAAAGAACCAAGAAGTGAGGAAATGCTTCTGTTCCTAGAGCCAAATGGTATTCATGTATATGTAATGGAGGGACATGCTTCATTATATAGGAAAATGTGTAAAGTTGGCATATAGAGTTATATATTTCTTGAATTTTAAAATTACCCTTTCAGGCTTTTTTGGTATTATGGAGTTCATTTATTTTTTGAATCGGGGCTTCTAAAGAAATTCAGTTATGCTAAGAAATTATAACTACTTCCTTTATGCCTATCTCTATCACAGCTGGGCATTCTATAATATGTGTGTATATATCCTTAAGTATTATGTTGTCAGAGAAGGTATATTTTCTTTCGAAAGTGTTTATCCGTCTTTTTCTTAAATTTTAAACTGTGAGCCTAAGTTAGTTGGATGTCTTTGATTTATGTATAAAGGTCAATGCAAAGACGTTCTGTGACCCTCTTACACATGTTTTCTGTACAGCTAAATCATAAGGCTTACTTTGAACTTGCTATATTCAGGAAGGGGTAACCTGATTCAGTTCTGTTCTTTTACTCTATAATCTGGATCAAAAAACAGGTTTTAAAACGAAATGTTATTAGTAAGGCTACCCTTTTTTCAATGCATCACTTTAATTTTTCTCCCCCCAAAATTACGCTTTTTTGTTTTGAATTTTTGAATCCATTTTATTATTACAGGAATTTTTTCAAATGTTTATGTTGAGACACATAATAAGCATTTTGCATTTATTAAATATGAACCGAAACCAATATGGTAAAGGTTTTTTGAGCCTTTTAAAATAACTCTAGAGCCATTCTCTTTATAGTGATAGGTTTCCATGTTCCCTCTGTTAGCTGAATTGCAGACACATATTTAAAGTTCCAAGAGTCAGATAATCTTTCAGTCCTGAATGAAAATTTATAAATTAATAATTGCAGTGAGATTTAATGGAAGCAAAGTCATTGACTCACTGGTAGAATCTATCAGAAGCTATTTATTTTTCACTAGGATTGTCATTTCAGTTGGTTTTCATTTATTCGTTGTTGTTGTTTTTTTGAAATGTCCTTGCTCTGTCGCCCAGGCTGGAGTGCAGTGGTGTGATCCTAGTTCACTACAGTCTTGATCTCCAGGGCTCAAGTGATCCTCTCGCCTCAGCCTCTTGAGTAGCTGGGACTACAGGCGCGCACCACCATGCCTGGCTAATTTTTTAAAATTTTTTATGTTTTGTAGAGACAAGATCTTGCTATGTTGCCCAAGCAGGTCTTGAACTCCTGAGCTCAAGTGATCCTCCTGTCTCAGTTTCCCAAACTGTCTCAGTTTCCCAAAGCACTGGGATTATAGGAGTGAGCCATTGTACCTGGCCTGGTTTTCATTTAAAATTATGACAGCATCATGTACTGTTGGGACAACTAAGTTCCTCTTCAAAGACACAACTTTCTGGTCATAAATTGTAAACCAATCCTACCCCTTCTTTTCTTTCAAAAATTGCGCATTTACCCTATTTGAAAAAGTTTCAGTCTTAGCCATGGCCTGGTTTTCATTTAAAATTATGACAGCACCATGTACTGTGTTGATATTCATGGAATTACAATACGCATCTTGTTACTTATTCTTATGCTAACATTCACTTGTGAAGGAATTTAAGATATGCAAAAATTTGCAAAAGAGATGTGCAAAAAAAAGCAAAAATGCTTATGGTCAATAAGTGCTTTCATGTTTAATATGAGAAATTCACTGTTTTCTTCTATTTTCCACTTATACATAGATAATCATTAGCATGTGTATGTATGTGTGCACATATACACCCGTTTCTTTAATAGCTGTGCAGCTAGGTATGGTAGTATTTGGGGTGATATTTGCATTTATGTTGTAATATCATCTGATCATTCATTCATTTAGTTATTTTGGGAAGGTGTCTAGATCTCTGAACAAAGTTTCCTCTCTTCATTTACTGTAGATAATTTTGTTTGTTTCTTTTATTCTTTGAGACAGAGTCTTGCTCTGTCACCCAGGCTGGAGTGCAGTGGGACCATCTTGGCCCACTGCAACCTCTGCCTCCCAGGTTCAAGTGATTCTCATGCTTCAGCCTCCTGAGTAGCAGGGACTACAGGTGTGTGCTACCATACCCAGCTACTTTTTGTATTTTTAGTAGAGATGGGGTTTCACCATGTTGGCCAGGCTGATCTCGAACTCCTGACCTCAAGTGATCTGCCCACCTTGGCCTCCCAGAGTGCTGGAATTACAGGCATGAGCCATGGCACCCAGCTGTAGATAAATAATATGATAATATTTTAATATTCACAAATACATGACAGTTAATTGCTTTTAAGATCATGGAAGAAGCACTGTTGCAGTTGCATTTCAGCTTTTGTTTTTAAAAAGTGGTTTCATTTTTCTGTGGTAGCTGGACAGTGCATCCACTGGTGTGGTTAAACCTTTTATTTAGACTAGGGTTTCACAGCCTTGGTACTGTTGATTTTGGGCTTGATAATTTTTTGTGATGGGGAGTTGTGTACCTTAGGATGTTTAGCAGCATCCCTGACCTCTACCAAAGGCACTGTCTTCCCCAAAGTCATGACAACCGTTCATTGTCAGATGTTGACAACTTCTGGGTTAGACCATAATGGTTAGTCCAACTGCTTATACATTGTGTTTTGATAGAAAACATAGCTAGCAGTTTTGTGGATTAGTTAGAACATTTCCAAAAAATGTTACAGTACTTGAAGGAATTGTTAGGGGAAACTTCTCTGATACATACATTATTTTCCTTGGATATGATTTAACTAGAAATTAGACTCCAAAGGAAAGAAATTTAAGCAAGTATGTATATATTTAATGTATTTTGAAATGCTTCTCTGCCTTATTTGAAGACTTCAGACACAGGCCAGTATAGGTACAAATGTGTAGAGGAAATGTAGCCAAACAAAACTTTGGATAATGTGGATAGTATTTCAAATAAAAACAGTATTGCCCACAAGCTTACCACCTCAAGTCAAATGGTGTAGTATGTTCAACATCTTTTTTCAGTTATTGTGTATTCATTCAGTGAATTCAACTAATGTTTATTGAACATCTGCTGTGTGCTAGGCAGTGCTCTAGATCAGCAATCCCCAACCTTTTTGACACCAGGGACTGGTTTTGTGGAAGACAGTTTTTCCACTGATGGAGAGGAGGAATGGTTTTGGGATGAAACTGTTCCAACTCAGATCATTAGGCATCAGATTCTCATAAAGAATGTACATCTAGATCCCTTGCATGCATAGTTCACAGTAGCATTCTTGCTCCTATGAGAATCTAATGCCGCCACTGATCTGACTTGCTGCTCACCTCCTGCTGTATGGCCCAGTTCCTAACAGGCCACAGACTGGTCTGCAGCCCCGGCTGGGGACCCTTGCTCCAGATACTGAGAACTCAGCACTGAAAAAAACTAGATGAAAATCTCTGCCCTCATGGCTGGGCGTGGGGACTCACGCCTGTAATCCCAGCACTTTGGGAGGCTGAGGCGGGAGGATCACTTGAGCCTAGGAGTTCTAGACCAGTCTGGGCAACATAGGGAGACCCTGTTGTTACAGAAACTTCAAAAAATAGCCAGCTGTGGTGGCATTTGCTTGTGGTTCTAGTTACCTAGGAAGTTGACGTGGGAGGATCGCTTGGGCCTGGGAGGTTGAGGCTGTGGTGGGCCTCAGTGATCATGCCACTGCACTCCAGCCTGGAGCGACAGCCTGTCTCAAAGAAAAAAATATCTCTGCGCTCACAGAACTAAAATGCTATAGGGGATAAGGGAAGATGGTAAAGTAGATGATAAAAATAAACATATGGATAGGTATGCTAGACATTAAGTGCCACAGAGCTGGAGAGAATGTTAGGTAGAATTTGTCAAGTGTTGGTATCTTCATTATATTGATAATATTAAGTGCTTGCATTTTTGATATGTGATTTCTATAATAATTTTCTGCTGAATGCTTAGGTTGTTAAAATTTCTCATCAGTTATAGGTCCAGTGATTTAAACATTAATCCAGGGACTATTCTGTCTGATTTTAAAATTGAAGTACTGGTACATTTGAATGGACAGCTGGTAATATTACAAAGTATAGAAGAGTTGTTATTGGTTGCATTTTAAATTTTAAGTAAAACTCATGTGACTGTAGCCTTTCCTGATAAACTTAAAATTTTTTTTTTTTTTTTGGAGATGGAGTCTTGCTCTGTCCCCCAGGCTGGAGTGCAGTGGTGCAATCTCGGCTCACTGCAAGCTCTGCCTCCTGGGTTCACGCCATTCTCCTGCCTCAGTCTCCTGAGTAGCTGGGACTACAGGCACCCGCCAACACACCCAGCTAATTTTTTGTATTTTTAGTAGAGATGGGATTTCACTGTGTTAGCCAGGATGGTCTCGATCTCCTGACCTTATGATCCACCTGTCTCGGCCTCCCAAAGTGCTGGGATTACAGGCGTGAGCCACCGCGCCCAGCCTTTTTTTTTTTCTTTTTGAGACAGGGTCTCACTCTGTCACCCAGGCTGAAGTGCAGTGGCACGATCTCGGCTTACTGCAACCACTGCCTCCCAGGCTCAAGCCATCCTCTCACCTCAGCCTCCTGAGTAGCTGGGAGCACATGTGTGTGCCAGTACACTCAGCTAATTTTTGTATTTTTGGTAGAACGGGGTTTCGTGATGTTGCCCAGGCTGGACTCGAACTCCTGAGCTCAGGTGATGCGCCTGTCTCAGCCTCTCAAAGTGCTGGGATTACAGGCATGAGCCACCATACAAGGCCAAATTTTTTTTTTTTTGAATCAACATAGTACTGGAGTCCTATTTCCTGATAAACTTTTTAGACTAGTGTTATTTTGCAGAGATAGTTAATATCATGACCGTAACCTTTTACCAGGAGTTTTTCAGTAAAATAATTTTAAGAACCTGCGGAAAAATACAAAATGAAACATAATTTAATTGATTTTTACTCATGTAGCACAATAAATCACTTCATTTCGAGAGGACCTCTGAGCACTTATTTCTCCCAAATGGGATCCTCACCAATTAGTGGAATGAATACGGGTCTAGTTTCTGTTAATGAAAACTCATTGACACGATAAATACAAGGCCTAACTTGTGTGATAAAGTTTACTTGATAAGCAGAAACCAACATGAATTTAGAGGAGAAAAACAGACGAGAAATGAAAGACCTTTTAATTTAGTTATACTGATATTGCTGAAGTTAATTGTTTATTTTAGGACGCCAGGAGAAGAAAATCACACTGTTACCTTTTTCTTTCCTTCTTTTTACTTTCATCTAAGCTGAAAGGTATCACTGATACTATTAGCCCCTCAAATTGCATCTCTGCTTTGCTCACTAGTGGTTTGTATTGTCTGGCATGGCCAGTGCATTTTGACTTCTTATAGTTGGCACTAGTGTGGAAACACAGGTACAGTCATGCTGGAGACAGTAGGATGAGAATTAAAAAAAAAAAAAAAAAAAAAAGAGAATTGGGGCCAATGAGTAATAGATGAGGAAAACATCCTCCAGCAATTAAGGGATTGAGTTCCTTTTTTCCAGCTCCTCTTCTCCACCTCTTCTCCATTTCATAAGTGAAATACAAAGCCCTAAGGCATTTGGCCCCAGTAGAGGAAGTGAAGAGGTTTTGAATTGTTGTATTAAAAAGGTGATGTGGGTGGAGTAATGTGAACCTGGCAAAATATCAGAGCTTTGCTTTTTCCTTTATTGAAAAAAACCTGTTATTATTGTTTTATAGATTATAATAATGAAGATGAATTTGGAAGAAAGTTGAGGTTCCTCTTGCAACAGCTTCCACCTGTTAATTATAGTTTGTTAAAGTTTCTGTGTAGATTTTTAGCCAATGTAGCATCACATCATGAAGAAATTTGGTCCGCAAATTCTTTGGCTGCTGTCTTTGGTCCAGATGTCTTCCAGTAAGTTGTTTAAAAAATTTTTGTTTAATTTTTAAAAATTAGATATGTGAGGCCGGGCACGGTGGCTCATGCCTGTAATCCCAGCACTTTGGGAGGCTGATGCGGGCGGATCACAAGGTCAGGAGATTGAGACCATCCTGGCTAACACGGTGAAACCCCGTCTCTACTAAAAATAAAAAAACTAGCTGGGCATGGTGGCGGGTGCCTGTAGTCCCAGCTGCTCGGGAGGCTGAGACAGGAGAATGGCGTGAACCCGGGGAGGCGGAGCTTGCAGTGAGCCGAGATCGCGCCAATGCACTCCAGCCTGGGTGACAGAGCGAGACTCCATCTCATAAAAAAAAAAAAGAAAAATTAGATATGTGAAATGGAATCATTATATTGTCTCCCAAGGATCGCAGGTTGCTTGATGAACAATTATTTTTTATAGTAGATATGATTAATTCTTACAGCATTTTTGTGAACAGGGTACAAATTAGGTAGGTTTTACAGATGGGAGAATGGAAGCACAGAATGGTAACATAAATTGCCCATGTTCATAAAGTATCTCATTGGTTGTCTTCTACCTTTACCTGTGATTGATTTAAGAACTCTCAATTCAATTTGGACTTCTATTCTTAGCATTTACACAGATGTGGAAGACATGAAAGAGCAAGAAATAGTGAGCAGGATAATGGCTGGACTTCTGGAAAACTACTATGAGTTTTTTGAGAATGAAGAGGAAGATTTTTCATCTAATGATTTGAGTTCAATTACTGAACAGGTGAGAATATTCTATTTGGAGGGATAATTTTTTTTTTTTTTTTTTTTTTTAAGAATAATATGCTCTTAAAGACTTGCCACAGACATAAGTGGAATTTAAATCTGACCTGGAAGTAATTATCTTGGTTATTATATGTAATCAGTAGGTGGCACATTCATGATTTTTTTCCTGAACAACATCCTGTCCTCCATAATTTGATTAATAAGGAAAAGGCATTAAAATTAGAGTATATGGTAGAGATTTTTTGTTTCTTTTCCTATTGTTTATTTTGTAAGGATAATGCAGTGTTTTGGTTTTTTGCAGAGAAACTGCTAGCATAGAGGAATATAGGCAAGGGGTGAGAAATTTAAAGTAGAGGGAAAGATTCGGTACACATTTTTAAAAATTTGAAGTTTTTCTTCAATAATAGAGCAAATCAACACAATAGTATAATTGTCACTAATGGGAAGCATCTGGATATTAATAGTTTAAGTGGCAGGTAATTTTTAAATTCTGGTGACTCTAGAATATTAAAATCTCTTTCTGAGGTTACATTATAATCTTTTAAAAAATTGTTTTATTATTTATAGAGACAGGGTCTTCTTATGTCGCCCAGGTTGGTCTTGAACTCTTGGCCTCAAGCAGTCCTCCTGCCTTGGCCTTCCAAAGTGTTGGTATTACAGGTGTTAGCCACCACACCTGGCCCCACAAAATGATTTTAAAAAGTGTGATATAACATGTTAAAATAGGCCAGGCGTGGTGGCTCATGCCTGTAATCCCAGCACTGTGGGAGGCTGAGGTGGGTGGATCAGCTGAGGTCAGGGGTTTGAGACCAGCCCGGCCAACATGGTGAAACACTGTCTGTACTAAAAATATAAAAATTAGCCAGGCATAGGGGCATGTGCCTGTAATCCCAGCTACTGGAGAGGCTGAGGCAGGAGAATTGCTTGAACCTGGGAGGCGGAGGTTGCAGTGAGCCAAGATCGTAGCACTGCACTTCAGCCTGACCGACAGAGCAAGACTCCATCTTAAAAACAAACAAACAAAAATGTTGAAATAATAGTATCTCTGTACCAAAAAGGTGTGAACTGAATAAGTTTTTATTCTCAGTTTTAAAAGCCTTCTTTAAAAATTTTTTTTGATATTTTGCTGTTGTGCCCAGGCTTTTATTAATCAACCACAATAATTCCCACCCCTGCCCCAACCCTTTTTTTTTTTTTTTTTTTGAGACAGTCTCGCTCTGTCGCCCAAGCTGGAGTGCAATGGTGTGATCTTGGCTCACTGCAACCCCTGTCTCCCAGGTTCAAGCAATTCTCCTGCCCCAGCCTCTCGAGTAGCTGGGATGACAGGCGCTCGCCACCATGCCTGGCTAATTTTTGTATTTTTAGTAGAGACAGGCTTTCGCCATGTTGGCCAGACTCGTCTCGAACTCCAGGCCTCGGGTGATCCACCCACCTCTACCTCCCAAAGTGCTGGGGTTACAAGCATGAGCCACTGCACCTGGTCCCCTTTTATACTTCTGAAAACTTTTTTTTTTTTTGGCCAGTGTTTCCTTGCTTAGATTACCAGATGGATATTAAGTACATCCTCTCAACTTTCACTAGTTAATAAAATACGTAGATGGGGAAAGAGGATAATTTCCCATTAGATCTACTTTAAAACCTGATCTATCATTTGAGATTTTCACCTTTGTGTTGAAATCTTACCTCTCAGTTAATCACTTAGGCCAGTGATTTTTCAGTCCTTTTCATTAGCATTATACATGATGTGGGATAGACTAGGAAAGACATTTATAAACACAACGAATTATACAGAATCTGCTGCATGTACTTTACATGTGAACTTAATGGTTCACTAACTGTTTTGTTTTTATTTTTGTTTTTGTTTTTGAGACAAAGTCTTGCTGTGTTTCCCAGGCTGGAGTGCAGTGGTGCGATCTTGGCTCACTGCAACCTCTGCCTCCTGGGTTCAGGCAATTCTGTTTCAGCCTTCCAAGTAGCTGGGATTACGGGCACATGCCACCACATCCGGCTAATTTTTGTATTTTTAGTATAGGTTGGATTTTGCCATGTTGGCCAGGCTGGTCTCGATCTTCTGCCCTCAAGTGATCCACCCACCTTGGCCTCCCAAAGTTCTGGGATTAAAGGCATGGGCCACCGCGCCTGGCCTAACTATTGTTAATAATGACTTTTTAGTGACCCATCTGACTAGTGAGCTTGATAGACCTGTGGTTGAGACCTCCTGCTTTAGGTAGTTTGGATGGTGGATACTCTCTTCATTTATATAAAAAGTGATGTTACATGTAGAAGCTAGGATCTATGCTATTAAAGAAATGACAACAATTTCAGTTATAATGATAGGCATTATTGCTTATTATGTATAGACATTGCTGAAGAGGTTACATATATTAATCCTTTCAACCAGCTCTGTGAGGTAGTTAGTATAGCATCTCCATTTTATACTTAAGACTTGGACAAGTTAAGTAAGTTGCCAGAGAAAGTTAGGGACAAGTAGGGATGTGTGAATATAGGTATTTCTGCCTCTGAGGCCTAGCTTTTAACTACTGTATTATACTTTATTTAATTTCGAAACCAAATCTTACTCTGTCACCCAAGTTGGAGTGCAGTGTCACAATCGCGTCTCTCTGCAGCCCCGACCTCCTGGGCCCAAGTGATTCTCCTACCTCAGTCTCTCAAGTAGCTGGGACTACAAGCACATGCCACCATGCCTGGCTAATTTTTGTATTTTTTTGTAGAGACAAGGTTTCACCACGTTGCCCAGGCTGGTCTGGAACTCCTGGGTTCAAGGGTTCCAACCCCCTCAGCCTCTCAAAAGTGCTGGGATTATAGGTGTGAGCCACCGACCATACCCAACCTGTATTATACTTTAAAATAGGCACTCTGTACTTGTTGATTAGGAGTGTGATAGAATATCACAGTGTAATGACTTTTCTTTTGGTTGCAGTTTTACTTTCTGATAGTATTCTAGTAACTGTATTTGTCCATCAGGAAAAACACCACTGTTACATGTAGTAGTAAACACATTTATTCTAGATATTTCTATTGCATTTTTCTAGCATGGAGAAAAAGCATACTTGCATTGCTCAGAGTCTTTAATGACTAGTATTAGTTTATATTAAGCAATTCTATAGATAGTTTCTTCTTTGGGATAACTTAAAAACTCATTTGAAAATATTTTGCTGGTTTTCCTTCTCTAATATTTCAGTATCTTTTTATTAGAGTGATTACCTACGTAGCCAGTTTCATAATGGAGGACATTTTAGAGCTCCTGCTAGCAAGATAATTATAACCTTGACTTGTGCTTACTGGTCAAAATATGAGTTCTTCCTTGTTATAGGATTCCATCTCTTCATGAATAATTCAATCTGAATCACTTAGAAGTTAGCTGACATTTTCTAAAATGTAGCTAACATCTTAAGGCAACATTTTTTTTGCGCTTCTTTTTTCACACTTACTATATTAAAATGACTTGTTTAAGGCACCTGGAAAATCAGATCAATTAAAAGTCTGTTGTAAGTGTTACATTTACGAAACTAGTTAGAAAATTAAGTTTTCTTAATGTTAACTATACCTTACAGGCTTACTTATATTCCTAGATATACTAATTTTGCAATATACTAATATACTAATTTGCAACTAGTGATACACTAATCCTGCTTCAAAATGTTACATTTGTCTGGTTGCAATTTTATTTTGATATGAAAAAGTTGACAGTTACTTACTCCATAAGAGAGATTGGTCCTAGGAAATGAGGAAATAAAAATGAGTTGTTTGTGTTTAAAATTTTCATAGAATAGTATGTCTTAGATGTGTTAACGGTTTCATTACATTTTAATTCTGAATTTCTTTTTATTTATATAGGTTAATGAACTTTCTGAGGAAGAAGAGGAAGATGAAAAGCTGGAACATATTGAAGAACTTCCAGAAGAGGGTGCAGAAAAATCAAATGACATGCCAGAGGTGGTACAATTAAGGATGACTGAAAACATCCTGGAATCAAATAGTGTTACGGCAACAAGGTAATAGCTCAGTTGAATGAACTTTAGCTTTTGAGTATTTCATTCTAAGTGTAAACTCACTCCAGCATTCAGAAACACAAACTGTAACTATATGTGAAAGTTTGGCATTTGTGTGTGAAAAAGAGCAAGAAGTAAAATTTAAAGATGCAGTCTTGCTAAGGAATTTTCAGTTATTAGTGTTAATACCTTTTTTCAAAAACATAACTTCTTACAAATATTTCTTGTTAAAGTTGGTTTTGTATTAGCTTATTAATTGGGCTGGATAAAATTTCAGAACCTCTGGAAGTAGCATCGTTAGAGAAGGATACAGTGACTGAATTGACTTGTATATCCCGTTTCCAGGCTACAATTAGTTGTAACTAGGCTGTAAGGATGGAACTCTGATCCATTAAGATAGTGCTTTCCAATTCTTTTCATGTACAAAATGATAATATTTACATGGCATGCTGGGTAAATTCGATAAATGTGGTAGGCTGAAGACCCTATCCCAGCACATAGCTGGGACCACTGGGCACACTATTTAGGAAGCTTTAGAGAACTCAAGAGAAAGAGTGAACCTTTCTGTGGCTTTTGATAAATATTTCCAGACTACTTAAAGGATGTAACCCAGTTTACATTGTCATACTCCCCATATGTATCTTTAGGTCTGCTAAATTCTATGCTCGTTCTCCGTAAAGCTCCATGGTTTACTAACCCTTTCTACTTAGGAGGATCCAGCTATATATTTAGTCCACTAGATATTTTTCATTTAATTTGTGTTCAGTGGAAGGGTGGTTAAAAAGAAGAGGAAATAGGCCGGGCGCGGTGGCTGACGCCTGTAATCTCAGCACTTTGGGAGGCCGAGACGGGCAGATCATGAGGTCAGGAGATCGAGACCATCCTGGCTAACACGGTGAAACCCCGTCTCTACTAAAAATACAAAAATTAGCCGGGCATGGTGGCGCGCGCCTGTAGTCCCAGCTACACGGGAGGCTGAGGCAGGAGAATGGCATGAACCCGGGAGGCGGAGCTTGCAGTGAGTCGAGATCGCGCCACTGCACTCCAGCCTGGGCGACAGAGCAAAACTCCGTCTCAAAAAAAAAAAAAAGAAGAGGAAATAATAATTTGAGTCAGAAAGCAAAATGTCATTTAAAAGTAACTGGTAATATCTAAGGGAAGAGCTATCTATTGCCATTTAGGAAAATTATGAAGTAATTTTAAATGCTGCTAAACACAATTATTACATTTCTCTGTAGGCCTCTGGATCTTTATATTATCTATGGTTTCTTCAAACAGGATCATAATTCTGTTATATTAACATGTTTATTCTCTCTGTTGCCCGATTTAACATTCTGTTTTTGCTTTTATGTGTGTTTACATGACCTTCTAATTTATTTTTTGATGGTTTCTTAACTGTATTTTAATTATATATTAAAATATTATCTATATGTTCAGATATTTAACTGTATTCTAACATTCTTTTTTCTTGATATTTTGAGTTGTTTCAGCTAGCTTGTCAGTACTGTACTGCTACTAAAAAAAAAAAATACCTTTGTTGTTTGGCCCTTTTTTCCTCCTTCTAAATTATTTGGATACATTTACTGGAATTGAAGAGTGAACCTTTCTCTGGCTTTTGATAAATATTTCCAGACTGCTTAAAGGACGTGACCCAGTTTACACTGTCATTAACAGTATTTTCTTGAGGACCTTACAGCAATAGATTTAAATGGGTGTTTTAAATTTTGTTAATTAATTAATTTATTACTATTTTTTGAGACCAGAGTCTCACCCTGTCACCCAGGCAGGAGTGCAATGGCACAATCTCGGCTCACTGCAACCTCTGTCTCCCGGGTTCAAGTGATTCTCATGCCTTAGCTTCCCAAGTAGCTGAGACTATAGGCACGCATCACCATGCCCAGCTAACTTTTGTATTTTAGGAGAGATGGAGTTTCACCATGTTGCCCAGGCTGGTCTCAAACTCCTGGCCTCAAGTGATCCGCTTGCCTTGGCCTCCCAGAGTGCTGGGATTGCAGGAGTGAGCCACTGCACCCGGCCTCTAATTTTGTTAATTTAGAGCTCTGCTCTCCAATAAGGTGGCCATTAGCTCCTTCTGTGTATTTATTATTATTTAATGACAGGGTCTCTCGCTCTGTCATCCAGTCTGGAGTGCAGTGGCACAATCACAGCTCATGTATAGCCTCTACCTCTTGGGCTCAAGCAGTCCTGCCTCAGCCTCCTGTGTAGCTGGGACCACAGGTGCTCGCTACCATGCCCAGCTAGGTTTTGTATGTTTTGTAGAGATGGGGTTTCGGCATGTCACCCAAGGTGGCCTTGAGCTCCTGGGCTTACAGGTGTGAGCCACTGTGCCCGGCCACTTGTGTGTATTTAAATGTAAACTTAAACGAACTGAAATTAAATAAAATTTTAAAATTCCTTCCATATTTGTGCCACCTACATTTCAAGTGCTCAGTAGCCACACGTGTGGCAAGTGACTATCATGTTGGGCAGTGCAGATATAGAACATTTCTATCATTGTAGAATTTCTTTTGGACAGTGCTGATTTAGACAAGTGAATTCATTAAGTATTTTTATTTATGTAATTACCAGCAAGGCTAAGTATGGTTTCAAATACATATTACTAATAGCTTCTCTTCGATCATCTGTCTGGTTTTGTAGAGGATCCTCCTTTGCTCCAACACAGTCATTGGAGATTTAGTGGTTGTCAGTTTTGTTTTTTTTTTTGAGATGGAGTTGCGCTCTGTTGCCCAGGCTGGAGTGCAGTGGTGTGATCTCGGCTCACTGCATCCTCCACCTCCTGAGTTCAAGCGATTCTCTGGCCTCAGCCTCCCGATTAGCTGGGATTACAGGCCCGCACCACCGTGGCTGGCTAATTTTTGTATTTTTAGTAGAGACGGGATTTCACCATGTTGGCCAGGCTGGTCTCAAACTCCTGACTTCAGGTGATCTGCCCACCTCAGCCTCCCAAAGTGCTGGGATTACAGGTGTGAGCTACCACGCCTGGCCAGTTGTTAGGATTCTTTAATTGCAGCTCCTAGGAACAGATTCTGGTTAAAGTATAGAAAAAGCAGTTTATTAATAAGAAGGATTCTGGGCTACAGTCAAATCGAAATGCAAAGATAAGAACATGGGCAGCTCTGTGAAATTTAGAAACACAGAGGCATGTAATAATCTCTTCAGCATGTGGCTATTGCTGTGAGAGTTCTGACTGCCTCCGTCTGTCTGTTATTCTGCTTTGGAGCACATAGCTGTGGGGTGGTCGGGAGAGGGTCTGCCCTAAATTTAGTTAGGTGTCTCTATTCCCATGGCCAGCGTGGAACTGGTCATTGTGATTTATGTGTCTCTGAGGACGGTGCGGGATGGAGGGAGGAGCTAGTTTCCCATGGGAAAACAGGGCTATTACCAAAATGTTGGGGTAGGGATATTAGGCAGCAGAAACAGATATGTCTACCATTGTGGTCTTCTAGATTTAGTAATATTTATGTGTTTCGGTTAATATCTATACATTTCCTTTTTATTTTAGTTTTGGCTGATAAAGTGTATAAAGATTAAAAAGTACCCATGACTACTTTTTTGGTGGTATCTATTGCTTCATTATAGTACTTTTCAGGTAAATAAAACCCTTTACATGTCATGAGAGTAGAGGTACCTGCTGTTTTTTTAGTTGACATTTATTTATTTATGAAAATGTTAATAATTTAACTCTTCTCTTGAAAGTAAAAATATCCACGGTGTGTAGTACCTTCTAGACTGTGGTCAATTTATATTCTATTTGTTATTAAAGATGCTCATATTAAAAAATTTTTATAAATTACCTAGTTTTACATTCATTTGGCAACTTATTTTTACGGTTGTTATTACTGCTTGAGATAGAGGCTAAAGATTGAAGTTGTTTATAGGTGTGTCCTCTATGAAATTAAAAGTAAATAAAAATGCATGCCATTTCATAAGTGCTTAATGAGAGATAAGCAAATGAAAAATTGAAGTGGAATGAAGCACACAGCTAGTTAGAGGGAACAGGCCCGGCGCGGTGGCTCACACCTGTAATCCCAGCACTTTGGGAGGCTGAGGCAGGCAGATCACGAGGTCAGGAGATCGAGACCATCCTGGCTAACATGGTGAAACCCCGTCTCTACTAAAAATACAAAAAAAAAAAAAAATTAGCCGGGTGTGGTGGCGGGCACCTGTATTCCCAGCTACTCGGGAGGCTGAGGCAGGAGAATGGCGTGAACCCGGGAGGCAGAGCTTGCAGTGAGCCGAGATGTCGCCCCTGCACTCCAGCCTGGGTGACAAAGTGAGATTCTGTCTCAAAAAAAAAAAAAAAAAAATAGAGGGAACAGATTTGTTTGATCAGCCTTTCAGAAAGAATGATTAGGGTTTTTAAATATATTTTTAGAGATATTTATTTTTGCATGTCTCTCTGCTAAACAAGGATATCTGTTTGTTTTTTGTTTGTTTTCACATGGAGTTTCACTCTGTTGCCCAGGCTGGGCTGGAGTGCAGTAGCGTGATCTCGGCTCACTGCAACCTCTGCCTCCTGGGTTCTCAATTCTACTGCCTCAGTCTCCTGAGTAGCTGGGATTACAGGCGCCCACCACCATGCCTGGCTAAGTTTTGTATTTTTAGTAGAGACAAGGTTTCACCACATTGGCCAGGCTGGTCTCTTGAACTCCTGATCTCTAGTGATCCACCCGTCTCGGCCTTTCAAAGTGTTGGGATAACAGGTGTGAGCCACTGCACCCAACTTCCATTGAAGTATATTATTTCTAATCCCCAGCAATCCACTTAAGCTTTTTATTCTTGTTTCTTAAAAATTATAAAAGTACTTTGCTGAGTCTAGCTGATTTCATTAGTATAACATGTCTGTTGTTTTAAAAACTAAGATCATTTATTATATTATTTTTCTCTGAACTCTTCAGAGAGGTAAGAGCGTTTCATTCCTTTGGTTAAATCCCTTTAATGTCTCTCTATTGAAGGAGCCAAAATTCTTAAATGGCCTGTAAGGTTCTGCATACATAGTCTGCCCCATCCCACCTCTAACTGCTGTACCCGTTTTTCCTTTATCTCTTGCCTGCTCTCTCTTTGGTCATTCTCCTTTGGCCATAACAAAATTCTTTAATTCACCAGTCATGTTCTACTTGAGCCTTTGCACTGGACTGTTCTTCTATATGGATAGATGTGCCACTAGATAGCTGCATGGTTCTCTCAGTATGTTCAATTCTTTGCTCAAATGTCACTGTATCAGTGATAACCTCCTCATCCTCCATTCTTGATCTCCCTTACCCTGTTCTGTTTTGTTCATAACTGTTATAACCATCTAACATACATGTATTATTGTTATTGTCTGTCTTCCATCACTAGAAAGTAAACCATGAGACAGCAGGATTATGTTTACTTATGTATTTATAACACTTAGGATAGTGCCTGCTACAGAATAGGCACTCAGTAAAGTATTACTTGTTGAATAAATGGAGCTTTAGAAGGAAGATGGAATTTTCTTGAATGTTCAATTTAATATGATTAAAATTACATATATAGCAAATGTGTCAGTGTTCTGAGACAGAAGAAATATAAAATATATTGTTTGATTATCTACCTTGGATGAAAGGAAAGTCAGGGAGAAATTTCCCTAGAATGCATAGGGCCTAGTATATAGGGAGCTCTTAATGAATTTGAAACTGGAGATTGAACTTTTCGTAATTAACATGTCATCTTTTTGAGTATTCCTATGAAGTAATTTGCAAACATTTATTGGAAATATTAGGTAGCCTGCTTTGTATTTCTCTTCAGAAGTAGCCTAGGAAAGTATGTTGGAATCCTAAGAGAAATAAACACTTGGGGGATGATTTAAGTTAGCATTTCTCAAACTTTTGGTCACAAACATTAGTACCCTTATAAAAAGTTATTGAGGACTCCAATGAGCTTATGTTAATGTGGACTATACTTATTGGTATTTACCATATTAGAAATAAAAACTGAGAATATTTAACTACAGGGAGTATTTCTTTGCCAAGTTGTAGTTTGGAAAGATGCTGTTTTTTTTTTTTTTGTTTTTTGTTTTTTGAGACAGTGTCTTGCTCTGTCGCCCAGGCTGGAGGGCAGTGGCACAATCTTGGCTCACTGCAACCTCTGCTTTCAGAGTTAAGGGATTATTGCGCCTCAGCCACCCAAGTAGCTGGGTCCACAGATGTGCGCCACCACACCTGACTAATTTTTGTAATCTTAATAGGGATGGGGTTTCACCATGTTGGCCAGGCTGGTCTCGAACTCCTGGCTTCAAGTGATCTGCCTACTTCGGCCTCCCAAAGTGTTGGGATTGATTATAGGCATAAGCCACCTCTCCCGGCCTGGGTGCTTCTGTTTGTAGCTAAAATGTAACTATTTATGACCTCGTGGATTTTTATTAATAAAGTCTTTCTCCTTTATTAGTTTTAAGTTAATGCTTCTCAGATATTTTGGTTATACAATCCCCTTACACACTTAAAAATTATTGGGCACCCTAAAGAACTTTTGTTTCAGTTTGTTATATCTATTGGTGTTTATATTAGGAATTAAAACTGAGAAAAAATTATTTAGTTAATTTTTTATTTTTTTGAGACAGGGTCTTGCTGTGTCACCCAGGCTGGAGTGCAGTGGCATGATCATGACTCACTACAGCCTTGACCTTTCAGGCTCAAGCAATCCTCCCACCTCAGCTTGATGAATAGCTAGGACTACAGGCATGCAGCACCATGCCTGACTAATATTTTATATTTGTTGTAAATACAAGGTCTCGTTACGTTGCCCAGGCCAGTCTCAAGCTCCCAGGCGCAAGTGATTCTCCAGCCTTAGTCTCCTTAAAGTGCTGGGATTACTGGGCCTTATTTAGTGTTTTAAAGTAACAATAAACCTATCACATATTAGTGTAATTTTTTTTAAATGAAAAGTAATTGTGTTTTCTAATTCCCTAAACTTTTTTAGTAGCAATGTTTTACATTTTTGCAAACCTCTTGAATTTCTATCGTGAAGGATTCTTACATTTTCTTCTGCATTTAATCTGTTGCTGCTATGATCTGGAAGTTTTGGTATTAGGAAGTGGGGCCTTTGGGAGGTTATTAGGCCATGGGGGTGGGGTCCTCATGAGTTAGACTGGAACCCTTATAAAAAGCCTGAGAGAAGACTCCTTAGCCCTTTCACTCAGTGGTAACACAGTGAAAAGTCTATCAATGGGCCCTCATCAGACACTGAATCTGCTGCTGCCTTGATCTCAGACTTCTCAGCCTCTAGAACTGTGAGAAATACATTTCTGTTGTTTCCTAGTGTATGGCATTTTGTTATAGTAATGTGAATGGACTAAGAAAATTGGTGCTGAGGAGTGGGTGTTGCTGTAACAAATACCTAAAATATGGAAGTTGCTTTGGAACTGGGTAATGGATAGAGGCTGGAAGGTCTTGCACTCACCCAGGCTGGAGTGCAGTGGTGTGATCTCGGCTCACTGCAGCCTCCGCCTCCTGGGTTCAAGCGATTCTTCTGCCTCAGCCTCCTGAGTAGCTGGGACTACAGGTGCGTGCCACCACACCTGGCTAATTTTTGTATTTTTAGTAGAGATGGGGTTTCACCATGTTGGCCAGGCTGGTCTCAAACTCCTGACCTCATGATCTGCCCACTTCAGCCTCCCAAAGTGCTGGGGTTACAGGCATGAGCCACTGCGCCTGGCCAGAAAATTTTTTAAAATGAGCTGGGCATAGTGTCATGTGCTGTGGTCCCAGTGACTCAAGAGGCTGAGGTGGGAGGATTGCTTGAGCATGGGAGGTCCAGGCTACAGTGAGCCATGATTGTGCCACTGCACTCCAGCCTGGGCAACTAAGTGGGACCCTGTCTCAAAAAAAAAAAGACAAAAAAAAAAAAAGACCCTGAAGGCAATTCAGAAATCAATTACAGGCCTTGAGTGCAAGGGCCTGCGAGGAGGCCCTAAATGCAAAGGAGGGGCCACCAATGATGGGGGACCTTGGGGACCTTGGCAAGATTCCATTATGCCTGGTACCATACTCTTCTGCCACTTTAGGTATGGCTCTGGTGTGATAACAGGCAGCACCATCTCTACCAGAGCACAGAGTGTGTGAGCCCTAGGGGTGGCTACCTCCACCGTTCAAAGGATGGGGCTGCCCCGGTGACCCAGGGAAGAGGACCATGATGGGGATGGGATATGGTATATTGGTCATTTGGAAAAGATTGCTTCACTGAGTTCTGTAATCTTCCAGATAGTTGGCACATTTGTTAAAGTTCACATTCTTTAATATCACTGTTGATTGCATCAGAAGCATCTTTAAGTATTCAGGTGTTTTTGAGCTTATGGAGGAGGATACAGGTTTTCCAGAATTTTGATTTTTGCTTGAAAATTCAAATTTTATATTGTCAGTTTTTCTTAGAGTCTTAGTCGTTTCTGAGAAAATGTCTGCCAGTGTTCAAGTCCTAATAACCATGGTTTAGATGTTAGTCTTTCAAGTAAAAATGGTATTCCGTAATAAAAGTGATTAGTTTAGCTCTCAACAAGGTAAGTTATGCTGCAGAAGTGCTTTATGAGTACTTCCCTTTTACACTGAATATTAAAAAAGAAATGTACTCAAGGAGTAAGATGAAATTAATCATTGTTTTCTGCTTCTCTGTCACGGACTGGCCCCTTTTTAAAAAGTTTCAAGTGGCTGGTGAGGAAGAATGCAGTGGCCACAGTATTACTTGTCTGGACTTATGCTAAGACCCCAAGCAGCTTTTTCTACCATTGATTTTGCATCATCATTGTTGAAAACTTTAAACAACAATTTTAAGTTTATTTGAGCATTAAAGGATTCATGAATCAGGCAGCAGTCAAAACCAGAGGAGGTTCAGAGTGCTCCACTTTAGCAGCCTGAGCATTGGGGCTTTTATAGGCTGAAAGCAGAAGTAAAGAAATAACTTGATTGGGTAGGCATTTGCCTTATTTGGATATGATACAGTGGAAAGTTCCTAGTTAGAGGTTAGTTGGTGGGTTTTGATTAGTCATCTTACTGTTGACATTGGGTTTCAGTTCACTTATGTAGGAAGCCAAGGCACTGGAGCCATCTCAGCCTGATGGCCTCCCAATTTAAGAAATTTGAAAACATGCAAATGTCAGCACAGTGAAAAAGGCATACAGTATGAAGGTACTTCTAACTCTTTCATAGACGGTTTTGAAGACTCTCAGGTTTATAGACCTCTTTTTGAGAACCAGTGGTTTAAATGTTTGCTTGTGAGTTGTATTGATTGGTCTGTTCATGTATCTGTTATTTCTGCAGTTGTCATTAGCTATGTTTTGTTAAGATTTAAGCTGTCTTCAGAGTGGAAAAAATGGTGGAGTTTGGGGTGTGAGCAGCCTAGGGTGCATGAAAAAGCAGTAGTTTTGTTTGATTGATCCTGAGGTTCTTATCCATGAAGTCCATGGAAATCTCAAGATTGTTTCTAAATTGTTGTTTTATATCCACATGTTTATCATTTAGCTTTATATATATTATATATATATATATTTTTTGAGATGGAGTTTCGCTCTTGTTGTCCAGGCTGGAGTGCAATGGCACGATCTCAGCTCACCGCAACCTCCGCCTCCCGGGTTCAAGTGATTCTCCTGCCTCAGCCTCCCAAGTAGCTGGGATTACAGGTGCCTGCCACCAGGCCCAGCTAATTTTTTGTAATTTTAGTAGAGATGGGGTTTCACCATGTTGGGCAGGCTGCCCTTGAACTCCTGGCCTCGTGATCCACCTGCCTCGGCCTCCCAAAGTGCTGGGATTACGGGTGTGAGCCACGGCATCTGGCCTCATTTAGCTTTATATTTAAATGTACAAATTTTAGGGGAATTTTTACCTTTAAAAAATGTGAAGAGAGAAAGGAGAGTTCTAAAAGAGCTTTTACCTTTTCTTCCCTGTGCTTTGTAATCTTTTTCCTGTGTTGTATTGGGAAAGTTTATTTTGGCTTGAGGTTTAGGTAATTTTTAATTTATGCTCATGCTTAAGAAACCACAAGCCAAAAAAAATTACTTCGTGTTATAAAGTTCATTTAAAGTTGTGCTTCTGATGCCTTCCTAAAACTCAATTTAGAAAGATGAAAAATTGGGCTGGGCTCAGTGGCTCATGCCAGTAATCCAGCACTTTGTGAGGCCAAGGAGGGTGGATCACGAGGTCATCAGGAGTTCGAGACCAGCCTGGCCAACATAGTGAAACCCCGTCTGTACTAAAGATACAAAAAATTAGCTGAGCATGTTGGTGAGCGCCTGTAATCCCAGCTACTCGGGAGGGTGAGGCAGGAGAATCGCTTGAACGCGGAAGGTGGAGGTTTCAGTGAGCTGAGATTGCACATTGCACTCCAGTCTGGGCGACAGGGTGAGACTCCATCTCCAAAAAAAAAGAAAGATGAAAAATTGAAACTCTCTTTGTGGGTTGCTGATGTTAGGGCTTCATTCTTGTGAGTTCATTGGTTTCTGATGGTTCAATTTTAGATAAGGTGCAGGAAAGAAGGTGTAAGTGATTTAGGAAGAGCCATGGGTTTAGGGTTTTAAGACTGGTTTCTGGCCAGGCGCCGTGGCTCACGCCTGTAATCCCAGCACTTTGGGAGGCTGAGATGGGCAGATCACAAGGTCAGGAGATCGAGACCATCCTGGCTAACGTGGTGAAACCCCGTCTCTACTAAAAATACAAAAAAAAAATTAGCCAGGCGTGGTGGCCGGCGCCTGTAGTCCCAGCTGTTCGGGAGGCTGAGGCAGGAGAATGGCATGAACCCGGGAGGCAGAGCTTGCAGTGAGCCAAGATTGTGCCACTGCACTCCAGCCTGGGTGAGAGTGCAAGACTCTGTCTCAAAAAAACAAAAAACAAAAAACTGGTTTCCACTTCATTCTGTGGATCCCCTACTGAGAAAATATGCCTTCAGTTGACTAGAGGGGTATGCGGACTGTAGTAGTATCTTTTTTCTTTTCTTTCATCGAGTCATACAGTTTGCAAAATATTTCAGTTGACAGATTTTATCAGTTCACATTTTCAATATCCAGGTTCCACTTGAGTGTAAAAAGGAAGTCATACTTTGGTGGAAGTACCAGAAATGTTGGGCAGTAACAAGTAGAATTTATGCTCTGGGTCATGAGGAAATTTTATTAGAGTTAAAAAAAATGTTTTAAGTACTAGCACATGATAAATATTGACAGGTTCTCTCCCTCTTTTCCGTCTCCTGTAAATGATGCCTTTGATATTTTAAAGACTTGTTATATATAACTTATTGACTAACTTTGTAACAGTGAGAAATCTTTTGATATACTCTTGTCATAGGTATAAAATACTCCTAAGTTGATGGGGAAAGTTAGGAAAGGATTTTTGCTTTTGGTTTTAAAGGAGCATGAGGTTATTATTTTTGTTTTGTTTTATATGTTCATTTTTCAAAACCATAGTTTTTTAAATGGTAATTTTGGTATAGTTCTAGCATGACTCATCTGGAAGCTATCCAATTTTTAGACTTGAAACGTTAACCATAAATGCTTTTCTCAAATTGGATAATTGAACAATAGCACTATTTTGCATATTTTAGTAATTTCATATTTATAATTTATGTCCCTGGTTATAGTAGTTTGATTAATGAAAACAGATTGGTTTCTCCACTTATATTGGATTAGGCTTATATATTTTTGAGAGAAGTCTAGCTAGATTAAAAAGTTTGTTCCTCTTTGTCCACCTCCTGAAAAGTTGCAAAGTAATGAGGAAAAAAATTGTAGACTCTTGATTGGGTACCTCCTTGTCAGTAGTGACCTCATGTTGCAGTCTTTTTCCGTTTAAACTGCAGAGTGTAGCACAGCTCTACTGTGTGTAGGACTCAGCACTAATAATTGCTCAGCAGTTTTTATAAGCCTATCACCTTCCTTTACTGTGCTTTCAATGAAGTCTTTACCTGATGTTTTTGTTGGAAGGTGCCAGGGTATTCAGAATGGTTTCCAAGGCTGTGTTGCACTGGTAAAGTGATCTTTACCAGAGTCAGTTGAGGCTGAACTGCAATACTTTTATTGAAATATCGTTTGTAGCATTAAATATTTACAATTGGGAAATTAAAATAATAGTAGTTTCTTATTTTATTTGGATACAAAATATTAGTGACTGGAGTAAGTGGTTGCAAGATTGATCTTATGTTCTCAAGATGATTATGTCATCGTAGGCAGATTTGAAAATAGAGTTAATAGCAGAAGGGATAAAATGTCAGGGAATGACTATAGTCTTCAATGTTGTGCTTGACTGATGACTTTAAAATATATATGTCCCCTGTGATTTATTGTTTGTCTTTCTAGTCAAGGCTTCCTTGTCTAGGGGTTGAATGAATACAATTAGCATTTTTATGTGGTCTTTATGGCATCTGCCTATAGTACCTATGTAACTTGACCTGAAATTTCTCAGCAGTTATTTTTCTTGTGTCTTTATTTTAGCTCTCACATCCCTGTGATATCTATATATTTTAGCTGCAGATGCATAACTATATTGATATATCTTTTTTATTTCTATTGGTGTGTGTGAGCCCTGGCTGATATATCAGGGCTTTTTACCCACAGGATTTGACTAAAGTATGAAAATAAAGAATAATTAAAATCTGTGAAATCTGAAAGCTAAGTCAGTCCTTTTTGTCCTTCAGAAGCTCAGAGAACAAAGTTGTACAATTCATTTTGTATGTAGCCTTGTGGGTGACAACCTGACTCTTAAAGTAGAAAATCTATTTATTTGATTTGTTTACTATGGCTGGTGGGAGGCTCCTTATTAAAAGGAGCTGTTTATTTGATTGTCCCAGCATATTCTTCAGGGCTAAAGAATCTTTACTCTTGCAGTAATAATCGAGCTTGCTGATCACTACTTTTATATATACTTGTAGTTTTCAGTAGCAATTAAAAGGGTTAGGAAGCAAAAAAGATCAACTACCTTGTGATCTATTCAATTTAAGGCCACTGGAACTTTTGCCTCTTTTTGTCTCCTTTGAATAACTGGAAATTTTATTAAACTTTATTCTTTTTGGAGGCTGGATATAGACCTAGGCCAGTGTTTCTCAAACTTACTACTATGGATAAGAATCATCATTGGCATTTGTTAAAAATGTAGACTCTTGGGCCCTACTTTAGAGATTTGGAGTGGGAACTTGGAATCTACCTTTTTAAAAAGCTTTTTTCCTTGTTTTATTTTATTCTATTTATTTATTTATTTTGAGGCGGAGTCTTGCTCTGTCACCCAGGCTGGAGTGCAGTCGTGGGATCTCAGCTCACTGCGACCTCCGCCTCCTGGGTTCAAGCGATTCTCCTGCCTCAGCCTCCCGAGTAACTGGAACTACAGGCGCACACCACCATGCCTAGCTAATTTTTTTGTATTTTTTTTTAGTAGATACGAGGTTTCATCTTGTAGGCCCGGCTGCTCTCGAACTCTTGACCTCAAGTGATCTGCCCGCCTCAGCCTCCCAAAGTGCTGGTTATAGGCATGAGCCACCATGCTCAGCCTCTTTGCTTTATTAAAAACTTAATTTTTTAATTAAAAAAATAGATGCGGTTTTGCTATGTTGCCCAGGCTGGCCTCAAACTCCTGGCCTCAAGTTATCCTCTGCCCTGGCCTCCTGAAGTGCTGGGATTACAGGCATGAGCTGCCGTGGCTGGCCTCATTTTGTATTGGAAAGTAAATCATACTACAGAAATGGGCATAAAGTAAATGTATAGCAAAACAAGTTAGAAGCAAATATCCTTGTAACCACACACATCTGTGAATAAACTGACAGCACCCCAGTGGCTCTCAAAATCCTCATCCCCTCCCTCCCTACTAAGGTGATTACTATGTGGACATTATAGCAATCACTTCCTTGTATGTTTTAGAGCTTTATGAAAATGAAATCAGCTTATATGTAAATTCTTGATCTGGTTTCTTTCACTGAACGGTGATTTTTTTCACTGTGTAAGTTTGAGATTTATCCATGCTGCTGCATGTCACTGTGGCTCATATCGTTGTAAAGTATCCTCTTGTATGATTACACCACAATTATCCATTTTGCTGTTGGTGGACAATTCAATTTTTTTACTTTGTGACTTATTAATAGTAGTATTATATACGTTCTTATACACATCTTCTAGTGTACATGTGCATGCAGATGAAGACATTAACACCTGTCTTCAGTTTTAGTAAGTATTCCCTAATTATTCAACGTACTTATTCCAGTTTACATCCCTACTAACAGTGTGTGACAGTTGTTTCACATCCTTGCCAACACTTGGCATTAACTAATCTTGTGAGCATATAACAGTATTTCATTGTCACTTTAATAAGAGCCCTCCCCCTTTTCATATGTGTTTTGGCTGATTCCTACTTTTGTGAACTTTAGTGGTTCATTGGAGGTTTTTTTTTATTTTTTATTTTTTGAGGCAGAATTTCGCTCTCGTTGCCCAGGCTAGAGTGCAATGACATGATCTCGACTCACCACAACCTCTTCCTCCCGGGTTCAAGTGATTCCCCTGCCTCAGCCTCCCGAGTAGCTGGGATTACAGGCATGCGTCACCATGCGCGGCTAATTTTTGTATTTTTAGTAGAGACGGGGTTTCTCCATGTTGGTCAGGCTGGCCTCTAACTCCCGACCTCAGGTGATCTGCCCGCCTTAGCCTCCCAAAGTGCTGAGATTACAGGCATGAGCCACTGCACCTGGCCTTTTTTTTTTTTCAATTCTTTGTCAGGAGACTTTAAAAATTTATATTAAAAATAGGTTTTAAAAATTTTATTATTTTTTATTATATAAAAAATGGTTCCTGGCTGAGCACGATGGCTCACACCTGTAATCCTAGCACTTGGGGAAGCTGAGGCGGGAGGATCACTTGAGCTCTGGAGTTTGAGACCAGCCTGGGCAACATGATGAAACCCTGCCTCTACAAAAATTACAAAAGTTAGCTGGGCATGTGCCTGTAGTCCCACTTATTTGGCGGTCTGAGGCAGGAGAATCCCTTGAGACGGACGTGGAGGCTGTAGTGAGCTTTGTTTGTGCCACTGCACTCTAGCCTGGGTGACAAAGTGAGACCCTGTCTCAAAAAAAAGTTGCTAATTTTAATCAAATTTATCACTCTTTTCCTCCTGTGGTTAATGCTTTTTGTGTCATGTTTAAGAAATCTTTTCCTAAGTAAACATTTCCACATTATCTTCTTACAGCTTTATTATTTTACCTTTCATGTTTAGATCTACAATCTACCCAGAATTGATTTTATCTCTCATGTGTGAGGTTGGGGCCAAGTAAACTTTTCCCATATGGATACCAAATTGTATCTCATTCATTTTTTAAAACACTGCCATTTCCCTGCTTTCTGTACACAACCTTTTGTTCTAAATGAAGTGCATATGATGGTTGTTTTTCTTTTCTGTCTGCCTATTTTTTTGTGTGGGTGCCATACTATTTTATTTACTTTGGCTTTATGGTATTTGAGGTTTGGGATAAAGTATAGATCTCCAACAAAATAACACTGTCACTTCAGGAGATTCTGATACAAGTGGTCCATGGATGACATCCCTGCTCTAGAGATGCTGTAAGAGAGCTCCCAAATTCTGGCTTAGTATATTTGCCTTTGTTTATAGTTATAAAAACACATTATTAAATGAAGCCATTTTGGTACATAGTTGCACACGTTGTTTATGCTTACACATATAAAGACAATTTCTGATATTATTTTCTAATCTTAATGAGCACCAATGATTTCACAACAGTCCATTGTATTTATCCTGGTCCATTTTATATATTCATTTGCTGATATTTCTTTCTTAAAAATAATTCTGCAAATATAGTAAAATGTTAATTATAGACTTTAAATGTTGGGGCTATAGGTGTTCTTATACAGTTTATTTTCACTTTTCTGTATTTTTGAGAAGTTTTATAATATTGGAAAAATGCTACAGAGAATACTTTATGGTATAAAATCCATCCTCCCCTTTTGTATCTAGGATAAATTGTGGTAGATTTGATAAACCCTTTTTGATAGAGTCTCAGACTTTCTGAGTCAAAGTGTGTGCACATTTTTAGAGCTCTTTGAAATGCATTACTAAATAGATTTCCATAAGAAATTTTTACTCATTAACCTTCCCACTAGCAACATGCATGCCAGTTTCATAGCCTTTGTCAATATACTATATTGACATCAGCAGAAATATATATAAATTTTATTTTAATCCTTATTTGTTTATTTTTTTTGAGATGGGGGTCTCGCTATGTTGCCCAGGGTGGCCTCAAACTCCTGGGCTCAAGTGATCCTCCTGACTCAGCCTCCTGAGTAGCTGGGACTTGAGGCATGAGCCACTGGCACCTGGCTCCTTATTTTAAACTTGTATATCTAGTTAGGTTGATTATTTTTCTTTTTGGTTATTTAATTCTTTATGAAATATCTTGTATCCATTTACCTACTAACATTTTATTGATAATCTAATCTGACAAAAAAGGGTGAGAAAATTCCTCTGGGAAAATGAGCAGATGACTAACAAGGGCAAATCTGAGAAAGAACAGAGAGGATATAAGCCCTACCAAGAATTAAAACATTATATAAAGCTTTAGTAACAGACTGATGAAGTAAGTAGTTGAGAATTAGAGAGCTTCTTCAGGATTTGGTATAAGATAAAGCAAAAGCTTACCAGAGATCACAAATTAAATGGCTAAGAGTGTTCAATTTATAGATTTTTCCCCACACCATTCAGTATGCCACATTGTCAGTGGATTATAATTAGATATTAAAAATAAAATGAATATTTCTCGATAGGCAAGGAATTATCTAAGTTTAGTAGAGATTGCAAATATTATCAAGGAAAATAAAACAGATCGCACCACATAAAGATTTAACTTTTGTAATTTAATAGCAGCTGATCACCGAAATGTAAATATGTAAGCAATAGTGTATTAGAGCAAAATATCAGAAAATGATTTAATATCCTAGTTCATGTTAAGACTCTTCAGGGAAAGCCTCATTTATCTTTTTACTTTTTGTTTTTTTTCTACAGAAATCAATAAATATTTAACTTTTAGCTCACAGGAAACCGCTAGAAATAAACTGATGATGGCTACACTCTTCTTTGTACCATGTTTTGGGGTTTTTTCCCCCCAGCTTTTTTGGATTTCAGAAATGAAGTTCCAAAAAACTTTAGTTGTTTTATTTTTCTTTCTTTTTTTTGAGACAGGGTGTCTTTCTGTCACCCAGGCAGGAGTGCAGTGGCACGACCACAGCTCACTGCAACCTCCCTGGGCTCAAGCGATCTTCCTGCCTCAGCCTCCTAAGTAGCTAGGACTACAGGCATGCACCATCATCATGCCTGGCTGATTTTTATTTTTTTTGTAGAGATGGGATCTCGCTATGTTGCCCAGGCTGGTCTTGAATTCCTGGTTTCAAGTGAACCTCCAGCTTCGGTCTCCCAAAGTGCTGGGATTACAGGCATGAACCACTACACCTAGTCAGAAAAATCTTTAAGTGTGAATATTGGTAAACACTTCCCTGGAGACGATCAGCATGAAGGCCTTTAGAACCATAAATAATCCATTCATTGGAAACTAGCATGATACTGGCAGTTAACAAAAAATATTTTTATATGTAGGAGGGGTTATGTGTGTCAGACCAAGAGGGCTTACTGTTGTTTGATAAAGCATTTGTTCACTTCGCTACTGAGAGACATGAAGATTGCTGAGTGAATGAATGGTAAATGATACTCATTTGGTTTCCTGCAGTGGATCCTGACAATACTAACTTCATAGCGTTTGTTCTGCATTTTGGTTAGAGATTGTATTGCCACATTTTGGAGGATCTTCATAAAACTAATTTACGTTTAAAAAATGACAAGGTAGCTACAGATGTGGTGTTCAGGTCAAGAAGGCAGGGTCACTCCTCCCTATGGCTAAGTGTTGGCTGTGATGATGTGCTTAGGCACACAGTGCCATTTAAACATACCTTATCTTTTATCTGATAAATGATTTTTTAAAAATTACCTGTATTCATCAATGGCTAATACTACTGTTCACCTAAATCCAGTACAACTAATTTTCCCTCCAGCTTTGGAAATAGATCAGTTTTTCTCCACCTGAGCACCAGAGAAAGTAGTTGTCCCACTCTCACCCCCACAAGTATATATATTTGGGGGTCTTTTTGTGTGAAAAATAGTTTCTTTAGAAAATTAGGTTCATCATCTGTGAGAGGTGCTCATGCTGTGGTGTGTGTTTTTGTTTTTAGTCACTTTTTTTTGTTGTAGAAGGCAGTAGAGCATCTTTGTTAATAGCAGGGGCTTTGGGGTACCCAACCCATGGCCATATGCATTTGGCCAAGTTAATTAACATCTTTGAGCTTCACTTTTGTGGAAAGGGGGAAATAATTGTAACTCCTTGGGTATTGAAAGTTATTAAATGAGAGATAAATGCATGTAATGGTCCTAGCTCATAATGAATTCTAACTTTAAAATTTTTGGTCTTGTTAGTGATACGTTTTTCCAAATTTATTTTCTTTGGTTAATATTTGAAAGCTTTACCAACCAGATTCAGAAAATATTTCCAACTTGATATGTAAACAAGAATACAACACTTAGTATGTGCTCTCCTGGTTGTGTCAAGGTAGTGCAAATATGGCAGATTTCAGCACATTTTGTAGTTATTAAGTATTGAACATTTTTATAGCTAATTTCTTTCTTTGATTGCAGCACCCATATATCTCCCATCAGCATCCTACCAGCCTCTACAGAGTAAGTAGTATATTTATAGAAGACAAATTTTTAAGATTTTAAAATACTACTAAGCTGTAGAAATGAAAATAATGTACTTGTGCTCACTTTAGAGGAAAGACTGTACACAGGCAGTAAACTAGTTTTTTATGTACTGTGATAGGAACAAATGAAGAAGAAACCCATTGCATTACTATACAAAATAAAGATGAGCTTTCTTCAGATGGTTTTTTTGAATCCTCTGAAATAATTGAAAAATGTTCATAGAATATAAGTTTTAAAAAAGTAGACTTTACATAAGAAGTGTGAGCAGTACTCATGGTTTCTTTCATTTTGCTGTTAGTAGGTTATTTTGCTTTATAAGTATAGCTTTGAAAAGCCTTATTTAGTGGTTTTCTGTGTAGTGAGGAGTGAATTATAGGGACAACTGATCTTTCCCATCCCAGTAATAATAGTGACATTATGGTTGATTTGTATATGATTGTCTGTTTGGGTAAATTTTACTTTTAAAACTTAAGCCAGTATCATGTATTCCTTTTATGTATTTCTTTTTACACTTTGGTTTACCCATTTAAGTACCATAATAGTTTTACTGGTCATAGGTTTTAGCATTTATGTCTGTGTCACCAGATATCCAGTTAGAGTGACTGCTTCTTACTAAAACGTGTTGTTTTGTAGTATTTTAGAAAGAACAATTAGAGCAGCTGTGGAACAGCACCTTTTTGATCTTCAGAGCAGCATAGATCATGATCTTAAGAATTTACAACAGCAAAGTGTGGTGTGTAATAATGAAGCAGAAAGTATTCATTGTGATGGGGAAGGATCTAATAACCAGTAAGAAACATTTTACTGTTGTTTATTAAATGTTATAAAATTGTTTTATCTTAAAACTGTATTGCTACTTAAATAACAGGATCTCATCTTTCTTGGAGATTTCTGAAAGTTGTTTGTGAAAAGTGACTTTGTATATATACTTGTATATACATCCATACTTAACACTGGATATCTCATCACTTTTTTCATAATATATGTTTTATTAAGTCCAATACAGGTTTGTTTGTTTTTTGTTGTTTTTTTTCCCCTGAACATCGAATGAAGTAACAAGCTTACCTTTAGGAATTATGTTGTATGAAAAATAACTTTAAAAAATTAGACTCTGCAACAGAGTGATCTAGACAGACAGTTACAGGGGCAGCAGATTGATATCACTATAGTGCATATAATCATTGAGTGAAATGGTGGGCAGAATCATCCTTTGCTATTTAAATAGTTATCCCTTCCCACCAGCCTCTCCCCTGCTTATGTTTTTGTTAGATTAACTCTTAATACAGGTTGAGCATCCCTAATCCAAAAATCCAAAATCTGAAGTGCTCCCAAATCCAAAACTTTGAGCACTGACATGATACTCAGAAGAAATGCTCATTTGAGCATTTTAGATTTTGGATTTTCAGATTAGGGATGCCAGTCTGGCACCTCTCCTTGGGATGTTGTGAGGGACCTTGTTTGTCATGCTCTCTGAAAATTTTCATAAGCAAATGAATGGCTTTTAAAATAATTTATGAGCCAGTTGCTAACTGGCAAATATTCCAAAATCTGAAAACAAACAAAACAAATCTGAAACACTTCTGGTCCGAAGCTTTTCCGACAAGGAATAATCAACCTGTATTTAAATGTGTATTAGTTAAAAGTACTTATAATGCATGATGTTACTCCACTCTTCATCTGACCTGTTACCTTTAAATGAAGGAAAGCCTCTCTTTGTTTTCTATTACTTCAGTCCTGTATTTCAGGATACCTGTGTGCCTCCCTCAGAGACCGTGGTGCAGTGATTTCATGTTTTTCATATATCAATTTTTTTTGGGGGGGGGAAGATGAGAAAAATGTACCCAAATCTAGAAGATTCATAGGAAGGTAAAGGAAAAAAAAAGATAATTGGGGAGTGGTTTTTTTTTTAAGACAGTTTTTAAAAGGGCTAACTAGAATAGCTATCAAATATAAAATGAAAAATGTAAATGGATGTGAAAACCAGTGCTGGGAATGTTTATTTTTGGAATACCATATAGTACAATTGCAAGCGTGCCATGGATGGCACTGCCAGCCAGTGCAGCTCTATTTGATGGCCTTGGTTTGTGTACTTTGAAGGCATGATTAGAATGCATACAACTGGGAAAAGGCGGGAGAGGGAAAGAAAAGAGAAAGAAAAACATTAAAAAAAAAAGCATGTATACAACTGGATCTATTGGGAGTATTTGGGCAGAATGTGAAGGAAAAAATCAGTATCTAAGTGTTAGAAATAGTGGGAAAATGTTTCAAAGGATGTAAGCAGATTTCTTGGAGTTTGTCCTTAGCTTAGCTAGGGATCCTGTAAACCTATACCCATTGCTCAGGTGATAGTCTTATTTTCACCACTGGGGAACACATGTTCTATTGAGGGTAGTGGTATCATCTTTGAAACAAAAACTGCAGTGTTTTGGATATTCTAAACTGTAAGATGACAACTCTGCAGTAGGAAGCTATTTCTGTTTTACTTGATAAGGTGTTGGACACTGTAGTGTCTAGTACTGGACTTGTATTTGATCAGGACAGATGTGTCATTATTATGTGAGAGTGTGCATTTACAAGGGAAATGATTATTTCGGCCCATAAATTATTTTAAAAGCTATTTATTCGCTTATGAACATTTTTAGAGGGGATAACATGGTCCCTCACAACATCCCGAGGAGACAAAAACATAGCAGATTTAATAATCTAATTTAGCAAGATAAAAGTGTGGATTTTTGTGAAAGGTACACATTTTCTTTAACAAGTAAAAGTTTCAGATCATTATTGATATTTACTTATTTTAAAGTAAAGGCATTACACACTCAACATTTGGCCTGATCTGATTTTTAAACTTCATCCCTAGGATTGATATTGCTGATGATATTATTAATGCCAGTGAAAGTAACAGAGACTGTTCAAAACCTGTGGCTAGCACTAATTTAGACAATGAAGCTATGCAGCAAGATTGTGTATTTGAGAATGAAGAAAATACCCAGGTAAGGAATGTCAAAAATATGTGTTAGATGTACAACTTTGATTGCTTCATGTGTTTCTTTGATGCCAGAAGTTATAGTTCAGTATTTTGCTGATACACTTAATTGTCTCAATTATAAATCCCCAAGAATATACATTGTTTCAGAGTTTAGGAAACATCACTGGGTAGAGAAGTATAAAACAACTTATTGGCTGGGTGTGGTGGCTCACGCCTGTAATCCCAGCACTTTGGGAGGCCAAGGCGGGCAGATCATGAGGTCAGGAGATCGAGACCATCCTGGCTAACATGGTGAACCCCCATCTCTACTAAAAATACAAAAAAATTAGCCGGGCGTGGTGGTGGGCGCCTGTAATCCCAGCTACCGGGGAGGCTGAGGCAGGAGAAAGGCATGAACCCAGGAGGCAGAGCTTGCAGTGAGCCAAGATTGCGCCATTGCACTCCAGCCTGGGCGACAGAGTGAGACTCCATCTCAAAAAAAAGAAAAAAAAAAACAACTTATTTTAAATTATTTTCCTAGAAATCATGATGTCAGCAGAGGTAGCTAGGTGGTATTATGGTTGACTTTTGTTATTTTTAAGACAGCTTCCGTATTTCTTAGGAGTTTTGCTGAAGAACATGGTATAGGGGAGAACATATAATATTCTCATACACTTCTTAGGATGGGATAGATCCCTGTAACAGAATATTGGTTAACAAGAGAAAAACAAGTTTTAAGACATGTATACCTCATATATACATGGGAGATACTCGGGGGAAGTGAGTAAATCTCTCAGAGGTGGCTTAAATACCATCATGTCCTGAAACAAAGGAAAAAAGGGTGTTGGGGAGACCTAGTTGTAATGAGATGACCAGGAAAAGCACTGTAAGCAAAGTTAAGGTTAGCTCTCAAGATTGGTAGTTTTTAGTGATTTAGAGTCATCTTTCTCTTGCTCGTACAGAGAGGAGACACCCGTAGAAATGGAGATTTCTACTACAGATGAAAATTTCTTTTATAAAAGGGTAACTTCTCTGTATTATCCTGTGTTTGCTATTTCTGAAAATAATAAGCTGAAAATAATCCTTATGCCAAAGAGGAATAATTTGGTGTGGCATGTTCTGAACCTCCACTGTTGGCATCCTTTCTTGATTAGCAGAAACCTAGGAACATTGTTGTAATAATGACTAAATTATTGTCACTGTCACATTTGTTAGTAACTTTTTTTAATATAATTGCCATTAAATGTAAAAAGCAGCATCTAAGACATTCAAAATGTAATTTTGATACTACTTTTAAAAATAAGATGCTAAATTAATAGATAAGGTGGGTTTCCTCAGTATATTTTCATTCTAAACCATCCACTAAAGTAGGGCTAAAGAGGAATTTAGAGTAGGAAGACTTAGGTTTTGTATTCTGCCTTTGTTCAGTATCAGTGTGACTTTGGCCAAGTTACCTGACTTCTGAACTGCATTTTGCTTTTCTCTAAATAAGTGGGGGTAATACCTATATTAGAGGATTATGATAAAAAGATGTGAACATATTATAAAATTATTTTATAAACTAGAAGACATTTCAAAGAAGTTAAGCTGCCACTGTTAGTTTCACAGACTTGGGTGTATTAGATGAACAGCTTTTCAGTTATTGCTTCTATAGTTGTCCTCTTGCCCTTTCCTGGATTATCAGTTTCTGCCTGTCTACCTAGTCATTCCCATCAGTGTAAAACATTTATACTGTTATTTCTTCCAAGTTCAGAAAAAACCCTCTCTCGACTCCCCCCATCCCATTCTAGCACATACACCCTGATTTCTCTGCTTCCCTTTATAAATAGAATTGCTGGAAGAATTGTCTGTGTCTCTTTTCTTTAACTCTTCTCCTCCCATTCTCTCTTAAATTCACTGCAGTGATCCTTTCCTCCGACCATTCATTCCTCTGAAATAGCTTTTGCAAGTCACCAGTGATGTCTGTTGAATGTTTTACTTGACCTAACAGCAAGGTTTGATTCAATTAATTACTCCCACTACCTTGATATACTTTTTTCACTTGGCATTCAGGATATCTCACTCGGTTTTTTTTTTTTTTTTTTTTTTTTTTTTTTTTTTTTTTTACCTACACTGGCTGTTCTTTCTCATTCCCCTCTGCTGATTGCTCTTCCTCTTCTGAATCTCTTAAATTTGGAATGGCCCAGGGCCCATTTCTCAGATTGCTTATTTTTATTCACTTCCTTGGTAATCTTGTTTAGTCTAATGGCTCTACCTACCATCTATGTGCTACTGATTCCCAAATTTGTATCTCGAGTCCAGACCTGTTTTGGAACTTTAGATTGCTATATCCAACTAGGCACCCAGCATTTCCACTGGTATATTTTTACCAAGCATCTGTTGAGTAGGAAAGATTTCTTTCCTTACCCATCATTAGGTTCATAGCTGAGGCATCTGTAACAGAAGACATTAACAAGAGAAAAGCATGCACATTTATTTAATGTAAGTTTTACATGACATGAACACCTTCAGAAATCAAGACCCACAGAAACAGACACACCTGTGTATTTTAATGCTTTGGTTTGATGAAAAGTGGACAGTGGTGCGGATGAATAATTAGACAAAGAGGATGATAAATAAAGGGCGGCTCATTAACCAAGGCCTGTTTGTTCAGATTCTTTTCTATGTCCCTGTGTATTCAGAGATAAGGGCATTCCTTTCATCCAGGTATAGGGTAGATACTTCTGGAATGAAGGTTGTTGTTGTTGTTGTTGTTGTTTTTGAGATGGAGTTTCGCTCTTCTTGCCCAGGCTGGAGCAGTGGCACAATCTCAGCTCACCACAACCTCTGCCTCCCGAGTAGCTGAGATTACAGGTGCCTGCCACCATGCCCGGCTAATTTTTTGTATTTTTAGTTGAGACAGAGTTTCACTATGTTGGCCAGACTGGTCTCGAGCTCCTGACCTCAGGTGATCTGCCTGCCGTGGCCTCCCAAAGTGCTGGGATTATAGGCCTGAGCCACCACGCCCAGCCAAAGGTTTTATGACTTACTTCAGAAGATAAGTCTGACCACTTTTTACTGTTTCTACTGCCATCCTCTCACCTGGATTAATATTGCCTCCTAATTAATCTCCTCATCTTTGTTTCTTGATGGTATGTTCTCAACACTGAGCCAGAATGATCCTTTTAAGAGGAAAATTAGATAATGCCACTTCTCTTCCTAAAACCTTCCAGTGCCTTCTAGCTATCAAAATATAGCTATAGGCACTACGGAATATTGGCTGTGATAGTCAGGATTGAGACAGCTAAATCATAAGTCCTATCTGGATTGCTTATTTGTGGATATCTCCTTAGCTTACATTCTTACCTAGTCTTGCAGATACTTCCTCAGTTTTACCAAATCTCCTCATCACTGTCTGTTTATGGCAGGCCCTCCCACTTACCCACCCACTCCAGTCTCTGAACTTTTTGTCCTTTTTCCCTGCTTCGCATTCCGCCGCACTTTTTTTTTTTTTCCTGAGATGGAGTCTGTCTCTGTTGCCCAGGCTGGAGTGCAGTGGCACAGTCTCGGCACAGTACAGCCTCTGCCCCCCAGGTTCAAGCCATTCTCCTGCCTCAGCCTCCCAGGTAGCTGGGATTACAGGCATGTGCCACCACGCCCGGCTAATTTTTGTATTTTTAGTAGAGACGGGGTTTCACAGTGTTGGCCAGGCTGGTCTCAAACTCCTGACCTCAAGTGATCTGTGTGCCTCAGCTTCCCAAAGTGCTGGGATTACAGGCGTGAGCCACTGCACCTGGCCCCCTCCCCACTTTAGATAGTGTTATAATTATTTTATATATCTTTTAATTTTTATTTTTAGAGACAAGGTCTCACTCTTTCCCAGGCTGGAGTGCAGTGGTATGATCATACTCACTGTAACCTCAAACTCCTGGCCTCAAGCGATTTTCCTACCTCAGTCTCCTAAAGTGTTGGGATTACAAGCATCAGGCACCATGCCCAGCCATTTCTTTTATATTACTAGTCTGTTTATTGTCTGTCTCCCACTATTAGATTAAAACTTCATGGGGCTACTCACAGTGGCTCATGCCTGTAATCCTAGCACTTTGGGAGGTCATGGTGAGAGCGTCATTTGAGCCTGGGAGTTTGAAACCTGCCTGTGCAATGTAAGGAGGAGAACCCATCTGTACAAAAATGGTAAAAAAAAAAAAAAAAAAAAAAAAAAAAATAGCCAGGTGTAGTGGTGCTCCCCTGTGGTCCCAGCTACTTGGGAGGCTGAGGTGGGAAGATCACCTGAGCCCAGGAGGTAAGGCTGCAGTGCGTGGTGATCACACCACTGCAGTTCAGCCTGGGCGACACGGTGAGACCCTGTCTTTGAAGAAAAAAAAAAAACTTTATGAGGGCTGAAATTTTTGTCTGTTTTGTTCTTTATTACATCCCTATTATCTAGAACACTTAGTAGGTATTCATTAAGCATTTGTTGATGTAAGACCAGAATAGCATCTGGCACATAGTAAGCTAGTAAACAACTCGGTAAATAATTTGTTGAATGAAATTGGTGTATTAGGCTGGGCGCAGTGGCTTACGCCTGTAATCCTAGCACTTTGGGAGGCTGAGGCAGGTGGATCGCTTGAGCCCAGGAGTTCAAGGCCAGCCTGGGCAACATGGTGAAACCCCGTCTCTACAAAAATAAAAATTAGCCAGGCTAGGTGGCGTACGCCTGTAGTCCCAGCTACTTGGGAGGCTTAGGTGGGAGGATTGCTTGAGCCTGGGAGGTGGAGGTTGCAGTGAGCTGAGATCGTGCCACTGCACTGCAGCCTGGGTGACAGAGTGAGACCCTGTCTCAAAAAAAAAAAAAAAAAAAAGAAATTAGTGTATCAATTACTTTATAAAGAGAGCAGGAACTAATTCTTTCTAAAATTGTTTTTAGGAAACCTTTATGAATGATGGGTTCTTGGCCTTGAAAAACCTGTCACCATTTCTTCCCCCCAACCCCAGCTAAGAAGTTCAGTGATACTCTTATTATTTGAATAAGTTAGTTCAGTTGGGCAATACACAATAATACCTGTTTACTTGGACAGTATAAGCAAAAATACCTGATTTAAGTTTTCTTTCTTTTTTTTTTTTTTCTTGAGACGGAGTTTCATTCTTGTCGCCCCGGCTAGAGTGCAGTCGTGTGATGTGGGCTCAGTGCAACCTCCGTCTCCTAGGTTCAAGTGATTCTCCTGCCTCAGCCTCTTGTGTACCTGGGATTACAGGCATGTGCCACCACGCCCGGCTAATTTTTTTTTTTTTTTTTTTTTTTTAGTAGAGACAGGATTTCTCCTTATTGATCAGGCTAGTCTCAAACTCCTGACCTCAGGTGATCCTCGCGCCTTGGCCTCCCAAAGTGCTGGGATTATAGGCGTGAGCCACCGTGCCTGGTCGATTTAAGTTTTCAATGACTTGATAATCTAGGTTGTACATGCACATACTTTCTAATACAGAATATGACTAGTGCTATTAGGGCACTATAGTCTTGCAGAAGAGAGGAAAGAACTTCTGGCCAGGGTAGTTATGGAAGGTCTTGGAATGAGGGGGATTTTGAACTTGGCTTTTTATAGGGCTGGATTTGGTTCAAGATTTGTGAAAGAAACTAAAATGAATAGTATAAGTAAAGATTACAGGGTAATGTTGAATGTTAATGAAACAGAGCTACTTGTAGAACTCAGGGTATTGTGGGAGGATATATAGTAGAAGATAATTCTGGAATATTGGTAGATTTGGGTCATACGTAGAGCCTGGAATACTATCTTAAGAATTGTAGATTTTCTCAGTAGAAGAAAAATATAGAAAACTTTGAAGCAGAGGGAATGATGTACCCAGATCTGTATTTTAGGAAGAAGGTTTTTTGTAGTAGTCATAAAAAGTTTGTGGGAAAGACTGGGGGTAAGGACAACAACAATCAGTAGGCTTTTTGCACTGTATTTGGCGAGCACTTAAAATATCTGAGCTGGTGGGCATGGTGGCTCATGCCTGTAATCCTTGCACTTTGGGAGGCCAAGGTGGGCAGATCACCTGAGGTCAGGAGTTCGAGACCAGCCTGGCCAACATGGTGAAAACGCATCTCTACTAAAAATACAAAAATTAGCGGGGCATGATGGCACATGCTTGTAATCCCAGCTACTCGGGAGGCTGAGGCTGGAGAATCTCTTGAACCCAGGAGGAGGAGGTTGCAGTGAGCTGAGATTATGCCACTGCACTCCAGCCTGGGTGAAAGAGTAAGACCCTGTCTCAAAAAAAAAAAAAAAAAGTCTGAACTGTGAGCCCTAGGGAAGGAAGGAAAAATAGAGAAAATTCCAAAGGTGAAAATGATTAAGATTTAGGTGCAAACTGGGGTAAGAAACACAGACACTAAGAGATTGGAAAAGAGGTCAGTGTTGCAGAACTGGAATATCAAGGTGGTTTATATGAAGCAGATGTTCAGGTCTTGAGCTGTGGCTGGTGGTGGAGGCTCATTTTGTCTGTGAGTGAATGCCATTGCCAAAGCAGTGACTTGAATAGAATAAACGGGGATTGAAGAAACCCTTGGGGAACCTCTGTATTCTAGCTCTTTGGAGGAAAAAAAGCAGCCATGACCATAGCAGTTGGGAATGTCAAAGAGGATGGGATTTTTTCCTGAGTCTGAAAGTTGGTCAAAATAGAGAGGTAAAAGGAGGAAAAAAGGTGGTGGGAGGCAAAGGTACAAAAATAAGAAGAGTAAGTTTAATTTTATTTGCTTGCTAGGGTGGTTAAAAGTCTAATGAAATGGCTTTTTTTTTTTCTTTGCCTTTGCTGTTGAACAAAAAATTTAAGAATACCCAGGAACAATATATTTAATGCTGGTGAGGGTAGGTTAAGGTAAGTGGTCTTATACAGACATCGGAAGTATAAATTGCTGTAAACTTCCTGGAAAACACATTAACAGTAAGAACAAAAGACCTTAAACCTTTGATCCAGAAATTTCAAAATCTAGGACTCTTTCCTAAGGAAATACATACAAATCAGAGGTGTATGCAAAGATTTTTCTACTAGAATTCTTACTGGGGGTTTCTTCATCGGAAAAAAAAATGGGAAACACAAAAAGTCCTAAATGGAAAATGATTAGATAAATCATAGTATATCCATATCATAGGATATAGTTGAGTCATTTAAAATTATTTTAAAGGCCCAAGTAATAGTTGTGAGGTAAAGTTATTTTGAAAAAAAAACAAAAAACAAAAAACAAAACATACAAAACCAAGTGTAGATTACTAAAGCTAATGCAGTCCCAATTTCTTTGTGTGCATGCACTGCATGTGTGTGTGGCACATAGTCAAAAGGCCAAGTCAGAATATTCACAGTGGCCTTCTGTCTGATAGATTGTGGATGATTTTACTTTTCTTCATATGTCCTTATATTTATGTTTCCAACAGTTTCTCTGATTTATAATCAAATAATTAAAGAAAATTTATTGGATTTAGTGATAGAAATTATTGGTAAAGAAAGAGGAGCTTTGGTAGGTAGAGGATTTCATGGTTGAGAATGAATATCAGGTGAGTAGGTAGAAGCTGCAGTGTGTGGAATGCCTTTTGCACAAGTTTTGCATTGAAATTAAAAGGAAAGAGAAGGCCAGGCATGGTGGTTCATGCCTGTAATCCCAGCTGTAATCCCAGCACTTTGAGATATCAGGGAACCTGCTCCCGATAGTCATGTAGGTTCTTTTCTATTTTCCCTAAGCATTGGCTGGGTTGAGAAATAAAGGGACAGAGTACAAAAGAGAGAAATTTTAAAGCTGGGCATCCGGGGGAGACATCACATGTTCGTAGGTTCTGTGATGCCCCCCAAGCTGTAAAACCAGCAAGTTTTTATTAGGGATTTTCAAAAGGAGAGGGAGTGTATGAATAGGGTGTGGGTCACAGAGATCACATGCTTCACAAGGTAATAGAATATCACAAGGCAAATGGAGGCAGGGCGAGATCACAGGACCACAGGACTGGGGTGAAATTAAAATTGCTGATGAAGTTTCAGGCACACGTTGTCATTGATAACATCTTATCAGGAGACAGGGTTTGAGAGCAACCGGTCTGACCAAAATTTATTAGGCGGGAATTTCCTCGTCCTAATAAGCCTGGGAGCGCTATGGGAGACTGGGGCTTATTTCATCCCTACAGTCTTGACCATAGAAGATGGCCACACCCAAGGAGGCCATTTCAGAGACCTACCCTCAGGGGTGCATTCTCTTTCTCAGGGGTATTCCTTGCTGAGAAAAAGAATTCAGCGATATTTCTCCCATTTGCTTTTGAAAGAAGAGAAATATGGCACTGTTCCACCTGGCTCACCGGCAGTCAGAGTTTAAGGTTATCTCTCTTGTTCCCTGAACATTGCTGTTATCCTGTTCTTTTTTCAAGGTGCCCAGATTTCATATTGTTCAAACACACTTGCTCTACAATTTGTGCAGTTAATACAATCATCACAGGGTCCTGAGGCGAAATACATCCTCCTCAGTTTACAAAAATGATGGGATTAAGAGATTAAAGTAAAGACAGGCATAGGAAATCACAAGGGTATTGATTGGGGAGGTGATAAGCGTCCATGAAATCTTCACAATTTATGTTCAAAGATAGCAGTAAAGACAGGCATAAGAAATTATAAAAGTATTAATTTGGGGAACTAATAAATGTCCATGAAATCTTCACAATCCACGTTCTTCTGCCATGGCTTCAGCTGGTCCCTCCATTCGGGGTCCCTGACTTCCTGCAACAACAGTGGCCTTCTGGCTGATAGGTTATGGATGATTTTACTTTTCTTCATATGTTCTTATATTTAGGTTTCCAACAGTTTCTCTGATTTATAATCAAATAATTTAAGCAAAAAATTCCAATTAAAGAAAATTTATTGCATTTAGTGATAGAAATTATTGGTAAAGAAAGAGGAGCTTTGGTAGGTAGAGGATTTCATGGTTGAGAATGAATATCAGGTGAGTAGGTAGAAGCTGCAGTGTGTGGAATGCCTTTTGCACAAGTTTTGCATTGAAATTAAAAGGAAAGAGAAGGCCAGGCATGGTGGTTCACGCCTGTAATCCCAGCACTTTGGGAGGCCGAGGTGGGTGGATCACGAAGTCAGGAGATGGAGACCATCCTGGCTAACATGGTGAAACCCCATCTCTACAAAAATACGAAAAATTAGCCAGGCGTGGTGGCAGGCGCCTGTAGTCCCAGCTACTTGGGAGGCTGAGGCAGAATGGCATGAACCCGGGAGGCGGAGATCGCGCCACTGCACTCCAGCCTGGGCAACAGAGCAAGACTGTCTCAAAAAAAAAAAAAAAGGAAGAGTTGAGCAGTCTGGTTGTGGAAGAGATATTCCCCCCTTCCCCACTCCCGTCCCCCATTTCTGCTTTCTTGATACAGGATGGAGATTTGAGCATGTCAGTAGGAATCACTCACTAGATAGGGAGAGACTAAAAAATGTCAGAAAGAAAAAAAAAAACCCAGGGTAGTTAGGGGAACACTGCATAGAGGGGGTTGGGAGTGAGAGATGGAAGAAAGGTGATTCAGTGTGCAAGTTGAGTGACTATTCCTAAATAGGAGAGGCTACTTTTAATCTTCAGTAAAAGGGGATATATAGAATATTTTTTTAAGCGAGAGGTGTTTTGGGGACTTAATTCAGATGGCTTTGACCATTTTAAAATGAAATGCATTTGCAGAGGGTGAGGAGACAGGAATTGGGTTTGGATCTGAAGAAATAGGTAGTTTTGCAGGAGTCTCTGTGGGGAGAAATCAGACAGAACTGAGTCACCAGATGTTTGAGAACCAATGGAGGTCTAACTGAAGTTTGATGACATGAATTTGTAGTGAGCCAACTAGGAAGGTACGTTAAGTGACACATTTTATTGTAGCATCTGTCTGTCTGGAGGACAGAAAGCTGGTCATAAACTAGACCACATTGGTTAGGGCATTGACTAAATAGCTTTGAAATAGTTAGCCAGGGTACAGAGTGCGTGTTGGGTGGATTAGAAATTTAGAATGAAGTTTTCAAGCGGTGACAGTAAGGTGAAGAAGTTGCAGAAGAGGGGAATATTAGTTGGACAGGATGTATGAGTTTCAAGTGTATTATGGCATGGCGTGATTCAAGTGGCTTTCGTAGAAAGTAACTTGTGTCTAGGAAAGTGTAAGGCTAGATAGAGCAGGAGTCAGCAAACTTTGTGTAAAGGTCTACACAGTAAATATTTTAGGCATTGTGGGTATATAGTCTCTGCCACAACTACTTAACTCTGCTATTGTAGCATGGACGCAGCCAGAAAAAACCGTAAGAAATGAGCATGGCTGTGTTCCAATAAAATTTAATTTATGGACACTAAAATTGAATTTTGTGTCATTTTCACTTCACAGAATATCATTATTCTTTTGATTCTCCCTTCTACCCACAATCATTAAAAACGTAGAAACCCTTCTTAGCCAAGTGACCATGCAAAAACTGGCAACAGGTTGGATTTGTCTAGTATGCTGTAGTTTGCCAACACCTGGGCTAGAATATTGTAAGGAGATCAACATTTTAGACATAAAAGATAATGTTGGAGATTTGTTTTCTCTGAAATTGACTTGCAGTGTAAGGAAAACAAATTGCTTGCTTTTTTTTTTTTTTTGGAGAAATGCTGTATGGTTGCACTTCTTTTTTTTTCTTTTTTTTATTTATTATTATTATACTTTAAGTTTTAGGGTACATGTGCACAATGTGCAGGTTAGTTACATATGTATACATGTGCCATGCTGGTGCGCTGCACCCACTAACTCGTCATCTAGCATTAGGTATATCTCCCAATGCTATCCCTCCCCCCTCCCCCCACCCCACAACAGTCTCCAGAGTGTGATGTTCCCCTTCCTGTGTCCATGTGTTCTCATTGTTCAATTCCCACCTATGAGTGAGAATATGCGGTGTTTGGTTTTTTGTTCTTGCGATAGTTTACTGAGAATGATGATTTCCAATTTCATCCATGTCCCTGCAAAGGACATGAACTCATCATTTTTTATGGCGCATAGTATAGTATTCCATGGTGTATATGTGCCACATTTTCTTAATCCAGTCTATCATTGTTGGACATTTGGGTTGGTTCCAAGTCTTTGCTATTGTGAATAATGCTGCAATAAACATACGTGTGCATGTGTCTTTATAGCAGCATGATTTATAGTCCTTTGGGTATAAACCCAGTAATGGGATGGCTGGGTCAAATGGTATTTCTAGTTCTAGATCCCTGAGGAATCGCCACACTGACTTCCACAATGGTTGAACTAGTTTACAGTCCCACCAACAGTGTAAAAGTGTTCCTATTTCTCCACATCCTCTCCAGCACCTGTTGTTTCCTGACTTTTTAATGATTGCCATTCTAACTGGTGTGAAATGGTATCTCATTGTGGTTTTGATTTGCATTTCTCTGATGGCCAGTGATGGTGAGCATTTTTTCATGTGTTTTTTGGCTGCATAAATGTCTTCTTTTGAGAAGTGTCTGTTCATGTCCTTTGCCCACTTTTTGATGGGGTTGTTTGTTTTTTTCTTGTAAATTTGTTTGAGTTCATTGTAGATTCTGGATATTAGCCCTTTGTCAGATGAGTAGGTTGTGAAAATTTTCTCCCATTCTGTAGGTTGCCTGTTCACTCTGATGGTAGTTTCTTTTGCTGTGCAGAAGCTCTTTAATCAGATCCCATTTGTCAATTTTGGCTTTTGTTGCCGTTGCTTTTAGTGTTTTAGACATGAAGTCCTTGCCCATGCCTATGTCCTGAATGGTAATGCCTAGGTTTTCTTCTGGGGTTTTTATGGTTTTAGGTCTAACGTTTAAGTCTTTAATCCATCTTGAATTGATTTTTGTATAAGGTGTAAGGAAGGGATCCAGTTTCAGCTTTCTACATATGGCTAGCCTGTTTTCCCAGCACCATTTATTAAATAGGGAATCCTTTCCCCATTGCTTGTTTTTGTCAGGTTTGTCAAAGATCAGATAGTTGTAGATATGCAGCATTATTTCTGAGGGCTATGTTCTGTTCCATTGATCTATATCTCTGTTTTGGTACCAGTACCATGCTGTTTTGATTACTGTAGCCTTATAGTATAGTTTGAAGTCAGGTAGTGTGATGCCTCCAGCTTTGTTCTTTTGGCTCAGGATTGACTTGGCGATGTGGGCTGTTTTTTGGTTCCATATGGACTTAAAAGTAGTTTTTTCCAATTCTGTGAAGAAAGTCATTGGTAGCTTGATGGGGATGGCATTGAATCTATAAATTACCTTGGGCAGTATGGCCATTTTCATGATATCGATTCTTCCTACCCATGAGCATGGAATGTTCTTCCATTTGTTTGTATCCTCTTTTATTTCCTTGAGCAGTGGTTTGTAGTTCTCCTTGAAGAGGTCCTTCACATCCCTTGTAAGTTGGATTCCTAGGTATTTTATTCTCTTTGAAGCAATTGTGAATGGGAGTTCACTCATGATTTGGCTCTGTTTGTCTGTTGTTGGTGTATAAGAAAGCTTGTGATTTTTGTACATTGATTTTGTATCCTGAGACTTTGCTGAAGTTGCTTATCAGCTTAAGGAGATTTTGGGCTGAGACAATGGGGTTTTCTAGATATACAATCATGTCGTCTGCAAACCGGGACAATTTGACTTCCTCTTTTCCTAATTGAATACCTTTTATTTCCTTCTCCTGCCTAATTGCCCTGGCCAGAACTTCCAACACTATGTTGAATAGGAGTGGTGAGAGAGGGCATCCCTGTCTTGTGCCATTTTTCAAAGGGAATGCTTCCAGTTTTTGCCCATTCAGTATGATATTGGCTGTGGGTTTGTCATAGATAGCTCTTATTATTTTGAGATACGTCCCATCAATACCTAATTTATTGAGAGTTTTTAGCATGAAGGTTGTTGAATTTTGTCAAAGGCCTTTTCTGCATCTATTGAGATAATCGTGGTTTTTGTCTTTGGTTCTGTTTATATGCTGGATTACATTTATTGATTTGTGTATATTGAACCAGCCTTGCATCCCAGGGATGAAGCCCACTTGATCATGGTGGATAAGCTTTTTGATGTGCTGCTGGATTCGGTTTGCCAGTATTTTATTGAGGATTTTTGCATCAATGTTCATCAAGGATATTGGTCTAAAATTCTCTTTTTTGGTTGTGTCTCTGCCTGGCTTTGGTATCAGGATGATGCTGGCCTCATAAAATGAGTTAGGGAGGATTCCCTCTTTTTCTGTTGATTGGAATAGTTTCAGAAGGAATGGTACCAGTTCCTCCTTGTACCTCTGGTAGAATTCGGCTGTGAATCCATCTGGTCCTGGACTCTTTTTGGTTGGTAAGCTATTGATTATTGCCACAATTTCAGCTCCTGTTCTTGGTCTATTCAGAGATTCAACTTCTTCCTGGTTTAGTCTTGGGAGAGTGTATGTGTTGAAGAATTTATCCATTTCTTCTAGATTTTCTAGTTTATTTGCATACAGGTGTTTGTAGTATTCTCTGATGGTAGTTTGTATTTCTGTGGGATTGGTGGTGATATCCCCTTTATCATTTTTTATTGCGTCTATTTGATTCTTCTCTCTTTTTTTCTTTATTAGTCTTGCTAGCGGTCTATCAATTTTGTTGATCCTTTCAAAAAACCAGCTCCTGGATTCGTTAATTTTTTGAAGGGTTTTTTGTATCTCTATTTCCTTCAGTTCTACTCTGATTTTAGTTATTTCTTGCCTTCTGCTAGCTTTTGAATGTGTTTGCTCTTGCTTTTCTAGTTCTTTTAATTGTGATGTTAGGGTGTCAATTTTAGATCTTTCCTGCTTTCTCTTGTGGACATTTAGTGCTATAAATTTCCCTCTACACACTGCTTTGAATGTGTCCCAGAGATTCTGGTATGTTGTGTCTTTGTTCTCGTTGGTTTCAAAGAACATCTTTATTTCTGCCTTCATTTTGTTATGTACCCAGTAGTCATTCAGGAGCAGGTTGTTCAGTTGCCATGTAGTTGAGCAGTTTTGAGTGAGATTCTTAATCCTGAGTTCTAGTTTGATTGCACTGTGGTCTGAGAGATAGTTTGTTATAATTTCTGTTCTTTTACATTTGCTGAGGAGAGCTTTACTTCCAACTATGTGGTCAATTTTGGAATAGGTCTGGTGTGGTGCTGAAAAAAATGTATATTCTGTTGATTTGGGGTGGAGAGTTCTGTAGATGTCTATAAGGTCCGCTTGGTGCAGAGCTGAGTTCAATTCCTGGGTATCCTTGTTAACTTTCTGTCTCGTTGATCTGTCTAATGTTGACAGTGGGGTGTTAAAGTCTCCCATTATTAATGTGTGGAAGTCTAAGTCTCTTTGTAGGTCACTCAGGACTTGCTTTATGAATCTGGGTGCTCCTGTATTGGGTGCATATATATTTAGGATAGTTAGCTCTTCTTGTTGAATTGATCCCTTTACCATTAAGTAATGGCCTTCTTTGTCTCTTTTGATCTTTGTTGGTTTAAAGTCTGTTTTATCAGAGACTAGGATTGCAACCCCTGCCTTTTTTTGTTTTCCATTTGCTTGGTAGATCTTCCTCCATCCTTTTATTTTGAGCCTGTGTGTGTCTTTGCCCGTGAGATGGGTTTCCTGAATACAGCACACTGATGGGTCTTGACCCTTTGTCCAATTTGCCAGTCTGTGCCCTTTAATTGGAGCATTTAGCCCATTTACATTTAAAGTTAATATTGTTATGTGTGAATTTGATCCTGTCATTATGATGTTAGCTCATTATTTTGCTTGTTAATTGACACAGTTTCTTCCTAGTCTCGATGGTCTTTACATTTTGGCATGATTTTGCAGTGGCTGGTACCGGTTGTTCCTTTCCATGTTTAGCGCTTCCTTCAGGAGCTCTTTTAGGGCAGGCCTGGTGGTGACAGAATCTCTCAGCATTTGCTTGTCTGTAAAGTATTTTATTTCTCCTTCACTTATGAAGCTTAGTTTGGCTGGATATGAAATTCTGGGTTGAAAATTCTTTTGTTTAAGAATGTTGAATATTGGCCCCCACTCTCTTCTGCCTTGTAGAGTTTCTGCTGAGAGATCCGCTGTTAGTCTGATGGGCTTCCCTTTGAGGGTAACCCGACCTTTCTCTCTGGCTGCCCTTAACATTTTTTCCTTCGTTTCAACTTTGGTGAATCTGACAATTATGTGTCTTGGTGTTGCTCTTCTCGAGGAGTATCTTTGTGGCGTTCTCTGTATTTCCTGAATCTGAACGTTGGCCTGCCTTGCTAGATTGGGGAAGTTCTCCTGGATAATATCCTGCAGAATGTTTTCCAACTTGGTTCCATTCTCCCCGTCACTTGCAGGTACACCAATCAGACGTAGATTTGGTCTTTTCACATAGTCCCATATTTCTTGGAGGCTTTGCTCATTTCTTTTTATTCTTTTTTCTCTAAACTTCCCTTCTCGCTTCATTTCATTCATTTGATCTTCCATCACTGATACCCCTTCTTCCAGTTGATTGCATCGGCTCCTGAGGCTTCTGCATTCTTCACGTAGTTCTCGAGCCTTGGTTTTCAGCTACATCAGCTCCTTTAAGCACTTCTCTGTATTGGTTATTCTAGTTATACATTCTTCTAAATTTTTTTCAAAGTTTTCAACTTCTTTGCCTTTGGTTTGAATGTCCTCCCGTAGCTTGGAGTAGTTTGATCGTCTGAAGCCTTCTTCTCTCAGGTCGTCAAAGTCATTCTCCGTCCAGCTTTGTTCCGTTGCTGGTGAGGAACTGCGTTCCTTTGGAGGAGGAGAGGTGCTCTGCTTTTTAGAGTTTCCAGTTTTTCTGCTCTGTTTTTTCCCCATCTTTGTGGTTTTATCTACCTTTGGCCTTTGATGATGGTGATGTACAGATGGGTTTTTGGTGTGGATGTCCTTTCTGTTTGTTAGTTTTCCTTCTAACAGACAGGACCCTCAGCTGCAGGTCTGTTGGAGCACCCGGCCGTGTGAGGTGTCAGTCTGCCCCTGCTGGGGGTGCCTCCCAGTTAGGCTGCTTGGGGGTCAAGGGTCAGGGACCCACTTGAGGAGGCAGTCTGCCCGTTCTCAGATCTCCAGCTGCGTGCTGGGAGAACCACTGCTCTCTTCAATGCTGTCAGACAGGGACATTTAAGTCTGCAGAGGTTACTGCTGTCTTTTTGTTTGTCTGTGCCCTGCCCCCCAGAGGTGGAGCCTACAGAGGCAGGCAGGCCTCCTTGAGCTGTGGTGGGCTCCACCCAGTTAGAGCTTCCCGGCTGCTTTGTTTACCTAAGCAAGCCTGGGCAATGGCGGGCACCCTTCCCCCAGCCTCGCTGCCGCCTTGCAGTTTGATCTCAGACTGCTGTGGTAGCAATCAGCGAGACTCTGTGGGTGTAGGACCCTCCAAGCCAGGTGCGGGATATAATGTCCTGGTGTGCCGTTTTTTAAGCCCGTCGGAAAAGCGTAGTATTCAGGTGGGAGTGACCCAATTTTCTAGGTGCCGTCTGTCACCACTTTCTTTGACTAGGAAAGGGAACTCCCTGACCCCTTGCGCTTCCCGAGTGAGGCAATGCCTCGCCCTGCTTTGGCTCGCGCACGATGCACGCACCCACTGACCTGCGCCCACTGTCTGGCACTCCCTAGTGAGATGAACCCGGTACCTCAGATGGAAATGCAGAAATCACCCGTCTTTTGCGTCGCTCACGCTGGGAGCTGTAGACCAGAGCCGTTCCTATTCGGCCATCTTGGCTCCTCCCCCCACAAATTGCTTTTTAATGTTTCAAAGCTGATCACATAAACAGCTTTATGTGATCTACATAAACTGTAGTACTAGGTGCTACATAAACCACAGTCCTATAATGTATTGGTTAGCCAGGCTGAAATTAATCTTAAGAATTTTTTTTTTTTTTTTTTTTGAGACAGAGTCTCAGTCTTGCCCAGGCTAGAGTGCAGTGGCATGATCTCGGTTTGCTGCAGCCTCTACCTCCCAGATTCAAGTGAGTCTCATGCCTCAGCCTCCCAAGTAGCCGGGATTAAAAGTGTGTGCCACCACACCTAGCTAATTTTTGTACTTTTTTTTTTTAGTGGAAACTTACATTGTGACTTTCTTTTACATTGACTTTTTTTTTTTTTTTGAGACAGTCTTGCTCTGTCGCCCAGATTGGAGTGCAATGGCGTGATCTCAGCTCACTGCAACCTCTGCCTCCCGGGTTCAAGCGATTCTCCTGCCTCAGCCTCCCGAGTAGCTGGGATTATAGGCACACGCCACTACGCCTGGCTAATTTTTGTATTTTTAGTAGAGACGGGGTTTCACCATGTTGATCAGGTTGGTCTCGAACTCCTGACTTCGTGATCCGCCCTCCTCAGCCTCCAAAAGTGCTGGGATTACAGGTGTGAGCCACCGCGCCTGGCCTACATTGACATTTTTATAGAAATGTTAAGTCTTTTTATTCTATTTTTTGAGACAGGGTCTTGCTTTAGTCACCCAGGCTGCAGTGCAGTGGCATGATCACAGCTCACTGCAATCTCAGCCTCCCAGGCTCAAGCAATCCTCCCACCTCACCTTACCAAGCAGCTGTGACTACAGGGGCATGCCATCACACCTGGCTAATTTTTAATTTTTTTACAGAGAAGGAGTCTCACTTTGTTGCCTGGGCTGGTCTTGAACTCCTGGCTTCAAGCAATTCTCCCACCTCAGCCTCTGAAAATACTGGAATTACAGATGTGAGCCACCATGATGGGTCTCGTCTTTTCTGTTTCCAGTTGTCCACATCCACATTTTTCTGTTGGGTTGATGGTATTTTTCCTTTTTGGTTTGTACATTTTTTTTTTGAGACAGAGTCTCGGTTTGTCTCCCAGGTTGAAGTGCAGTGGTGCGATCTCAGCCCACTGCAACCTCCGCCTCCTGGGTTCAAGCAGTTCTCTGCCTCAGCCTCCCGAGTAGCTAGGATTGCAGGCACCTGCCACCACGCCCAGCTAACTTTTGTATTTTTACTAGAGACCGGGTTTCACCATCTTGGCCAGGCTGGTCTTGAACTCCTGACCTTGTGATCCACCCACCTCGGCCTCTCAAAGGGCTGGGATTACAGGCATAAGCCACCGTGCCTGGCCATATTTTTTATTTATTAAGGAACTACCTACTTTCTTAACGATCAGTCGCAAATATTTGTTTCCAGTTTTTTGTCTTTTGACTACTTAAAGTCATTTTTGATGGTGTTAAACTTTATCGTCTTTTTTTTTTTCCCTTTTTTAAGATTTTAGGTTTTAATAGTTGGGAAGGCCTTCCCTATTCTGAGATTATAAGCTAACTTTCTTCTTTTAAAAAAATACTTCTATGGTTTCATTTTCTACATTTGAATATTTGACCCATTTGGAATTTATCATGGTGTAAGATGTGAAGAGCAGATTCAGCTGTTTGTCCTACATGTTTACCTAGATATCCCAACACCGTAATTTTTTGTATAATATATCCTTTTCCCACCAATATGAAATGCCACCTTTATTATAAACTAAATGCCTGGATACATTTGTAATAAAAGTGGTGTTTCAAATCAGTTGAGTGTGTTTCTCATTCATTCACCAGCAATGAGTGACAGTGCCACATTCTTGCCAGTATTTGGTAGTGTTAGTGTTTTGGATTTTGGCCATTCTGATAGATGTGTAATGGTATCTTGTTTAAATTTTGAGTTTCCTAATGACATACGATGATAAGTTTTTCATATGCTATGTGTATATCTTCTTTAATGAGGTGTTTATTCAGGTCTTTTGCCCGTTTTTAAATTGGATTGTTTTCTTATTGTTGAGTTTTAAGAGTTTCTCTCTCTCTTTCCCTCTCTCTCTCTCTCTCTCTCTCTCTCTCTCTCTCTATATATATATATATATATATATATATATAAAATCTATTTCTTTCTTTTTTTTTTTTGAGACGGAGTCTCTGTCACCCAGGCTGGAGTGCAGTGGTGCAATCTCGGCTCACTGCAACCTCCGCCTCCTGGGTTCAAGTGATTCTCCTGCCTCAGCCTCCCATGTAGCTGGGATTACAGGCGTGTACCACCACGCCCAGCTAATTTTTGTATTTTTAGTAGAGACGAGGTTTCGCCATATTGGCCAGGCTGGTCTTGAACGCCTGACCTCAGGTGATCCGCCCACCTCAGCCTCCCAAAGTGCTGGGATTACAGGCATGAGCCACCACACCCGGCCTATATTTTGGATAAGCTTATCTAGTAGGTTTTTGCAAAATAGAATTTTTTTTTTAATGTGCTACTAGATTCTGTAGTAAATATTTAGGAGTTTTATCTGATACAAAGAGATTATTCACTATAGATTTTGAATAGGTATAAGTTGTACAGTAATCAATATTTTGGGAGTTGAAAGTGTATGAAGGTGAAAAAAAAAAGTGTATGAAGTTGAATAGCCTGATTAGAACTCACATCAAAATACCTGGATTTATCATCAGTAAAATCCATTCATTTCAGGGTACCTTCATTGATGGTGCCCCTTCAAAACTTAGAATTATTCATACCTTGCAAACACTGAGAAACTGTTTTATCTCCTTTCAGAAGTGGAGGCCAGAAGTATTTATAAACTCTAGTAGATAGTCAAGAGGAAGAGAAGGCTATAAATTTGACGTGTACTAGTCTTAAGACCTCATCAGTTTTGATCATATTAATTCAGTAGAAGAGAGAGAGTAGGCTAGATAGAAGTATATCAATATGCAATTTATTGAGTGTTTGTTCAGCAAATGCAAGGTACAGAATGGAGTGGAGATATGTAGCCTATTTAATAGAAGTAACTAGCATGCTTGAGCCAAAGGTAAATGAGAGAAATGGGAAGATGCAGAACTAAGCAAGGTGGGTGCACCAATTATGGACCCCTAAGGAAGGGATGGAGACCAGAGGAATTACCGGAAATGCCTGTCAGGTTTTAATTAACTCTTGGCAGTAATCTCCGATAGCTCCTAAGATATTGCTAATATGACTGTGCTGTATCTGCTGCTCCTCCTGCTGCTGCCACTGCCACCGCCACTGCCAAAGCTCTCTAACTTACCTGAATTGAGACCAGAGCACCTTAGCTTTCCTTTGCAGACCTTAATGTTTGTGGAAGGGCACATGGGAGGAAGTGGGGAGAAGGTATGGGTTATTTTGCCTGCTGATATTTTATTTTATTTATATATTTTATATTTTTTTGAAACAGAGGCTCGCTCTGTCACCCAGGCTGGAGTGCAGTGGCACAGTCTCCACTCACCGCAATCTGCTCCTCCCCACTGGGTTCAAGTGATTCTTGTGCCTCAGCCTCCTGAGTAGCTGGGATTACAGGCGCACACTACTGCACCTGGCTGATTTTTGTATTTTTAGTAGACGGGATTTCACCATGTTGGCCAGGCTGGTCTTGAACTCCTGACCTCAAGTGATCCATCCGCCTTGGCCTCCCAAAGTGTTGGGATTACAAGTGTGAGCCTCTGTGCCTGGCCAATATAGATGGTTTTTCTTATAAGCTATTTCTTTTGATTCTCTGTGGTAACTCTGAGGTAGTCAAGTAAATTATTGTTATTCTCATATTTGTGATGAGAAAGGCAGAGCTAGGGCTTGAATTTGGTTCTTTTGAGTGAGATACCAAGGTTCTGTTTGTTTGTTTGTGACGGAGTCTTGTACTGTCACCCAGACTGGAGTGCAGTGGTGCAATCTTGGCTCACTGCAGCCTTTGCTTCCTGGGTTCAAGCAATTCTCCTGTCTCAGTCTCCCGAGTAGCTGGGACTACAGGTGTGTGCTACCACGCCCGGCTAATTTTTGTATTTTTAGTGGAGATGGGGTTTCGCCATGTTGGCCAGGCTGGTCTCAAACTCCTGATCTCAAGTGATTTGCTCGCCTCAGCCTCCCAAAGTGCTGGGATTACAGGTGTGAGCCACTGTGCCTGGCCCCAAGGTTCATTTTAAATATTGGGTCTGGTTGTGCACAGTGGCTCATGCCTGTAATCCCAGGACTTTGGGAGGCTGAAGACAGATGGATCACTTGAGGTCAGGAGTTCAAGACCAGCCTGGCCAACATGCCGAAACCCATCTCTACTAAAATTACAAAAAAATTACCCTATTCAACATGCTGAAACCCCATCTCTGCTAAAAATACAAAACAATTAGCCAGGTGTCCTGGCACCACACCTGTAGTCCCAGCTACTCGGGAGGCTGAGGCAGGAGAATCGCTTGAACCCAGGAGATGGAGTTTGCAGTGAACCTGCATGAGCCTCACTCTGGCCTGGATGACAGAGTGAGACTGTCTCAAAAAATTTTTTTAAGTAAATAAATAAAAATTAAATATTTGGTCTGGGTAATGGTTATTTCATGTGCCCAGAAACCTTCAGAATGTAAAGCTATCTTCTAGAGCAGAGATCCCCAACATTTTTGGAACCAGGGACTGGTTTTGTGGACAACAGTTTTTCCATGGATGGTGGATAGGGGGTTGGGGTTTTGGGATGAAACTGTTCTACCTCACATCATCAAAGCATTAGTTAGATTCTCATAAGGAACACAACCTAGATCCCTTGTTTGCACAGCTCACAATAGGGTCCATGCCTCTGAGAATCTAATGCCAGCACTCATATGACTGGAGGCGCGGAGCTCATGCCATAGTGCTCACTCCCCACTCCCCCAGCTGCTCACCTCCTGCTGTGTGGCCTGGTTCTTAACAGGCTAGCGATCGGTACCGGTCCAGGGGTTGGGGACACCTGTTATTGATCATAAAAGTTACCGAAGTCTGATTTCTGTATCAGTGGTTCTCACACTTTGGGTCTCAGGGACTCATTCATACTCTTAAAAATATTGAAGATCCCAAAGAGCTTTTGTTTACATAGGTATATCTGTTAGGATTTACCATATTAGGAATTAAAACTGGTAAATTTAAAAAACATTAATTTAACAAACTCATTTATGGTAACATAAGTAAGGTTGCTCTTTTCCACAATAGATAACTGTTTTCATAAAATTTTTTAAGTTTGAGGAGTGGCATTGTTTTACATAGCTAGAAATATTGTTGATACCTGTTTGACTTACAGAAGACAGCTGGATTCTTGTATATGCTTCTGCATTTAAGTCTGTTGCTGTTACATTGTTTTGTTGAAGCATATGAGACAGCCTCACAGATGTGTAGTTTGAAAAGGGACTAGTATTTTAACAGCTTTTTTTGCAGATTCTTGTGGACCTTCTTTCACGCTAAACAAAGCTGGACAAGTGGTACTTACTTTCTAAAGAAGAATCAGAGAGTCTAGGAAGTATGGAACCTTTTGTTGATTTGAAAGGTGATCATCAAAAACACCACAACGTTCATGTATTTTGTAGTAATTCTCTGGGTATTTGTATTAGACTTGGTAGGTTTTTAGTTTGGGGGGGAATAGGGATGAGATGGTGTCACTAAGCTCGTTGGAAAATGGGAGAGTTTTCTCATGTGGGGACTTTCTTTGTGGAAAATAGTTATTACTTCAAATATACAAAGGAATCTAGTGAACTCCTCTATGACTCCTATCTTACCTACAAGAAGTCACCAAACTTGTATCTTTGTAGCTGAGGAGAAATAAAGCAAGCAGCAGTTGGCAAGCAGGATCAGAAGACCATCATTTTGGAGGAGATAATTCTAAGGAAGAAGGATGGTAGTGGTGATACATATTACCTAATAGAGAGAAATGCAGAGTACCTGCTATACTTCATATGACCCAGGTTTTGAGGGAAGATAAATTACTCTCTGTAAAAAGAGATGCTAAGTACTACAGACTATTATAAATGATAGCTAATTAGGGGTGTTTGACTAATCTGTATTCTAATATCCTAATTTAGATTGGCAACTTCTCTTATCTGAGTATTGGGAGCTCCATTAATACATGGTAGTGTTCTTTTTGTCAGTCTGTAGGTATATTGTTAGAGCCATGCAGTGACCGTGGTGATAGTGAAGATGGCTGTCTTGAGAGGTAAGCATTTTTTCTTGTTGCTAATTAATCATTTTGAGAATTGGAGCTCTTCACAGATTTTTGAGGTGATTTTTTTAGATGAATGTCCATTATAAATATATAGTTTAGATAATCTTAAACAGCCTTCTTGTTATAATGGTAGGCATAAAGGATATTAAATACCCATAAATGTTTGGATTTGTACAGGTTCAGACAGTAGTTATAACTTGGAAAACATTCAGAGGGAAAAACAGCCTTTTTGGAGACATTTAAATCTTTCAGTTGATTGTGGAACAATTGGGAATTTACTGATATTCTGAGTATACCTGTCAGTGAGTTAATTCATGATCTTGTAACTGTGTATAACTAACTGAGAGATACTGTATTTGATTCAACAAATATGTATAGGATGTTTTTCTTCCTCTTTGAATTTATCCTTGGTGTGTCTCAGTACACTCTTAGGCAGCTGGTGCTTTTTTAACCTCTTTGGCTGGCTGTAATGGTAGAGAAATACTGGAGGCAATGAGTATTTCGACTAATGTAGAGTCTCAATAGATAGCCTCTTTGAATAGAAGCTTTCTAGAATGTTTTAAATCACAGAGTAAGATTTGGGTTCTTGTTACCCTTTGCATCAGTCTTCAAGATGCTGCCAAAAAGTATAACTTTCTTAGGAAGGTGATTTGAGATTCTGAAAACACTTCAGTAATGAAGTTGCAGGCTAGATTGTAAATATTGAGAGATCCCAGACAGTATACTAATTTGCTGACAGCCTGTTGGCCAGGACATATTTGTATTCTATTGTTTCTTTTAATTATAAGTAGGAAGCCTGTTCTTTAAGGGTAAGCAAATTCTTTGGAGCCACGTCTCTGGAGCCTCCCCATACTCTGAAGGTCCACAGATTTCCTTATAGCAGTTCCTTGTCCTTCCTTTCAGGAGGCAGGAATCATCCTCTTCCAGCCCAGGAAGTATTGGAGCTATGGGCTGAAGATATAAAATTAACAACATTAACAGGCACCCCCAGAATAGTGACATCTGGATTTGGTAGAACAATAAGGACCCATTTAGTGAGGACTCTTCTGTTGTTGTTGTTGTTGTTGTTGTTGTTGTTGTTTTTGGAAAAAGCTCTCTCCTCTTCAACTTCAACTGTGTATAAGTTAGCAAACTGGTTTTTAGATCCAGAGTACCTTGGTTAGGTGGATTACATTTTGTATGTTTAACATTCATGCTTCTCAAATGTAGGTGATTAGGTCTTTTAGGCTGCTAAGGTAGTAATTACTCATCCTACCATTTGCTCCTACTCTAAGCAAAGGAATGCCTTTAAGCTTAACAGAGCATTTAGTTCATTTCTTATTCTCAGCAAGAATAAGGTAATTATCTGTATGAGAAGATGACTTGCAATATTTAGATCAAGGCATGTCTCCTGAGTGCATACTCTGTTATGGCCGGTTAGAAGTGACATCTCGATGTGTCATTGTAAATTGCCACTGTGTCTTTGGGGAAAAGAACTTTCCCCCAGTAGGCATATTGATAATCTACTGTATAATAGCAGGTGCTCTCTTGACTGGTAAAATAGGTACAGATCACTTACGACAGCTTGCTATAACACTTGTTCTAAATAAGGGTTAGTTTTTCTGGGGAAGTAAAAGGTGGACTGAAATTTTTTAAAATTTCCTTTTAGTATGTTACTGTTATATTTTGAGGAGGGAAAGGTTTGGAAGTAGTAACCTTCTCTGATTGGAAGTAGTATCCTTGTGATAGAATACAGTCAAGTTTAAAGTAAAAGACATAGTGATACCTTTTTAAAAAGTTTTCTTTGAAAGTCTCAAGAATGGAGAGAATAGAGCTGTTTATTTGGTTAAAACATTTATTTTATAAAATCTTTATTATACATTCATTCTTTTGGGTTTCTACTTACTGTGGATTTTAGTTTTCATTTTATAAAGGTTTTTCTTTTTTGCTGTGGTTTGTGGGGTGGAGTAGGGATTGTTACTTGATTTTTCTAAACCCGAAGTGATTCTGTGGATCTTTTCAGTATTGTGTGATTTTTCAGATATAGGGCTCCAAAGAATGGGCATGTGTCCAGTTGGCATTTTCTCCTCGCACATTGTAAATGCTAACTGTGTTATGGAGTAGAGGAATCTAGGTAAGAAATATATAATGATAGTAGCCTTTTTATTCTTAATATACTAACAACTTTACTTGTATTTTTAGGGAAGAATATTTGTTATTTGACAGTGATAAATTGTCACACTTGATTCTGGTAAGAACTATTTTTTTGTCTTAGTCTTTAAAAACTTGCCTAGGTTTAAACTGTTATGTCTGGTCTTTAATGTGGGTTAGCTAGGTTTAAAGATTTAAATATAAATACTCTTACCAAATATTTTACAGTTAAACAGCAACTTAATTTGCCACTTTTGGTTACAAGAGACTTGGTTGTGAAAACACTTTCCTGAATTTGGGATCCAAACTTGTCTTCCAATAAGACATATTCTAAAACTGCATGTTTATATTTGAAAATAGTTTGCACAGTGGGAGTGGGACAGTTGGCTGTATAGGCACAGTAAACTAATGAAGACTACACTTGGATATGTGCTGGATGTGTTTAAGCTGGGTGTGAAAAGCTTCCGTAGTTGTGAAATATATTCTTTATTTTAAAATACAGGATTCTAGTAGCAAGATATGTGATTTGAATGCCAACACTGAATCAGAAGTACCAGGAGGTCAGAGTGTTGGTGTTCAAGGGGAAGCAGCGTGTGTCAGTATTCCACATTTAGATCTGAAGAATGTTTCTGATGGTGATAAATGGGAAGGTAATTTTACCCACACGCATTATTTTCCTGATAATGTTACTTGTAACCGAAATTACCCTAAGCAATGATAAGACTACAGCCCTTTTCTGGATAACCTTATTCATCTTGATCTTCTGTTCTCCCTTTCATGTAAGATGAACAAGTGGGTGTTTTTAGTGAAACACACTGAGATTTTGGGGCAGCATCTCATATGAACTAGAAGTTCTTGTCTGATCCATCAACAGCTTTGAAAATGGATGTTAGAACTGATTTTTTTAAAAAGTCACCCAGCATACGTTTTTGTTAATATTTAAATCAGGTGCTATCTCCTAGTCTTTGGAAGCCCAGTATGTTAAGGCTTAGGGATCTCACCAGTTTAAGCAGAGCGTGTATAATTACCTTGTCCTTAGTATCATCAGTAGTACTTTTTTGAAAAATGACCTTCAAGGGTACTTCTAAACAAATATTGTACCATATTCCTGTATTTCTGTCTTAGGTTATGAAGGTATGGTGCAGGGGACTCTAAAAATTTGCACAAAGGAGAGAAGTTAAAATTTAACAAGCAAACAACATGGGTATATGCATTTCTCAAAACTCAGCAAATACATAGATTTTTGTGTTTCTTTGTATATAAAGTTCTCTTTTTACTTCAAGAGGATAAAAAACTGTAAACAAATGCTGAACTTCAGTGGATGATTTGCATGCTGGAGTGTTTATGGGGAAATTTACTGATACCTGCAGTTTACTCTGAAATCCATGAAAAAAATAAGATGGTTAATGGGATGGATAAATGTTATAAAGCAAGTATAGTAGAATGTTAATGGTAGATTGTGATTGGTATATGGATATTCAGTGTAAAGTTCTTTCAATTTTGCTATGTATTTGTAAACTTTCAAATAAAATGTTGAGTGGGGGTGGGAATCAAGCAATAAATTTGGATCTAGGAGTTTTTCTGGATCATACACTTTGGTAAAGAGACAATGAGATAACTCAAGAATCTTAAGGATAGTTACATATTCATTCACTTGGATGAAGATCCCTGGGTTGTCTCACCTTTGGCAAGTATCTGTTGACATACACTGGCAATAACAGGAATTCTAATGCCAGTGCCACGGACTCCTTTTGGCACTGTTTAAGTGTACTCACCTGATCGCAAATGGAGTGTGTGTGGGTCTTGTTTTTTTTTTTAAGGTCTAGGCATTTTTTTTTAAGAGCCCCAACCAAGTCATTGTCTGTGCCAATTTTTATTGCCATCTCCTCCCCACCCTCCTTTTTATATAGGTCTAGATGTTTGGCATGCCCAGTGGCATATTATCTGTTTTAACTTAGACTAAATTAGAAAGTTGTCTTTAATTTGCTTTGTTCTGGGTTATTCAGGACATCTGGAATTTATGAAGATGCTTCCCAGTGTTGGGGGATATGTTAGCATACTGGTGGCAGTTGAAGATTAAATGTTCTTTTTTGTTATTTATTGTGGCTGAAATAAAAGGAATGGTGGTCGACAGAGCATCCCTTGCAGCATTGCTAGGAAATGAGTCTTCAAAGGAAGCAGCTTGGATTCTGATAAAGCACTTTTGTTTCTTCCTATTAGAAGATGCAGATAAATAGTTCTTTATGATCTTTGGCCTGGGAGTCCTGATTAAATTTTAAACATAGAAGAATAATTGTTTTTCATTGTCTGAAGAGGATAGACCTTCTCTGTCTAGCGTCAGCGTTCTTGAGTCTCCCTGAAAGAGAACCTGATACTGGACTGTCTTTTTTTTCCATGTCAGAATCCAGCACCTATACCTTGGTATAGATAAAGGAGGTAACCTGTAGGCTGCTGATGCCTGATTTTCAGTGCCTGAGCTGCCCTGGTTCAACAGCCTAAACAAGTCTATGTAGGTCCCCTACTTGTTCTTCCAGAAATAGGGGTCCGCAACTTTCAGAAAGCCGACAGTTACAGACACCTGAGCGAACTTCCCAGCCATGAACTGTGCATGTGCTTTGTAGAGTGGCTGTTTGTAGACCATGTTGTTTCTTCTAACTTTGTCACTAATGCAAACATTGATTGGAGTTAGGATATTCCTCCAATTTTTTTTTTTTTTTTTTTTTTTGAGACGGAGTTTTGCTCTTGTTGCCCAGGCTGGAGTGCAGTGGGGCGATCTCAGCTCACCGCAACTTCCGCCTCGCAGGTTCAAGCAATTCTCCTGCCTCAGCCTCCTGAGTAGCTGGGATTACAGACATGTGCCACTACACCCGGCTAATTTTGTATTTTAGTAGAGACGGAGTTTCTCTGTGTTGGTCAGGCTGGTCTCAAACTCCCGGCCTCGGGTGATCCGCCCGCCTTGGCCTCCCAAAGTGCTGAGATTACAGGTGTGAGCCACCGTGCCCGGCCAGGAGTTAGGATATTCTAAATGAAAAAGTCTTATTTATTTAAGAGACCAACTTACTTTAGACCCTGGATACCTTGGAATCAGACATGCTTTGTTTGATGTGACTCTTTGTAGAGAAGTGGGATGACTCCAAATAGAGCCCTATGTCACTATTCCTAAGTACATAGTTTCTGTTTTGTTTTTTCCTCAAAGGATAAGAAAAATAGCAGAATGCAGTAGTAGTTAGCAAGCAGGTAGCACATGACTGTCACCAGTATGAATTTGTAGCAGCTGTTTGCAAAGTTTTGACTTTTAATGGAAGTGGATACCATCTTCAGATTCTCTCCTGCTAACTCTGGAATGAAATGCAGTAGGATTTTTTCAAAGAGCAAACTAAGGGAGATATTTTCCTTTAAAATCATTTACACTGAAAAGCTTCAAACAGTACCTGCTTAAGAATTTCCATTTCTTCAGTTTTATGTTTGAGTTTTAATAAAATAGCACGACTTTGAGTTTTCCCCCCCCTTTTTTGCATTGCTTGCTGAAATGGAAATGTTATGTTTGTGTTTGTTAAAATCTAGTTAGTAGTGATTTCTTTTAATAACGTTTTTGAACAGAATGCCTAACTGGTTTTAGGGAAATGTTTTTGGTATCTTTGGCTTTGTGTTATGTGTATGGTTTGTTCTGACTGTGCTGTGTGTTCACTTTAGTATTTTTTGCCATTTTTTCCATTTTATTAGCGTCATGCCCTATCACTTTTCCCCTCATTGATTTCAAAACAATGCATCTGCAGAGAGATGGGGAGGGTAAGTATGGTTCACCATAGTTTAGTTTTTTTGCCTTTTATGGTTCACTTTGTTTGTCTTTTTATTAAGCCCTTCTCCTGCTGTCCCCATATCTTAGGAAAACTGTTCTGGGTTCAAAGTGAACCCAGAAAAAATTGCTATTACTTTTGTCTTTTCTTAAAATAGGATATTTCTCATAAAATGTTTACTACCAGTTACTTATTTGCTGGGGCACAGGTACAAGGGTTGCTTTGAAAATCACTTTATTGTTGGGTTTATTGTGGGATTGCACGCTTTGTACCCAATTTTTAATTCTCAGATTGATCTGGGCTTCAAAAACAAACTAAATTATGTTCTTATTATTTTGAAAGGAAAGGTAATGCTTTAAATTGCTAATGCATAAAGTTAAACTAAATTACTAAAGCAGCGATCTTAGCTATTGTGTGAGGAAAAAGAAAACATCACTCTTGAATTTTGACACTGTCAAGCCCTCTTTGCATTCATTTTCGCTATTGCTAATAGCCAATAGCATCAAAATTTTTAAGTGTAGTTACTTAAAAAAAAGCTGCCGGGCGTGGTGGCTCACGCTTGTAATCCTAGCACTTTGGGAGGCCGAGGCAGGCGGATCACTTGAGGTCAGGAGTTCGTAACCAGCCTGGCCAACATGGTGAAACCCCATCTCAACTAAAAATACAAATATTAGCCAAACATGGTAGCAGGCGCCTGTAACACCAGCTCCTTGGGAGGCTGAGGCAGGAGAATCGCTTGAACCCAGGAGGCAGAGGTTGCAGTGAGTCAAGATCGTGCCACTGCACTCCAGCCTGGGTGACAGAGCAAGACTCCATCTCTAAAAAAATAAATAAATAAATAAAAAGCTAATGTGTAGATGGGAATTTTTTCTTTCCCTCCTGTGCTTAATGTTGTATTTGGGGTATATTTGTGGATTGTGTGTATGATCTGTATGTGTTCTATATGTAATCAAACATTATATTTGCAAAGACATCAAATGTATTAACATAGCTTTCATTTGAGGGCATACAGGATAACTGCAGTAAAGTAAATGTGCTTAAGAAGGCCTAGTGCTATTAAGTTTTGTCTTAGTAACACTGTTGGGTATTATTAAAATATATATTATACATAGGAATCCTGTAGCAGAAGATAACCATCACAGTTTAATGTTAGAGGCCAGGTGCTGTCAGGTGAATTAGCTCCTCCTTTGGGAATATTAGAATTCTTCTAAAGTCAGAGAACTCCATTTGGTGAGTGTTCCATGTAACATGGGGAACAGCTCCCACTTTTTCTTAATATAGCTATTTGACAGTGAGGGACAGGTCATACACCTGACATCATTTGGCTTTTAAATTAAATTTCTAAGAAAGAACTGTTCAGTTCTTGCTGTTTCTGGTTTTCCCCTACTTGAAAACTAACATTTGTAAATAAAACATCTTTTGAAAAGTTCAGAATTATATTAAATAACATCTTTAGAATTAAATTGAGTTTTAAAGAGCTTGACAATGTCCTTTCTTGCTTTGCCACTGGGTTCAGAAATTTAAATTTATATGGAAATAGAACTCTGGGCTGGGCACAGTGGCTCATGCCTGTAATCCCTGCACACTGAGAGGCTGAGATGGGAGGATCACTTGAGCCTAGCAGTTCAAGACCAGCCTGGCCAACATAGTGAGACCTCGTCTCTACCAACAACAAAAAAAAGAAAATTAGTCAGGCGTAGTGGCAAGCGCCTGTAGTCCCAGCTACTCGGGAGGCTAAGGTGGGAGGATTGCTTGAGCCTAGAAGGTCGAGGCTGCAGTGAGCCACCATCATGACACTGAATTCCAGAGCCTGGGCAGCAGAGCGAGACCTTATCTCAAAAAAAAAAAATTGAACTCTGGACTAAAAAGTGAAGCTTGAATAATTTTAAACTATAGTAGGCTTTATGAAGATTATATATATATATATATACACACACACATGTATGTGTGTGTGTGTGTGTGTATGTGTGTATGTATATATGAACCACTACATAATGATATGATTTAAGGAACACATAGCTGATATTTTGTGACTTTTTTCCCACGTGGAATCAAGAGACCCATGGTACTATTCTTTGTGTTTGTTTTATAGAGCCATTTCCTGCTTTTAAGTCTTGGCAGGAGGACTCTGAGTCTGGAGAAGCTCAGCTGTCTCCACAAGCTGGAAGAATGAATCATCACCCCTTGGAAGAGGACTGTCCTCCAGTATTATCACACCGCAGTTTAGATTTTGGTCAAAGCCAGCGTTTCCTACATGATCCAGAAAAGTTGGATTCCTCATCTAAAGCACTGTCTTTTACTAGGTATATGATTTTTATGTACTTACAAGAGGCAATTCCTATTATGTACCCAAGTCTTTTGAGAGATTTAGTCTTCCAGCCTGGGCTTCAATAGTGAAACTCCATCTCAAAAAAAAAAAAAAAAAAAGAGAGAGATTGAGTCTTCTAGACATAGAATTCAGAGCTTTCTCACTGATTTTATAGAGCACATTTTTGTAAGTTTTGGTTTTTTTTGACCCTGCTGAGTTCAGTGAGGTGTAGCGTTTGAAGTTTGCTCTCAAATAGACATTTTCTCGTGGTGTATTATTCATTTATTTATGTATTCATCGCTGAAATACAGAGCTCTGTAAAGGAAGCAGCAAATGGTGCTGAGCAGTTCCTAATCTTTTTTTATCAAAGCTTTAAATGGATCTGAATGTCAAAAACTTTGTTATGCAGTTTGAACAGTTACAAGAGCTCTGAGCTGCTAGGTATCTTTGTTTCTTTGCTGCCTTTGTCCAAACCAGTTTTAAATGATTCCAAACTGTTTTCATCACCACTTGTATTAGCTAAATTTGTGGTCTGTAACATTACAGTGTTTCTTTATACTACCTGTCCTTTAGTGTTAGGGACTTATTTTTACCTTTAAGATTTACTTATTGCTAATAGTGCCATGTCAGGGCAATAAGAGATACAGTGTTGGTACTTGAAAATTTAACAGTGTTGGCCTTTTGTTTTAATTCAGAATTCGAAGATCATCCTTTAGTTCAAAAGATGAAAAGAGAGAGGACAGAACACCTTATCAGCTGGTCAAGAAACTTCAGAAGAAAATCAGACAATTTGAGGAACAGTTTGAAAGGGAAAGAAATAGCAAGGTAGGTTTGTAGCATTCCCCAGAGTGAGCTTAATCTAATATTAGAACTGAGAGGATAGTTTTTCAAAAGCATTAGTTTAGATCTGTGTGAGAAAGGTAACAAATCTGAGATACCCGGAGGAACAGTGATCATGTAGATCTGAGATTATATAACTCCTTGGTCTCCTGACTTCCAGGCCAGTATTCTTGCCATTTGCACCGTGGCATCTTTATATTTCCACTGGCAAAGCAGCTTTTAGAATTTTTAAAGCAAATACTTTACATTGACAAATCATGTTACTGCTATTTCTGCTCTATCAAAAACTACAAGTACCAAGTGGGGAGGAGAGGGAGTTTGTGAGGGATGGAGTGGAGGAGGGGAAAGAGAATTTTAATAGTTAGAACATATGAAGTGGAAAGAGTCCTGTACTTGGAGTCAGAAGACCCATATTCAAATCTGGCTTCTGCCAGTTACGAGACCTTACCTTGGGAGAACTTGACTTAATATCCTGCCCTATCTAATTAAAATAAGATGAAATGAGAATTGAGCAGTCTTTGCTGTGGGAATTGTAAAATACTATTTGGACATAAATTAATGTAACTATTGCTTATCACAAGTGTCAGTGATTCTGCTCCATAATTTTTCAGCCCTCCTACAGTGATATTGCTGCCAATCCAAAGGTATTAAAATGGATGACAGAGCTTACAAAACTGCGGAAGCAAATTAAAGGTATATTATGTGCCATTTTGTAATATATTTGCATTTTAAAAATTTTTTTATATTAATGTCTGAGAATCACAAATACAACTTTTGATAATTTTAAATCTTGGGCACTGTTTGACAAAAATAAAAGTTACCTTTTTTTGTTTTATTAGGGTCAAAATTGCATACTGTAGTACTGTGTTATAGTACAGTACTGTAGTTCTGTATTATATTTTAAATGTCTTTTTTGTGTTTTTATTAGTAATATCTTTTTGAAAGATACCTGAGATTGTATATTAATAAGTGAACTGATGTTATAAAGTTTATCTAAAATATATTTCAGATATTAAGCAGCTTTGAGTTTTGTTGGATATTTCATTAAGATTTTTTGGTAGGTATTTTCATCTAAGACTAAGAATGTCTAATCACAGTGACTCGTTTATACCACAAAGACTAAATTGTAACTCTTGAATGATAAACTAGGCATTGCATTTCTGGGTGTCAAACCAGTATAGTAATTGTTGAAGTATATTTAGTTTGTGGATGTTTAGTGAGTATGTGTTTTAATAATTATTACTTTAAAAATTATGCAAAATAGGGGTTTATTATCTGGAGCATCACTTTGGTTTAAATTTACTCAATAAAGTTTTTATTTTTATTTTTATTTCTAATTTTTTCGAGACAGAGTCTCACTCTGTTGTCCAGGCTGGAATTCAGTGACGCCATCTCAGCTCACTGCAACCTCTGCCTCCTGGGTTCAAGTGATTCTTGTGCCTTAGCCTCCCGAGTAGCTGGGATTACAGGTGCACGCCACCAAGCCCAGCTAATTTTTGTAATTTTAGTAGGGATGGGGTTTTGCCATGTTGCCCAGGCTGGTCTCGAACTCTTGGGCTCAAGCGATCCCCCTGCCTCAGCCTCCCAAAGTGCTGGGATTATAGGTGTGAGCCACTGCACCTGGCCTATAAAAATAAAAAAATATATATTTTTTATTTTTTTGAGACAGAATCTTGCTCTGTCATCGAGGTTGAAGTGTGGTAGCATGGTCATGGCTCACTGCAGCCTTGAACTGGTGAGCTCAAGTGATCCTTCCACCTCAGCCTCAAGAGTAGCTAGGACTACAGACATGCACTGCCACACCCAGGTAATTTTTTAAAATTTTGTATAGAGTTGGGGTCTTGCTTTGTGCCTGGATTGGTCTCAAACTTCTGGCCTTCAGCAGTTCTCCCACCTCGGTCTTGCAAAGTGTGGGGATTACAAGTATGAGCCACCGTGCCCAGCCCAGTAAAGTGTTAAGTATTTCTGAGGTACTAAATACTTTGTAGACAACTAGGGATATAGCAGTGAACAAGACAGACAGAGTCCCTGCTGTCATGGAGTTTATATTCTTGTGGTTAAGATAATGTTTGCCTCTCTCTCTCTCCTTTTTTTTTTTTTTTTTTTTTTTTGTTTGAGACAGGGTTTTACTCTGTTGCCCTGGAGTGCAGTGGCACGATCTTAGCTCATTGCAGCTTCCACCTCCCGGGCTGAAGCGATCCTCCCACCTCAGCATCCCGAGTAGCTGGGACTACAGGCACATGCCACCATGCCCAGCTAATTTTTTTGTATTCTTAGTAGAGATGGCATTGCACCATGTTGCCCAGGCTGGTCTCAAAACTCCTGGGCTCAAGCCATCTGTCTGCCTTGGCCTCCCACAGTGCTGGGATTACAGGCGTGAGCCACCTCACCCGGCCAAGATAATGTCTCTTAACTCCTCTTTAGAGTATCACTTAATTTTCCCCTATACTTCTGTTAAAGATTTCCTTGTTTAATGCCAATTTCCAGTCATCAGTGAAAATTATTACCTTGATTTTATTAGTAGTTGATACCATTAAATTGTCTAGCATTGGCCTCCTAATTTTCCCATTTTCTTTCACTTTTACTGCTCTGTAGTCCGTCTGCTGCATGGTAGTCAGAATTATCTTTAAAAAAGTCATGTTAGCCTGGGTCCCAGCTACTCTGGAGGCTGAGGCAGGAGGACCACTTAGGCCTAGGAGGTCAAGGCTGCAGTGAGCCATGTTTGTGCCACTGTACTCCAGCCAGGGTGACAGGGCAAGACCCTGTCTCAAAAAGAAAAATAAATAGTCTTACTACTTTCTTTTTCAAGCCCTTCAGTGGGCTTCCACCTAGAATAAAGTCAAAACTCCTTACTGTGGTTTTCAAGGCCTTGCACAGTCTGCCCTTGGCCGATTTTATCACTTTCATCTCTTTTCTGTTCCTCAAACTTGCCAAGCTTTAGGACCTTCACACTGGCTATTGCCTCACTGGGGACAGATGCCCTTCCACTAAATCCTTTGTGCTAGACAAGCTCCTTATTCCGTATTCTACCAGGATGATACTATTCAGAGAGGTCTTCTTTGTCAATCCCGTCCAATGTAGTTGTTCCTCCACAAATTATACTCCTTTTAGCGCTGTGACTCTACCCTGTTTTACCTATAGATCATAGCATTCTTTAAAGTTATTTTACTAATCTGAGTATTTGGTTATTGTTTTCCTTCTCTGAATATATGCTCCACAAGAACAGGAACCATGTCTGTTTTGTTTTCTTCTGTATCTCCCATGCCCATCAGAGCATTTTATTCAATAATAGGCTCTCTATGGATATAAAAATAATAGCTTGTTCTCTCTTTTTTTGTTGTTGTTTTTGTGTTTTTTTGAGACAGGGTCTGACTCTGTTGCCCAGGCTGCATTGCAGTGGTGCAGTCTCAGTTTACTGCAGCCTGAGCCTCCCAGGCTCAATGTGGTCTTCCCACCCCAGCCTCCCAAGTAGCTGGGACTTACAGGCATGTGCCACAGTGCTCAGCTTTTTTTTTTTTTTTTGAGACAGAGTCTCACTGTCTCACCCAGGCTGGAGTGCATTGGCTGATGTTGGCTCACTGCAACCTCCGCCTTCTGGATTCAAGTGATTCTCCTGCCTCAGCCTCCTGAGTAGCTGGGATTACAGGTGTGTGCCACCAGGTACAGGCACATGACACCACACCTGGCTAACTTTTGTATTTTTAGTAGAGACGGGGTTTTGCCATGTGGACCAGGCTGGTCTCGAACTCCTGACCTCAAGTGATCCACCCACCTTGGCATCCCAAAGTGCTGTGATTATAGGCGTGAGCCACCACACCCAGCCTTGGCTAATTTAAAAAATTTTTTGTAGAGATGGGGTCTCACTCTGTTGTCCAGGCTAGTCTCAAACTCCTGGGCTCAAGCAGTCCTTCTGCTTCAGCCTCTCAAAGTTCTGGGATTACAGGTGTGAGCCACCACACCCAGCCTAGAATAGCTGTCTTGCTGTTTTTTGCTTCTTAAATGTTTTATTTGGCTTTGAAATATCTAAGTCTGTGTGCTGTTAATGTATACTTTCTTGTTGTGTATTTTGCTTATTCTTTGACCCGGTCAAAGCTAAAACCAATTATTACTGATCTGTCCTTATTTCTGACATGTAGATGCAAAACACAAAAATTCTGATGGAGAATTTGTACCTCAGACACGTCCACGTAGTAACACACTTCCAAAAAGCTTTGGCTCTTCTCTAGACCATGAAGATGAAGAGAATGAAGATGAACCCAAGGTCATTCAGAAGGAGAAAAAACCATCTAAAGAAGCAACCCTTGAACTTATTCTTAAAAGACTGAAAGAAAAACGTATTGAGAGGTGTCTTCCAGAAGATATCAAGGTAATCTTGAGCTATGATTTTTGCCCAGATTAGCCTTTAGAATTCCTGAAACAAAATAATTACTATAGCAGGGTAGAGATGTCTAGGTAGTCTGATTTTCCTGAATCTGCTCCCCATCTTTGCAGATTCAGAAACATGATTTAATCAGCATAACAGAAGTGCCAAATACTTCAAGAATTGAATCATAATAAAACTGAAAAAACTAGAATGCTGATGAGTTCATTTATGTTGGAGTCAGTTGGCAAGATGAGTGTATAAAGAGCATGAAACAGGTAGCTCATGCCTCAATTCCAGCAATTTCAGAGGTCGAGGCAGGAGGATTGCCTGAGCCCAGGAGTTCGAGACCAGCCTGAGCAACAAAGTGAGACCCTGTCTCTACAAATAAAATTTAAAAATTAGCTGGATGTGGTAGTATGCACCTGTAGTTCCAGTTACTTGGAAGGCTGAGGTGGGAGGATCAATGGAGCCCGGGAGATTAGGACTGCAGTGAGCTGTGCCTCCAGCCTGGATGACAGAGTGAGAAAATAAGTAAATAAATAAATAAATAAATAAAGCATGAAACAGACCTACAGACCTTAGCTTGAATCCTGTCCTTGTGTCTTAATAGCTGTATGTATTGAGCTCCTAGCTTATGCCCCACGTTGGCTGGTTATATTTTATGCATTATGCCACTCAGCCCCTTCAACAATCCTATAATGTATATTGACGTGATTATGTCCATTAATACTAACTTGATATGGTTGTTATGAGGATTAAATGATTTTTTTTTTTTTTGAAGAGCCATTATTCTTCCCCAGTAAAGCCTGTGCCTAGGGCAGTCCTGATCAAAGCACTTGGCAACCTAATCTTATATTGGATGAGATTTGCTTGGAGAATGGAGAGAGTAGATGGTCTCAGGTGAACTTTTATCTAGGTAATAGTCCTAATGTGGAACTCTTATCTTGACAACAGAGTACACCTCTCTCATGATCCAAATATTGGAGTCTTTCTTTCCCTTGAACAGAGCTGAATTAGTCATTCTCATCTCTTCCCCTCTTAACTTTTCTTTTGCTTAAAAAAAAATTTCTTTTGGCCAGGCGCGGTGCCTCACGCCTGTAATCCCAGCACTTTGGGAGGCCGAGGTGGGTGGATCACCTGAGGTCAGGAGTTCGAGACCAGCCTGGCCAACATGATGAAACCCCATCTCTACTAAAAATACACAAAGAAATTAGCAGGTTGTGGTGGCACATGCCTGTAATCCAGCTACTCCAGAGGCTGAGGCAGAAGAATTGCTTGAACCTGGGAGACGGAGGTTGCGGTGAGCCAGGATTGCACCATTGCACTCAAGCCTGGGCAACAGAGCGAGACCTCGTCTCAAAAAAAAAAAAGAAATTTTTTTTTGTAGAAAAATTGTTTTGGTAGAAATCGTGTCTCACTATGTTGCCCAGGCTGGGCTCAAACTCATGGCCTTAATTGCTGAGATTATAGGTGTGAACCACAGCACCAAGCCCTTTCTTTTAGTTTTAAGTTTTATGTTAGAATAAATATTCCCCTACCTGCTACAACTTTATGCAAATGTATTATCTTTGGTTTAAGACTGATTCAAGCTTGAGGTTGAAATCACAGTATTTGACAGACTACACTCAGCTATCCTCTACTGAATGTGTGTAATCTAAAGTTATATTTGTTATAGCAAGATGTTATCCAGTGAATTTTTTTTTAATCTTCAATTTTACTCTCATGAGAGACCAGGGTGGTATTAATGAGTCCTGGGAATAAGTAGAGAGATTATTTGGTCTAGTGTTAAAGGATATTCTGTGGAACACACATTCAGGTGTTAATAGTTGATCCTATAGAACGAAGGGGACAAGTTTGTTTTAATTAGTAGAGTATGCGAGACTTACCATATTTATTTGTCTATGGAGCTTGTTTGTGGACAAATGAATTTGGGAAGCATTGCTTACTCTGCTAATTAGACTACTAAAAGCTGTGAGAAGAGTATTGCAGTATAAAGAATGTGCCAACTCAGATGAAGGGAAATGGAGGTAATAGAGAAGTATGAGGTCACAAATGGACATTGTTGAGCTTTTTCCAGGATCTTTCCACTATACTGCTTCCAGATTTTCTTAATGGTTTAGAATAAATATTGTATTATAAAACCTATGTGTGTATGCACATGCGCATGCATGCCCACTCATCTTAATGCCAATAAAATGCCAACAACATTAAATGAAATAGCAAGCAGTTATGTATGTTTACTCTGTGCTAGGTAGGCAGTGTTGCAAATACTTTACATAGAACTCATAAATAGTCCTCTTTAGAGCCCTTTAAGGTAGAACGAAGTATTCCCATTTTACAGATGAGGATGTTGAATACAAAGAGGTTAGGTAATTTACCCAAGCCATATTCATAATCTATTCAGATAAAATGTAAAGCCATCAAAGGGGTTGGTACCTACTTATTATAAGAGCAAATTGTACAGGAGACTGAAAATTTTGCCTGCAAATCTGCAAGCAAAGGCCTGGGCTAGACTGTTGATCGTCTGCCCTTTCTACCTAATTATTTACATTGTGGGAGTGAGGAGAATATTAATGGTGCCAGTGGAGTTTTTTTGTTTTTGTTTTTTTTTTTTTGTATTTTGTTATTTTTTTTGTTTAATTCCAGAAAATGACCAAAGATCATTTGGTAGAAGAGAAAGCTTCTCTTCAGAAAAGTCTTCTTTACTATGAAAGTCAACATGGAAGGCCGGTAATATCTCTCTTGCTAAAAAGATTTGATTTTATGTCTTAAAAAAGAACATGAATCAATTTTGTGGCCTACATTCTTCAGGGCTGTTTTTTGAGCATTATTTCCTACAATTGGGGGATTGCCTATGTATTTAATATAAAATTTGAAATTGGGCGAATAAGTCATTGTTTAATGTTTTGGACATTTTAGATTTGTGATGACTAGACAATTTCTTTTTTTTCTTGCTTCAGGTGACCAAGGAAGAAAGGCACATTGTTAAACCTCTCTATGATAGATACAGGCTTGTAAAACAAATGCTGACAAGAGCTAGCATCACTCCTGTCCTTGTAAGTAAAATAAGCAATAATTCTCTGGTTCATTTTATCAAGATGTACTCTTCCCAAAAAAAATTATTATTGTGGTATATTGGAGAAATACACAGCCAAGACAGAAATAATTGTCACTGTAAGGTGAGATTACTGATTTTAAAATAGGAAACTAATAATGTCTGCTAGTATATCCCAGACACTTGTGTAAGCATTTTTATGTATGCTTATGTCATTAAATCCTGACAAGTAAAATCACAGCAGGTAGAATATGATAGCATCATTTCACAGGTGATGAAACTGAGGCTTAGGCAGTGAGTGATGTGCCTAATCTACTTTGTAAGTGACAGAAGCAGAATGGGAAACTCATTCAGACTCCTTGTCTAGTTTCTTTCCATTTAAATTCATGTCGTTGAAAATGCATCAGTTTTGTGGTGGCCATGATGATGTCCTTTTATTTGCATAATGATATAAGCTGACTTTTAAAATAAGTTAATCTTTTTAATGAGAAGAAGTCACTTAAAATAATGCTTATTGGTATTTGTGTGCATTTTTAAAGAAAAATGAAAACTTTAGTGTTTAAATGCATATTAAGTGCTGTCCCCAAATTAACCTTTAGATAGTATGACTGTAGATAGATTGGTCTTGGGTTCAAATAGAAAACAGCATGTAGCCCATTTTACATTATTTCCTATGAATTAATTCACTGAACCTTCTGGTTTGCTGTGGCTTTCAGGCTATTTTTATGTAGACAGCTACTTGCATGGCAGCTTCCTTTAGGTGATGACTGCCTGGTGACTTTCTTTTTTTTTTCCTAACTTTTATTTTAGATTCAAGGGGTATATGTGCAGTTTAATTACCTGGGTGTATTGCTTGATGCTGAGGTTTGGGGTACAAATAATCCTGTCACCTAGGTACTGAGCATAGTGCACAACATTTTTCATTCCTTGCCCCCCTCCCTCCCTTCCCCCTCTAGTAGTCCACATTGTCTGTTGTTGCCTTTTTTTTATGTCCATGAGTACCCGATGTTTAGCTCCCACTTATAGATGAGCACATTCAGTATTTGGTTTGCTGTTCATTTATTAATTTGTTTAGGATAATGGCCTCCACCTACATCCGTGTTATCCCAAAGGACATGATTTTGTTTTTTTTTTTTTTTGTTTTTGAGATGGAGTCTCGCTCTGTCATCCAGGCTGGAGTGCAGTGGTGTGATCTCAGCTCACTGCAACCTCCGCCTCCCGGGTTCAAGCAATTTTTCACCTCAGCCTCCCAAGTAGCTGGGATTACAGGCACCCACCACCACACCCAGCTAATTTTTTAGTAGAGACAGGGTTTCACCATCTTGGCCAGGCTGGTCTTGAACTCCTGACCTTGTCATCCACCTGCCTCGGCCTTCCAAAGTGCTGGGATTACAGGCATGAGCCACCGTGCCCTGCCGATTTTGTTCTTTTTTATGGCTGTATAATATTTCATGGCGTATATGTACCACATTTTCTTTATCCAATCCACTGTTGATGGGCACCTGATTTCATGACTTTGCTATTGTGAATAGTGCTGTGGATAACCATGTGACTGCATGTGTTGTTTTTGGTAGAATGATTTGTTTTCTTTTGGATATATATACCTAGTGATGGGATTGCTGAGTCGAATGTCAGCAGATGAATGAGTAAATAAGATGTGGTAACCCGTACACTCAAAATACTCTTCAGCCATAAAAAACAATGAAATAATAATAGATGCCACAACATGGGTGAACCTTGGAAACAAGCTGAATGAGAGAAGCCTGACACAAAGGGGCACATATTATATGATCCCATTTGTATGAAATATTTAGAATAGGCAAGACCATAGAGACAGAATTTAGATTAGTGGTTACCAAGGGCTAGGCGGAGAAGGCAAATGAGTAACAGCTAATGGGCACAGAGTTTCTTCTGAGGTAATGAAACGTTCCGAAATTAGTGGAGATAGTTGCACAACTTGGTAAATATACTAAAAACCACCAAATTATACATTTTAAAAGGGTGAATTTTATGATATATAATTATATCTTAATAAAGTTATTTTTAAAAAAGAGTATAGAATGGTCCTCAAACCAAAAAAGTTGATACCTATTTTTAAAAAGAAAAGTGCTTCCCATTAAACTATATGTATGTTCTTATCATTTAGAATTTTTTTTTTGAGGCAGAGTCTTGGTCTGTTGCCCAGGCTGGAGTGTGGTGGTACAACTTGGCTCACTGCAACCTCCACCTCCTGGGGTTCAAGCAATTCCCCTGCCTCAGCCTCCTGAGTAGCTGGGACTACAGGTGCGTGCCACCACGCCTGGCTAATTTTTTGTATTTTTAGTAGAGGCGGGCTTTCACCGTGTTAGCCAGGATGGTCTCGATCTCCTTACCTGTGATCCGCCTGCCTTGGCCTCCCAAAGTGCTGGGATTACAGGCGTTAGCCACCGTGCCTGGCCCATTTAGAATTTTTAAAATATCTGTTGTATGAGCTCTTTCAGACTTTTCTAGACATAAATTATTATCTTCCTTGTGCATAAATAAAAATATAAGCAAAAATAAATGTAAGCAATTCCTAAAAAGATTTAAAGCAAATGTTTAAGATTTTGAAAATAAAGTTGAAGATTCGTAACATAATGAAGGGAAGCTTCACTGGACACTTTGAATACTTAAAATGTAAAACTATTTATATTATTGATTGTTATAGGGATCTCCATCCACCAAGCGAAGGGGTCAGATGTTACAGCCAATCATAGAAGGAGAAACTGCACATTTTTTTGAAGAAATCAAGGTAATCCTTTAAAGAAATAATTATCTGATCCCTTCCCTAAGGGAAGAGTTCAAAGACAAGGCATGTTTGATTCTCTGTTTGGATATCTTTTTAGGAGGAAGAAGAAGATGGTGTTAATCTGTCCTCTGAGTTAGGTGATATGTTGAAAACTGCAGTACAGGTACAGTCTTCATTAGAAAACTCTGAATCTGATGTTGAAGAAAATCAAGAAAAACTGGCTCTGGATCTCCGATTGTCAAGTTCTCGAGCAGCTTCTATGTATGTATGCTGATTTGTGATTTTAGCCTATTTTTATAATAAAATGTATATGCCAAGAAATTTGATGTTAAATGAGTATTAAGGAATTAATAGGAGATGAATCAAGAATTTATCAAAGGACACATGCTTTTCAAGTGTGATTTGCAAATATTTATTGTCATTCCCATTTTTAAATAAAACATTACTGTATTTCAAAAATTAAAAAAAAATCTAGCCAGGCACAGTGGCTCATGCCTATAATCCCAGCAGTTTTTGAAGCTGAGGCAGGAGGATCCCTTGAGGCCAGGAGTTCAAGACCAGCCTGGGCAATATAGTGGGACCCAGACTGTATAAAAATTTTGTTTAAATTAGCCAGGGGTGGTGGTGTTCGCGTGTAGTCCCAGATACTTGGGAGGCTGAGGCAAGAGGATCACTTGATTCTCTGTTTGGAGGATGTTGAGGCCACTGTCGCACCGCTGTTCCAGCCTGGGCGACAGAGTGAGACTCTGTCTCTAAAAAAGGAAACAAACAAATAAAATCCTACAGTTGATTTATAACAAAGTACAGGAACTAGTTGCGAGTTGATCTTTTTGTTCTATATCCACTTCTTTACCTTTGGATGATATGGTGTATGTCACTGGTTCTGAGCCCTGACTTCACTGGGAAGATTTTAAAGTACTGATGCTTGAGTCCTTCAGCTATTCTGATTTCATTGGTTTGCAGTGGAGCTTAGGCATTGGTAGACCTAACAGTTCCCCAGCCACTTTTAATTTGCAGCCAGAAATAGAACCTCTCTTAAGAATATAATGAATCAAGTGTGCCCTTCAGTATTTTACCATTTCAATTCTAGGCCTGAATTATTGGAACAACTTTGGAAAGCCAGAGCTGAAAAAAAGAAACTACGCAAAACGTTGCGGGAATTTGAAGAAGCATTTTATCAACAAAATGGAAGGTTTGTTGAGCATCACAAAATTGAGTCATCTTTCTTCTCTAACTCACAAACTGACCATATGTTGAAATAATGGAATACGTGGGATTAGAAATTGTGCATATAGGATGCTAGCACTGAAAAATTTTAAAACATTCCTTTATGCTCTGAGGCCCTGCTTTTAATGGCCAGGAATAGTCACAGCCAGTGTAAACAACATCTGATTAACTATTTTCGGATTGTCCTAGGGAGCCTTGGTTGTATTGCAGTGATTTTATATTCTTTAATTCTACATCCTTACCCTTTTGGGAGTGGTTGTGAAATGAGATATCTCTTATTTTAGAAAGGATCCCATGACAGGAGTGGTATCCTTAACTAGTTTGGATTTTTTATTTTATACTGAGACCATTGTGTTCATACTGTGTGTTGAGGTTGCCCGTTTCCAAGGTGTCTAACAGTGTGCCAGGCATGTGGCTCCTATAATACAGTATGGCACATGCCTTTATCTAACTAGGTAATGCACAGTTGACTTGGAAGGGCTCTTTTTAAAAACTAAGAAAAATACATTCCAGTTCTGATGGTGGCCAGAAGTTTGGGTTCAGTTATCTCAGGCCTGAGAAACATTTTTCTAAGTAGCTGGGTTATCTTACCAAGCTGATAGCTAATATTACAAATTCTAAAATATCTGTACTTTAATTCCCTTTGCTTTGTGAGTCTCCTATATAGGTTGGCACATATGGTTAAAAAAAAATCTGAAGTGGGCCAGGCGCAGTGGCTCACGTCTGTAATACCAGCACTTTGGGAGGCTGAGGCGGGTGGATCACGAGGTCAGGAGATCAAGACCATCCTGGCTAACACAGTGAAACCCTGTCTCTACCGAAAAATACAAAAAAAATTAGGCAGGCGTGGTGGCGGGCACCTGTAGTTCCAGCTACTCTAGAGGCTGAGGCAGGAGAATGGCGTGAATCCGGGAGGCGGAGCTTGCAGCGAGCTGAGATGTCGCCACTGCACTCCAGCCTGGGCGACAGAGCAAGGCTCTGTCTCAAAATAAATAAATAAATTGAAGTGCAGAAATGCATTTTTCCAAGTGTCTACTGTTTCATTGTATTATTGGGAGAAAATTTTGCTTATAGTTAGGATAGTTTGATGCTTTAGCTAGCGATTAAACTGAATTGCATTGGGTCATTACTATAAAGTTAGAAAATTACTCTTGTTGCAGATAAGATAGTTTACTTTTACATCTCAATTCACTGGAGCCGCAGTTAACTAAATGTATTAAATGACTCAGTGTAGCCTCCAACACTTAATAGACACTCACAGACCTGGCAGAGTCTAGCACTGGATGTCCTGTTAAAATACTGGGTTTCCTCCAGTTATCTATGTTGATTATTTATAAGTATAGCATCATTTAATCTATCAGTAGAGAAGTCCATCAAAAATTTTAGAAGTGTTCCTTGGGGATGAGGGTATTAGTTCAATAACCTTTTTTTTTTTTTTTAACAGAACAACTTTTTATTTGAACTTATGTTTAGTAACAGTATGTCTCATATTAAGACAACTTTTGGATCTTTTTTTCCAAATGATCTCTAGAACATTACAAATTTTATTTTCTCCCCTAGGAATGCCCAGAAAGAGGATCGTGTTCCAGTGCTTGAGGAGTACAGAGAGTACAAGAAAATTAAAGCCAAGCTTAGGCTTCTTGAAGTTCTTATAAGCAAACAAGATTCTTCAAAATCCATATAAGATACGTTCCTTGAAAATTCATATCATAAAGTCAGTTGTATTCCTTGAAGCTATCATCGTGTGTACTTGGCTGGTACTTAAATTCGTTTTGTCAGGCACTCAGAGAATCTCATTTTGTACTTGGTTGTGGTGCCACTAAACAAAACAAATGATGGGAGAGTAAGTAGGCCCTCTCAAGGGAGCGTAAGTGATGTTCCATATTAACCACAGACTGTCCTCTCCACCTTTAGCAAACATATGGTTTACTTCATTGTTTTGTACTACAGATACATCCTTTTAGCAAAAGACTGGAATTTTATCCTTTCAACTTCAAGAACTTTGGAAATGCAAGCTTTTTGTTATTACCAACTTTTTGTTTCTCATTACTGAAGAAAATTGGAGGAAAATCTTCATACTGAATTCTTCTGTTGCCTTTTTCTTACAGAATGACTGAAAATTTGAAAGAAAAGCCTATAAAAGTGCACATACGCAACTGTGTTCTCTGTTTTCCTAGAAAACCAAAATCAAACTGAGATTTCAAGTCGTACTATGGAACACCTTTCTGTTTAATTCCCAAAGTGACATCTTCTCACAGGTAGTATGTTAGTAAAATTTTGCAATTCGCTGGTCACACAGCTCCCGGATGAAGATAACAGTTGGTAGACCAAAAGGTGACCTCGCTTAGTATATTGAAAACACACACCACACATCACACACAGAACTGAATCATACCACATGCTGCCTATGGGACTTCAGTTACTGTTTCCTGAGTTACTGTTTATCCGCTGGCAATGGTGTGATTTGTCTGGATCAGATCCGCGCTATTCCCCAACCCACCTCCAGATAATGTGAGAAAATAGCCATGTCAGTATGTAGGAACTCTGATGGTGCTCAGATTTGTGTGTTCAATCAATGGGCTTAAATCAGCAAAATATTATGCCTAAAGTAAATCTGTTCTTAACAAGGGCTCTACCACTGCATTTTCACATGTACCTTCAGGGGGTTATCTTTTTTTTTTTCCCCTCCTATTTTAATCAGCAAAATCCATACCAAAACAACGACAACAACGCCCTCTTAAGGGACCACCCTTTGGTCAATCATAACATGCTGTTTAAAGCAGCTGTTTACAGGATGTGTAGTGGTATGCCCCTTGTCATATACTCTTAGCATATCTTTTTTTCCTTTGGCTTTGCATGGCTTTTCTTCAGGTACTGTCTCGGTATCATTCTGCTAATCATTGTTACAGAATGGTGACTTCATTTGTGCTAACAGTACAACAGCAGATTTGGGTCAGGCTTAATCTAAGTGTTAACTTTTTTTTCTGGTGCTTTTTTGGATTGATGACTGTCTCACTTTGACTATACCCATGTTTTGCATGCAATGACTCATGCATGGTTTTCTTAACTAGCTAATATTAACAATTTATTCCATATAAAAATGGAATTTTGCAACATCCTTTAATAAGGTGAGGGAAGCATGAACCTCAGACTTCTGGCACTATTACATAGTAAGCACATGAAGTAGTTTGATAATAAATAGCAGTTCTAGTACTTCACATTTCACCCGTGTGTGCAATGCCTTTTTCTGGGGGGTGGGGGGTGAGGGAAAACCTGGTAGTGAATGTGTAGTTGGGGAATAAAGAAAAGCACTAAATCCTGCCCTTTTTGTGTGGTTTCCTTTTGATACAACTAGGTTATTCATAATGTATACCTAGAAAAGTGAAATTGAAAATACCAAAAGATGTATCATTTTTATTTGAATCCATCATGCAGTGTACATTTCAGATAATTTCCTTCAGTCTCCAGATAGGAGTGTATCCAAACATCTAATTTTATGTGCACTGTGTATCTTATATGAATGTTTTATTTTATATACCACATGCAAAAATGTCCATATGCACTATTTAAATGTTTTAAATAATATATTCCTTCTTTATAATGCTAAATCTATATGAGTACCATATTTTTATAAGTCAGTGGTCTGACTGGTTTCATTTTAGAATTAACAGCTGCTTCAATATGTTATTCAATGTTAATGTTTGGCTGTGAGTAGAATATGTAAAAGTGGCATGGCAGCACTTATGCTCTGTGACAGTATTGTGTGTCATAGTTGAGCAGTAGCTGGTAGAATTAGGCAGTTGGTGATAGTTTTACTTTGGTACAAATAAAAACTGTATATCTATATACAAATAATATATAGATATATATGTCCACCAGTATAATGGCATTGCTGTGTCTGGCACTTCATTGTACAGACTTTTATAATAAAAGAACTTGAAAGTTCTAAGTCATTGTAAATGTATGTTTGTTTTTCCACTGGGCTTAAAAAAAAAAAAAAGACCTCAAGTGTTCCCTCAGCTTAGGCTTTGTTTAAATGATCCCACCCAGGGGCGATGGTAGGGAACAACAGGGTCACTAAACTATTTGGCTGGCTACAACTCTGGGAAATGGTAAGACAGGGAAAGGCCATGTTGTTCATTCCCTTGTGCAGATCTAGGGAGAAGCCGCAGAGAGAACAGTTAGCATTTCTTGTTACAATGAATTATCCTATTAAGAACACTGGATGTACAGTCTCTTAAGAGAAGAGCTTGTCCTGAGGAAGGTGAGTAGTAATCTAAAAATGTCTTTATATTTGAGTTTTAAAATTCAGGAACTATTGAGCATCAATGTGGAAGTTGAGTGCTGAGGTCAAATGATGTTGCTTGGGCTAAGAGAACATATGGCTATCGTAGGGGGGCTTACATAGCCTAGAAAAATTAGAAGAGTTTCTCTCCAATTTCCAAAATGCCAGCCACACACAACTTTCCAACCCTCCAAATAAGGCTGTTACAGCATCCTCATTTACACTTTCCAAACATAACTTATGACAGTGATACGCCTACCCTGCTCTGTATTTTATTTTTGGGAAACCTTAAATGCATTACACCTTAGAAATGGTCTAGGTAAATTTCCAGTTTGAAGATGTTAGTGAGATTTCTGTAGGTGGCTGGGGAGTTTGTTCTACACTTTGGCTTTTTCCAGAAGGCTTCAAATTCTAAAGAATGGAGGGAGGTTACTTTACTTGGGTCTTATATAATGGTTTCCCAGAATCCTAAGCCTTTATTAATTTATCTGTGGCCAAAGGAATTCAGAACATGGTACCTGACGCACTTGATAGCATCAATAGTTTTTCTACTCTGTAACTATGAGAAAACTGTCTTTCTCTACCTACTGACTGAACTACTGGAGACCTGCCGCCTGAACTAGAAGCATTTTCTTGTACTTTCACTTTTCTAGAATTTGATAATAAACCTCATTATAAAATCCTTTGTACCAGTGTGTGTATACTGGAGGCTTGTCATAATATGCATGGATTGTATAGTGAGTCCCTGTCAGAGGCACTTCATTCTGACCCTAAGGATAGTTTGATGATAGGTTGTTGAGTACTTTTTAAAGTGTGCCTGAAAAGGGCACAAGTTTATGAAGTAATACATGAATAAGAAATGCTCAATGGGCTGGGTGCGGTGGCTCACGCCTGTCATCCCAGCACTTTGGGAGGCCAAGGCGGGTGGATCACGAGGTCAGGAGATCGAGACGATCCTGGCTGACACAGTGAAACCTCGTCTCTACTAAAAATACAAAAAATTAGCTGGGCACGGTGGCGGATGCCTGTAGTCCCAGCTACTCGGGAGGCTGAGGCAGGAGAATCGCTTGAACCCGGGAGGTGGAGTTTGCAGTGAGCCGAGACCACGCCACTGCACTCCAGCCTGGGCGTTAGAGCGAGACTCCGTCTCAAAAAAAAAAAAAGAAATGCTCAATGATTGCATCACAGATTCTTACCTCCACTTGTCTCAATACTATAGAGCTGAAACCTTTCTCACCACTTGATTTAGCTTCAAATTGATGTAGTGTAATTCCTTCTCCAGCTCCACAGCATATAAAAAAAGTCTAGAAAATTTCGAAGGAAGTAGAGAATGAGTCAGTAATAAACTTTCATGTATAGACAGCAAGTTACTAGTGCGAAATGCTTTGGGAAGATAGAATTGTAAGCTCCTAAAACATGCCTCTTGTGGCCAGTTATAGATCTAATATTCTAAAGCTATGTGGAGAACAGGATCTGTTATGCAAATCAAATATAGATGGCAGTTTCTGTTATTTAGAGATAACAGGGATGTAATCAAAAGCTTCTCACCTTGTAAGCAAATGGAGTCATATGCAACTTTAAAACTGGATAGAAAGTAAATAAAGGCATCCTAATAGAGTAAAGTTTTGGGTTCAGGAAAATAATGTGTTTAACTCATGTCCTTAATGCGCATGTCATGATATCCCATAATAGTCTGGTTAGAACATAAGCTTACTCTCGAAATTCTTCTTGAGTGACAGGCTGGTAGTCATCTTGAATTTCCATAGAATAATACTTTTTCTCAAGCCTCTCTTTCCATTTTTTCATCTGCTCTGCGTTTTGAATCTCCTGTCAGGGTAGAGGACAAGTAAAGGCTGCAATCTTTAGTTCTCTATTTCAAGTCTTTGGCACACAAGCATCACAGGATTGAGGATCTTAAGCTGTTCTCCTCTCCAGCCCTCAGATTTTGAGCCCTGCTGACTTTTTGCCCTGCCTAGATTTTAGATCTGTGCATCAGCAAAGTCACTTCAGAGGACTTGATTGGTGTAATTGCTGTCTAGCATAGTTAGGGAAGCTTTGTAAACAAATTATAAATTACATTTCACTGCCTTTTCCCTTTAGCATCTCCATCTAAATTATTTTCTCTTTCTTGTGATCAAAGCTAAGATGTTCTTTCTGTACCTCTGTTATTTAGCAAATGTAACTAGTAATTAGATTCAAAGTGTATCTGTGGGTATTTTTGGCCTTCCCAGCAGCTTCTCAGTCAGATGACTTCAAAACCCCCTCTTTGTAATTACTGCATTGGTTAGTCAATGTGTGTACTCCAGTCTGTCTACGTATCCAAAAACAAGCCCTTTGTACCACAAAATTTGTATTGCTGAACCTTCCTGTGCACTGTTCTCACTACCACCTGCTTTCCTTACAGTGTCCAAATACCCTTTTCCCAGCTACAGATAAAAAGGGCCTGTGTGTTGTGGAAAATAACCATAGCACTAGAAAAAGGTAAAGAGGAGACAATGCACCCAGATGTGATTCAAAACCTTCTCAGTAAATTTGTATGATACTTCCCTGCTCCAGCAATAATGCTAGGTAGCAAAGTGGATCCCTTTATAAGGGTTATGATTACCTTCCTCAGAGAGGATGGTGATGCCTAGTGCCATACACTCTGTGGTTGCTTGATAAGTGTGTACTCTTCTGGTCAGAGAAACTATCTTAGAGAGTGCCTTTCTTTAAACCAACATTTTTTTTTCTTTTGTGTGTGTGTGTGACAGTCTCACTCTGTCACCCAGGCTGGAGTGCAGTGGCACGATCTCGGCTCACTGCAGCCTCCCACTCTGTCACCCAGGCTGCAGTGCAGTGGCACAATCTTAGCATTCGATGTGGAAGTTGAATGCTAACCACCCCTCCCGGGTTCAAAGGATTCTCCTTCCTCAGCCTCCCGAGTAGCTGGGATTACAGGCGTGCACCACCACATCTGGCTAATTTTTGTATTTTTTTTTAGTAGAGACGGGTTTCGCCATGTTGGCCAGGCTGGTCTTGAACTCCCAGCCTCAAGTAATCCGCCTGCGTCGGCCTTCCAACGTGCTGGGATTACAGGTGCGAGCCACCGCGCCCAGCCTTAAACGAACATATTCGAAGTAGGAAAGGATGGCTTTCAATCCTAGTTTTGTTTTGGACACATTATAGCACCCATGGTTTGGCTCATTTACTAATACTTTTAATGTGCTAAAGTGGTAGTCCCTGAAACCATTTCTAAATGACCAGGCCAATTATAAAGTGGATGTATTAGTAATAAAAGTAAAATAGACTATGCATAGTAAACTTATTTTAAAAACCCGTCTCAGCCATCACTCTTTTTGTGAAGCCTTCCTTGACACTTAGAGGAAAGTGGTACCTTTCCTCATAAGCTGAGCACCAACTCTTTGGTGACCCTTGCTCCAAGCTCCTACGTCCTGCTCGCCCTACCACCTTCCCTTGTGGTAGCTGCCTCCTGCAGTTAGTTGTCTCTGGATGATCTTCATGTTCATATTGGCCCTTACACTCCTGCAATATCTCAGAAGCAAATTCTGTATACCAAACTCCCTCTTTTTAAATTACCTAAGTGATTTCTGTTTTTCTGACAACTCTTAACTGATGAATAATTGGTAGCAGGGGAGACCCAAAGAAATAGACCCTCATAGATTGCATGCTTCCACCAAGGGGCACAACAATTGACTTAAACTGAATTTGAGACTGCCACTTGACCGTTTGGGATTCCTCATGCCTACAGAACCAGCAGGGAAAGAAGTGGTTATTTATGTGTTGAGGTGATTGATGCGAATTACCAAGGGGAAATTGGATTACTGCCACAAACTAGCACAGAGCAGACTGTGCCCAAGGGATTCTCTGGTATGCCTCTTAATACTTAGATGTCCAAAAGTAAAAGGTAATGGGAAACCACAGCATTCTGTTAAAGGCAGGACCACTGAGAGTTCAGATTCTGAACTAATTAAGGTTATTCCTAATGCAGCTGGCTGAGCTCTTGGCTGTAGGCAAAGGGAATGATACGGAATGGGTAGGAGAAGGAAGTTATAAATACCAACTGTAGCCTTGTAATCTGTTACAGAAACAAAGACTGTAGCCCTATTCCTATTTCCTTCTTTGCTTGTTATGTGTATATTTTCTTTCTCCTTTATCTAAGGAATACTGGTGGTGGCTAACTGTAGTTTAAACATTAGGTTGCAAAGTATTCTTAAGGAATTGTGATTCAACTAGAAGAGGTCATAATATCCACAGATGGATACAATTACTGTTGGGACTTTGCTTCTCCCTTTTTAGGGAGAAGGTGAAAGTACCTTCATTTGTATAAAGGATAGTTTGATCTTACTGGATAGAAGCTTGGAATCATCATTTTATGGAAGTGCAAATGTGTATGCCACAGGAGTGGAATGGACCAACTGTTCAGCTCAAAATTTACCCTCTTATACTCTGTGATGTTGGGTTTTAGGCTTTGTAAGCTTCATTCCCTAAACTGTTAATACCTGGATTCCTGTTAGATTCTGCCAGTATTTGCAGGATAGAGGGGAGAAAGGTCGTGGGTTTTTTTTTTTTTTTTGGTTTGTTTTGTTTTTTGTTCTGTTTCTATTGGCACTGCTTATGCAATGGTAGTTATCTCCAGCAACAGTGGCTCTAGCTGTAGCATCTAGCTGCTTTTGGCATACTCAGAAGCAGCCTCATCACACCCACTCAAGAAGTACAGATTGAGTATCCCTAATCGGAAATCTGAAGTGTTCAAAATCCAAAACTTTAGCACCTCGATGACTCTCAAAGGAAATGCTCACTGGAGCATTTTGGATTTCAAATTTTTGAATTAGGAATGCGGAACCAGTAGGTATATAATGCAGATATTCCAACATCCAAAAAAAATCTGAACTCTAAAACACTTCTGGGTCCCAAGCATTTTGGATAAAGAATACTTAACCTTTATCAGCAGCAGCAGTGAGGTACCTTCTCATCACAGGACTGAGCAACAGCTCCACAAGCCCCTTCTCTAAGATAGTAGGTTCTAGTAACACCACCTTTTGTAATCTTAGCCCTAGGAGTGGTAACCTCTTCCTGCAGTCATTATTTATGAGTTGTCTCAGTGTTATCATTTCACTTTTTTCTGTCTTTTAATACCTGTGTAGTAATCAATTCACTGTAGTATATTTTCTCTATTTGAAATACATATTATGGTTTCTTTCTGAGTGGGCTCTGATTGTTAGATGTAGTACGTTTTCTCATTTGGTCAGGTGTATTTTTGTGTCTTTTTTTTTTTGAGACAGAGTTTCGCTCTTGTTGTCCAGGCTGGAGTGCAGTGGCGTGATCTTGGCTCACTGCAACCTCCACCTCCTGGGTTCAAGCAATTCTCCTGCCTCAGCCTCCCAAGTAGCTGGGATTACAGGTGCACACCACCACGCCTGGCTAATTTTGTATTTTTTAGTAGAGATGGGGTTTCACCATGTTCACCAAACTCCTGACCTCAAGTGATCCACCCGCCTCAAGTGTCCCAAAGTGCTGGGATTACAGGTATGAACCACCATGCCCGGTATTTTTGTGTCTTTAAGGAATGTTTAAAGTTTTTTATCTTGGTTTTGAACATTTTGTTAATTGCTGGGCATTTTCTACTTTGTTGCTGTTACAAATAAGGTCTTCTATTATAATTTTTACCAAACCAATTGATGTTTGCATATATGACATTTATGTAAATTATTTTTCCTACCAGTTTACCTAATTATCTTTTTATTGTAATTTTTCAGATCATCATATACCTAGAAAATTGAAGAGAATCATAAGTAAAGGCAGTTTTACTTTTTTCAATTAGAAATACCTCTAATGTAGTTCTCTTATCTAATTGTTTTGACTTTACCCCTCCAATACATCACTATCTTGTCCCTGACATGTTCAATGTTTTCCTATTAAGTAAGGTGAAGAGGATAAGATCAATGTTTTTATCATATCAAGGAAATATCATTGATTTTTATTTTTCCCCTCAAGATTGGGTGTTGAAACTTATAAAATACCCAGCATTTGTGGAAAATGATCATGCAGTTTTCCTTTTTTAATGCAATGAATTACGTTGATTAGTTGATTACCCAATTTTGAACCATCTTTTCATGCCTAAAATAAATACTATCTGAATCTTCATATATTATTGTGTGCTGTTAGATTCTATCTGCTAATATTTAGGATTTTTGCTTTAAGATGTATACATGAGATTTCCTGTTTTTGGCACAATATATAGTAGTTTCATAAACGTAATTTGGGAGTTTTTCTTTTCTCTTTGCCAGGGCATTTTCTTTTTTCTCTTTGCTAGGGCAAAGAGGAATAGCTTAAATAGCTTGAAACTGTTTGCTCCTTAAAATCTTGTAGAATTTCCTTGTGAAGACCGTCTGATTGATTTTGGAGACAGCTCTTTGATGACTTCATTTCTTCTACAGAATGGATTTGTTTAGGCTTTTTATCTTCTGGGCTCAGTTTTGATAAATTTTATTTTCATAGAAATATTGCCCATTTCATTCAGTTTTTCAAATGTTATTTTCATAGAGTTATACAAAAAAGTCTATTAGTGAGATCTTTTAATTCCTTCCATTTCTTATTTCCCCCATTGTAATTTCTTACTTTGTATGTTTATGCTTTCTCTCCTTTATTCCACTAGTTACCTAGTGATTTCTTTTCACTGATGTTTGCAAGGAACTAGCCTTTTGATTTATTTATACTACTACTATTGTTTATAACTCATTCTACTTTAATCTTAATAACTTTTTTCTTGGTATTTATCATTTTTTTGAAAATTCTAACATTCACTTCTTTACATTCTTTTATTTTTATTGATAAATTTAAGACTTAATTTTCCTCTGAGTATTTTTTTTTTACTTTATCTCAGATTCTGCTACATGGTGTTTTTATTATTTTGTTTTCTTGGAATTCTATGATTTCATTTTCTTTTTTTTTTTTTTTTTAGATGGAGTCTCACTTTGTCACCCAGGCTGGATTGGTACAGTGGCGTGATCTTGGCTGACTGCAACCTCCACCTCCCGGTGTTCACCTGCCTCAGCCTCCTGAGTAGCTGGGATTATAGGCGTGTGCCACCACACCCGGCTAATTTTTGTATTTTTAATAGAGATGGGGTTTTACCATGTTGGTCAGGCTGGTCTCGAACTCCTGACCTCATGATCCGCCCACCTCAGCCTCCCAAAGTGCTGGGATTACAGGCATGAGCCACTGCACCCGGCCTGTATTTCTTCTTTGACTCGAGTCATTTAATAGAGAGTTTTGATATTTTTTAGTCAAAGAATTTTTTCATTTTCTGATTTTGTTACTAACATTTTTATTATGTTGTTTTCATAGAATTTTTTTCTGCATTAACTTTTGGAATGTATTGAGGATTTCCTTGTGGCCCAATAGGTGAGCAGTTTTTATGAATGAGTTTTTAAAAAGGAGGGGTATTTTCTGAGAGTACAGAACTTAATATACAACTGTACGATCATCTTATTTATTATATTGTTTTGGGCTTTTTAATCCGTTTGTTTTTCTTGATCTGTTCTTTGTTTTTTTTGTGTGTTCCTATTTCTCCTTTTTAAAATCCAGTAATCTTTATTAAAGTTGATACTCTGTTTGGTGCATAGATATTCATAACTGATAAAATTAATCTTAGCCTCATAAAGTTTAGACTTTAGGTCATTTGGAGCTTTTTGTCTAGAATCCTTTGATTTATATTCAGTTGTGTCCCCTGATATCTTTTGTTTGCCTTTTAGGTCTTTGATCATGCTTTTATATTTAACATTTTGGAATCTCTTTAAGTATATATTTTAGGATATAGCATAGAACTGGGTTTGCTTTGTGATTCAAATGTCATCTGTCCTCTAGTAGAATCCTTAGAAAGATGATAGTATTCCCTAAGTTCTTGCATGTTCGAGCCTTTATATTTGAAGCACAGCTTTGCTGGATGAAAATATTTTTCTTTTTAAGTAAATTAAGCTTATTTGCATGTATTTATGTTAGATATATCTGGTTGCAGTTATACTGTTTTATATTTATATTTTAAGTCTTTTACCGTGTGGTCTGTTTTTTTTTTTTTTTTTTTTTTTTTGGCAATTTTGTCCTATAGAAATATATGTATTTTTGTTCTATTGGTTTGTCTTTGTATATCTTTTTTTTTTTTTGAGATGGAGTTTCGCTCTTGTCACCGAGGCTGGAGTGCAATGACCCGATCTCGGCTCACCGCAACCTCCGCCTCCCAGGTTCAAGCAGTTCTCCTGCCTCAGCCTCCCAAGTAGCTGGGATTACAGGCATGAGCCACCATGCCCAGCTAATTTTTAATTTTTAGTAGAGACAGGGTTTCTCCATGTTTGTCAGGCTGGTCTCAAACTCCCAACCTCAGGTGATCCACCCGCCTCAGCCTCCCAAAGTGCTGGAATTACAGGCATGAGCCATTGCGCCCGGCCATCTTTGTGTATCTTTTTATATACCCTTAGTCCTCCCTTTCTTGCTTTGTTTCCCTGCTATGATCAACAAGCAAATTAGCTTGTAAATTCTTCTTCATTGTCCTCTCCTCTACTACCCAATTATATTCAATAATGTTATTTTTCATTGTATGTGAGAGATGACGTCTTTTGTAAGACATAACATTATTTCATGTACCACTTAGGTAAAAAATGTCAATTAAACTTTGACCATTAATTATAAAACACATTCTGATTTCACAGATGTTAAAATGTGAAAAAAAATGTGTTTTAAAATCAATAAAATAGGGCTGGGCACAGTGGCTCGCTCATGCCTGTAATCCCAACACTTTCAGAGGCCAAGGCGGGAGGATCGCTCAAGGCCAGAAGTTCAAGGCCAGCCTGGGCAACACAGTGAGATGCCATCACTATGTAATTTTAAAAAAGAAAAGCCTGGGCCCAGTGGCTCACAGCTGTAATCCCAAGACTTTGGAAGGCCAAGGCGGGTGGATCACTTGAGCCCGGAAGCTCGAGACCAGCCTGGGTAGCATGGTGAAACCTCATCTGTACAAAAAACACAAAATTTAGCTGGGTGTGATGGCGCATGCCTGTAGTCCCAGCTACTTGGGAAGCTGAGGTGGGAGGATCACCTGAGCCCATGGAGGTCGAGGCTGCAGTGAGCTGTGATCATGCCACTGCACTCCATGCTGGGCAACAGAGCTAACCTTGTCGTATTATGTTTCTTACTGGTTTATTAATTCTAAATGATATTCTTTAACTTTTTTTTTTTTTTTTTTTTGTACTTTTTGTAGAGACAGGGTTTCACCATGTTGTCCAGGCTGGTCTCAAACTACTGGGCTCAAGTGATCCTCCCAAAGTGCTGGGATTACAGGTGTGAGCCAGCTCGCCCAGCCTCTCCAGTCATCTCTTGGTTGGCTGATGCTCATCCTCTAATAGAATCCTTAGAAAGACGATAGTATTTCCTGACTTCAGGCATGTTTGAGCCTTTATATTTGAAGCGCAGCTTTGCTGAATATAAAATTCCTTGGTTTACATTTTCTTTCCTTGAATATATTGTAGGTGTTCTTCTGTTGATTTATGGTTGAATGTTGTTATGCTAACCTGATTTTCTTTAAGTAAACCCAAATTTTACTTGGATAAGCCTCTTATTGACCATTCTAGGTAAAGTTTCCCATATACACAGTATGTCTTTCAATTCACGTCACCTTCTATTTCAGGAATGGTCTACCTCCACCTCCCAAAGTGCTGGGATTACAGGCGTGAGCCACCGCACCCGGCCTGATTTTTTTTAAAGAATATCAAATTTAGGCCAGGCAGGAGGTAAAGAGTTCGAGACCAGCCTGGCCAACGTAGTGAAACCTGGTCTCTACTAAAAATACAAAAATTATCTGGGTTTGGTCTCAAAAACAAATACCAAATTTAGATACAAGTTACAAGAACAATACAAATATTTTTTCCTCCTGAAGTATTTGAAAGCCACCAACACGAATGCTCCATCATCCCTGAATACTTCAGTCTGTATTTCCTGCATACAAGGACATCCTCTTTTATAATTATAGTATAACCATCAGAATAAAAAATTAATATTCATAGATTATTACCATCTAATCCTCTGTTTCTCTTTCAAGTTTATCAGTTGCCCCAATGATGCCTTTATAGGAAAATTATCCAGTCCATGATTATGTATTGTATTTACTTGACATATCATTTTAATCTCATTTAATCTGGAATAGTTCCTCAGCTTTACCTTGACTTCATGACTTGACACTTTTGAAGAACAGGCCAGTTATTTTGTAGAATGTCCCTCAATTTAAATTTTGTCATGATTTAGGTTAAGATTATATGTCTTTGACAAGGATGTCACAGAAAGGATGCTAATTCTCATGGCCTCCTATCAGGCAGCATATAATTTCCATTTGTTTCAGTGTTGATAGTGGTCACTTACTTGATTAAGGTGCTGTTAGACTTTCTCCACCCTAACATGACTGCTTTTCTTTTTGTAATAAGTATTTGGTGGAGAGGTCTGTAAACGTCTCATTCATGGAATCCTTTTATTCAATGGGTTATGAATCATTATTCATCATAATGCTTAAATATTCTCAAATTTGGCCAGCTTGAGCTCCTTAAACTGATTCTTTTAACAGATACTCCATCATTCTTTGAGCAGTTTTACTTTATGTCTCAATAAGCTATTCCAGACTCATCTTGTATAGTTGTCCTTTGGTATACATGGGGGATTGGTTCCAAGACCCCAAAGTACACCAAAATCTGCATATACTCAAGTCTCACAGTCGGCCCTGCAGAACCCACATATAGGGAAAAGTCAGCCCTCCTTAGCCCGCAAATACTAAATTTTTGATCCAGGTTAAAACATTACGCATTTAAGTGGACCTGTGCAGTTCAAACCCATGTTGTTCAAGAGGCAGCTGTACTTTCCAGCCCTGGAATTAGCGAGACCTCGAAGGAGCCCCAGTTGGTTTTAGAGGAGAATGCTATTTGGAAGCCAAGATCTGGGTACTAGTGCTCATTGCTACTAGGGTGTCATTCTAGCCCTCATAGTGGATTGGACAGAGCTAGAAAATACATGTATGTACGCAAATAGATCTAGATTCCAATCCAGCACCACAAAGTTCACCTTCAGCCTTTCCATTTGTATAATTCCTTTATCCGAAAATGAGAACTTCAATATTTATTTGCTTGCTTATTACAGTCTCCTGATTCTGCTGCCTTCTTTCTGAGCATTTAGAGGGGAGAGGTGGTGACCAGAAGTAGAGCAATGGTTCACTTTTTTTTTTTTAAGTGGTAGTGGTAATAGTATATTTAAGGAACATATATGTTCCTTAAATTCTGCTATTGTCAGATATATGTTACATATTACAATTTTTGAAATACAAAATTGTTAAAGTAATTCATCACATTAGTGATTAGAAGAGAAAAGTTATCAAGTCATCAAATATCTCACTATGAATACCCAGTGTGATATTCACACAGTGAGTGTACACCTGTAGGATTACGTATCTGGCTGAGAGTACAGGTAGGAGAGAGGAAGCATCTGAAATCCAAATGGTTTGTCCTAAACATGAAAGGATCTAGATTCTGGGAGATTTATTTGGAGATGACAATTACTATTCTGAAAAACAGCAAATCATTTCAATTCTTAACCAGAGCGTTTTTGTGAGCATATTTCTAATACAGCTACCACTAGTGTTTATGAAAAAAATTAAAATCTTACATTTTCGTCAAAGCCTTCTCTTCTGGCTTGTTCAGCCAAATCTCCGCTGCCTTTGCTATTGAGAATATAAAATAAAAGTCAGAGGCAAATGACAATAAGAAAGGAAATGCCACCATAAAGTACAATCGGATCTGTAGTAAGGATCTGAATAATATTTCTTCCTGATAATGCTAATTATTTGGAAAATGTGATCATTAACAAGCTCTTCAGAGTATCATATGTCATTAACTGTGAAAAAAATGTTTATGTTCCACTGCCAGAGTTCTGGGTTTGGGAAGTATTTTGACACCAAAGTCATTTAATAAATACAAGTGTAAATACAGTGTAAGTATAAGTATTGTCCGTAAGTATTGTGTGTAAATGTTTTTATTTTTATAGCCAAATAAATGCATTTAATTTAGACTAAAATTGTTTCTAACCTTTTTAGAGGGACTTTATGGTCCCCTCCAGCTTTCTCTTACAGCTTTTTCTGAGTAGGATGGCAGGCATTATATTAATTTTAAATTAGCTAGAATTTCATGATGTCCTCAGAAATTAGGAGGCACTCCTGGGTGTACTGGGTGTATTTAGAATCGCCACATAGGTTGGTGGTGGTTTTGCAATTAAAACCTTATTCATGGCCAGGCACGGTGGCTCACGCCTGTAATCCCAACACTTTGGGATCACCTGAGGTCAGGAGTTTGAGACCAGTCTGACCAACATGGTGAAACCCCATCTCTATTTAAAACAAACAAACAAACAAAAAACAAAAAAAACCTTATAAGGTTCTCATATAATGTGGAACTTTAAAATGGTAAGTTAAACATTTGAGAGAAGTCATCTTACGTTTTCTTGTCTTCATCTTTTTGAGCTTTCTTCAGTCTGAATTTCTCGAGAACATTTTTGTAACTCTGGGCATAATTTAAAATAGTTTGAAAATGCATTAAAATATATCCTTGATTATTAATGTTTTATCAAAGTAAAATAAATATGGAATGCTTGTCCCTCTGGATTGCTACCCTAAAGGACTGTGGAGGTAAATGCTATGATTATCCTTCTTTCACCTCATTGCTACATATGGTTTACGCCTGCTGGTGAAAACCCAAAAGGGGTTCTTCTGTTGGGGGCATTACTCTGGAACTTGGAAAAAGCAAAAATCTTTAAAAAGCGTTAACATGTATTGCGTTAAGGATGTTAACACTTTTAATGAATATAACCAACATCATATTCAAGTGATAAAAGATGGGGAAAAAAGCAAACTAATTGGGGGATAGCTTTACAGTTTTTTTGGTTTGTTTTACAGATTAGTTCTTGGACAAAGTTCGTAAACCCCACTAACCCTGCAGCTACTAGGACCTCTTCTCTGTGAAGTGCTATGCTTTAGAAACATGGGGCATGCAGAGATGGCCAAACTGGCAGGGGAGATGTGACTGGTACACATATAACTCTGCTACAGCTCAAACTGAGGTAGATACTGAGAAGAGGACAGGACAGATTCCACTTTTTGAAGAATAGAATGGTAGCAAGAGAGAAGAGCTGTAGGAATATTTCCGGGGTCAGAGAATGACTTGAGCAGAGGCTCAGAGGAGAGAGAATAAGCGTCACAAAACAGATTAGCCGGGACATACAGTATTGTAAATAGAGGCAGAAAGGTAGAGACTATAGTAAAATTATAGTTAATGAAGACAGGTTAGGACTGTGAGACTTGAGGATTTGGAATATTCAGGTAAGGAATTCGGACTTGACAGGATTAGGGAAACTGATAATCACATCTGGACTGGCACAGGGAAGAGGCTAGAATAGTCAGGAAATGTTACCATAGTGAAGGCTGGGCGAAAAGTACTGAAAGCCTCATCTAGTGGTGGCAGTTAGAATTTAAAGTATTCCACAAATGTAAGCAAGAACTGCAGAGATAAACTATACATGTGCCGTGACAATAGACTATATAAGGGACAAGGAAACAAATTCTTTTCATGGTTTTTGAGCCAGGAGTGACTTGAGAGGATAGTGTAGCCATGAACAGAAACAGGAAAATGAGGAAGACGACACATGGAGTTCTGAGTTTAGATTGTTGATAGAAATTTAACAGCATTCAGAGCAAAAACTTTCCGGAAGGAAGAGAGGGTTTTATTATAATACTCAGCAGCGCTTTGCATTTAGGAAATCACTCAATAACTATTTGATATATTGAACTCTGAAATAATTTTGGCTACATTTTTGAAGTCAGAGAGCATATCTCACTTCTGTAATAATGAAATAATGCGAATATGAGTAACACTGGATCAAAACACAAAACAAACCCTGGGGATGGGATGGGGTGGGAGTGGGGAGAGCACGACCACTTGGAATTAAGTGGTATTCAAACTACAAGAGGATAAACTATATGAGGTTTGTCTTAGAATTCTAATTAGGAAAGAAATTTGACTTACCTGTTTAATCATTTTGCCAAGTTCAAAATCTAGCCTTCTGCCTATTGAATAGTCAGCTTTCACTTCAGAATAGGTATCATTAATAATTGCCAAGAACATATTCTAGGGATAAGTATTCAAATAATTATTTCAATAAAAATTTAGTTTAAATGTTAATGACTTTAACAAGTTTTGGGTTTGTAAAATTATATTTAAATTTTAAAAGTAGGCCAGGTGCGGTGGCTCACGCCTGTAATCCCAGCACCCAGGAGACCAAGGTGAGTGAATCACTTGAGGACAGGAGTTCAAGATCAGCCTGGCCAACATGGCAAAACCCTGTCTCTACTAAAAATACAAAAATTAGCCAGGCGTGGTGGTGCACACCTGTAGTCCCAGCTACTCGGGAGGTGGAGGCAGGAGAATCTCTTGAACCCAGGAGGTGGAGGTTGCAGTGAGCCGAGTGAGATCGCACCACTGCACTCCAGCCCGGGTGACAGAGCAAGACTCCGTCTAAAAAAAAAAAAAAGAAAAGAAAAAGGAAAAACAACAAAAAAAATCAAATTTTAAAAGTAACCCATATAACCCATATGCTCAAAAATGGGGAGATGACTATGCAGACAATAAAGTAGAATAGAAAATGTGTAGTGTGTGGGTATGGGCAAATATGTTTATGGCAAATGAGAAAAGCAGAATGTAAAAGAATGCATATGAACTGGTTATATATACACAAATTAATATTACATAATGGAAGAAAATTTAGAATGAATAATTATGTGTTCATAAGGGCATTTTTTTGTTTGTTTTTGAGACAGGGTCCCACCCTGTTGCCCAGGCTGGAGTGCAGTTGTGCGATCTCAGCTCATTGCAGCTTCCCACTCCCAGGTTCAAGCGATTCTCATGCCCCAGCCACCCAAGTAGCTGGGATTATAGGTGTACATCACCACGCCTAGCTAATTTTTGTATTTTTAGTAGAGACAGCATTTCGTCATGTTGCCCAGGCTGGTCTTGAACTCCTGAGCTCAAGCGATCCGCCTGCCTCTGCCTCCCAAAGTGCAAGGATTGTAGGTGTGAGCCACTGCGTCCAGCCAAGGATGTTTGTTGTTACTGTTGTTTTTTAATTCTATGAAGCTGTTTAAATTTACAGTCTTACTACAGCTCCTGCAACTACTAATGTCCAGATAACACAAATGTAGAAAGGATATTCTTACCCCACCAGCTCACCTTTCACTGTGGCCCAGCTCTGTCACCCTAAGACTCTTGTCTGTCACCAGGGGATAACTTCCGTGCCTGACAAAAAGTGTTTTCATGGAGGACAGTACAGTGCCTTAACTAGAAAGGCAAGATTCCTTGGTTAGGAGGCCCAAATAGACTTGTTCTGAGTGCATGTGAGAGATCCATCCTGATAACTCCTGAAAACCACAACGTGGTAAGTGTTTAGCTGTAAGGGCCAAAAGCCATTGCAATATGGGCAGAATATTAATGGCCACATTCATGACTCATGGCATGCATTGTCCCAGCCTGAAGAGACTTGGGACATTCCAATTATTTATGTGAAGGATTTAGCACATTCCCGTCTAAAACACCCAGAAATTAACTACTGTGATTACATTCTGCAACTTGAAAACAGTCACTGGACTAGTGAACCTGGATTACTAGGGATCCACACAATTCTCAATAAATGTAAAGTACTCTGACAGCTGAGCAGAAATAATAGTTTATTCTAAATGAGTAATTTTACTTTTTATTCTAAAAAGTAAGAAATGAAAGGAATATGTATTATTCTTACCAGCAGGACAAAGAACACAAAAAAGATGAAAGTGATGAAGTAAATGGGTCCCAAGATAGGATTGGCTTGCTGAATACCAGCAAAATTAAAATCTCCAAGAACAATTCGAAATTGTGCAAATCTTTAAGAAAGAAAAACAGTAGAAAATATATACCTTTATGTACATACATGACAACTGATGGGAGTTACTAATGTCTCTAAGAGGATATCTAGCAGCATATGGTATATGCTTTCTGACTTTAATTATGTTAGTACAGAGTTGTGTAAAATTGGATGTAGAAAATTCCCCTAAAGGAAAGACTTAAGGTACCTCGATAGCTGAATAGGTAATGTAGGAAATGACCGCTTTAATGAATGTGAACTCAGTGTTCATCTATAACTTTTTTTTTTTTTTCTTTGAGACAGTCAAACTCTGTCGCCCAGGCTAGAGTGCAGTGGTGCTATCTCGGCTCACTGCAACCTCTGTCTTCCAGGTTCAGGCAATACTCCTGCCTCAGACTCCCAAGTAGCTGGGATTACAGGTGTGCACCACCATGCCCAGCTACTTTTTTTGTATTTTTAGTAGAGACAGCCTCACCATGTTGGCCAGGCTGATCTCAAACTCCTGGCCTCAAGTGATCCGCCCACCTCGGCCTCCCAAAGTGCTGGGATTACAGGCATGAGCCACCACACCCAGCCCACCTATAACATTTGAACCTGAGATACCTGTTTACTAACTGGTTTTGGCAGTGGCCTCCTTGGCCGGCTGTGCCTGTGCCCTTCTAAACATTAGAACTTTGAATTGGTTCAACAAGTGATTTTTCAACTTGTAGAAGGTTTAGACCCAAGAGCCCTAAACTTTCTAATGTCAGTGAAGTGAATTTTTGTCTTAACCAACTCTTAAATTCTGATAAAATAGGGATGCCAACAATTTGTCACTTGCTAGTCTCAAGTGCTGATAATAATACTCAACATGATCCTAAGGTTTATTTTACCCTCTTTGTGATTTTTTTTTTTTTTTAGATGGAGTTTCGCTCTTGTCGCCCAGGCTGGAGTGCAATGGCACGATCTCGGCTCACCACAACCTCTGCCTCCCGGGTTCAAGCAATTCTCCTGCCTCAGCCTCCTGAGTAGCTGGGACTACAGGCGTGTGCCACCACGCCCAGCTAATTTTTGTATTTTTAGTAGAGATGGGGTTTCACCATCTTGTCCAGGCTGGTCTCGAACTCCTGACCTCATGATCCACCTGCCTTAACCTCCCAAAGTGCTGGGATTACAAGCATGAGCCACTGTGCCCGGCCCTATTTTACCCTCTTTGATAGCCTGGTTTGATATGAAATACCACTTAAAATATTTCAAACCTTCCTTTTTCTAATTTTAAAGATGAAAAATGAAGAAATTAAGACTTTGAGTAGCACAGTAGTAACAAGTAGAATTAGAATTTTCTAACTTGAAAATCTTATTTTATTTTCTCATTATTAACTTGCAGTGGTCTCACTGGACGTATCAGGAATATCAGTTTAAATTATGTGTGTGTGTTCTTTATGAGGAAATTTGGAAAAAAATTTTTTTTTGAGACGGTGTTTCACTCTTATCACGCAGACTGGAGTGCAGTGGTGGGATCTTGGCTCACTGCAATCTCCATCTTCCCGGTTCAAGCGATTCTCCTGCCTCATCAGCCTCTCTTGAGTAGCTGGGATGACAGGCACATGCCACCATGCCTGGCTAATTTTTGTATTTTTAGTAGAGACAGGATTTCACCACGTTGACCAGGTTGGTCTCAAATTCCTGACCTTAGGTGATCCACCCGCCTTGGGCTCCCAAAGTGCTGGAATTACAGGCGCGTGGAAACAAATGTTTAATCGTATGTTGATAACTGCGTAATTGGTCAGTGAAAAGGGAGAAAGCCTGCTTGTCCCTTATTGCTTTTGCCAATCACATAAAAGGAGCAAAAAGCTTTAATGAAGGAAGAAAAAGCATTCAAAGAAATGGGCTACATGAAGTCCTAGGACTCAGAGTTATCTGAGATTCCATCCACGGTACCTAGCTGAGACCTGACCAAATCATACCTAAAGTATTTATCTTGCTTTTAATACTGGTTTGTAATGCTTTCCTACATAAGATAGAGAAAATACTGAATTGGAAGGAATTGGTGGAAAGTCTCACCACAAATCAAATATTTTTTCTGGCATAGGAGAATAAGAGGTTCTGTTTTAGTGTTTCTGCCATGATCTTTCATCTTTGAGTTGGGGAAAAAAAAAAAGATGAAGGAACCATTCTCATTCTTTTCTCCTCTCCAGATGTTAGCTTAGTAACCAAAGCTTCCATTCAGCCCTTTTCTGTTAGGAAAGTGTTAAGATACTTCTGCTCTGTAATAGGGAGAATGACAAAAACTGAAGCATTTACTGAATGGTTAGAATCTCATCGAAACTGGAGGCTCCAAATACAGTGTCTCTTTTCTTAATTAGAGCTTAGTTTATCCATTTTGTTTCTTTTTTGCAAGCTAAAAGCACCATGACGCCTCAACATACAGGGTTATATTGAATGAAAATACTGTTTTGTAACTTTTTGATGGCCCTGTTAACTTTAGATAGAGTTCTCCCTTATTGAATTAAAATAACTAAAAGTATGTTTCAAAAGAACATGCCATTTGTCATTAATAAGACTTTCCAGTCTCTCTCTTGAAGTCATTGATTGGGTCACTACAAGAGATTCATCTTTAACTTGAGGGTGTAGCAATTCAGGCTCCCTGCTTGATGTATAGAAAGGTGACTAGATGGTCCTCTCCCTACACACACACACACACACTCACACACACACACACACACACACATTGTGCAGGCCCTGGACCTTGCCTCTGTCTCCTTCCTGAGAGATGGCCAGCAACACAGTTTCTCAACTATTTCGTCTGGATCAGGAAAAAAAAAAAAAAAGATTCTTGGAAGGTGGAAGAGAACCATGGGAAACTTATTTCTCCCCTGTCCCCATCTAGACAACAATTACATGGGCAGAATCTGTCAGATGTACTACTTTGGAACTCTAGAGTCTATTGAAGAAGGCCTGCAACTTCCAGGGAAAGGCTTGGACAGTAAATTGCTGTTAATTTTGGACAATTTCAGCTTTTATCTCAATAGCTATGCATCCCCTACTCATTAGCCTCATGGCTGGGATCCATGCACATGTTTGTGAAGCAGCTTGCATGTAGCTTATGGGAGCCATGTGGGGAATAAATACTATGTCTTTCAAATATTGGGGATCTATGTGGTGATTGCTGATTGCTGCTTCTGATCGTGGGGATGCAGACACTGAGGTGGGCAGCCATTGTTGCATCTCCTCCATTGTTGCAAGACCATCGTCCTTCAGCTGAAGTAATGTCCTTGGGATTTAAAGGGCTGTTATCTTCCCCTACCTCTCACTTTATTCTTCTCTTTTCCTTTTTTGGGATCCAGACATTAAAGAATAGGACATTCAAAACCAACTCCATATCAAGGGTAAGTTAAAAAGTCATTGTGCATGCCCAGGGAAAGGCATAGGCTGAGGAAAACCTGAGAAGACCTTAAGTGCACAACTCAGGGTGATCCTTGGCATGGAGCCAGACTATAAAAATAAAAAATAAGAACAAAAAATGGCAAACCCTGGGCAAGGGGAAGAATCTGATTTTCAAAATTATCACATTATTAGATTCAAATGTCTGGTTTGAATTTTTATTATTTTTTATTTTTTGTACAGACATGGTCTCCCTTAGTTTCCCAGACTGGTCTCAAACTGCTGGGCCCAAGTGATCCACTTGCCTTGGCCTCCCAAACTGCTAGGAGGCTCCCAAAGTGCAATGGCTCCAAAATGTGAGCCACCACACCCAGCCTGGTTTGAATTTTTTAAAAATCACAAAATCACAAGACATACAAAGTTTGAATCTAAAAATTCACCAAAAAATCACCAGATACACAAAGAAATGGAAATATGAGCCATTCAATGGAAAAAACAAAAACAAGAAAAACGCATGCTAGTAGATACGCTCTCTGAGAAAGACCAGATGGTGACCTACTACAAAGACTTTAACTGTCTTAAAGATGCTGAAAGAACTAAAGGAAAACATGGATAAAATAAGAAAACATGAACAAAATGGAAATATCAATAAAGAGAAAACCTAAAAAGAAACAAAAAAATATAAGATGGAAAAATAATAACCAAAATGAGAAATTTACTAAAGAGATTCAAAGGAAGATTTGAGCAGGCAGAAAAAAGAATCAATGAACTTGAAGATAGGATAATTGACATTATTGAGTCTGAGAAACAGAAAAAAGAAGAAAAGTGAACAGGGCTGGGTGGCTCACGCTTGTAATCCCAGCACTTTAGGAGTCCAAGACAGGTGGATCACCTGAGGGCAGGAGTTCCAGACCAGCCTGGCCAACATGGTGAAACCCAGACTCTACTAAAAATACAAAATTAGATGGGTGTGGTGGCACATGCCTGTATTCCCAGCTACTCAGGAGACTGAGACAGGAGAATTGCTTGAACCCAACAGGCGGAGTCTGCAGTAAGCTAAGATCCCACCACTGCACTCCAGCCTGGGTGAGACAGAGTGAGATTCCCATCTCAAAAAAAAAAAAAAAAAGAAAAGTGAACAGATACCAAGAGACCTGCAGGACACCATCAAGTAGACCAACATACACATTATGGAAGTTCCAAAAGGATAAGAGAAAGAGAAAGGTGCAGAGAGATTATTTGAAGAAATGATGGCCAAAAACTTCCCAAGTTTGATGAACAATATGAATTTAAACATCCAAGGAGCTCAGTGAACTCCAATAGAATGAACTCAAAGACAGCCACACCAAAACACATTATAGTCAAACTCAAAAGCCAAAGACAGAGAATCTTGACAGCTCATCACATACAAGGAATCCTCAAGAAGATTATCAGCATATTTCTCATCAGAAACTTTGAAGACTACAAGGCAGTGCAATGATATATTCAAAGTGCTAAAAGAAAAAAAAAGGTGGCAGCCAGGCTCAGTGGCTCACGCCTGTAATCCCTGCACTTTGGGAGGCCAAGGTGGTGGATCACAGGGTTAGGAATTCGAGACCAGCCTGGTTAACATGGCAAAACCCCGCCTCTACTAAAAATACAAAAATTAGCCGGGTGTGGTGGTGCGCATCTGTAACTCTAGCTACTTGGGAGGCTGAGGCACGAGAATCACTTGAACCTTGGAAATTGAGGCTGCGGTGAGCTGAGATCACACCACTGTACTCCAGCCTGAGTGAAAGCGCAATACTCTGTCTCAAAAAAAAAAAAAAAAAAAAAAGAAGAAAAGTGGCAATTAAGAATCTTATATCTGGCAAAACTCTCCTTCAAAAGTGAGGGAGAGGCCGGGCATGGTGGTTGAGACCAGCCTGGCCAACATGATGAAACTTCATCTCTACCAAAAATATAAAAAATTAGCTGGGTATGATGGTGCACACCTGTAATCCCAGCTACTTGGGAAACTGAGGCAGGAGAATTGCTTGAACCTGGGAGTCAGAGGTTGTGGTGAGCCGAGATCGTGCCACTGCACTCCAGCCTGGGTGACAGAGTGAGACTCCGTCTCAAAAAAAAAAGTGAGGGAGAAATGAGCTGGGCATGATGACTCATGCCTGTGATCCCAGCACTTTGGGACGCCAAGGTGGGTGGATCACTGGAGCCCAGAAGTTTGAGACCAGCCTTGGCAACATAGTAAGACCTCCATCTCTTAAAAAAAAGAAAAAAGAAAAAAAAAATGTGTGTATACATAATTGGTGAGGGAGAAATGAAGACATTCCAAGATCAACAAAAACTGAAGGAGTTTATTATCACTAGATCTATCCTACAAGAAGTTCTAAAAGGAATCCTACAAGTTTAGATGAAAGAACACTAGATAATAAAGCCATATGAAGGAACACAGTTCTTAGTAAAGGTAAATACATGAGCAATTATAAAAGCTAGTATTATTATAACAACAGTTTGCAACTTCATTTTTGTTTTCTACATAATTTAAGAGACTAATGCATTAAAATTTTTCAGTTTGTTTTTGGACACAATGAACAAAGATGTAATTTTGTGACATCAATAAAAAACCTCCCCTTTGGGAGGCCAAGGCGGGTAGATCACGAGGTCAGGAGTTCGATACCAGCTTGACCAACATGGTGAAACCCCGTCTACTAAAAATACAAAAATTAGCCGGGCATGGTGGCGCACGCCTGTAATCCCAGCTACTCAGGAGGCTGAGGCAGGAGAATTGCTTGAATCTGGGAGGCAGAGGTTGCAGTGAGCTGAGATTGTGCCACTGCACTCCAGCCTGGGCGACAGAGTGAGACTCCATCTCAAATAAAAAATAAAAATAAATAAAATAAATAAAAATTAAAATTTAAAATTAAAAACCTCCCAACAAAGAATAGCCAAGGATCTGGCTTCACTGGTAAATTCTACAAACATTTAAAGAATTAATGCCAATCTTCAAACTCTTCCAAAAATGGAAGAGAAGGGAATGCTTCCAAACTCATTTTACATGGCCAGCATTACCCTGAAACCAAAGTCAGAGAAAGACAGTACAAGAAAAGAAGAGAATTAATGCCAATCTTCGAACTCTTCCAAAAATGGAAGAGAAGGGAATGCTTCCAAACTCATTTTACGTGGCTATCATTACCTTGAAACCTAAGCCAGACAAAGACAGTACAGGAAAAGAAAATTACAGGCCAATATACCTAATGAAGATAGATGCAAAAATCCTTAATAAATACTAGCAAGTCAAATTGAACAGCATATTAAAAGGATCATATACCATGAACAAGTGAGATTTATCCCTACAATGCAAGGATGGTTCAACATACACAAATCAATAAATGTGATACACATTTAAAAAATGAAGGATAAAAACCATATGATTATCTTAATAGAGGCAGAAAAAATTTTGATAATCAACGTATTTTCAGGATAAAAACTATAAACAAATTAGGTATAGAAAGAATGTCCCTTAACATAATAAAGGCCATTATATCTGAGACCCACAGCTAACATCATACTCAATGGTTAAAAGTTGAAAGCTTTTCTTCTAAGATCAAGAACAAGACAAGAATGCCCTCTCTTGCCACTTCTATTCAATACAGTATTGAAAGTCCTAGCCAGAGCAATAGGCAAGAAAAAGAAATAAAGGCACCCACACTGGAAAGGAAGCAGTAATTGTCTTTCTTTGCAGATGATATGACCTTATTTATAGAAACCCTTAAAGATTCCACCAAAAAACTATTAGAATAAATGAATTAAGTTGCAAGATACACACAGTAGCATTTTTATACATTACAGGTTGAGGATACCTTATCTGATATGCTTGGAACCAGAAGTGTTTTGATTTGGGATTTTTTTTAGATTTTGGAATATTTGAATTATATTTACTGGTTGAGCATTCCAAAGCTGAAAATTTGAAATCCAGAATGCTCCAATGCGCATTTCTTTGAGTGTCATATCAGCACTCAAAAAGTTTTGAATTTTGGAACATTTCAAATTTGTGGTTTTCAGACTTGGAATGCTCAACCTGTAATGATGATCTATTCAAAAAAGAAATCAAGAAAGCAATTTCAGGCTGGGTTGGTGGCTCATGCCTGTAATCCCAGCACTTTGGGAGGCCAAGACGGATGAGTCTCTTGAGCCCAGGAGTTCGTGACCAGCCTGGCAACATGGCGAAACCTTGTCTCTATCAAAAAAAAAAAAAAAAAAAAAAAAAAAAAAAAAAAAAAAGCCAAGTGTGGTGGTGCATGACTGTAATCTCTGCTACTTGAGAAAATGAGGTGGTAGGACTGCTTGAACCTGGGAGGTGGAGGCTGCAGTGAGTCGGGATCACACCATTGCACTCCAGCCTGAGTGACAGAGCAAGACCTCATCGGGAAAAAAAAAAAAAGGAAAAGAAAAAAGAAAGAAAAGCTGGGCACAGTGCCTCCTCACGCCTTTAATCCCAGTTACTTGAGAGGCTGAGGTGAGAGGATTGCTTGAGGCCAGGAGTTCAAAACCAGCCTGAACAACATAGTGAGACCTAGTTTCTAAAAATAAAAATAAAAAATACATTTAAAAAATTAGCCATGGCCAAAACCCCAACTCTACTAAAAATACAAAAATTAGCTGGGTGTGGTGGCATGTGCCTATAGTCCCAGCTACTCTGGAGGCTGAGGCAGGAGAATCGCTTGAACCTGGGAGGTGGAGGTTGCAGTGAGCTGAGATGGCACCATTGCATTTCAGAGCCTGGGTGACAGAGTGAGACTCCATCCCAAAAAAAAAAAAAAATTAGCCATGGCTGGGCACAGTGACTCACAGCTGTATCCCAGCACTTTGGGAGTCCAAGGTTGGAGATTGCTTGAGGCTAGGAGTTCAAGACCAGCCTGGGCAACAAAATGAGATCCTGTCTCTTCAAAAAATTTTTAAAAATCAGCTGGGTGTGGTGGCATGCACCTGTAGTCCCAGCTACTCAGGAGGCTGAGGTGGGAGGATTGCTTGAACCTGGGAGGTTGAGGCTGCAGTGAGCTGAGATCATGCCACTGCACTCCACCTTGGGCAACAGAGTGAGACTGTCTCAAAAAAAAAAAAAAAAAAAGAAAAAAGAAGGCTGGGCGCGGTGGCTCACGCCTTTAATCCCAGCACTTTGGGAGGTTGAGGCAGGTGGATCACCTGAGGTCAAGAGTTCCAGACCAGCCTGGCCAACATGGTGAAACCCCATCTCCACTAAAAAAACACAAAAATGAAGGCCGGGAGTTTGAGACCGGCCTGACCAACATGGAGAAACCCCGTCTCCACTAAAAATACAAAACTAGCCGGCCGTGGTGGTGCATGCCTGTAATCCCAGCTACTTGGGAGGCTGAGCCAGGAGAATCACTTGAACCTGGGAGGCGGAGGTTGCAGTGAGCTGAGATCACACCATTGCGCTCCAGCCTGGGCAACAAAAGCAAAACTCCATCTCAAAAAAAAAAAAAAAAGAAAGAAAGAAAACAAATAATCCAATTTAAAAATGGACAAAGGACCTGAATAGACATTTCTCAAAAGAAGACACACAAATGGCCAATAGATATATGAAAAAATGGTCAACATCACTAATCATCAGGAAAATGCAAGTTAGGCCAGGCACGGTGGCTCACACCTGTAATCCCAGCACTTTGGGAGACAGAGGCTGGTGGATCACTTGAGGTCAGGAGTTCGAGACCAGCCTGGCTAACATGGTAAAACCCCATCTCTACTAAAAATACAAAAATTAGCCAGGTGTGGTGGTGCATGCCTGTAATGCCAGCTACTTGGGAGGCTAAGGTGGGAGAATCACTTGAACCTAGGAAGAGGAGGTTACAGTGAGCCGAGATCATGCCACTGCACTCCAGCCTGGGCAACAGAGCAAGACTCCATCTCAAACCAAACCAAAACAAAATGAGATATCACCTCACACCTGTTAGAATGGCTCTTATCAAAAAGATAACAAGTGTTATCAAGGATGGAGACAAAAAGAAAACTTCATACACTGTTGGTGGGAATGTAAAATGGTATAGCCTCTATGCCAAACAGTATTGATACTCCTCAGAAAATTAAAAATAGGACTAACATATGATCCAGCAATCCACTTCTTGGTATATGTATCTAAAGGAAATAAAATCAGTATGTGAAAGAAATATCTGCCCTCCCATGTCACTGCAGCATTGTTTACAATAGCTGAGATAGGGAATCAACCTACATGTCTATTAATGGTTAAATGGATAAAGAAAATGTGGCATATATAAACAATGGAACACTATTCAATCTTTGAAAAGGAGGAAATACTGTCATTTGCAACAAGGATGAAATTGGAGGACCATCATATTAAGTGAAATAAGCAAGGCACAGAAGGACAAATATTGCATGATCTCACTTACATGTGGAGTCTGAAAAAGTTGAAGTCATAGAAGCAGAGGGTAGAACGGTAATTGCTAAGGGTTGGAGAGGTGGAGTTCAGGGGGAGTTGAGAGATGTATGTCAATGGGTGTAAAATTTCAGTTAGACAGAATAAATTCTGGAGATCTACTGTATAGCATGGTGACTATAGTTAATAATGTATACTTGAAAATTGCTAAGGAAGTAGATCTTAAATGTTCTTACCACAAAAATGATAAATATGAGAGGTGATGGATATGTTAAACAGCCTGATTTAATCATTTCACAATGTATACATGTATCAAAACATCACACCATATAGCATAAATATATATAATTTTAATTATACCTTAATAAGTCTGGAGGGGGAAATAGATCATATGATCCAGCAATTCTACTTCTGGGTATATAACCAAAGGAACTGAAAGGAGGGTCTTGAAGAGATATTTATACATCCATGTTCACAGCACTGTTATTCACAATAGCTAAAATGTGGAACCAACCCAAGTGTGTATTGGCAGATGAATGAATAGGCAAAATGTGGAATATACATATAATGGAATATTATTCAGCCTTTCTAAGGAAGGAAATTCCGACTACATGCTACAACATGGATGAAACTTAAGGGCATTTGTGCTAAGTGAAGTAATCCAGTCACAAAAAGACAAATAACATATGATTCCACTTACAGGTGGTACCTAGAGTAATCAAAATCATAGAGACAAAAAGTAAAATGGTGGCTGACAGGGGCCAGGGAAGGGGAAAATAGGGAGTTATTGTTTAATTGGTATAGAGTTTTTATTTTCCAAGATGAAGAGATTTGGAGATAGATGGTGGTGATGGTTGCACAATATGAATGTACTTAATATCACTGAACTGTACACTTAGAAGTGGTTTAAATGGTAAATTTGATGTTATATATATTTTATCACCATAAAAATATTGAAAAAGGGGCTTTAAAATGCCTTCAGGGCAAATAGCTTTGGGTGCTGGGCTTACTTCTCTGGGTTGTTGCCTTCTGACTTTGGCCCAGTTATTACTCACTCTCTTATTAATTCTTCATTGTTTTCTATGTCATCCAGCTTTTTTTTTTTGTTTTTCTTTTTTTTTTGAGACAGAGTCTCATTCTGTCGCCCAGGCTGGAGTGCAGTGGCATGATCTTGGCTCACTGCAACCTCTGCCTCTCGGGTTAAAGGATTCTCCTGCCTCAGCCTCCTGAGTAGCTGGGATTACAGGCATACACCACCACACCCAGCTAATCTTTTTGTATTTTTTTTTTAGTAGAGACGGAGTTTCGCCATGTTGGCCAGGCTGGTCTTGAGCTCCTGACCTCAGGTGATCCACCCGCCTCGGCCTCCCAAAGTGCTGGCATTACAGGCGCGAACCATCGCACCCGGCCCATCCAGCTTTTAAAATTGTCCTCAAGAGGAGATTGATCTGAATAACCTAACATATCCTTACCAAAAACAGACGTCCTCTCATTAACCCATTTCAAAGTTCTCTACCTGTTCTGTGCTTTATACTTCCCTTTCCTCTTCACTACCCACGGTAAGACAAATTTCCTAGGCTCTGTAAATTATTACATCTGTATTCAATGCCAATTATTACCAAGTTTTATTATTATTATTATTATTATTATTATTATTATTATTATTATTGTTTTAGAGATGGGGTTTCACTCTGTTGCCCATGCTGGAGTGCAGTGGTGTGATCATAGCTCACTGTAACCTCAAACTCCCAGGCTCAAGTGATCCTCCTGCCTCAGTGTCCTGAGTAGTTAGGAATACAAGCATATGCCACCACATCCAGCTAGTTGTTTTTTGTTTTTTTGTAGAAACGCAGTCTTGCTATGTTGCCCAGGTTGGTCTTGAACTCCTGGCCTCAGTGATTCTCCCATCTTGGCCTCCCTAATGCTGGGATTATAGGTGCCATGGCACCCAGCCTAAAGCTATTTTAAAAATACATGTTTGGCAGATTAGCAAAGGACGATCAGGTCAATATCAATAAAAATATTAAGATGGAGCCCTCTAAAGAAAACACTTAAGATTTCTTTTGGCTGGGTGTGGTGGCTCACATCTGTAATCCCAGCACTTTTGAAAGGCCGAGGCAGGAGGATCACTTGAACTCAGGAGTTCAAGACCAGCCTGGGCAACATGGCTAAACCTTATCTCTACAAAAAATACAAAAATTGGCTGGATGTGGTGGCACACCCAGCTACTTGGGAGGCTGAGGTGGGAGGACTGCTTGAGCCCAGGAGTTTTAGGATGCAATGAGCTGTGATAACGCCAGTGTAGTCCAGCCTGGGTGACAGAGTGGAGACCCTGTCTCAAAAAAAAAAAAAAAAAAAAAAATTTCTTTTGTCCAGAGAATAAACACCACAGAGACATGGGGGACAATTTCTATTATCTTAGGTAAAATTATCACTTCCAATGAAAAATGAAAAATTATTTTTCTAACTTGACCTATTAACACCTTAAAAATGGACACCGTCACCCATTTGGCTCCTTCAATGTCAAATCCTAATTTGAATGTGACAGATATTTAGCCATCAGTGAAAATATCAGCCAGGCTGGTGGCTCATGCCTGTAATCCCAGCATTTTGGGAGGCCGAGGCAGGAGGTTCACTTGAACCCAGAAGTTTAAAACCACCCTGGCCAACATGGTGAGACCAAAAAATAATAAAAATGTAATCAACCAAGCGTGGTGGTGCACACCTGTAGTCCTAGCTACTTGGGAGGCTGAGGATAGCTTGAGTCCAGAAGTTTGAGGCTTCAGTGAGCTATGAGACCCTGTCTCCAGAAAAATAAAAAGAAAAAGAAAATATCAAACTAAGTTTAAATATATTAAAGCTTATATTACTACTTATCATAGAAGGTTAGACCTTTCCAATTTTTTTTGTAAGAAAATATAGAAGATATAATTACATTTATACTAAGAGCTTACATGGAATTCTGAAAAGTGGAAAAGTCATCAACTTGTGATCCAAAAACAAGAAATCCTAACTGGGCATAAGCAAAGAATATTATAAAAAACATGATGGCAAATCCTACTATGTCTTTAACACAACGGGACAAGGTTGATGACAGCTGAGACATTGTCTTGTTAAAGCTTATGAATTTGAATATCTGAAAAAGAACAAAGTTAATTGAAATAGGAGAATATCAAAGATGAAATTACTTAGAATAAATTAATTTCAGAAGAATTCTGCTTCGAATTAAAGGAGATATTTAATGATAATCATGGGTGTTTGAGGATTTCCCAGCAATCATTACAAGGCCAAACTTCTGTTTTTTTTTTTTGAGATGGAGTCTCACTCTGTCACCCAGACTGGAGTGCTGTGGCATGATCTCGGCTCACTGCAACCTCTGCCCCCTAGGTTCAAGTGATTCTCCTGCCTCAGCCTCCCTAGTAGCTGGGATTACAGGCACGTGCCACCATGCCCAGCTAGTATTTTTTGTATTTTTAGTAGAGACAGGATTTCACCATGTTGGCCAGGCTGGTCTCAATCTCCTGAGCTCAGGTGATCCGCCCACCTCAGCCTCCCAAAATGCTGGGATTACAGGCGTGAGCCACCGTGCCTGGCCAACTTCTTTTTTTTCTGTCATCCAGGCTGGAGTGCAGTGGGGGATTACAGCTCACTGTAACCTCCACTTCACGGGCTCAAGGGATCCTCCCACCTCAGCCTCCAGAGTAGCTGGAACTACAGGCTTGCACCACCACACCCAGTTAATATTTTTTTGATATTTTTTGTAGAGATAGGATTTCCCAGGCTGGTCTCAAACTCCTGGGGCCAAGAATCTACCTGCCTTGGCCTTCCAAAGTGCTAGGAGTACAGGTATGAGCCACTGTGCTGGCCCAAACTACTTTTAAAATTACTTAATAGTTGAAAAAATCTTTTTTCCCCATGGCTTTTTAGTTTAATTTTTCATTATGCTATTACACTGCTTGTATTATGTAATATAATGAAATATAAATACCTTTATCCATGCAAAAAAGATGGTAATAGCAATTATATTATTGTAATAAATGTGCCAGCATGCAAGAAAATAGAAATCTGAATATTTTTCAGTACTTTTCAACAGCTGTCCAAGTAAGAGAAAAATTTGTACATTATAGTATGTGTTGAAGGAAACAGCCACAAAACACAACTAAATGGGAAAATAAGAAGGGTTAAATTAGAGAATATCTCTACCTCTAAATATCTTACAGCCTATGAGGAAACACAAAAAAAGTTCATCAAAAGTTTAACAAAGAGGGAAGGAAAGATAGGACATATGCTTTTACATAAATGGAAATTACCCTCAACTTATACAAGTTTAAGGTAGCATTAATTATTATAAAGTTGAAAAATATTAATTGCTTGGCCATCCTAACCTATCTAAATCTTTGTTTCTTTGCGTCATAAAGCGCAAATGTATAAAATGATTATGTAACTCTGAGGCCATAAGGATTTTTGCTCTACATAATACTTAAAAGCTAAACATTTTCTACCGTGTAACACTACAAGAAACAATTTACAATTACAAAAAATAAAACCTTCTGGAACCTTTTAACAACCCTTTAAAAGAGTATTTCAGAACCAGGTTGTTTTAGCTATCAGAGTTTTATAACTGACATGAAAATTTTCCTTTGACTTTTCTTGCCTCAAATGCTCAAATAAACATTTAATGTTATGTCCTTTGTAAGATATTAGTGGAGTTACCAGAGAGGTAGGTGGCATGCTTTCTGACTCTCAGAAACCTTCAATCTGTTTTTGGGAAACAAGGCTTAAATACTTGATTGGCTATAATTAAGGGCCAATAAGGGTGAAAGATCAGATTGTATAAGCCAGAAACATTGGTTCTTTGTTCCTAAGACCAAACTCTTAACATTTGTCTCGGCCTGCCTAAATCTCTGTTTATTTCAGTGCATTTCATTGACTAGAACTGATGGTCTTTGGTGTTTCTTTCAGGGACTATTTCCCCAAACCTGGTGCCCTCTGGACTCATAAGGTCTCCTCTGGCTGCTCACCCCTGTCAGTATTCTGCTTAGCCTTGTCTTTTGTCTATTTTTTCAAAATTTATTATGAGAAGGAAAACAGATTTAGGCAACATAGATTATTTTAAACAACCTTGCCCCCAAAGACCCGTGACTGGTGAAACTCAAGGCCCTGTAAGTAATACATTTTTTAAGTAGGGGTAGGGAGGCCTACTGTGCACATTAAAGCGTAATATTTCTGGAATCACCTTTCCCTGTAGGTTTACGCTGACCCTCCCAAGGACCAAATCAGAAAAAAATAGATCTCTCCCTTTTGGAGGCACCCATTAGTAGTACTATTCCCAGTACATTTTATGTTTGATACTTGTAGCTTTCAAAATAAGTCCTGGATGAATAGAAGATTCTGTCTTTTTACACCTCCTTCATTGGTAGGTTCAGATGTGATCCCCTTCAACCATACACATGAATATATACTCACCAGCAAAAGTAGCAATTCTAGCCAGTTCCAAATACTTTTGAAATAGGCAGACTTAAATTCTTTTATTTTTTTGACTTCTTGTGTTGTGAAGACAAAAAGAAAAATACAGAATGTGATTTCACAGGAAGCAATAAAATAGTCATAGTAGCTAACATATCTGAGGAGCTTCACAGAGTAAAACTGCCATGAAGTAAGTATTCCTCCAGTTGCAGGGAATTCTGCCACCAATCTGTAAAATCAGGTTTGTGAAAGCAACTGTTCATTTCAAGCATTTATATTTCAGTACTTAATGTGAAATTTTCAATCAATGATTATGTATGCTTTAATGATAATCAGTTTTTTTTAATAAAGTATTTTTCCTTGGGGAAATGGGTTCAATTTAAACATCTTCTAGATTTACCTATTTCATAGTGGCTCCACTTTTTCTATACCTGAATATTCACAGTGGTCAAAGACCAATGTAAATGAGAAAGCAAGTTGTGATTTTTTTTTCAGACATTCATTCTATTTTGTGTTCAGCTTGCTTGTTCATAACTGGGAATATAATTTATGTCCACAGGAGAATGATATGTTCAAGAAAATGCTATACTGTTAGTTACTGTTATTAGTTAAAACTCTTCCCCAATATACATAATTTTTGAATACTTCAGAGGGAGGACATACATTCTCCCTCTTTAGATTATCAGAAATGCTTCTTGCTTCTAAATGTCAAGGTCACATATTCTACTAAAGCAAATGTTTTCTGTTGGATGCGGATACAAAGATCTATATGCAAACAGAAGTATAAAAATTAAATTCAACACTACATATAAAAAGATTTTGAGGTTCACTGTATCTCTGGTGTTCTCCACAACTTCTGATAATTAAGAATTGGTGGCAATTTGAGGAACCAGCATTTCTATCACAATATTACAATTTAATTATTCCTACTAAAGATATTAGCAAATGTTGGTACTCTTATAAGGTGCTCCCAAAACAACAAAAACAAAACCTCAGTTAACAAATAAAACTTACATCTTACACATACTAGGCAGTGAGTGAAGTGAAGGAAACTCAATATTATGATCTGAAGTGTAGACTAATCAAAAAAGGAAAAATTAATACTCTGTTTAGTTTGCCTGATAATTGTACAAAAACGAAAATAAACGGATAAGGTGTAAGTAATATGCATCTACACAACTACTGATTAGATACGCCAGTTAACAGTTTCAAAGTCTGCTGAAGTTTCTAAAAAATAACATTTTAAAAGGTAACAGAATAAGCATAAAACTTTCAGAGAGGAAATCTGGACTTAATCTTATATTACAAGGGCTTCTTCATGTGACTTAAAGCCAGTTACCTCAATGCTTCCATTCTTGTTTAGAACATAAAAATAATTTGTACTCTTCATGTTATCCTGATCAGGACTGTTGGGAAGGGTGAATGAAGTTGGTAAAAAGCTCTGATTTTCTGAGAGAACTTTAAAATAAAAGGTATAATATCCATTGGCTGCTTAAGGCAGTTTATTTGTTTTATTCATTTTTACATATTTTAAAGGCCATGGTGTGTTTCACTCTCCCTGTTGCACGGGGAGCAAAATCCCCTAAACTCCAATTCCATATTCCATTCAGGAAAAAATGTAAGACTTACGAGAGAAAAATGGCTCACTGATTTAAAGTAAATTTTTTTTAACTTTTAGGTTCAGGGGTGCATGTGCAGGTTTGTTATATAGGTAAACTTGCGACTTGAGGGTTTGGTGTACAGATTATTTTTTCACCTGGGTACTAAGCGTACTTCCTGACAGTTTTTTTCTGAACCTCTTCCTTCCCACCCTCCTCCATCAAGTAGGCCCCAGTGTCTGTTGTTCCCCCTTTTCTGTCCATGTGTTCTTATTATTTAGTTCCCACTTATGAGAACATGCAGTATTTGGTTTTCTGTTCCTGTGTTAGTTTGCTAAGGATGATGGCCTCCAGCTCCATCCATGTCCCTGCAAAGGATATGATCGCATTCTTTTTATGGCATAGTATTAGATGGTGTATAGTAGACACTGTTGTTTGCCTCTTTAGCAGTCATTATTCCATTTTTTTCTAACAGAATCTTAATTGAATTCAGTCTTTCGCCCATCCCCAGATCACTTAGTGGAAGCTGATTAAATCCCCAGGCAGATCCAATCATGGTAATCCTTTGCTAAGTGTTTGATTCTAGAGCAAATCCTTTGCTAGTGCTTGATTCTGACTCCCATGTTGTTTGAAGATCAACTATATATTGAATTTAAAAAACATCCGAAGCCCTCATATCTGAACCCACCAATGAAGGAGGTATAAACCCTTAATAGGGTTTTTAATTTGTTCATGCTTGTGCTGAGATTAAAATCATAAGGTTTAAAATAAATACAACGTAGGCTGGGCGGGGTGGCTCACGTCTGTAATCCCAGCACTTTGGGAGGCCAAGGCGGGTGGATCGCCTGAGGTCAGGAGTTCGAAACCAGCCTGGCCAACATGGCGAAACCCCGTCTCTACTAAAATACAAAAAGTAGCTGGGTGTGGTGGTACATGCCTGTAATCCCAGATACTCAGGAGGTTGAGGCAGTAGAATCACTTGAACCCAGGAAGCAGAGGTTGCAGTGAGCTGAGATCATGCCACTGTACTCCAGCCTGGGCAACAAGCTAGACTCCATCTCAAAAATTAAATTAAAAATAAAAAAATAAAAAATGTAGTTCTACTGTCAATGTGGAAAAGTAACATCACATTGTTTTATTATTTCAAAATTTATTTAGGAACATGTAGATTACATACAATATGTTAGTTTTATATGTTTAAGAATATGTAGTCTCATTTCTTGTCTTTCTGCAGCTACAAAGAGCTATCATTTAGTCTCGATAATTTCCTCCTGTAATCAGATCATTAAAATCTGTTGGTTTCCTTTCAGAATGGCTTCTTTATTAAGTTACCAATTTTTGTCTCAAGAATGAACAATTTAAATTTCAATGTGTAATAGCAGCCAGCATCCCAGAAATGTTAGAGCCTGTGGTATATTGCAAAAATAGCTATAGTTCTTCACATCTTTTTGCCTGGCCTGTCACCCAGGAGAGGGTGTACTGCCCCAGCCCTTGATGCTGGACTCAAACACATGAATTTCTTTGGCCAATGGGATGTTAACAAATATGATGCAAGCAGAAACTTGAAATGAGTTTGTACATTAGAACTTGCTCTTTGGGACCTCTACAACTGCCATGAGAAAGACATGCCTGGGCTAACTTGGACCCAGAAGACGGATGAGATACATGTAGAGCAGAACCAACTTAAAGACGCATGTGTGGGTCCTGCCAAATGGCAGCTATATTGGCAAGCCTAACAGAGATCAGTCAAGCCCAGCTGGATCAACTGAACTCTGTAAACACATGAGAAATATTTATTGTAAGCCACTACACTTGGAGGTGGTTTGTTACCTAGGAAAAGCTAGATACAAGACCCAACTTGGGCCTCAGCAATTTACCTCTGAATCATTTAGGAGACTTTTGGTTGTAACCAAAAACCCCAACTTAAATTGGTTTAAACAACAAAGAAATTTATTTCTGTCACATAGCAGCAGTTTCAGAGATACAGCAGACACCATTTGTGGTAAGTTAACAGATCTAGCTCCATTTCTTTGAGATGGCTTCAGTTTTGCCCTCCTTTGTGTTAGCTTAGTATCTTACGCTTCCCCAAGATGTCTGTGTACAAGCAGCAACTGTGATTATATGTCATTGATGTCACTAAAGAGATAGCACCAACCAAAGAGAAAAAAAAATTATTCCCATTAGTCTAATTGGGTTACCTTAGGTCACCTCCCTAACATGGACCATGCTAATTGATTTATGCCAGGCCAAGCTCACTGCACTCCAGCCTGGGCAACAGAGTGAGACTCAGACTAAAAAAAAATCATAGGGAAGAGAAAATATGTTTACTGTTCACTAAGTGGGTCTTCATAATGGTCTTTATCCTAGTTGCCCTCATACTGAGTAGGCTGAGGAGGAGGAGGGGAAGAGAAAGGGAGGGTCTTGCTGTCTCAGGGGTGGCAGAGCGGAAGAGGTGGAGGAGGTAGAAAGAGAGGCAGGAGAGGTGAGTGCATTCAGTGAAACTTTACAGATTTTACATAGTAATTTTTCTGACTTTTTTTTTTCATTTTTCTAAAAACGTTTTACACAGTACCATTCCTTCAACCCTTTGCTTTAGTTTCTGTGTCTATATCATTGAAGGGTCCATGTCATAAAAGAAGTCAAAAGCAGTCTTGAATAATCGGAACCCTTCTCCAGATGTCTAATGTCCATTTGTTTTCTGTTCTGTTTCTATGTTTTCCTTCTCGTTATCTGGCACTGATTTGGAAGGTTAATTCCTCTGGTGTGGTGTCCATTAGCTCTTGATTTCTCCAAGATCAGTTTCCTGAAACCCTTCACCCTCCCACTTTTTTTTTTTTTCCATATCCACATCTCTTTCATGATTTCTTTGATTGACTCTGTCATAAATCCTGTGAAGTCATGCACATCTGAACAGTTTTCTCCAGCGGGTATTTGTTGTTTCAGGTTTGATGGTTTCACAGTTTTTAATAACGATGATGGCATCTTCAATAATGCAATCCTTCCACACTTTCATGGTGTTCTCTCTGTTGGGGTTCTCTTCCACAGTGTCGACAATCCTTTCTAAAGAGTACTGTGTGTTATGAGCCTTAAAAGTCCTCATGATCCCCTGATCTAGAGGCTGAATTAGAGATGTTGTGTTTGGGGATAAGTAAACCACTGGAAAAAGCATCAATGGAACCATTGTAGAAAAAGAGTTCTCATTGTCCAGGCCTTCTTGTTGTACAACCAAAAGACTGGAAGCTGGTGTTTATCTTTTCCCTTCAAGGTTAGGGGGGTTAGCAATTTTATAGATAAGGGTAGTCCTGATAATAAACCTGACTTCATTTGCACAAAACAGTAGAGTAAGCCTATTCCTTCCTGCCTTAAATCCTTGTGCTTGTTTCTCTTCCTTATTAATCAATGTTCTTTGTGGCATTTTTTTTTTTCCAGAATAGGGCACTATTGTCTGCATTAAAAGCCTGTTCAGGCAGATATCCTTTCTCCTCAATGATTTTCAAAATGACGTCTGCTATATTGTCTGCTGCCACTTGCTTGGCAAAAGCTACTTCTGCTATCTTGACATTTTTAAAAGTGAAACCTCTTTCTAAAAGTATCAAACCAATCTTTGCTGGCATTAAATTCTCCAACTTTAGATCCTTCACTTTCCTTTTACCAGTTGTCACATGATGACTTTTCTTTCTTTCTTTCTTTTTTTTTTTTTGAGACACAGTTTTGCTCTTGTTGTCCAGGCTGAAGTGCAATGGCGCTATCTCGGCTCACCACAACCTCTGCCTCCCAGGTTCAAGCGATTCTCCCAGCTCAGCCTTCTGAGTAGCTGGGATTACAGGCTGTGCCACCACGCCCGGCTAATTTTGTATTTTTATTAGAGATGGGATTCCTCCATGTTGGTCAGGCTGATCTCAAACTCCTGACCTCAGGTGATTCTCCCACCTCGGCCTCCCAAAGTGCTGGGATTATAGGCGTGAGCCACCGTGCCTGGCTGACTTTGCTTTTTAAAAATCGTTTTAGAATCTAAAGGTATGCCTTTCTTACAGCAATCCTGCATTCCCACAGAAGCTGCATTTTCAATGAGATAAAAAGGCATTTTGCAAAAAGTGCAAGATTTTCACACCTGCTGGCAGAGCTGCAGCAATGGCTTCATGAATTTCACATAGAAGCTGCATTTTCAATGAGATAAAAAGGTATTTTGCAAAAAGGGCAAGGTTTTCACACCTGCTGGCATAGCTGCAGTGATGGCTTCATGAATTTCCTTTCCTTCCCCCTGCTTCCAGGGCAATGGTCCTTAGTTTCTGGATTCATTTATCTTGAAATCGTGGGCAACTGCAGCTGCAGACATCAATTTATGATACATATCAAGTAATTCAACTTTCTCTTTCAATGTCATGATATTTCTCTACTTTGTGGGAGCACCCCCAGTATCACTAGTGGCACTTTGTATGGGTCCCATGGTGTTATTAAAGGTTCATGATATTGCACTAAATACGATAAAAAACACACGAGAACTATAAGAGATCACTTTTTTACTGAGATACACAATTTACTGGAGAGACAAACTGCTTATGTGAAGATGGTGAGCATCACACGACACTTTAAATGGATACTCATAACACTAGAGTTCACTGCAATAGCAACAGGAGATGGCTACAAAATTCTTACACTAGTACAGTACGTACTCTAATTTTATGCAGTTATGATATAGTACTACATCTTTTGTTTACATTTTTCTTGACTGCAAATGGTGCCATATGTTTATGTGCATAAGTTTTGGCAAATTTTAACTTCTTATAATAGATTTGTGTATACTTTGTGATAGTAAACAATAAAATAGATGAGTATCTACAGGTATTTTATGCATTCATGACATGCCTAACTTTTTCTTAATTTTTTTTCAGTATTTCTAGGTTACATGGTTTGTCTGGGAGTTTTTTCAAATTGTCACAAAGGTTCAAAACATTTTCCAATATATTTACTGAAAAAAATCCATATCTAAGTGGACCTGTGCAGTTCAAACTCATGTGGTTCAAGGGTCAACTGTACTAATAAAGAAGTTTTGTAGGCCATTGACCACTGTCTATGAAAAAAAGTTTTGAGTCACTCACCTGATAATACAAAATAGATTTACATTAGCATTATATAAGGAAAAATCAATAAAAATAACTCTAGTCCCTCTTGTGATCCAGCTGTTCAGTCGAAGGTCAATGAACTTGTTTTTGGTTTCAGATTTCGATTTTGATAAAGTGAAAATGTATCCCCCATTTCGGTAAACACCAAGAAATCCCCAGTGCCAAGGGGAGTTGGTATTAGAAGTAGAATATCTCCATCTGTTACACATAAAAAGAATAATGGTGAAATGACAAAGCCCAACTGAGAAGTATTCTAAGAATTTAAATCGATCTTTGGTTCAAAAGTAGTAGTTTTTTGGCCAAGTGCGCTGGCTCATGCCTGTAATCCCAACACTTTGGGAGGCCGAGGTAGGCGGATCCCTTGAGCCCAGGAGTTCGAGACCAGCCTGGGCAATGTGGTGAAACCCTATCTCTACAAAAAATACAAAAACTAGCCAGGCATGGTGGCATGTGCCTGTAGTCCCACCTGCTCAGGAGACTGAGGTAGGAGGATTGTTTGGGCCCGGGAGGTTGAGCTGCAGTGAGCTGTGATCATGCCACTGCACTCCAGCCCAGGCAAAGAGCCAGACCTTGTCTCAAAACAAAAACAAAACCAAAAACAAACAAAAAACCAAAACAAAAGTAGTAGTTTTTTAAAAAGCAGTAGTAAATTCATAAGTATTCTAGTAATTTTAAAGCAAGACAATGCATTAAGGATTAAAGGATTACGATTTAATTAAGATTTAATGTAGTTTTTACTTTTTAATGCATATGGTGGGCAACACCACTGGACTAGGTGCTATGAGATAATTTTTCAAAAATCCATAACTTTTCAAAAATTAGCTGGGCATGGCAGCACATGCCTGTAGTCCTCGTTATTCAGGAGTCTGAAGCAGAACTGCTTGAGCCCCGGAGTTCAAGGCCGCACTGAGCTATGATTGCACTACCGCACTCCAGCACTCCAGCCTGGGTGACCAAGTAAGACCCTGTCTCAGAAAAAAAAAAAAAAATCCATCTGTTAGCTGTGGTGGCATATGCCTGTAGTCCCAGCTACCCAGGAGGCTGAGATGAGAGGACTGCTTGAGGCCAGTAGTTTGAGGCTGCAGTGTCGATGATGGTGCCTGTGAATAGTCCCTGCACTGTAGCATAGGTCACATAGTGAGATCCCATCTCTAAAAAACAAAAAAATCCATCTGTTGTCTCAGGGAGCTTAGAATCTAGAAAATGACGACTGTTTTTTTTCTTTAACAGGTTGTTTCTGTTATGAGATATTTAGTTTTTGAGTAGGACAAAACTATCAAGAGTTTTGGCTCAGAAATGGGTAAAAAACATGCTTCATAATCTGTCTTGTAAATGTAACATATTGTTTATAAATGCTCAATAAAAACTTTGTTACAATGTCCATGTTGTTACGTAGATATTTTAATGAAACATAAAATCAAAGTAAACTGTGTATAACTAAATTTTGGATCCCGTGCAATGGCTCATGCCTGTAATCCCAGCACTTTGGGAGACTGAGGTGGGCGGATTACTTGAGGCCAGGAGTTTGAGACCAGCCTGGCCAACATGGTGAAACCCCATCTCTACTAAAAATACAAAAATTAGCTGGGCGTGGTGGCGCATGCCTGTTATACCACCTATTTGGGAGGCTGAGGCATGAGAATCTCTTGAACCCAGGAGGCGGGGGCTGCAGTGAGCCAAGACTGCGCCACTGCACTCCAGTCTGGGTGACAGAGTGAGACTCTGTCTCAAAAAAAAAAAAAAATTTTTTTTTTGTTTCTTCTTTTTATTTTTTAATTTAATTACAGGATATCCAAAAAAAGAAAGCTTTGATTCCTCATTTCAGTCTCTCTATTCAGTTCCCCAAAAACAGATTTGAAAGGTTATTCAAAGATGCACTGCTTAAACCTGTTCTACTAATAACACTATGTTTCAGCAGGGAGGGAAAGAGACACCACTAGGAAAAAGTACCTATGTTTTAATGAAACTTCCATAGTTGTATTTTTGAGTGTTTTCCACACATGACTATTAAGTGGAAACAGGAAGATCTGTTACACCAGATCTCTCCTAGCTTCCAATTTTTTGTTTTTAATTAGTGAATTTTACATTTTAGACAAGGACAAATTGATTCTTTTTTCATTGTTGAGGATTAACAGATATTAATTCACAATTCCAGTACAGAGATTATAAAATAAACCTAATTGATAGTGTTAATTTTGGTATTTAATAAAGTATTTGTACTTGTTATGAGAATTTGGAATATTAAAATTCTTAAAAGATTAGTCTTAGGATTCCAATTTAAAAGGTGTAAATAATTGCTTTATCTTGTAATTTGGGGTTGAAAGAAAGTGAATAGTACTGTAATAGTTAAGAGAATGGGCTGGGTGTGATAGTGCACACCTGTAATTCCAGCACTTTGGGAGGCCGAGGCGGGTGAATTGCTTGAGCCCAGGAGTTCGAGACCAGCCTGGGCAACATGGTGATATCCCATTTCTGCAGAAAACACAAAAATTATCTGGGTGTGGTGGCATGTGCCTGTAGTCCCAGCTACTTGGGAGGCTGAGGCAGGAGGATTGCTTGAGCCCCGGAGGTCAAGGCTGCAGTGAGCTATGATCTTCACTGAACTCCAGCTTGGGCAACAGAGCAAGACCCTGTCTCAATAATAATAATAATAATAATAATAATAATAATAATAATAATATAATAATGTATCATCATACTTATGAATGTATTCGATTTATAAGAATCATACAAGTCCTCAGGAACACTACAAACTCATACAAAGAAGAAACAAGTTAAAAAAAAAAACCCAGCAATGATTAATCCTGGGAGTTCAAGACAGGTTGTTCAAGAAAGGAAATATAATCACTATTCATATTTATAATATAAACATTGACTAATGATTGACAATAATTATGATATAACTATATTGAGATGCTAAGAGGAACAGGAAGAGTGTGTGTAGAGGGGTAGCATAAGAGAGCTATATGACGCATCACCTTCCAAGACAGAAAAACAATAGAGGCCAGGCGCAGTGGCTCACACCTGTAATTCCAGCTCTTCGGGAGAGCAAGGCAGGAGGATTACTTGAGGCCAGGAATTTGAGACCAGCCTGGGTAACATAGAAAGACCCTGTTTCTACAAAAAATGAAAAACTAGTCAGGTGTGGTGGTGTATTCCTGTAGTCCTAGCTGCTACTCAGCAGACTGAGGCAGGAGGATTGCCTGAGTCAGGAGTTTGAAGCTGCAGTGAACAATGATTACACCACTGCACTGCAGCCTGAGCAAGAGAGTGAGATCCTGCCCCTAACGAAAAAAACAAAAACAAAGCCAAAACACAACTGTAAAATCAAGTATAAGGTAGCAGTATGAGAATGTAATTTAGAAAGACAAAGTATATACCAGAAGAAACAACTATAAAAGAGTTAAAAGTAGCTGCTTCTGGAGAGTGGAAATTATGAGTAGGAAAGGGTAGGCCTTTGTAGATATTTGTATCACTTTAATAAATATCAAATTACAAAAAATGTCTATTCTCTTCTCAATTTTTTTTTTTTTTTGAGACGGAGTTTTGCTCTTTATTGCCCAGGCTGGAGTGTAGTGGTCCGATCTTGGCTCAATGCAACCTGTGCCTCCTGGGTTCAAGCGATTTTCCTGTCTCAGCCTCCCAAGTAGCTGGGATTACAGGCATGTGCCACCATGCTTGGCTAATTTTTGTATTTTTAGTAGAGATGGGGTTTCACCATGTTGGCCAGGCTGGTCTTGAACTCCTGACCTCAGGTGATCCGCCCGCCTCGGCCTCCCAAAGTGCTGGGATTACAGGTGTGAGCCACCACACTTGGCCTTTTTTTTTTTTTTTTTGAGACTGTGTCTCACACTACCGTCCAGGCCAGAGCGCAGTGGCATGATCTCAGTTCACCACAACCTTCGCCTTCTGGGTTCAAGTGATTCTTGTGCCTTAGTCTCCTGAGTAGCTGGGACTACAGGTGCTTGCTACCATACCTGACTAATTTTTGTATTTTTAGTAGAGATGGGGTTTCACCATGTTGGCCAGTCTTGTCTCAAACTCCTGAACTCAAATAATCCACCTGCCTCAGCCTCTCAAAGTGCTAGGATTACAGGCGTGAGCCAATGGTTTTCATAAAGCTCTAAAAGCACAAAGTGTGCACTGCACTGATACCAGCAGCTTCTGTGTCAAGGAGAGGCAGTGCCAGTGGCACTGCGTTTTCACATTTCCTTCCTTCCTTTTTTTTTTTTTTTTTTTTTAGGGACAAGGTCTCCCTCTGTCGCCCAGGCTGGAGTGCAGTGGTGTGATCATAGCTTGCTGCAGCTTCAACCTCCTGGGCTCAAGTGATCCTCCTGGATCAGCCTCCCGAGTATCTTGGACTACAGGTAAGCAAGCCCCACCACACCTGGCTAATTTTTAAATTTTCTGTAGAGACTAGGTCTCAGTATGTTGCCCAGACTAGTCTCGAACTCCTGCCCTCAAGCAATCCTCCTTCCTTGGCTTCCCAAAGTGCTGGGATTACAGGTGTGAGCCACCATGTCCAGCCTCACATTTTCAATATAAAGTGTACACGAGTCTACACCAGCACTAGCCTCAGTCACTTTGAAACACAATGGCCATAGCATCTTTGTAAAGCATCATCAGATGCAGTCCCTGTAGAGCATAACTGCCCCATTTTAGTAGGGGCAGCAACAGAAAAAAATCACTGAAGGAAGCCAGAATGAGAGAGGAGGAAAGTGACAGAGCACACCTAAGACACCCACTAAGGATCCCAGATTGTCTTGGGGATGTGTTGTGGGCATCTAGCCACAGCCAGAAAAGCAGATTAATTGACCATTTTAGAAGCAAAAATGGATGCTTTGCCCTGTGTCCAATATGACTAAGCAGTTCATATACCAAAGTCAGAAAAAAGAAAACACTTTGCATCCTAAAGTAAACAAAAAATAATAGGTTCACCCTTCCTTTTCTAAACACTGCTATCTCCACATCTTCCTTTTTTACTATTGTTGAAACAGTTTCCTTACCCTTCCAGGACCCAGCTGGTGTTACTTGGAAGACACATATCTAAAAGATACAACAGTAAATGCTAGAAAAAGTTACAGTATAATTTTATGCTACTTACTCAGTATTAATTTGAAGGCCAAAATTAGAGAGGTCTTCATTTGCAGAAGTATATTTGCCATAACATTCACTCATCAAAGACTGAAAAGATGAATAGACTTTGCATGTGTTGTTGCGGACTTTTAGTTGACGAACTCTGGGAACTCCTAGAAGTATATTTTCATAGTAGATGCGACTGCTGTTCTTTAAATTATACAGCTGCTGGTTATTGTACCATGAATCCCAGTACAGACCTTCCAAAAGGGGTCCTTCCATAAACTCCACAGAGAAAAACAAATGTCATGGGAAAAATATTTTCATGTCAACAGAATCTACATTCATAACATTATGCATAAGAGATTTTGAGTATGAAAATCAAACTATTGACCAAGCTACCATTAATGGTAATGGTAATGCTAATGAAGCTACTGTGGATGGTTAACACTCATTAAGCACGTACTGTGTACTAGGCACTGCTCTAAGCACTTTACAAGCATTAACTTATGGAATCCCATAGCCCTTCTTCTCTCCTTATATGAGTAAATCGAAAATTTTCTTCCAATACATGAGTATCAGAGCTGGTCATAGCCACACATCATGATTTCACTCCAAAGTTGTCTGTACCCCTCCTCCCAACCCTCCTCCCCGACTCTGGCCATGGTGCCTGCTACTCCTGGCTCTGGCCCTTGCTGATCGTTCTAAGATGAACCCAAGCCCAGGGTTCATTTACTTCCTCCCTTTGTCTTCTCTGCCATTGGCCACATACATGCTTCAGAAAACACAATAACAAAGTGGCAAGGTGACCTCCACCTCTTTTATTATTGTTTCCTATTTCACCTAGCCTAAACCAACCGTCTAGGATCATTTAGCCCTCATCTCACACTTGCCCTCTTCCAGGAAATGACCGTGTCTCCTTGATAAGTTTCAAATTCCTGCACAGCATTCATGATATGAACTCTGTCCAATTCATAATTTGGTCTTTTCCACCTCATCTTCCATATGCTCACAATACCAAACATAGCTCCACATGTAGAATTACTTATAGAACATATTGTTCCTTCTTCCTAAAATACCCATCCCTGATTCATGCTTCAAAATGCAACTAAATTGTCATCACCACTGGAAGCGTTCTCTGCCTTGTCCTTATATGCCCCAATGTGCATATGCCAGGTTTTGTGACCTGGGATAGCTGAAACTGCTGTCCCCTTAACTGTTCTTTCTTCATAATGTGAGCATGTTGCTATGTTAAATGTAATGGAAAAAGCAAGTCTATTCCACTGCTGAAGGAATGATTCCCTTACGTAAGTAAAAACACCATGAAATTATATTCTTATATATAAATTTTATTATATACTGTACCTTACTGTAACACATATAAACAGTAAAGGTTTTATGCCAAAACCACATATATTACACTTTCTGGGCAATTAAAGAAATTTTTAAAAGTAAATTTCACTATACACAATTATAGACTAGATCCTAACCCTCACATAGTAGATGCAAGTCTTCTATTTAACAAATGAAATGAGAATGTCTAAAAAAATCAAAAAAAATTTTTTTTTTGAGATGGAGCCTAGCTCTGTTGCCCAGGCTGGAGTGCAATGGCATGATCTTGGCTCACTGTAACCTCCACCTCCCGGGATTACAGGTGGCTGTCACCATGCCTGGCTAATGTTTGTATTTTTTAGTAGAGACGAGGTTTCACCAAGTTGGTCAGGCTGGTCTTGAACTCCTGACCTCAGGTGATCCACCCGCCTTGGCCTCCCAAAGTACTGGGATTACAGGCATGAGCCACCGTGCCTGGCCAAAAAAATTTTTTAAAAAATTACAAGAATAGTATCAAACTGAGAACACAGGCTCTCAAAAACACTTACTGGTTGGTTGTTTCTAATAGTTTAAAGAAATGACATTTATTTTTATTCATTTCTTCAAAAGATATTCATTGAGTGCCCACTGTGTATGCCAAGGGTTCATGGACTACCTAAATCTACTTCATCCACAGTCACAAGATACTTTACCTTCCAAAAATCAGTTATGCTGCGAATGGACTTAAAGTTGGTTCTTTCTTCACCAGGCACAGAAGTGTCCAAAAATAGAGATGACATAACCTTGTTTAAGTAATACATATGTGGGTTTACCATCCCAAAAGTCACTAAGGAGAATAATTTTTTGTTTAATAATTTACATTTAAAAACTCAGCTTATCAGGATTAAAAATGTTACATTTTTTTCTCAATTTTGAAAATTAAACTTTATTAATCTAATTATAAAAGTAATAATTTAAAAAATCTAAACTAGAAATATAAAAAGTAGGATGTGGTTTCTAGAATTAGTCTGGCAAATATTCTTCAGACATTTCTTTATGCATACACATTTATAAAGAAAATAATTTTATCTTTACAAAAATGAGGACACATTATACACACTATTCTGCAAGTTGACTTTTTCTCTACATGAGAGTAAGGCAATATAGTATGGTGAGTGGTTAAGGTTACATGGACTTTGAATTCAGACAGATAAGGGTGTGAGTCCCATCACAGGGATAGTATCTCTTACCCCCTAGTTTTGTTGTGAGAAGTGAGATGATGCACACAGAACATTTTAAACTGTGTTTTGGCACATGATGAGTTTTTAAAAATATTAACTAGTGGCGGGGCGTGGTGTTGCACCCATAATCCCAGAACTTTGGGAGGCTGAGGTGGGTGGATCACCTGAGATCAGGAGTTCGAGACCAGACTGACCAACATGGTGAAAACCCTGTCTCTACTAAAAACATACAAAATTAGCCGGGCGTGGTGGCACAGGCCTGTAATCCCAGCTACTCCGGAGGCTGAGGCAGGAGAATCGCTTGAACTCAGGAGGTGGAGGTTGCAGTGAGCCACTGTACTCCAGCCTGGGTGACAGAGCGAGACTGTCTCAAAAAAGAAAAAAAAAAGAAAAAAAATCACATTATAAATGGAGATTCAGGTTGCTGTATTATATTAAAAAAAGTGTTCTTTAAAAATCTCTGAATAATGGGATTATAAATGATCTTTTTACTTACATTTTTACATTTTCCAAATGTTCTGTAGTAAGCATGTAGTTTTCATAACCAAGCTTTTATAAAGCAGTCTAAGATATCTTAATTTATAAAGTTGCCTACAGTTATCTTTTTTTTTTTTTTCCTTGGGACAGGGTCTCAGCCTGTCACCCAGGCTGAAGTGCAGTCGTTGCAATCACAGTTCACTGCAGCCTCGACCTCCTGTGCTCAAGCAATCCTCCACCTCAGCCTTCTCAGTAGCTAGGACTACAGGGGTGTGCCACCACACCTGGCTAATTTTATAGTTGTCTTTTCAATCAAGAGCAGACTCAAACTCACCCCTACAACACCAATTAATTACTTAATTGCTATACAATTGCCAGTGTGTAGCACATACCAACATGAGACAATACTGCCAGTGAGCTTTCATCTACTGTTATGTTGGGTGCCATCGACAAATGCTCTTTAATACTCCTCTTTGCATATTAAGCCAATGCTATTGACCCACAGGTAGGAGGAATGCAGGTTGAGATGTTTTCCCAGTCCTCCTTAATTATTTGCATTGACTCAGCACAAACTATTTTTTTAACTGCAATAGGTCAGTGAAAAGAACCAAGCTAATGGCAGACACCAAGATGAACTTTGGCCTCATTTGTACTTTGATTTATGAAACTCAGCTGATGTGTCTATATGACTCTAAACAAAATCAAATTGCAGTTGCCAACCCAAGGGATGAATTATGCTCAAGACAGAACTGCCAAATGAAAGGAATAATTCTAATTCAGTCAGTATTGACTATGGAAGCTTCTTACATTTGCGATGTAAAATTTTGCCCCTTAAGAACTGAAAATAGTCAATTTCTAAATGAAATGAATCTAAATGAATTTAAGATTATGTTTAAACGTGTCACTGTATTTTGAGTTTTAGTAGCCTGACAGCCTGTGGTTTTGAAGTTTGTATGTTTTATTTTTCATCTCCACATTTTAACTTCTTAGTTCAAACAAACAGCATCTTTATATCTGTGTACTTACATATACATAGGTTTATTAAAAAAATAAAGTAGAGTAACAATTCCTGAAGTGTGGTTGTAATTTCTACTTCCTTTCTGTAATGCAACTTATGTTTCGAAGCCCCTGTGAGATATAAGACAAAATTTTTCTTTACATTATTATGTAATTTATAAGTGACAACAATGGAAAAACCACAGCCACTTTTAGTCCTTACACTGCGGGGAGGAAAGCTCCAATAGCTTCTGGCTATTTTTCAATTCTTAGTTTTACGAGGCAGGGATAATTTTTTTACTATATACTATTAATAACAGATTTTTTTTTTGAGACGGAGTCTAGCTCTGTCGCCAGGCTGGAGTTCAGTGACGCGATCTCGTCTCACTGCAGCCTCCGCCTCCCCGGTTCAAGCGATTCTCCTGCCTCAGCCTCCCGAGTAGCTGGGACTACAGGCGCGCGCCACCACACCCAGCTAATTTTCGTATTTTTAGTAGAGATGGGGTTTCACCATGTTGGCCAGGATGGTCTCGATCTCTTGACCTTGTGATCCGCCCGCCTCGGCCTCCCAAAGTGTTGGGATTACAGGCTTGAGCCACTGCGCCCGGCCACTAACAGATTTTATATCATGATGTCTTCTCGCCAGTCTTAAGATGAAAAAGCAAAATACGAAACAAGTAAAACCTCTCATCTGTCCTAACCGTTTTCTCCACCCTCAATACAGCTTCTTGGGAAGGCTGGTTTCTGCTGGACAGGGGAAAAACACCTCGGCTTGAATTCTGTCAAGGTCACGACTCCCCAGATCAACCAAGGACTTTAGAGACCGGCCTAGCGACGGTCACTCGACAGGTGACAACGCCCAGCTCGAGCCTCCGGCAAGAGGCGAGCGCCACCTCGCTCAGGGCTTCAGTTTTCCCGTCTGTGCAATGGGACCATCTGTCCCTCTCCGCTTCCCCAGGGGAGGCTGTGAGGGCTAAAGGTGTCGGCAGTCACATCTCTCAAACGAATTTGGGGCCGCAGAGTTCCTTTCAGGGTGTCTGGAACTGCCAAATCGCCCCTGTCCCTCCCACTCCTTAAGAGGACCCCTCACCGCCTCGGTGCCACCGTGACGCCTCAGCCATGGCGGACCTGCACTACACCGCCCGTTCGTTCGCCTGAGGCCGCGGCGCTTGCGCGCTAGTCTTGCGGCGCGCGCTGCCCGGCTCTGACGCCTGCGCGAGCCCCCAGCTCCTCCAGGGCGGCGAGCTACTCGACAAGTCGTCAGCGCGGCTGCGCCGCAGGAGCCCGGGAGGCCTTTCGCCCGAGGCGGGCTGCGGGCTGCTGGGGTCTGGTGCGGAGGGCCAACTTCTGGGAATAACCTGGCTGTGGGCTTAAAAATCGTAGTCATTCATTATCACGGGCTTCTCTCTCTCGAATACCTTTAACATTTATCGCCTTGTTAGTCTCCACATCCACCTCCGTGAAAGGTAGGTATTTTTGTCCTCATTTTAGGCCTGAAGAAACCGAGAAGCTGAGAAATGAAGTAATTCACTGGAAGTTGGGGCCAAGTCTTGGATGCCCAAGCCCAAATTCCTAACCGTGACCCTACGCTGCTGCTGCTGCTGCTACTTGCAGAAACTGGTTATTAACCGAGAGCTGTTGCTGGAAGTAGCTTCCACTCCCCTGCCCCCGTGATGTAAAAATAGATGAAAAACTCTGCAGTGATTATGTGAAAGGTCAGGCCGACACAGGAGTCCTGGGGCCCAGACCCACATCTGACCCAGAAGCTTTGCAAAGATGAGAAGGTTGGTAAACCAGCTATAGAAAAGGCCAAACTAATTTGGCTGTAAATTAAGGCAGCCAAAAGCCCTCCAGGATGTAAGACCAGGACGGATTCTCGTGTTGATAAAAAGGAAAATAAAATGGAATCCAGTCCAAAGGCCCCAGGGAAACCTGCAAAGAAAACCACTAACCAGTTTTGAAAGTAAAAGATAAAGCCACTTTTGTTATTTCCCTGAAAGAGATGTAGACTGCTGTCGATAAATGCTGTTTTATGTGTAGATAAAAAGCAAAACGGCCACACAGTAGTGAGGGTCAAAAACTACCATCGATGAGAGGAACAGGAGAGGCCTCGCAAAAGGCTGACAGCCAGTGAACTAGAAGCCCGAGAGGAAAAAAAGCTTTAGAATAGTTTTAACAAAAGGATTTGGGCTTTCCTGTACTGGGACTCTCAGCTGTTCACAAAATTATGCTTTCTAAAGTAACAGATTATCTGAAATTGAAATTATTAGAGGAAAAACACCCATATATAGGTAATCAAATTTACATAATTTTTTTTTTTTTAGAGATGGAGTCTCGCTATATTTCCCAGTCTGGCCTCAAACTCCTGATCTTAAGGGATCCCCAGCTCAACCTCTCCCAGCAGCTGGGACTACCGGGCTGTCAAATTTACATTAACTATGAGAATTAAGCAGGTAATCTCTAGAGACTATTCTTATTCCTTTGAGCATAACAGACTGAAAAATCCTGAAGAATTAGAAACCTGTTTGGTTAAAACAAAATCACAAATTCAGTAGATTCAGTCATGATTTAAGTTCTTGTGATTGCCTTTGAAGTGCAAACCATGGCAAGTCTAGCTTAGTTTCTAGAGGAATTGGCTGAGCTGTAAGTGAGCTTCACACTGTTCTAGAATATAACATTGCTCTTTTGGAACTTGTTATTCATAGGTTTTGCTGAGTGGAGTTTTATTTTACAGATCTAGACTTTTGTGAAGAGGAGACAGTCCGTTTTAAATATTTGAATTTTATTTTCTTTTGACATACAACTGTGGAACACTCAGATAATCTATACCATGTTAGTATTCCTACAAGAGAAAACGGGTAAAACAGTATTTAGAAAGCAGTACCAGTAAACGTTATTACAAGCATTAGATGTGTTTAAAAAGTTGATACTAATTTATAACCTGTAATTGTTAAATGTGCATGACTTAAATGTTAAAATCCTGTATTTTAAGATAGTCTTCTGCAGTTACAAATCCATATACCCAGATTTCCTGTAGGCTTCACAAATCGGAGGGGTACATAGAATGTGCAAGAGTCAAAGGATAAATAATATTATAAATATATATTAACTATATTACCTAATTAAAACCATAATCTGTTAATACAGCTATGGATTAATTTCAAAAAAATGTAATCAAATATATTACTAATGGTGTAGTTGGCTGTTTTCCAATGTTGGTAAAGTTATTAAAGTTCTTCACTTTCATAGAGTCCAGATTGAGCTGCCAAACGCTGAAATTCTCCTTCTGGGTTAAAAGCTTGTTTTACATTCAAACCTTTCCCATTAAGTGCTAAATATTTGCTGAATGTTGGTCGAACCCGTAACTGCTTAGGAGCTGGAAGAGTTTGGTTTGGACGTGCTGAAATAGATCACATAAAAGTTGATTCAGAAAACCTGTTCTAACCAAATTGGTCACACTAGGTATTTATTATCAGACAGGAAAAGAAAAAAGAACCAAAACTGATTATATATGGGGAAAATATCTCAAATTTTATACTCTGCTGGGATTTTCATTTCTTATTAAATCTTCCTAGTTAAATCCCTTATAATACTTTGGTTAATAGTATGACATACCCGTAACGTCTAATCTTGTGTTACATGTAGTCACTCCAGCTTCATTAACTGCTGACACAGTATACCACCCAGCATCTTTCTTGTTTACATCTTTTATCAGTAAAGTAACTCTTCCAGTGTTATCTTGATATAAGCTGAAATAAAAATTTTTAAGAAATGAAAGTACAGGAATTATTTCTGTGAAGTGGATGTCTCTGACCAACAGTCAGACTAGGAAGAAAAAAACATTTGAAAATTCCAAAGCTGTATCTATTTATTGCCAAATAGCTATTGGTTTTCTTGAATTAAACATCCCCCCTTGGGTGCTGTCTCCCTCTGCTCTTCAATCTGTCCCCTGATGGTCCCTGTCATTCACTCGGGTGTGTCTGTGTTTGTATTTATGCGTATGTATAGGGGAATGGAGGGGTCCTGACCTGTTCCGTTATCTGTCTCCTACCTCCTCCTTTGTTTAATAAAGGCTGAAGCTTTTTGTAAAGAAAGAAAAGAAAAGAAAACATCCCCCTTTAATCTTGTTTATGTCATTTATTTCCTTGGGCCATCTTTCATCATCGTTGATAAAAAGATAAATCCTAGTCTACTTTATGCCTTACATTTCTGATTAGTGGAATCTGGCTTACTGAAGTTTTCTTACATTTTTATCTAATATATATTTTATTATATTATTCTTTAGTGTTTTAAAAACTAGACAAATTGAGATAAATGCATGCCATTTATAATGCATGTTAAAAAGTATAACTGGATTCACCCAAATAAACTATAGTAAGTCTAGAAATACATATCCTACCTTATTCGGTCAGTGTTGAATTGTACCATTTCATTATTTCTTTTCCAGAAAAGCTTTGGTGGAGGTATAGCCGAGATCTGGCATTCTAGTTTCACTGAATCTCCCTCTAAAACTTTTTTGCTCTGTGGTTTGTAGATAAACATTGGTGCTCTTTTATGTTCTTTTGCTATATATTAATACAAAAATTCAAGTATTTGAAATATTATAAAAAAGGTATTAAATCAAACCAAGGTATTATGAAATTTGTATGTTGATATTAAAATGTTAAAAAGCAACAGCAACAGAAAGAAACTCAGTAAAAAAGACATGCAGTACTATTTTGTTATACCATTCAGAATTCTAAACTCTAATGTAATGATGCATTGAATTGATAATCAGATAATTATATTTCATTCAAACTAAAGTCATATTCTTTTTTTTTTTTTTTTTTTTTTTTTTTTTTGAGACAGAGTCTCGCTCTTTTGCCCAGGCTGGAGCGCAGTGGCGTGATCTTGGTTCACTGCAACCTCCGCCTCCCAGGTTCAAGGAAGTCTCCTGCCACAGCCTCCTGAGTAGCTGGGATTACAGGTGTGCACCACACCCAACTAATTTTTGTATTTTTTTTAGTGGACACAGAGTTTTGCCATGTTAGCCAGGCTGATCTCTAACTCCTGGCCTCAAGTGATCTGCCCACCTCAGCCTCCTAAAGTGTTGGGATTACAGTCATGAGCCACCGTGCCTGGCCCAAATTTAAGTTATATTCTTTATCATCTCATCTACAGGGAGGCAGCATGAGTGATGGAAAGAGTATCAGACAGCTTGGGTTCAAATTACCTATTGGCTCCATGAGCCATGCCAAATTGGTAAAATTTTGTTTAGTTTCTCTGAGTCTCAGTTTTATCTATTGTTATAAAAAAAAAATCCCGGTAGTAGTGACTGTTGTGTCTACCACACAAAATAATTGTAAGGAACAAATGAGATAATAAACAAAGAGATACTTTGTAAACTCTGAAGGAATGTGGGAATATCAGTAATTATTATGACCTTATTTTCAGCTACCTGAGGGGAGACAGGAAACGATAGTTCAGTACCATAACCCTGGTTTTTCTGAAGGAGAAATGAGATTAAACGGATGGCAGCCAAGATCTCTTTCAGCTCTACTATTGTAGTATTTCTGAAGCCATTGGTACAAATAGGATTTGTCTAAACTTTAATCACTTAAATTGTATGTGTTTTTGAAAATTTCCAGCCCACTAGTTTTTCCCCTGAGATTGAGGCCCTTTGGTATATTATTGAATAATCTTAAAGATTTTGTATTGATCTGGGTAGAATATAAACTCAAGAAAATAGTTTATCCTTTAACCTGATCAAACTTCTGTATAATAAATAGTGAATTATAGCAAAATATCTCTTATGCAATATACAATGGCTTAAAGTATTAAAAATATGGTATGGGTTGAGTATCCATTATCTGAAATGCTTGGGACCAGAAGTGTTTTGGATTTCTGATTTTTTTTTTATTTTAGAATATTAGCGTTATACTTGTTGAGCATTCTTAACCTGAAAATCCAGAATGCTCTAATGAACACTTCCTTTGTGTGTCATGTCGATTTTGGAGCATCTTAAAGATTTCAGATTTTTGGATTAGGGATACTCAACTTGTATATTTAAAGCACTTAAAGTGTAAAATTTAAAAACCAGACACCAGTTTTATAAGAACTGCTCTACTTAAGACAGATTTGAGACATAAATGTAGCCATACCTGTTTTCTAAAGCAAGTAGGCCTGTTTTGGTTATAATTAGACATTAGTTTCCTAGTAAAAAGGACATAGTCTAAGGCTAAAAGTTGATATTTACTCTTGATTTTTTAAGAAATTTTTTTAAACAAGGTCTGACTGTGTCACCCAGGCCGGAGTACAGTGGTGCAATCATAGCTCACTGAAACCTCAAACTCCAGGCTCAAGTTATCCTCCTGCCTTAGCCTCTCTAGTAGCTGGGACTATAGGTGTGCACCACTATGCCCAGCTAATTTTTTTATTTTTTGTAGAGACAAAGAAGATCTTGCTATTTGTTACCCTGGCTGGTCTCAAACTCCTTGGCTCAAGTGATCCTTCCACCTTGGCGCCTCTTAAAGTGTTGGGATTACAGGCCTGAGTCACTATACCCAGCCTACTCTTCACTTTTAAACTATGTATTTAACGTTTGACAGATTATGATAATTCTGTAATACTGTGAGTCAGATTGGTTATTTTTATTATCCTCATTTTGGAGAAACAAAGACCAGAGAAATGATTAGACTAAGATTTTCATTTTGAGACTCTATAGTTACGTCTAGAAATGCTTATGCTTCATTATTTGGTTTGTCTAAAATTGTATGATTTATTTTCTTTCCAGAAAAGCTTTGGTGATAGATCTGTCATTCTAGTTTCACTGACTTTCCTTCACATATCTATATATGTATGTATGTGTGTGTATATATATATATTTTTTCCTGTGGTTTGTAGATAAAAATGGACATTCCAATAGGTTGTATAGACATTAACCTTAAATATGAAGTCTGCTGGGCTTTTCTTTTAAAATACTTTCTTTTTTTCAATACTTCTGGATTTTAAGGAATTCTCAAGGGTCTCTTTGGAGGCTTACCAAGGACATCCAGCTGCACAGTGAAGGTGGCTTCTCCTGCTCTATTCTTGGCAACACATGCATAAGCCCCTGCATCTGAAGCTCTGACTACTTCAAAGATGAGTGAATGAAGACCCTTCTCAGACACTATCATTTTGTGCAAATCATCTGATTGAACTGTTCTTCCATTTAGATACCATGACACATCAGGAGCTGGCAGTCCACTCACCTAGAAAGAAAAACACAAGGAGATGGCAGAATTTTAAAGTATTGCATCACTGAAACCTATTTGTCCATATATGAATTTAAACAGTTCCCGTATCTGAGTGGGTTTGCGATTGAAATGCAAAGCAAGAGCTCAAAAGTATTTATAATTTTTTAAACAAAACATTGGAAATAAGATCCTTGAAATTAACATAGTATTTTTAGACTGTCTCAAACCATAACTCTTTTACATGCAACCTCAGTCTCTTTATGAACTCTTAATTTCTATATTTAGAACATTAATTTATGTTACATTGGTTTCCATAAGGAATATAGAAGTCATTGCTTTTCTGGCTAAATGTGACTGCAAATGAAGTCCCAGAGGCACATATATATGAGGCTTCCTGATCTAATGCGTAATTTTTCTAAAACAGAGTGTTCTTGAGCTATAGTTTGGCATATAAATGGCAATTTGTTAAGTGTTTTTACATAAACTGTTAACAGTGGAATCCAAAGCTTTAACACTAACTTGAGTTCATAAGGAATCTGGAAAAAAAATTTTATAAGGAAAAGTTCTCCAAAATAAGGATAATAAAAATATAACCTCTTCTAAAGAGCTTTTCTAGTCTGAGGGACTCTTTTAGGCCAAGAGAAAGCAGGGTGGCTTGAATTTCTTGATAGAGGAGAATTGGAGAGACATTATACTTTAAGGCTGGGCACAGTGGCTCACGCCTGTAATCCCAGCACTTTGGGAAGCCAAGGTGAGTGGATCGCCTTGAACCCAGGAGTTCTAGACTAGCTGGGCATGGTGGCACGCGTCTGTAGTTTCAGCTACTAGGGAGGCTGAGTTGGGATGATGGCTTGAGCCTGGGAGACAGGTTGCAGTGAGCTGCGATTGTGCCATTGCACTCCAGCCTGGGTGACAGAGCAAGACCCTGTCTCAAAAAAAAAAAAAAGGGCATTGTACTTTAAAAATTATATTGTTCTGATAGCTTCACTTATAAAAGTATTTATTAGGTATACCTATCCACTCAATTAATCCTCATAATTTTTTGGGGTATTTGTTATCCCATTTTACAGATGAGGAGACAAAAGCACAGAGAGGTTAAATGACTTGTCTAAGGTTGCTTAGCTGGAGGATGGCAGAGCCAGAATTCAAACCCACATCAGTTTGACTTCAGAATTTGTGTTCTTGTCCATTGTACGTACTGCTTTGCAAGCTATGAAGTAGGAAAAGAACATTTTTCAAAACTTAGTATCCCATTGTTAATTTTCCCCCAGTACTTTTGAACCCTTCTCTTACTTTGAAGTCCATTCTGCAGAATCTTCCTTCATCAATCGACATGTTCTCTGGCACTTGAATGAAACGTGGTGGGTAAAATTTCTCCTGGATTGCATCCTGATCATTCACATCTCCCCTTGAGGTTGATCTACTTCTACAAGAATATTTTGGTAACAACTATGCGTAAATATTATCATTGCTTTTCATTTTGCACAAATATAGTTTAGCCATCAATTTTTTTTTTTCAATGGAGTTTCACTCTTGTTGCCCAGGCTGGAGTACAGTGGCCCAATCTCAGCTCACTCAGGAGGCTAAGGCAGGAGAATCGCTTGAACCCGGGAGGCGGAGGTTGCAGTGAGCCGAGATCGCGTCGCTGCACTCCAGCCTGGATGACAGAGTGAGAGTCTGTCTCAAAGATAAATAAATAAATAAAAATATCCAAATTAAGTTTTTGACGTTTTTCTATAGTGGTGGTGTGAACATGTATATAGTTATATTCAGAGATGTGGTATTTCAGTTATACCAACCTCCGCTTCTTGGGTTCAAGTGATTCTCTTACCTCAGCCTCCCGAGTAGCTGGGATTACAGGCATGTGCCACTACGCCTGGCTAATTTTGTATTTTTAGTAGAGATGGGGTTTCACTATGTTGGTCAGCCTGGTCTTGAACTCCTGACCTCAGGTGATCTACCCACCTCGGCCTTCCAAAGTACTGGGATTACAGGTGTGAGCCACTGCGTCCAGCCTAGCCATCAAATTTGAAACCACAGAATCTACTGTTTGATCTGATAGTGTAATAACAATGAAGAGAGGCCTTAGGGCTGTATTTACCTGTGGCATATTTGATGACTATTAGAAATGGTAGCAATTTAGAAACATCTGGTACAAATTGTACATCTTAGTTTCTCTTTTACAGTGCCATGAATTGATGAAGAAATGGTCTATTAAAATGCCCAGTACCCAGCAGATTATTCTTACCACCAAAGATTGTATAATAAGAATTAGGTCTCCATTGTCATGAGAAAATTGTTTAATATAGAAGCATGATCCTGGCTTATTTGACCAAAACATTAAAAAATTCCCCTGTGATAGTTTTGATGATGAACGTCAAAATTTTGGTCATCTTCTCAGACATTAGAAAATACACATTGTATTTTTCAAAAGGTATAGAGTAGGCTCGAGGGCTTTATAAATATTACATTTTTAAGCTGAAAATATTTTAGATAGGAAAACATACATTTCTTTAAAATTAAAATTTTTTACCTTACTTGTGATGTAGGAACTTGCAGTCGCGCATGTTCTGAGTTGTGTTGCTTGAAATTAAAACAAAGTAAGAATGTTTACATGCAATTGTTAGCTTGAATGAAGCAGAATTAAGTAGTTACAGTTGAAAGGAACATTCCTATTTTGGCTGTATTTGAACAGCCCTGGTAAGTTCTATATATTCAGCTTTTAAGCCCTTAAAGTACAGTGCACTAACATACTACCACTCTAGCAAGAAGCCCAGAATTAATGGGACTATTCAACAAGTATTATTTATGAAAATTAGCTAGACTTGGAATTGATGGTGGTTCATTTTTCAGATGACTATTTTATGACAAAGGGTGATGTGTCTCCCTGGTGCATTTGAAATGGGAGCACAGAGTACAGATTGTCCTTTAGTAAAACAGGAATAGACATGAAGTCACTTGTATTGGCAGTAGCTGCAGGGTATTATGCCTGCTGCTCAAAAGTGGCACCAACAGCAGTAAACACATATTAGACTGGAAAATTCTTCTCTTTTTAGCTCGTGGCACAAAATCCTGATGGACTCCACGAAAGGTATGTGTAAGGCTTTGAAAAAGCTTTGTAAAATAGCATTAATTCCTGTTTAATAAAGTTGTATTTAAGCAGACATCTTTTAGGATTTATATCCGAACAGCAGAAAATTATTTCTATTTGAGAATAAAATCAGGGATTTATGAAAATTATAAGAGAACTAATTGATTAAGTAGTGTGTATTTTGCGTTTCACTGTGCTTAGCACAGTGGGAGATACAAAGTGGAAAACACAGTCCCTACCCAAAGCTCTGTAGGAGCACACAAGATCTGAGTACAAATAATTTGCTTTGGGATGAATCTATTTAGCTAATGTATTTTGTCATTTTTAAGGCAAAAGTCTTACAACTCTGTAACAATTTTTGGCTAGCCTTAAGGTTCTCTAAGCAAAATATCAAGACAACTGGTCAATTCAGTGATCAAACAAATCAACTAATTTTTTGGTAAAGTAAAAGTAATCCAATTAAAAATATCCAGGCTGGGCACAGTGGCTCACGCCTGTAATCCTAGCACTTTGGGAGGCCGAGGCAGGTGGATCATGAGGTCAGGAGATCGAGACCATCCTGGGTAACAAGGTGAAATCCTGTCTCTACTAAAAATACAAAAAAAAAAAAAAAAAAAAAGCCGGGTGTGGTGGCAGGTGCCTGTAGTCCCAGCTACTCGGGAGGCTGAGGCAGGAGAACGGCATGGACCCGGGAGGCGGAGCTTGCAGTGAGCCGAGATCGCGCCATTGTACTCCAGCCTGGGTGACAGAGCAAGACTCCGTCTCAAAAAAAAAAAAAAAAAAAAAAAAAAGATGAACCATCATCAGTATAATATTGCTTTGAGTAATTCCCCTAATAGTGATGAGTTTGTGTCTCATTTTTGCTATAATCTTCCATACCAAGTGCAGAGCCCAACATACAAGTAGGTTCTCCATGTAAATTAGTTGAATGAACGAATTCATGAACTGTTTAGTAGCCAAAAATAAATTTAAGTTCTCTTTTCAGTTTCTAGTTCTTGCTCTGGTAGACCCTCTTCCATCCTTTTTAGTAGGTGTAGTTGCATCAAACAGAACCAAAAAACTTAATTTCAAAGGCCAGGTGTGGTGGCTCATGCCTGTAATCCCAGCACTTTGGGAGGCTGAGGTAGGCAGATCACTTGAGCTCAGGAGTTTGAGACCAGCCTGGGTAACATGGTGAAATCACCGTCTCTGCTAAAAAATACAAAAACTAGCCAGCACGGTGTGCGCACCTATAGTCCCATCTATTTGGGAGTCTGAGGCACGAGAATCACTTGAACTTGGGAAGTAGATGTTGGAAAAAAAAAACTGAATTTCAGTTTTCTACATTTGGAAGCTAGGAATATTTGTGTTCCTGGTTTAATCTCTTTGGCTCCCAGTTTCTTGTGGACTTTTTGGAGGGAATGGAAGGTAACTATGAAGGAAGAAAGAGTGCTAACATTCAGTCTACCTGTCCAACTGAACATTTTTCTTTTTTCTTTTTTGTGTTTGAGATGGAGTCTCTCTCTCACCCAGGCTGGAGTGCAGTGGCATGATTTTGGCTCACTGCAACCTCCATCTCACGGGTTCAAGCGATTCTTCTGCCTCAGCCTCCTGAGTAGCTGGGACTACAGGCGCAGGCCACCACGCCCAGCTAATTTTTGTATTTTTAGTAGAGACTGGGTTTCACCATTTTGGCCAGCATCCCCTCGATCTCTTGACCTCGTGATCCACCCACCTCGGCCTCCCAAAGTGCTGGGATTACAGGCGTGAGCCACTGTGCCCAGCCACCAACTGTACATTTTTCTTTGGGGTTAAGTTTACTTGTTAAAATCAAGTTGAGGCCAGGCGTGGTGGCTCATGCCTATAATCCTAGCACTTTTGGAGGCCGAGGCGTTCCAGCCTGGCCAGCATGGTGAAACCCCATCTCTACTAAAAATACAAAAATTAGCTGGGCCTGATGGTGTGCGCCTGTAATCCCAGCTACTTGAGAGGCTGAGGCAGGAGAATCACTTGAACCTGGGAGGTGGAGTTTGCAGTGTGCTGAGATTGTGCCACTGCACTCCAGCCTGCCTGGGTGACAGAGCAAGACTGTCTCAAAAAAAAAAAAAAAAAAATCGATCAGGTGCAAACCTGTGGGATGTGCCACCATAAAGTTAAACCCTTCTTGGAAAGGATACATTTGTTAATCTTAGAACAATTACTCATGAGGGGTTTTTTTTGGTTTTCAGAAAGCATTTTTTGAAAACAGGAATATAACAAAAGGAATTGGATGTTTCATTAGTACCACAAGTATATTTTAAAACATTGAAATGTTAAACAGCTTATGAGAAAGGTTATAATTACTTTCATTTATAATCTTAATTTCTGTCCTATTGGAGGTTCACAACCCATATATTCCCTGTCCGTGTAGACACCATAGAGAGTCCTAGGTCTAACTGACCCATAAATGTCCTGATAAAAAATAATACCATTAGACTTCTTGTGTTTTGATTTTGTGACGTTGTGTATCCAGGTATTAGAACTACCAGAAAATGGGGTAAAATGTGGTAAAATTATGTATATATGTTTATCATGGCCTCTTTATGTATCCAGTGGTGGATGGAACTGACCGACTTTTATTTCAGATGCTATTTATAAGCATTTAGAAAAGCAGACATTTAAAAATCGCACAGAATAAAAATACTCCACTTAGAGCATTTTAACTTACCTGCGAGTCTTGTGCACCACTGTCATCCTGAGCTTGAAACACAGCAGCTGCATTCTGTGGTCCTAGCAATCTGCGAGCCATCTTCTCTTCATATGTTAGACGCTTTAGAGAATTTATTGAGACAGTAATTAGATTTAATAAAAGATGTTTGTACAGGTTTACCTTAAAACCACTACTATAGGTCAGAACTTCAAAGAAGCATAGTTCTATCTATTGAATGATAGATTCTATTTTTTTTTTTTTTTTTTTTTTTTGAGACGGAGTCTTACTCCGTCGCCCAGGCTGGAGTGCAGTGGCACAATCTCGGCTCACTGCAACCTCCGCCTCCTGGGTTCACGCCATTCTCCTGCCTCAGCCTCCTGAGTAGCTGGGACTACAGGCGCCTGCCACAATGCCCAGCTAATTTTTTGTATTTTTAGTAGAGACGGGGTTTCACTGTGTCAGCCAGGATGGTCTTGATCTCCTGACCTTGTGATCCACCCGCCTCGGCCTCCCCAAGTGCTGGGATTATAGGCGTGAGCCACTGCGCTCGGCTGATTCTATTTTTTTTTTTTTAAAGTCTTTTCTTCCATTCAAAGCATTTTCCTTCTATTCTAGTACCATTTCCCTCACTTGCAGTAAAGGTTCACTTAGGCTTTCTTTTTGCTCCTATGACAGGCAAGCATAATCACTCTTAAATAAGGATCTCCTAAGTAAAGGGAAATTCAACCCTTTCCTCCGTTGTTCTGCATGTTCCAGTCAGCTTTGTTTTTGAATATAATACTTCATGTGCTCACATTCAGAAGTAATTTTTATTTAATTTTAATTAATTAATTTTTGAGACAGAGTCTCACTCTGTCGCCCAGGCTGGAGTGCAGTGGCACGATCTTGGCTCATGGCGACCTACGCCTCCTGGGTTCAAGCAATTCTCCTTTCTCAGCCTCCTAAGTAGCTGGAACTACAGGTGCATGCCACCACACCTGGCTAATTTTTTATTTTTAGTAGAGATGGAGTTTCACCATATTGGTCTGGCTGTTCTCGAACTCCTAACCTTGGTGATCCACCTGCCTTGGCCTCCCAAAGTGCTGGGATTACAGACGTGAGCCACTGCACCCAGCCAGAAGTAACTTTTATTAAATGAGCACTGAATATTTGATTGTACTAACTTCTGATTGAGAGCAGTCCAACTGATAGGCTAAATGTATTTGTATTAAAGGCATATAGTACTGTTTAAAGATAAGTTACTAATATAATATACACAATAAGGACTACATGATAAGAATTATAGCAATAATTACCTGTCAGTGTTATACATCAAAGTACACTAAGTTGACTTGACAGTAATTCCTAATAGCTATTTGGGCATCAGACATATTTTATGAGAGGGTAATATTTAATAACAGAAAAATTTCATTAAACCATTCAGATACATTTTTCATTTGCTTCATTCTTTTACTACTGTAAACCAAGAGGTGATTTCATGCAGAGAGAAATGGAATAGGGCCCAAATATTCCTTCTTTTTAGATAATCTTATTCCTTGTTGATATATGGACCTAGATCTGTGAGCTAGAACTTCCTTATTAAAATTAGATTTTATAGTTTAATTGGCCTTTTGTACAAAATAGACATCTTGCCCACTTGATTTCCATTATGAAGAAGGGTGTCCTTGCATTTCAGCTTTCTTTCCAAATCTTGAATCAAAGCTTCTTTTGATCCTTGTATTTCATGATCAGGAGTTCTTGGTATGGGCTTAGCATTTGCAGTTTGGGATGGCTTTGCATTTATAGGTTGGCCAGCTGAGGACTGTTGATAGCTTTAAAAAGGAAAAAGAAAAGATTTTTAAAAAGAAGGTCTTGGCCTCATTTTGCAAATTACCTTTAGATATGTTGAGTTTACCACTTAGTACTACTAGTATTATTAAAAACAAATTGCCCTAATAACAGTCAAGAAATATTTTATAAGAATGGTTACTATCTTTTTTTTTTCCTTTTGGCAAATGGAAATTAAGTGTCAGGAGGAAGAATTTAGATTAGACATAAGGAGGATGTCCTTCCTTGAAGATATTCCCTAAGGAATGTGAGAGTAAGTCTAGTTAGTGGCAGCTTGAGAGCTCTTCCAATCTTATGAGTAATTTCTTTAATAAAATTTTTTTTTAGATTCTGGGAGTACATGTGCATGTTTGTTACATGGGTATATTGTATGATGCTGGGGTTTGGCCTTCTAATGATTCTGTCACCCAAGAGGTGAACATAGTACCTGATAGTTAGTTTTTGAACCCTTTTCCACCTCTTTCCCTGCTTTCGGGATCTCCAGTGTTTATTGTTTTCATCTTTGTGTTCATATGTACCCAATGTTTAGCTCCCACTTATAAATGAGAACATGCTCTATTTTATTTTCTGTTTCTGTGTTAGTTTGCTTAGGATAGTGGCCTCAAGCTGCATCCGTGTTGCTGCAAAGGACGTAATTTTGTTCTTTGTTATAGCTACGATGACCGAATTTCTTGTTTGATTTATGGGTAGATATTAAGTGGTGGTATTCTGGAGCTGGTTCATATGGGCTGATTTTTAGCATCTTTTCCCAGCTTCCTATGATTTCATGTTATAGTTTGAAATTGGTTGTGGTGGAAATATTTACACCAGGGAAATCGGTAAATATCACAAATAATGGCTCTTTTGTCCAGTGATTGTTAGACATTTACCAGCACACCACTGGCTTTTAGTGAATAATCTTTTGCTTTGAATGGAGTCTACACAGTCATTGACTTTCCTGTAATTTCCAATTCCTATTAATTTCATATTCTAGAAAATCCAAGTATGGCACTATATAACAGCAAATAACTTCTAAAGTAATGACAGTTTCTTCAATACTACTGAAGTGATTTTTAGAGAAAAAATGGGATGATTTGAGGAAGGAGAAAGAAATGTAAACTGGAAAAAAGCAAATAAAGTCTTTATTTCAAATTTTGATCCTAAATTTTTTCTATGATGTCCTTGCCCCTCCCGTATTTCCCTTGTTGATTCTGATAGAGGATAGGGTGGTATTTAGAGAGTCCTGTATTTTTAGATCTGTTAGGTAGCTTAAATGTATCACAGTGCTTTATTCAGTTTTTACCTAGTTTATCCATTCAGAGCCCTGCAGGGGCTAATCTTTATTTTTAATTTTTATTTATTTTTTTGAGATGGAGTCCCGCTCTGTTGCCCAGGCTGGAGTGCAGTGGCGCGATCTCGGCTCACTGCAACCTCTGCCTCCCGGGTTCAGGTGATTCTCCTGTCTCAGCCTCCCAAGTAGCTGGGATTACAGGCACCCGCCACCATGCTCAGCTAATTTTTGAATTTTTAGTAGAGACGGGGTTTTGCCATGTTGGCCAGGCTGGTCTCAAACTGCTGACCTCTGGTAATCTGCCTGCCTGGGCCTCCCAAAGTTCTGGGATTACAGGCTTGAGCCACCGCACCCGGCCTGCAGGGACTAATCTTTATTAATCTATTTAATGTGAGGAAACTAGCCACTGCCCTCAATGAGTATTTTACCATTATTATAATAAATGTTCTCTGGCTATCCAGATGAGACAATCTTGGTCTCTTCTCTGAAATGATCCTTTCCAAATATTCTCAAGGATCATTAAAAGGACTTGTGAGCTAAGTATAAATGTATTTCCTCCAAGTAGGGCCAGAGTTTTAATTTTTACTGGCTTTGGGAACTTGGTTAGTAATCATTAGATTGTAAACATTCTGGAGAAAAAATATGTCTTATTTGTTATCATTATATCATTTATATCCACGAACACAGAGCATGGGTATAGGAGATACTATCAGTTGAGTGAATGAGTGATTTTCATAGTATTCAGGACACTCTATTGAAAGCTAATGATACACATTTCCTCTCCTGACATTTCAGGTCTTAAGATCTTTATGGTTGTCTATATAAATTTTTAAAGTCTGATTTGTTCAGTTAATAGCCAAACAAAATGTTTTTTAAAATAGCGATTTTTTTTTTAAAGATTGAATTCCTAGATCAAAGTGTCAAAATCTCTTTGGCCTTATAGATCTCATATTTTTTCAATCGTATAGAATTATAATAGACCACTTTTTTTTTTTTGAGACGGAGTTTCATTCTTGTTGTCCAGGCTGGAGTGCAATGGCATGGACTTGGCTCACTGCAACCTCTGCCTCTCTCTATGTCTCCCGGGTTTAAGCGATTCTCATGCCTCAGCCTCCCAGGTAGCTGGGATTATAGGTGCCTGCCACAACACCCTGCTAATTTTTTTGTATTTTTTTTTTAGTAGAGACAGGGTTTCACCATGTTGGCCAGGCTGGTCTCAAACTCCTGACCTTGGGTGATCCATCCACCTTGGCCTCCCAAAGTGCTGGGATTACAGGTGTGAGCCACACCTGGCCTAGCCTACTGTTTTTTTTTTTTTTAAAAATGCTAGCTTATCATCTTTATAAGTCACACATTTGTTAATGTGAATTAGCATTAAATAATTGTTTTTAGACTTGTCATATCTGGGAAATTCTGAATATATCTGAGAAGTCCTGAAGGATTATCAAAACCAATCCTGAGAATCACTGATGTATATGTAACCTCAGTCACTTTGTTCACTGAATACTCTCATTATTCCCAGTTTAGGTGGATTAAGTGTTACGACTTGATAAATGCTCCCATTTACAAACTAATAGTACGTTTGCACACTGCTTTATAGGTCCTTTCTCTATCATTAATTACCTAACTCTTTAATATTGCTACAGACCAGAAAATTGAAGCACTGGGTAGGTAAAGTGCTTGCTGAATTTCACATAGCAAGCTTTTTGGAAGGAACAATTGAGTTCCCCTCAGTTTTCAGTCTGTGGTTTGATCAACTGGGTAAAATGTTTGCCTAAGAGCTTCCTATTGATGAAAATCTAAATAAAGCTTTCAAATTTCTCTAGGTCAGAATCCAAGGGATTATTTTGGAAGTCAGGGCGAACTGGAGCCCATAATAACGAGGGAGTTGTGCACAAATGTTCAAAGGGCCAGGGCTTTCCACTCTGCACAGCTGGACACGAAATGGGTATCAAGTAGCTATGGGAAGATTAAAGAGTTATCTGTGGTTGCTGAAAATGGAACAGCTAAAGTGGATCTTTGATCTCTGGTTTGGGGACCTCCTAGGCTTTATTTCTTATTATGTTTTTGCCTTTCTCTTTTCTTAAGTCTTTGATCACTTTCTTTTCTGGGCAGTAATTTGAAATATGATTGAAAGACTTTACTAAGAAAAACAAAAAATTCTTCTAGATTTTAAAATGCTAATATAGGAAATATGGAAATAATAGAAAGCTAGATGGAAAATGATCATCTGGGTAAATATAACCAAGAAAGATCTATATATTATAAAGGGAATTTGGGAGGGAAGAGAAAGAAAGGGCTCTCAATTATTAAAAACATCCTTTTAAAATATTAGGTTAAACCTGTGAGAATGCCATTTTTGTAGGTCAAAAACAGTTGACTATCAGCCATTTCAAATGGTTCAACTTAATATCTATAGGATTCTAACAAATGTTTTTGGTTTTCCTGATTTTTATTTTTTAAAATATTGAAAAGGTTTTTTTTTGCAAGTTGAATTGCTATAGGCAGTTCAACTAGATTTCCAAAGTTGTCACCAATAATAGGAGTTTGTAGAAAAATTAGCCTCTAGAGAAGACTGCGAGAAATTAGCAGAGTTGAGTGAATGTATTAGTAAGCCTGCAACAAAACATATTCCATCAGACAATTTTTGAGATGCCTCTGATTTAATTCTCTGATGTTCCAGCCAGCCAAGGAACAGGAAAGCTGATAGCCAATAGTTTGCATAAGCACAAGGTATTCAGTTCATGTTTTAAAAAAAGCATAACCACCATCTCCTTTTTCATACTAGGTTCTCCTAGGACAGTCTTAGGGTAGTGGAAATAGCACATGTTTACATAAGGCCCCAGTATTAGTCCCTGTATTTAGATCAACCCAACTAATTTGAACAAGGTGTGGTTTTAATTACCAAACGAAACCGTAAGGTCATAAGCCTTCATCTATTCAGGCCTTCCTTCTTCTGATCACAGTAAGGAAAATGTATACATTCCAGGGTCTGAGTTCCAGGTTTTTTTATTTGTTAATTTAAAAATTTTTCAGCCAAGTGGATATTCAGGATTAGAGGGGAAAAGGGATAGGAAGAAAAGACTGAGAAGAAACTTAATAGCCTCTGCTTATGTGAGAGGAAATCCTATCTGAAGAAGAGCAGACAGGTGTTCATCTTAGCCAAGCCCAGAACCAGAGGAATTAAATTTACAGCATGAGGAGCTTAGCTTAGAACTAAAGGAAAAGTTCATTGTTCTTTGGTATGTGAGAAATTATTTTTTTCAAAGATGGAAAATAATGGGTAAATAATTTTATGGGGTAATAGGTAATTGGATTCAGCGCAGCTTGGACACTGGAGAATAGTCAGATGACCTCTTATTGCCAGTACCCTGGTTCAGCATGTTCTAGTAGAACTATGGAATGAGACTGTAAGGTCACATTGCCTTTTTAGATAGTAAAGAATGAACTGCAGCATACCCCCAAAACTCCTACCCCCTCGCAAACTCCTCAGATATAAGTTCACTGTACATGCGGTATATAAAAATTCACTTACTTGGAATCCATAGCGGAAGGGATTTTACTGCTATTGTAATCAGGCTGTGATGGTAATATGGAGCTGAGGAAGCTGGCTGGGGACTGGTTATAGGTGGTTGTAACCCTTTGGCCTGGGTTGGAGCCAGCATGCTGCTGGGGAGAAGCAGGGAAAGCAGAGGAGGACATGGTGATGTGAGAGCTCAGTGTTGAGGAGGCAGAAAATCTTTGCTCTGTACACTGGCGGGGCTGGATGATAATGGAAGACTGTTTGGTCTGGCTAGAGAAGCTGGAGGTTTCTGGTCCAGGAGGCTGCAATCTGGAGCCACATGGGTTTTGGGACTGGATGAAGTGTTTTGGACGTTCGTAGTTAAACATGCTTAGTTGGTATATGGAAGATGAAGGCAAATTATTACTATAATGATTTGTTCCTGGAAGGGTGGGGCCCTGAATTTGGGGCCACAAGCCTGGAATTACGGAAGGTTGTAAGGAATCAGAAGCAACCTTGGTCTGCTCTTCCTTGTTGAGATCCTGAGAATACTGTGCTCCTGGCTTTGGTAGAGTGACCTTCTCTTGAAGAATATTGTTCCTTCAAAAGGAGAAAATAATTGTTACAATATTTGCTTAAACAATAACATTGTTTATTTGACATCTTTCAGATCTGATGTGCTTTTTCTTTTCCTTTCTTTCCTTCCTTCCTTTTGTGTGTGTGTGTGTGTGTGTGTGTGTGTGTGTGTGTGTCTTGCTTAATCGCCCAGGCGAACATAGCTCACTGTAGCCCCTCCAACTCCTGGGCACAAGCGATCCTTCCACTGCACCCTCCAGAGTAAGGACTACACATATAAGCCACCACGCCTGGCTAATTTTTCTTTTTTTCTTTCTTTCTTTTTTTTTTTTTTTTTTAGTAGAGACAGGGTTTCACTATGTTGCCTAGACTAGTCTTAAACTCTTAGCTGCAAGCAATCCTCCCGCCTCAGCCCCCCTTGGTGCTGGAGTTACAGGTATGAGCCCCCGCACCCAGCTGAGTGGATTGCTTTTTAACCTTACAATTCACTGCTTCTTTTTCTCTCCTTGATTCCAAATTGACCATATTACTAAACTAGATATTAATTAAGGAGTGACTGTGTGTATATGTTTGTGTAGAACATATGTTACAGGCTGCATTCCAGAGCCACTTATACATTTTTCTGTTTTTATTATGTATTTTTAAACAGAATCATACCTTATAATTCTGTTATTTTTAGATTATACTTCCTAGTTGTTGGTCTTGATGTTCTTTTAATTATCTAGAGTTTTACTTTTTATTATTTGTTTAGTATGTATTTTAGACTAATTTTGTTTTTTGGTCTTTTTTTTCTTTTTTTTGCCACACCTTTGGAGATCTCAGACTAATTTTGAAATTGCTTTAGCTCTTTTACTTTTTCTTTTCAAATGGCAAACAGGAAGCATAGAAGTAAATAAGACACATATGAAACTAGTCTATACCTTACCAAGAAAAGACAGGTGCCATTCCTCCTACTTAGCTCTGTAGTGGGCCTCCTGCCTTCCTACAGTACATCCTCATTTTTTCTCAGATGAAACATTTGCCATGAAAATCAACCTTGAAGGATTATATTTGTCTCTGATTTTTTTTCCATTAGTATGGTAAACCTAAGCGGGACTATATATAGACATTACACACAAAGACTAGTCCTATAAATTGTTTTCACACTAATCCTGTTTTCATTGAAAATATCAGATAAATTGATTCAAAATACATTTGCCTATTTTGTTTCATCTGGTATAAGCCAATACTGAGATAATGACAAATCAAACTTTTAACTGAAAAATTAACCAAATTGTTTGTCATCATTGAAACGAAGTCTTCTAATTATTTTAGTTACTGTCTTGGATAAAATGTTAATAAAACTTTTCCAGACCAAAGAGTTTCATCCTAAATAATAGGATACCTTCAAAAAATAGTATTTCAAAGTTGCCTATGTAGTTTAGAGTTAAATTAAAACTAGCAATTTTAGGAAAAAACAGAAATGCAACTAAACAGCCAAGAGAAAGACGCTATTGAGAAAGAATACTTAAAAAGTTAAATATTCCTTAATTTCAAGTTTATGAACACAAATACATTAAACTAGAATGCATTTTAGAAATGAACTACTTTAGGCATTTAAATTGTTGGGGAAAAACATCCTGAAGGAGGGCCTTGAGTAGATCTAAAAAAAAAGTCTATTTCAAGGCAAGTAGTTTTGTAGTTATCGGTTTATTCAGTCTGTTGCAGAATTGAATCCAGAGTTTGATTCCTAAATTTCTTTCTGGGCAGGTACATTATTGAGACTCATTTCAGATAGCAAGGAATAAACCGCTTATGAAATAGTAGATATTTTCCAGAAACAGTTCTCTTTTTTTCTTTACATATATTTTCAGAATGGCAACTGTCTTGTACATGTTGATATTGGCCTACATTGTTAATAATTAGTGATATTTTTAAAAGCCCAATTAAAAATATGTTATTTCATAAGTTTCATTTTATCCATGTGTCAAAATTTTATGCAGACATTTACGCAGGTGATCCTGTATTTTCTTTATGTTTGTAGTTACTGTTCAACAATTTAATTCTATAATAGATTCTGTTATATGACAGGGTCATTTTATTCCAAATAATGTTAAATGAATTTCAAAGATTTTTATAAATAAAGTACTATTCAGTCTCCTTTTTAAAAAATCTTAACATTTTTTTCCTGTCTCTAATATAGCATAGACTTGCACAGAAGACTGATAGAGGATATGTTGCGTTCATAAGACATCACCACAATTACATCAGATCAAGTGTCCCTTTTCAAGGAAAAATGGTGATTTAAAAATAATGACACACAGCTATCTTTCCTTCTATCATTTGTATAATGCCTTCCAGTCTCAATGAAATGAATGAGTCGCTTTCTCTTTAAATTTTTGTGTAATACCATTATAATGTTGTGGCTTTCAAACTTTTTATCTGAAAATCATCTTTGTATACACTCATCTGATTTGGACAAAAAACAAAAACAAGACCTAAAAGTGTAGTAGGAATAAAGAAGGGACTTACCCGTAGTTCCAGAGGGTGCCAGCTGGGTTTAACCCACTATTGAAGGGAAGGAAGAGGCATCTCCTTCCCTCACAGACTAATCTAGTGGCTCTGTGCTTAGTATTATAGCACCACTGACTTTTATCAGCTGCCAAACAGTGACATCTGATGTGCTTGCCTGTCCATCTACCTATGCTGGCATGTCAAAGTAAGAGTCCACAATCTAAACAATATCTCACGTGTCTTAGTGGTATTTAAGGAGTGGGATTACATGAGCTTCTTTTGCAAGCCTCTTTATTTCAGACGTGAATTTTGACTATGAACTTTAGCAAGCTCATGTGAGGGAAGGGCAGTGAATAGGGAAATGGGAAAAATAGAAAAAAAACCCTCTTATTTCTTTATTATGGTGGGGACTTTGAATTTTCCCAGTTTAAGAGAGAGGACTAAAGGGAAAATAATATTTCAAGAGTGGAGTTCTTCTATCTATTATACTAAGACTTCTCCAGGAATAAGACCAGTGATAGATGGGCTCCCAATTGATTTGTATTGCATAATTCTTCATCTGAAGTCTTTTTTCTTTTGCCTAATGAGAGTAGGATTCAATAATAGATTTGAGGTCTCTCAGTACTAGCAGTTTGTTCCGAGGTGGAGGGCAGTCTGGGCAAAGCAGGAGACCGAGGTCATAGTGACATGTCACTGGGAAGGTAGGGAGGTGGAAAAACATGATGGTGTTTCTTGAGCAAGTTTTCTGAATCTGTATGGCATATGCCCCTTTTGCCTAGTACTTTTATTCTGAAAGAGTTTTGAAACACTTAAGAAACAACCAAACAAATAAGCAATCTATATAATTAGAGCTGTCAATGCATGTTCATCTCCCTTTATTCCTAACAGTTAGTTTCCTTTCACTTTTTGTCACAGAGACCATCATGGTATTTAGATTTCCATTTTTGTGCAGGGAAGTAAATAATTGCAGAAGAATAAAATGTCGAATCAGCAAATGTGGTGAAGTAGGGTAGGTGGCATGAGGATTGGGCCAAGGGAGTAGAATTATCTCCATGGGGTGGCTTCAGTTCCCCTCCCTCATGGGTAGATACCCCAATCTTGATTGAATTAACATGTATATTAGAATCCAGCAAATAGATGTTTGAGCACATATGAGCCATATAAAATCCTTCACAGCTGGCCAAGTAGGTGTACCTTTCTTTGGTGTTCAAAGAAAGCTTGATAATTTCTGCCTGGGCGTGCAGCCCTTAGTAGAAAAAGCATGCTAGACTTGGTGAGTAGGTGGTTGCCTACAAAGTCTTATTTCAGGAGTCTCCCAAAATATTCTTCAACATCTGTTCACTGATATTTCAAATTCCAGTAATACAGACAAAACCTTTCCATCTAAATTAGAGAGACTTAAAATACAAATGCAAGTGATAGGATAAAAGTAATAATAGCCAATATATAGCATTTATTATGAGTAAGACACTCCTTCAAGCATTTTATTTTATTATTAGTTTTTTTTTAGAGACAGGGTCTTACTCTGTCACCCAGGCTGGAGTGCAGTGATATGATCAGAACTCACTGCAGCCTCAAACTCCTGGGCTCAAGAGATCCTTCCTCTGCAGACTTTCAAGTAGCTAGGGCTATAGGCATGCAGCACTATACCCAGCTAATTTTAAAATTTTTTGGACAGACAGAGTTTCGCTATGTTGCCCAAGCTGGTCTCAAACTCCTTGCCTCAAGCGATCCTCCACGTCGGCTTCTCAAAGCACTGGAATTATAGGCATAAACCACATGCCCAGCCTATCTATTCTAAGCAATTTTAAATGTGGTATATGTGACTGACATTTGGTTCTGCTGGAGAACAGGGTTTGATTAGGGCATGGAAAAGGAAATAATAGATTTGAGGTCTCTCTGCACTAAAAGTTTGAGGTATACCTCACCAGCCAAGTAGGGAAGACATCCAGGACAACCTGCTAAATTCCCAATTTTGCCTACAGCAGGTTCTAAGCATACTACACTCGAGGAAGAATTTAGTTCTGCTTACTCTTTGTCTTTCAAGCTTTGCCTCTTCTCTAGGTCTTTGTAAGATACAACCCAGGTTACCGTGTGTTACATGTGATAGCCTTCATGGTACGTCAAGGCTAAAGTTTTTGCTATAATGGGATCAAGGGATGATTTAGGAAAGGTAAGTAGGTCCTCTTTTATGATACCATTCTCAGTAGTCAGGGGCTATATTAATAATCTACTGTAAATCTGTTTGTTCCTGCCTTTTAATGTTTGATTTGCTTTTTTGAATGGTGGTTTGTTTCCTCACAAATATAGCTATTTGAATGGTTTAATTGCCTATTTGAGAAAAATCATAGACTCTTAAGACTGGAATTATTACAATGCCAGATGGGTGAACTTTTACTACAACCTGCTCACAAAGACAACCTTTTCCATTTCTTTTTCTAAATTATCAGTAAGGGCCTTCAGTAAATTATTCAAATGCCTTACAAAATATAGTAACTTCCTACTATCTCACTGAAACCTTTCCTGTTACATGTTAAGGGATTCCTTGTCTATCGTCAGTTTCAGAAACAGGGTAGCTATTTAACTGTCTCTCATTCTTCCCTCTTCATATATAGCTCTTGTCTTTCAAAAATATAAGATATATATGCCATTGTAAAAAAAAAATGGTGCTGTGAACTTCTTTTAAATTCGGAGGTCAGATGTGTGTGATGAAACTCATTTCTGCTATATCAACTGAAAAGGAAAACGTCACATTGAGGATGGAAGAACTAAGGAGTGAAGAAAGTTTTATTTTAGTTCACACAAATTCACTGTGGTTATTAAAGTTCTGCATAGATATATAATGAAAGGGAATCCCATTGTAGCATTTGTAATTTGAAATATCCAGTCTAACATTTGACTCAATCTTATATTATTCTCAAGCAAGAAATAATAATGGAATCCATCGGGTTTGGAGTTAAAGAATACAAATGATAACATTAATTTGGCTAATGCTCTACAACTTTCTAGACATATTTACCTTTTGTTATCTGTTTTTGGAGACCTGAGTGTGAGGGCCCACTCCACCACATACATGCTGTGTAGCCTTAAACAAGTTGCTTAAACTTTGAGCTTTAATAACTAATCGAAAAATGAGGCTAGGCATGTTGGCGCATTTCTGTAGTCCCAGCTACATGGGAGGCTGAGGTGGGAAAATCGCTTGAGCCCAGGATTTTGAGGCTGCAGTGAACCATGATCACACCACTGCACTCCAGCCTGGGTGACACAGCAAGACTTGTAACCCAGACTCACAAAAAAAAAAAAAAAAAGAGTAGTACAAGGTTTACCAACCTAAATCAGACGATTGATGAGAGACTCAAGTGAAATGGGAAGTCATATAATGGACATTCTGTAGGTTTATCTCCTTAACTAGATTAAAATGTTTCTGAGAGAGGGACTGTTTACTACTTATTTATCTTGGCCTAACGCAGTGTGGCTCATAGTAGACACTCAATAAAAACTTGTTAACTTTTATGGAATATTTACCCAATAGTTTTCTCCATAGGTGATTTTACTAATGAAGATGGTCATGTGTTATGAAAGATACTAACTTATAAATTCAAGGTCTTTTAAAGTTTTATTTATTTGCTTATTTTTGTTTTTGAGATGGGGTCCCACTTGGACTCCCAGGTTGAAGTGCAGTGGCATGATTCATATCTGTTGCAGCCTCAAACTCCTATGCTCAAGTGATCCTCCTGCCACAGCGTCCCGAAGTGTTGGAATTACATGTGTGAGCAACCGTGCCTTTTAAAGCTTTAAAGGCTCACTTTTTTTTTCTTTCTTTTTTTTTTTTTTTTAAAGACAGGGTCTTGCTCTGCCTTCCAGGCTGGAGTGCAGTGGTGAGATCACAGCTCACTTACAGCCCTGACCTCCCCAGCTCAAGCCATCCTCCCACTTCAGCATCCCAAGTAGCTGAGACTACAGACATGAGCCACCACACCCAGCTAATTTTTGCATATTTTTGTAGAGATGGGGTCTCACTATGTTGCCCAGGCTGGTCTAGAACTTCTGGGCTCAAGCAATCCGCCCACCTCAGGCTCCCAAAGTGCTGGGATTATGGGTGTAAGCCACTGTGCCTGACCTAGGCTCACTATTTGTGTGTGTGTGTGTGTGTGTGTGTGTGTGTGTTTGAGACAGTGTCTTGCTCTGTTGCCCAGGTTGGAGTGCAGTGGCGCAATCTCAGCTCACTGCAACCTCCGCCTCCCGGGTTCAAGTGATTCTCCTGCCTCAGCCTCCTGAATAGCTGGGATTACAGGCGTGTGCCATGACACTTGGCTCGGCTAATTTTCGTATTTTTAGTACAGACGGGGTTTCACCATGTTGGTCAGGCTGTTCTCAAACTTCTGACCTCATGATCCTCCCGCCTAGCCTCCCAAAGGCTCACTATTAAACACAGGTACTTAGAAAAAATTTAGATAATCAGTATTGGCCATCTTCCCAAGGCAAGCCCAGCACGCTCTGTCACCCAGGCTGGAGTGCAGTAGTCTGATCTTGGCTCCTTGCAACCTCTGCCTCTTGGGTTCAAGCGATTCTCATGCCTCAGCCTCCCAAGTAGCTGGGATTACAGGCATGTGCCACCATGCCCGGATAATTTTTGTATTTTTAGTAGAGATGGTGTTTCACCATGTTGGTCAGGCTGGTCTTGAACTCCTGACCTCAGGTGATCTGCCCGCCTTGGCCCCCCAAAGTGCTGGGATTACAGGCATGAGCCACCACACCAAGCCCCTAGGTTATTTTTTAAACAATATTTTGATTTGAGGTTTGTGTTGGGGGGTGGAGAAGTAGCAAATGGTGATGGATTGTGTTGTTTTAAACATAACCTGGTAGGAAAATTCACTTAACTGAATTATCTTTACATTTGTAGGTTTGTTTTCCAAACACAAGGACATTTCTGTTTTTATTCTAAGGTCTGTTTTTCTTCATGGATAAAGAAGAAACCTGTATCACAAAATGTTTTACATTTTTATATTGAGATAGGACACCGAATTCTATTTTGGGAAGAGATTCCACTTCTTTAAAATCTTGTGTTATTTCAGTATTGATTTTTCTTTTCCTTTTTGTTTTTTTTTTGGAGACAGAGTCTCGCTCTGTCGCTCAGGCTGGAGTGCAGTGTCATGATCTTGGCTCACTGCAACCTCCACCTTCTGGTTCAAGCAATTCTGGTGCCTCAGTCTTCTAAATAGCTGGGACTACAGGTGCACATCACCATGCCCAACTAATTTTTTTATTTTTTATTTTTAGTAGAGACGAAGTTTCACCATGTTGGCCAGGCTGGTCTTGAACTCCTGACCTCAAGTGATCCACCTGCCTCGGCCTCCCAAAGTTCTAAGATTACAGGTGTGAGTCACCGTGCCTGGCCTGATTTTTTTTTTCAATAAATCTGTGTAATAAACCCTTAACTGTGAATCTAAGCACAGGGCTTAATATTTCAGCCATGGTGAAATGCATACTGAAAAGCAAGGGAGGACCGACATAAAGTGACTCATGTCAGAATGCAAACTCCCTGAGGACAGGAGCTTTGTCATGATCTATCTACAGAACCAGGAATATTTGTTGAATGAATGAATGTTGGGTCTGTCTCCCTTTACTATTGTGCTTGTAGCTCAAAAGTATTTCCACTGATGGTACAGAAATCCTTCTTTGGAAACTGGATCTCATGTTCATTATGACTGGCTGGTTCAGGAGTAATTGGCATAAAGTTTATGGGGGTATCGTTTGGATTTGTGTCCTTTGTGTAGCTTTTGGTGCTCCAGAGAGAGGAGGCCAGTTTTGGAGAAAATTTGCTCATGGATAACTTGGGAGGACGCTCTGATTTCTCTACTACTTTCTTTCAAAAATATAATTAATCATGAGTTCAGATGGAAACAAAGACTCTTCCTTTTGGCTCAGGGCTGAATTGTAGCAAAGAGATTTTGAAGAGTTATTACCTGGGGAAACTAAGAGTTTGTTGCAGAAGCTGCAGTGCCAGCCTCATTTTCTGCAATACACTTGAACTCCTCAGAGTCTTCAGGAAATGCTTCTGTGATAATCAAGGTGCAGACTTCCTGTGGAAAGAGAAGAAATTCAACTTGATTACTGTATTTGGATGCCCCAAGGTAACAAACATATAGTGTGGGAGGATGTTGGGGAGAGTAGGTACTAGGAATAAATAGATTATTCCTGAGATTAAAAAAAAAATCCATCTGATTAGGTATTTTCTCTTCTCAGTGGGCTCATAAAGATAAATCTTAAAAATACAACCCCATTGGCTGGGCGCAGTGGCTCATGCCTGTAATCCCAGCACTTTGGGAGGCCAAGGCAGCAGATCACCTGAGGTCAGAAGTTTGAGACCAGCCTGGCCAGCATGGCGAAACCCTGTCTCTACTAAAAAATTAGAAAAATTAGCCAGGTGTGGTGGCGGGCACCTGTAGTTCCAGCTAATCAGGAGGCTGAGGCAGGAGAATCATTTGAACCCAGGAGGTGGAGATTGTAGTGAGCTGAGATCGTGCCACTGCACTCCAGACTGGGCGACAGAGCCAGACTACATCTCAAAAAACAAAACAAAACAAAAAACCCCATTAATTGTACATTTCAAAATAGCTAGAAGAGAATAATTTGAATGTTTCTAGTGTAAAGAAAAGTAATTTAGGTGATGCATATCTCATTTACCCTGATTTCATTATATGAATATATTATTACATATACCTTGAAAATATGTACCTCTAATATATATCAATAAAATTAAAAAAAAGTCTTAAACAGTCCCATCATGGTTCTTATCAACTGCCTCTTAGACATGTTTGTTTTCTCTACTAGACTATGAAATCCTTGAAAGCAGGGATTACATTTTATTCCTTGATTTCTAGATTTCTGTAGCTTTAGTCCTATGGAAACATATTCTGAACTGAACTAGAAATTATCACTACCATCACGCTTAGACCTCATGTTAATACAGAGATGGCCACAGTGTGATGGTCACCACAACTACTTCTTGGACAGTGAGCAGTTTGGATGTTCGATGTCAGGACATCTCCTTATTGCTTCTGTATAAAGTTCACGAGTCACAAATCCTAAACCAAGTGGGATTACAGGGAGAATGCATATTCTTTGAGAGTGGGGACCTTGTCAGTCTGGTTCATTGCTGTCTCCTTAATACCAAGAACAGAGACTAACCATTAGTCTGTACTCAGTAAACCTATGTTGAATGAATAAATATATGAATAAAAACACTGATAAATCCCAGCTGTCTTGCTTCTTCTGTTGTGTCAGTTCAAGAGTTGATGTAGGGGAGCCTCAAAAGAGCTCATGAAGGCAAGAGTGACTTAGGGGACAATGTCTTCTGATGCTAATGTTGATTTAATCAATTTTCAAGATTTTAAGAAATTATACTTACCAGGAATGGATGATAAACTTCTGAAAGATAAAACAAGAAAAAAGAGAGAGAATTTAAGTGATGATAATTTAGTTGGGAGAAGGGGCCATATGTATATGAGAAATACCTGGAAACAAATACAAAATTGACTAATCTGGAGTCACAGACGGTAAGTAAATTCTTCAGAAACTCAGAAAAGGTGCATAAAGGAATGAATAAGTGGCAGGGTAGAAGAACTTGATTTTAGTTCTGCTTTTATCACTAAATTGCTCTGTGACCTTGTGAAAATTACTTTACTTACCCAGACTTTCTTCATCCCTAATGTGAAGATTAGACCAGATGACTATATCTTCTCTGAATATGAACCACTGTTGAACACACTAATACTGAGGTGGCCTTTTTCACCGAAGAGAATCATTTTTTCCTAATTTCTCTGATTAAAATAAAATGGAATATTACATTATAAAAATACTGTAGCATTACTGTAGAAAAATACATGAAAGGTTAATAATGGTTTTCTCTATTTTTAATTTTTTCATGTTATGTATTTTCCAGGTTTATTACAAATTTGTATTACTTTATTTTCAACAATGCAATAAATGTTATTTTAACAGAAATATCATATCCTTTGTGTAATAAAAAGATTTTTTCCCTATATATGATGTGTAAATATTTAGTTATTTTGAATTAATATTTAAATGAGTATATTTTCTTCATTTGGCGTAAGAACTATCTTGGATTTGAACACTGGCTACAGCATTTACTAGCCTTGTGTCCTTGAGCAAGATTTTTTTGTATTTCTAATTTCAGTTATTTAACAATGAGGATAATAACACATATTTCAAAATGTTTATGTGAGGATTAAATGAGAAATTGTTTATAAAGTATAAATTCATTGTTTAGCATGAGATAGATCATTATACTTACTACCTTTCTCCAAATTAATTATCTTGTAGGAAAATTACCCAATAAAGTAAAAAGTTATGCATCAGTTTTTTTATGTTTTTACCCTTTAAGAAATATGTTTATTCTCATATTTCTTTTTGTTTATATGTCAAGAACTCATTATGAAAATAAGATTAATTTATGATGATAAACCAATCTTTTCACAGCTATGAAAATTACTCTTTCATCAAAACAGTTTTCTTTGTTGGTTATTGTTGAGAAATCATTTGGATTTGAGATAATAATTGTTTACCAGCACAAATCTTTAAGCCTTTAAAAAAAATCAGCAATTAAACTTTAAAACAGGAAGTAGACTTCAAGGTTAACTGGAATTAAAAACAATTGAAAGGCTTATCATGATACTTTTCCTCAGAATCCGAAAGTCATCTGAGTTGGCTATCTGCACGTTCTCTCTGTACCAGTGAACTTGAACTGTGGCTGTGGCCTGGATTCCGCATTCAAACATGACCAACTGACCTCTGGTTGTAGGGATGTCTTGAAGATGCTGAAGAACAAACACAGAGTTCAGAGGATGGAAGAAACTGTTATACCATCTACAATGATTTGAAATGCCATTTGCAGTAAGAGTGCATCTTTTTTTAAATCATAATTATTGACAGCTGACTGTATCTTAAGGCGCTGTCGGGCATTCTTTTGGGCTTTGTAGTGTGCTTTACAGTCAGGTGTAAATTATTTTTATCTTCATAGAATTATATTTAATGAGAAAGTTATTATTTCACTTGGCCAAGAGCCATTTTATTCAAATTAGAAAACAGATTGGTTGAACACTCCTTCTGTTGTTATATTTATTTTGTTGAGTACATATCTAGTCACAGATTTAGTCTTTATTATTGGTCACAGTAGCATGGGCAGTACAGTAATCACCCCTTATCTGCAGGGGACACATTCCAAGACCCTCAGTGGATGCCCGAGACCATGGATAGTACTGAAACCTGTGTACACTGTGTTTTTTCCTGTAATACACACCTATGATAAAGTTTAATTTATAAATTAGTCATAGTAAGAGATTAACAACAATAACTAATAAAATAGAACAATTATACCAGTATACTGTAATAAGAGTTATGTGAATGTGTTCTCTCTCTCTCTCTTTCTCTTAAAATATCTTATTATACTCTACTCATCTATTTTCAGACTGCAGTTGACCGTGGGTTATTGAAACCACAGAAAGTGAAACTGGATAACGAAGTGAGTACTATGTTGTAATTTCTTAAGAGCCCTGAATTAGGGAACTTGGGCCAAAATATTAACTCTGCCACTGGCTGATTGAAGCTGGTTATAGGAACTTGGAAAAGACTATTAACTTCTCTGGAACTCAGGTTCTTTGTCTATGAAATAGGGCTAGCAAAATATGTGGGGTTTTGAGGTTCATTTCACAAAGGTCTGAAAACTTCCTGTAAAGAGTAAGAGTTATACAGATATATAAAAAGTGTTTTTAGCTAGTTTAGTATCACAATGTATAAATGAATGGATGGCATTTATGTTAAATTTACCCCTTAAATCCTGATCTTTCTCCTCCCTCTACCTGCAACCCCAGAGTACCCTGGAATCTAGAATGATATTTCAGATTATAACTTGGCAGTGAGACCAGAGAGCGGGAATCTGAGGTCTTTCTACAGGTTAGACTAAGGACCAGCCTAACCCTCAGGCTTGATGCCCAGAGGTCTCAGGCATCTTATAGGGAAGGAATGCAGCAGGAGAGACTTGTAGAAATAACAGACATGTACGTGACAGCATCTGTTGAAAACAAGCTTCCAGAATCAATAGCAATGTCACTTACTCTTAATGACATTGTTTTGTTTGTCTCCCATCCTGTATCTGGTACAGATTAAATCCCTGCCCTGCATTTCATACTTTGAGCCAGCAATGGGCATTGATTCCAATTCTGCCAGGTTTGGTAATTGGGAGACAGAGAGCCCAGAGAAGGCTTAGCCCTAGTTTTGGTTTGACCGGGGTGATTGAATTGTGCTATTTCCAGTGGGTGAGAGGGAAGATAGTGATTCCTGGCTGTGACCTAATCAGGACTTAGTTACTACTTTGCTTGTTGACTTCTTCAGAATGGCATTTTATGGCTAGTTAAGAGAATTTGACTATATTTTGAGGTCAGGCAAAGCAGTCTCCTTGGAGGGGACAGTCTAAGCATTGCCCTCCAGAGGTGGAGGACGGCCACAGAGCAGAAGTCTAAAGAGCACAGGGTAAACCATGAATTGCTCTGTGACACTGAGCAAATCATTTCACCCCTTTTCAGCCTCATTTTTTCTCATATATAACGTGATAATAATCTCTGAAATCCTTTCTGATTTCCCCTTTTTTTCTTCTCACCGCTTCACTAATGTCTAAAACTTACTTATAAAATCTAAACTCCATCATGCAGTATGGAGAGGTTACCTTGGTAAACACAGAGGGTACTACACAAGTGGATCCTGACAGGCTGCTGCAGGGACTCTGCATCTGGTTTAAGGAATAAAAGAGAACATGGTGCTGTCACTCATACTGTCAAAGCCCTGAAACTCAGGTCCATGGTTGCCAGAAACTGACGGGCTCAGTTCTAGCTGCTACTGACCACACCTTAACTTTCCTTTATGAAAAGCATGATGCTTCTAATTTCAGTGTCAGTTTGGGTATTTGCTCCAGTGTGCTACACTTGCTTCTTTATCCTTCAGCATTCCATTAGCTGAGATGGAGAAATACAACACTGGGCAATTATATTTGGGAAATGCATATTGGCAAGTATTTAGATACTATATATTAAACATTTAAAAAAAGTTTAAATTTTACTAAATTTTTTTTCTTCCTCCATACAATTGCTCTTCTTGGATCTTTTAGATTTCCAAAAAAGCATCTCCCTCCCCCGCTTTTTTTTTAAATTAAAAGGGAATTCATTCCTCGGATAGTTGGAATATTCTCTTATGGGAACAAGTTCCTAGAAACCAACTGTCCCTTATCTGGCACACAAACAAAGGGCCAAGCCATAGAGCTACCATGGAGTTATTTCTGAAACCTATGGATTTCTTTCTTGTTCTTTTGAGTTCATGCAGCTAGAGGCTTTCTTCTTGTATACTTCTTAAGAAAACTGCATTGACTCCTTTTTCTTGGGCCTATGTCTCCATTACTAAGACCCTCTCAGAAGGCTTAAAACTGAACTTACCCTCTAGGGATTAATATACAGTTGTTGAACTAAGTTAGAGTAACTTGATCTGTTGTTGGAGGTTTCATTCGTTGGGGAGCTGATGGTCAGAGAAACTCTAGTGGTTTTCTTCTTTATCCTGTGGGGGAAACAAAACCAAACACCGTCAAGTGAAAGAAAGATTAGAGGCGACTTTGATAGAAATGCCTCACTGTATACACATTTGAATGTAGCACACATTTTTACCTATAATTCTTAAATTTCTCTACATTTGCATAATCATTTTAATACTTTTTTTGCCTTTTTAACCAATTATTAGTGGATTATGGTTCCTAATTGTTTCACTTTAAATTTCTTTTGTCTCAGTCTGGTAATCAGGGTGTGTTATGAAACACGTTGTCTAGAAGAAATAACCTATAAAGCAAATAATCACTTAAAAGTTTGTCTGCAAAGTCTTAGGTTTTTTTTTTTTTTTTGGTATTTTTTAAAGTGGAACTTTCACTATATTCACACGCAACAAATGCACATCCACATGAGATTCTGCACTTACCCTGAAATTTCTGTAGCACATTTCAACCACAATTCCAGAGATAAAACTTCCTTACTTCCCTGAGCACCTGCAAGAAAGAGAAAAAATAGATTTGTTCTAAATCTCATTGGGTTTTAATACAATTTAGTTCCAGTGTATTGTATTTACACTCGGACTAGCAGCAGGTATCGGTTACAGACAGGTTAATCCAGAACATCTGGATTCTTTTTATTTTATTTTATTTTTATTATTTTTTTCTTTTTAGATGGAGTCTCGCTTTGTTGCCCAGGCTTGAGTGCAGTGGTGTAATCCTGGCACACTGCAACCTCTACCTTCCGGGTTCAAGCGATCCTCCCACGTCAGCCTCCTGAGTAGCTGGGACTACAGGCTGCACCACCATGTCTGGCTAATTTTTGTATTTTTAGTAGAGATGGGGTTTCACCATGTTGGTCAGGCTGGTCTTGAATTCCTGACCTCACATGATCTGCTGCCTCAGCCTCCCAAAATGCTGGGATTATAGGTGTGAGCCACCATGCCCTGCCCAGAACAACTGAATTCTTAACTCAGGATGGAACTACTTTAGCATTCTCCATTTTAGAAATCCAGATGTTTACCTTTATAGAGTTATAGCACTTGTGCCCAGAGGAGGTATTGAGTCATTTCTCAAAAACATTATTTCAGAGGGCATAAATTAGTATCTGTGAATTTGTGTTTTGGTCTGAAGTCTTCAGAATATTTGTTATAGTAAGAAATATATTGAAACACATTGCTATGCTTACTATAAGGAAGGATGTTATCTTAGTCTGTTCAGGCTTGCTATGATACCCTTTAAAATACCTTACTGGGTAATTTGTAAACAATAGAAATTTATTGCTCACAGTTCTGGAGGCTGAGAAGTCCAAGACCAAGGCACCAGCAGATTTAGTATTTGGTGAGAGCTGTCTCCTTCGTAAATGGTGCCTTGTTGCTGTGACCTCACATGGTAGAAGGGGCAAGGGAATTCCCTCAAGTCTCTTTTATAAGGATACTAATCCCATTCATGAGAGTGGAGTCCTCATGACTTAATCACTTCCCAAAGGCCCCAGTTCTTAATGCTATCACATTTGAATATTAGGTTTCAACATGTGAATTTTGGGGGGACGTCAGCATTTGGACCATAGCAGATGTTGTCAGTGTTCCTATTATCTCCATGATGATTTACTAGAGAAATGTATTTCAGTTGTTAGTACCAGGAATAATTGAGCGTCTCCCACGATACTAGTTTAATTTTTCCTCATAGACACTATTAGTCTTAATATTGGTTGTGTTGCTGTGTTAGCTAACTGAAAGTTTAGAGCTCACCTCAGAGCCAGTAATTTTTTAATTTAAAATTTTATTTTCATTAAATTGAATTTATATCTAAATATTCATTTTCAGTTTAGGAAAACTTCTAAGTGTGTTTAGAACAGTCTAGGTATATGAATCTACTTTTTATAAATTGCATACAATTTAAATACATGAAGTATTTTAAATGAAAATTTAGCAACTAAATTCCAATGTTTTAATGCAAAATACAGTTTTAAAGACTAAGTACCAAAAAAGGTAAAATTATTATTATTATTCTTATTGTTGAGATGGAGTCTTGCTCTGTTGCCCAATCTGAAGTGCAGTGATGCGATCTCTGCCCACTGCAACCTCTGCCTCCTGGGTTCAAGCGATTCTCCTGCCTTAGCATCCTGAGTAGCTGGCATTACAGGTGTGCCACCACACGCAGCTAATTTTTTTTTTTTTTTTTTGTATTTTTTGTAGAGAAGGGGTTTCACCATGTTGGCCAGGCTGGTCTCAAACTCCTGACCTCAAGTGATCTTCCTGTCTCAGTCTCCCAAAGTGCTGGGATTACAGGCATGAGCCACTATGCCCGGCTGCAAAATGAATTTTTATATTGATTGCACGTTGAAATGATAATCTTTTATATATGTTGTGTTAAAACATATTATTAAAATTAATTTTACCTGTTCCTTTTTGTAATTTTAGTGTTACCATTAGAAAATTTAAAATTATATATTTGCTGTTCTCTTTTCTGATAGGCATTATATTTTTATTAGATGGCACCATTCTGAACCATGAGCTTTCCTAAAGGGTTAATAAAACTTTCTCAATATCTTCTAAAGTGACTGGTTCATTCAGTTTTTCTGTCTCTCCAGAATAAACTTCCATCATTTATATTTTCCTCAAAAATTCTTTTTTTCAAATATATTTTCTTTTTTTTATTTCCAAGTTTTATTTTAAGTTCTGGGGTACATGTACAAGATGTGTAGGTTTGTTACATAGGTAAACATGTGCCATGGTGGTTTGCTGCACAGATCATTCCATCACCTAGGTATTAGGCCCAGCATCGATTAGCTGTTCTTCCTGATGCTCTCCCTCCTCCCACCCCTCATTCTCCAACAGGCCCTAGTGTGTGTTGTTACCCTCAGTGTGTCCATGTGTTCTCATCATTCAGCTCCCACTTATAAGTGAGAACATGTGGTATTTGGTTTTCTGTTCCTGCATTAGTTTGCTGAGGATAATGGCTTCCAGCTCCATCAATGTCCCTGCAAAGGACATGATCTTGTTCCTTTTTATGGCTGCATAGTATTCCATGGTGTATATGTACCACATTTTCTTTATCCAGTCTATTATTGGTGGGCATTTAGGTTGATTCCATGTCTTTGCTATTGTGAATAGTGCTGCAATGAATATACATGTGCATGTATCTTTATAATAGAATGATTTATATTCCTTTGGGTATATACCCAGTAATGGGGTGGCTGGGTCAAATGGTATTTCTGCCTCTAGGTCTTTGAAGAATTGCTACACTGTCTTCCACAGTGGTTGAACAATTTACACTTCCACTAACAGTGTAAAAGCATTCTTTTTTCTCCACAACCTCGCTAGCAGGTTCTCTATTCTGTTCCATTGGTATATCTGTCTGTTCTTGTACCATACCATGCTGTTTTGGTTACTGTAGCCTTGTAGTGTAATTGGAAGTTGGGTAGTGTGATACCTCCAGCTTTATTCTTCTTGCTTAGGATTGTCTTTGGTATTTGGGCTCTTTTTGGGTTTCATATGAATTTTTAAATTTTTTTTTTCTAATTTTGTGAAGAATGTCAATGGTAGTTTAATGGGAATAGCATTGAATCTATAAATTGCTTTGGGCAGTATGGCCATTTTTACATATTGATTCTTCCTATCCATGAGAATGGAATATTTTTCCATTCGTTTGTGTCCTTTCTGATTTCTTTGAGCAGTGGTTTGGAGTTCTCCTTGAATACGCCCTTCACTTCCCATTAGTTGTCTTCCTAGGTATTTTATTCTTTTTGTGGCAGTCGTGAATAGGATTTCATTCATGATTTGGCTCTTACAGAGCCAATAATTCAATAGACATTAGAGTTAGGATCTCCTAAACTTGTGGCCTGATACTTTTTTTACACTATGATGATTTATTTCCTCAAACCAACATTTAGGTCACATGGCCCCACAAAGAACTTTTATATTATTTCCATGTAGGAGAGGTCGATTGGAAGATGTAGATTAGCCTAAATAACAAAATATGGTAATTTCCAGAAAGTCATTGGTTTATGGAAATAGAATATCTAAAACTAACTATTCGAGAAAATTTAGGTCATAAGTTTGCATTACACAACAATGCTTTAATGAAAAAAAATTGGTTCCCACTTAAAAGTCTTTTATATATAGTGTTTGATACCATTATTAGAACTAGATTTATCTAATCTCCTCCTAATCTCAATATATAATCTCTTAATACTTGGTGGCTCTTTTCAGTCTTTAAAAACCCTTTATCATCTTGAAGTTGTATTACCGTATCAGGCTTAATTTGCTTTAGACTAAAACTTAGGTGATGTAAAAAGATTTACTAATGCTACTTCATGTTTTATTTGTTAAGGTAGATAGTGGGTATAGAATGTACCTTTTATTATTATTTAAACTGTACATATATATTATATTAACTCTTTCCTATGTATGTAGTATTTTATAATAAATTCATAAGATTAAAATAAATCTGTGAACTGAAGCTGCCTTTTGTTTTTGTAAGAGTTAATTTTTTCATTTTCTTCTTCTTCTTCTTTTTTTTTTTTTTTTTGAGATGGTGTCTCGCTCTGTTGCCCAGGCTGGAGTGCAGTGGTGTGATCTTGGCTCACTGCAACTTCTGCCTCCTTGGTTCAAGCTATTTTCCTGCTTTAGCCTCCTGAGTAACTGGGATTACAGGCATGTGCCACCATGCTTGGTGAATTTTTTTGTATTTTTAGTAGAGACAGGGTTTCACCAAGTTGATTGGGCTGGTCTTGAACTCCTGACCTCAGGTGATCCACCTGCCTCAGCCTCCCAAAGTGCTGGGATTACAGATGTGAGCTACCATGCCTGGCCAGTTTTTTCATTTTCAAAGAACAGATAGTATTCTCAGTAGTTCAGAAGAAGATAAATTCAGTTCTGTGAACATGCATGAGATAGAGTATTATAAACATGCATAGATTACTTTTATGTCTAAAATTAGGCACAAACAGAAAGAACCTATATCTACATATTCTCTAAACAGGGTGGAATCAAACTTTGACATGCTAGCTGCATTTGCTTGACTTGGATCATTTTTCTAAAAATGAAAACTTCACAGTCAAACTCTTGCATTGGTGAATGCTTCCTCATGCCTTTTTTACTAAGACTCCAGGAACAACACAAAGGATTTTGGAGTTAACTGACACAATTAAATTATATGAGAAGGTCAGTAGTGCAAAAGATGAATAATAATATAGGTTCATCTTAATAATATCATAAGACATAAGAAACATTAATGTCATAAGACATTAAATCATGCCAGTGACATCACAAGACAGTGCATGATGACCTGGAAGGCTTTGAGAAGTAAGTGCTAGAAATAAGGAGAAAGAAGCTTGATTGGTCTAAGAAGGTCAGTGTGGACCTTCAACTGAATTTTGAAGAATGTTTAGAATGAGGTATGTATGTGAGATGAGGGTTGAGGGTGAATGGTAGTGGGGGATGGATAGAGAAGGGCATTAAGTAACATTCACGGAACATTAAACTGTGTGCCAGATACTGTGGCTTGTACCTTTATCTCGAGGGTGAGGCAAGCAGCCCATGACCATTAGATGGTGTGGAATACTCTGGCGTCAGATTGTTTGCATTTACTGTTAGGTACGTTAGGTTTCCCTCTAAGTCTCATGATCCTTATCGGTTAAAAAGACACAATAGTAGTGTTTATTTCTAGGGTTAGGTGGCTTACAAAAGCACTTAGTTTATATATGATACATATCAAGCGCTCAATGAATGTTAGCTGCTATTATTATTGTGATGATGGTTGTTATATGGAGATCCAGGGGATAGTCTACCCTTCCTCAGAGGTTACTAATCTAGGCCTCCTTGATATTTCTTCTCTTGTGAACTTAGAACTTCTATAATACACTTTTGTTTTAAATAATCTATTATCATGTACTTTCTTTGGAAATTCCTTAAGATCAGGGATCTTTTAATATGTAATGTGTCTCCTATCCACAAAGTGTCTGGCCTACTGTTGAACACATAGGTGTGGAGTTGGTTGATTTCGCAGATTATTGCACAGGGAGATACTACATTTTCCTAGGAGGTGTATGTTGCCTTCTGCTGTTTTCCTTAACCCCGCCTGACAAATAAAAGCAATTGATATAGAAGGATTCCTCCTCTTTTGACCTTGGCAGTAAATCCTAGTATTACACCAGTCATCTTAGGTGAGGTTAACCAATCCTATGATTACAGAGCAAGAGATGACATGAGAAATCTTCTTGCCTTACATCTTTGGAAAACAAAAGTAAGGTTCAGAGAGAGTATGTTATTTGTTCAAGGTCATGCAATCTGTTGGTAGAAGAGTCAAGATTAGAATCTGAGTCTCTTGTCTTATAGCGCAATCCATGCAGGTTTATAGCAAATGGACTCTTTATTACTCGATAAATTCAAAACTGTGGATATTATTCTGAGTAGTTGAGACTGTAATTTTTTTAAATCTTTTATTAGATTAGAATGTGTTTATGGTTCTGAATTCAGTGAGTAAGGGAACAGTCCATTACCAGAACATCCATTACCAGACAGTCCATTAAAGTCCCAGAAGGACTTTACTTTTAAAAGGACTTAAAAGTACTTTTATGGCCGGGCGCGGTGCTCACGCCTGTAATCCCAGCACTTTGGGAGGCCAAGGTGGGTGGATCACGAGGTCAGGAGATCAAGACCATCCTGGCTTACACAGTGAAACCCCGTCTCTACTAACAATACAAAAAAATTAGCCGGGCGTGGTGGCGGGCGCCTGTAGTCCCAGCTACTCGGGAGGCTGAGGCAGGAGAATGGCGTGAACCCAGGAGGCGGAGATTGTAGTGAGCCGAGATTGCGCCACTGCACTCCACCCTGGGCGACAGAGCGAGACTCCATCTAAAAAAAAAAACAAAAAACAAAACTTTTATTTTGTATGTAAGCTCCATGATGATGGATATTTAGTCTGTTTTGTTCACTCTTGAATCCCTAGTGTCTGGAATAGTGCCAGGCACACAGGAGATGCTCAATAAGTAATTGTTGAATGAATAAGTTGGCTTTGTTGGCAGTATTGGTTGAGACTTCATTTGGGAATGTTTGTGACTTCCAGAGAGTCTAAACTTTAAGCATCAAACTCTGGAAAGAAACCCTGGAAACAACAGGGAAACTTTGGCTATGGCAAAAAAATAAAAATGAAATGCTTCCCCCTGTGGGGGAAGCATATGAGAGAGTATATATGAAACTTCTGGAACTTTTTGGAAGAAACATGCCTTATAAGTAAATGTGTAAGGTCAGTTGGTGCAAGAGGATAAAACATCCTCTAAGCTCCTGGCACATCTCAAAGGAATAGCTGGAAAAGATGAGCAGAATAGTTTTGGTGGTGTGTGGAATTCAGGCTTTTGCCACCTTGAAATTGTTTTATATCCTTAAGCTAATGAAAACAAAAAAGAGAAAATTCAATCTTTATAAAGAGAAGGGTCTTTGTACCTGGTTTCTTAATGTTCATGATGCTCCTCCTTCTAAGCATGAATAGTCAAGCTTCATGGGCAAGGCACCAGGCAGCCCCTGCTACCATTTAATCCATGGGGTGGGGAGGCCAAGAAGGAGTTTCCTGTTTCCTGTCCCTGATCTTCCAACCAATGAAAAAAGACAGTGATGACTAATGGAACAAAGAAATGCCCTGAATCTTACTTTGGGCATATTGCTGAGTTATATAATCTGTATCTGAAATGGATAAAAATATAGAAAGATCAAGTAATATGGTGAAAGAGAGCACTAATTCAAGATTAAGGCAATCTGGATTCTGTTTTATGGCTGTCGTTTATTAGTTATGATTTGGGCAAGACTTTTGGGGTCTCAGTTATATCAGAAGTGAGATGGTCCCTAAGGTTTCTTCTAGGTTTAATATTTGCTATTTTTAAACATTTAAAAAAAATCTCGAAGCCCGATCATGCTTTAAAATCTCCAATTTTCAGAATTACCAGAGTAGATGAATTTCCATCCGAGGATAAGAGAAAGAAAGATGAACGTTAGTGCTTAAAGCAAAAGCAGTCAGCACTTAGGGCACTGGCTTTGACTGCCACTTCAGAATGCAGAGGTTTGAAAGATAATGAGCTGAGTCTTAGAAATTACTGAAACAATTTAAAATATTATTTATTTATTAAAAATCTTTGATAACTAATTTGAGTAAATGATAAAGCAAAGCCAAACACAAAAAGGAATAATTTCTAAAAGAAAGCTCACCCTTAAATATTGGCTTCTCTTGCTAAAGCCACTGTAGTCTCTTACATTTGATTCTCATGTATTTTCCTCTAGGGGAGAGAAAAGGAGATTTTTCAAAAGGAAAAATACCCCTTTGTCTGACTGTTCTGAAAATAGCGCACTCCAGAATATAAAAATGAAAGTGTGGGTTCATAGTACATGCAGGCCCTACGTGTGACCTATCCTGAAGTGTTCTTTCTTGATTTTATGTGGCACTGGGGATGTCCTTGAGGGAAAAAATAGCCAGGGGTTTTACTTTGGTGATGCGTTACGCTAGCCGGCTTCATGTCTCACGTAAATGGTAACCTTTGCTGAGTGTAACCCTAGCTCTTTGTAAAGAGAACAGAATTAGACTCCACCAAATGAAGAGTCCAAGACCTTGGCAATCTTACCCTGGAAAGATGACAAGATACATAGAGATCAGACAAATGAACAATGATGATGCCTTTATAACATTGCCTGAATAGCTAGGATGTCTGCAGAGTTATACTAGCTTCATGGATATTATATAGGTTCAGTGGTCTGAAAAATAGGACATTAGATCTATTTAAAAGTGAACAACTGAAGAATTTGACAGTAGCTTCATTCGGAAAAAAAGAGGAAAGAGAAGTAAGATAAAGCAGGTTTAGCAATGTACAGTATTTTAAATGTATTAAAATGTCACATTAGTGAGAATATTTTAAATTCATACAATAACCTAAACTCTGCATTCTTTTAAAATGTTGCTTAAGTTATTTTGATTTGTTGGAGAGTTTATTGTGTTGTTCCATTTATTTTCTTTTGCTTGCCTATTTTATTATTTAGTGTTTTTGTTTTGTTTTGATTTTAGAGACAGGGTCTTACTCTGTCACCCAGTCTGGAGTGCAGTGGCACGACCATATGTTACTGCAACCTTGAACTCCTGGGCTTAAGTGATCCTCCCACCTCAGCCTCCCCAGTAGCTAGGACTACAGGCATGTGCCACTATGCCTCGCTAATTTTTTTTTTTTTTTTTGTAGAAATGGAGTCTTGCTAGGTAGGTAGCACAGGCTGGAGATTTAGTGTTTGCATATTTATTTATCTTCTATTTGGTAACAGATGCCATACTAGGTAACCTTTATTCACATAAAGATAATTCAAAGTGTCCATAAAGCACCAGATATTGTGAAAGATTTTAACAATTTAATTACTTTATTCATTTTTAATTTTTTTATTTTTTAAGAGACAGGATCTTGCCATGTTGCCCAGGCTGGAGTGCAGTAGCTGTTCATATGGGTGATCCTAGCACACTACAGCCTCAAACTCCTGGCTTCAAGCAATCTTCACCTCAGCCTCTGGAGCAGCTGAGACTTCAGGTGTGTGCCACTGCACCTGGCCATTTTTTATTTTCTATTACACCTAACAGGGGTGGAGGGAGAACAAATAGTTGAGGAAAGAGGTATGTGAATTAAGTCAGTAAAGGAGTTGTGAGTTTTGTGTGTATGAGATGGTTTTCATCAGTTTCTGAACAAATCCAGCTTCTGCTGTGGCCCACTGTGTCAGTTCACAGTCACCACTGTGACTGTAATATTAGTCCCTGCAAAAATAAATGCATCTGTTTTGTGAACATACTCAAGCTGCTCAAGAAGATGATGATATTTGACATCAACTGAGTATTTTGGTGACAGTTTTGAAAAGTTCTTAAGGAAGCTTGATACATGGGAGATTCTAAAGATGCATCTCACTATTTCTTCCCCAGTTGATCTAGACCATTTTCTAACAAAAGTAGATTTTAATTATTTCATATCTCTCAATTTATTAGCATACAGCCTTCACATTGGTCTCTGTACCTTTTGTTTTCTTGCTTGCTTGCTTTCGGGAAAAAGAAATCACTTTTAAAAAATTTTCAACACATTAAACTGATGTCAAGGGTGAGCTATTTTCTACGTGACTGGAAATTTTACTTCATCACATTTAGAGTTTTGTCTTGTCCCCAGTGTTTTGTCAAATTTTTTGATTTTACAAAGTGCCAAAGAGGAGGTCTGTCTTGTGATTGTTAATCATATGTCTCTCCATGTTAGATTAAAATACTTACTGTCCTGGTTCTCATGGTTCCTATATCTAAATTGTATTTTTATATAAAACCATTTACTCTATGAAGTTGTTACAAAAGATGCATTTCTATTTGAATATCTATGTAGCTCAACCCTTACTGTACTTGTTTTCTTGTTGTCAAAGTCCACATTGTTCATGGCCTTTCTCAGACAGCTTCTCCATCAAAGGATATGATGCCTGTCATGAGTTATGAATGTTACTACTTCTTTCCCTTGATACTGAAATCCTAGTGGAATTAGAAACAACTGGGGCATATCTTTAAAATCTTGCTCACTGGAGGGCTCTTCTGGGGCATATGGTCTTTCTCCTGTGGCTTAATGTTTTAGTTTAGGAATTTGAGAAGAGCTGGCTGAGCAGTTCATCTCTGATCCAAGTGTTGACAGCTGGGACTAGATTATGCATTTCCCAGATGGTTTCTTCACTCACATGTATGGCACCTTTGTGCCATCTTTGTCAGTTCACCCCAGTCCCCAACTTGGTGTCTCATCTTTCAGTGATCTCCATGTGGCTTGAGCTCACAGGATAGTGACCTCCTGGTAGTAGATCTCTCACATGAGGGCTTAGGGCACCAAAATAAAATGTTCCAAGAACCATCTCTTAAAAGACTGTCTTTCCCCAGTTGTTCTTTTGACAATAGAGGAACTAGCTTTAAAAGACCCAATTTGTAGAATTCTTCTTTATAAAAAATTCAGGCCTTAGGGTTCAAATACTAAGATAAAAAGTTGAATGATGTGGCAAGCTACTTTTCACTTTGTTTTGTTAGGGAACTTTCAAATTTAGCTAAAGATTGTGTTTATGATCTTTTTTTCTTATTTGAGGGTGAAATGTTGAAATTGACCTGGCCCTAGGGCAAAGGAGAGGAACAGTGATGGTGGGGGGCCCATATTCCAAGTGAATAGTCTACACTGCTTCCTGGGTCTCACTCTCTAACACTTGTAGTGATCATGCTGATGAGAGATGACAGGAGAAAAGTTGCCTACAGTTAAGAGCCTTCCTGTCCCAGAAGCAACAAACAACTTCAAATCCAGCTTTTGGCAGAACTGCTGACTGATATAGTTTATATTTTGCAAGCTCTCCTCACCTCTTCTGTCTGCCCCTCCCCAGAACCCTTTCCTACACACACATTATAGTGTTTTCTTCCTTTAGAACTAGCCCTCCAAACCTATCACTTCCTCAAGCCCACATCAAAACTGACTTGTTTTATTCTTATCTCTGATAGACTGGTTTAAAGACACACATTTCTTCATAAACACATTTCACCCCTTCATTTGTCTTTAGGAAGAGCCATTGCTTGAACCCCAATGGCACCCTCTCCAGTGGTGGCATTCTGAAGCAGAGACATCATCTTAGAGGTAGGGGAGATTAGATGTCTTTTACGTCCTGCTGAATGCAGAAAATACTTTGATATTTAACCCTCAAACTTCTATTTCCTTTGACATGTCACCTAAAATAGGAAAAGGATGTTTGTCTTTTTTTTGTTTTTGTTTTTTTTGAAATGGGGTCTCACTTTGTCACCCAAGCTGGAGTGCAGTATTACGATAATATAGCTCACTGAAACCTTGAACTCCTGAGCTCAAGTGATCCTCCCTCCTCAGCCTCCTGAGTAGTTGGACTATAGGCTCATGCCACCATGTTCAGCTAATTTTTAAACTTTTTTTTTGTGGACATGGACTTTTGCTATGTTGCTTGGGCTGGTCTTGAACTCCTGGGTTCAAGCAATCCTCCCATCCCTCCCTCCCAGAGTGTTGGGATTACATGTGTGAGCCCACTGTTCTCAGCCTGTTTGTCCTTTTTGATGCCACTGGATTTAGTACATAAGTTTTTATGTTATAAAGTCACGCCCAATTTTTAAAAGGGGCTATTCCATTTCTGTTAGCCATGCATACATACACAGAGTTATTGCCCAGAGGAACACTGCGTGCATAAGGACAGCTAAGACCCCATACTGTCGTTAGCTGGGAGTCAGGTTACCTCCCACATGGACAGTGTCATGTGCTAGAGATGTGTGCAAGTAGAAGAGTCCTAGAGAGGAGAATCTGTAGCATTAAGCGGGCTTTGCAAATTAAAAAAAAAAAAAAAGATCATTCACAACAACCCTCTGACCTTAATTTTTAATAACTGTGAAATGGAGTTAATCACCTAGGCACTGTACTAACCACTTTATATACATAATCTCATTCACTCCTCACAACAACTCCAATATCTAGGGATATTATCATTCCCATTTTACAAGAAAGGAAACATGAGCTTAGAGGGTTTACACAAATTGCCCAGAGTCACATGGCTAGTAAGCTGTGGAGCCAGGAATAAAATCCACACAGTTCATCCCTAGAGCAGAGAGATCTTCCTTTAAGTACTTCCCTGACCTGTGTGAGTAAATCTCATAATGTGTACTTCTTGGGAAATAAGAGGAAAGGGGACCTAGGCTGTAATGAAAAGCCTGAAGTTCTACTTTCTTTATTTTTCTGTCCAGATGAACCTTTATTTTTACACATGTTCTTAAAGTCCAAACTTCTTCTTTTTTTTAAAATTATACTTTAAGTTCTGGAATACATGTACAGAATGTGCAGGTTTGTTACATAGGTATACACATGCCATGGTTGTTTGCTGTATCCATCAACCCGTCACCTACATTAGGTATTTCTCCTAACGCTATCCCTCCCCTAGCCCCCGACCCCACAACAGGCCCCGGTATGTGATGTTCCCCTCCCTATGTCCATGTGTTCTCATTGTTCAACTCTCAATTATGAGTGAGAACATGCAGTGTTTGGTTTTCTGTTCCGGTGTTAGTTTGCTGAGAATGATGGTTTCCAGCTTCATCCATGTCCCTACAAAGGACATGAACTCATTCTTTTTATAGCTGCATAGTGTTCCATGGTGTATATGTGCCACATTTTCTTTATCCAGTCTATCATTGATGGGCATTTGGGTTGGTTCCAAGTCTTTGCTATTGTGAATAATGCTGCAATAAACATACATGTGCATGTGTCTTTATAGCAGAATGATTTATAATCCTTGGGGTATATACCCAGTAATGGCATTGCTGGGTCAAGTGGTATTTCTGGTTCTAGATCCTTGAGGAATCGCCACACTGTCTTCCACAATGGTTGAACTAATTTACACTCCCACCAACAGTGTAAAAGCATTCCTATTTCTTCACATCCTCTGCAACATCTGTTGTTTCCTGACTTTTTAATGATCGCCATTCTAACTGGCATGAGATGGTATCTCATTGTGGTTCTACTTTGTAACTAGGCTTTGGGTTTAGCAGGACTCTCTTAAGGATGTAAACAGATTTCCACCAATAACCTTCTCATATGCAGAACACTGGGTCAGAAACTTAACTCTGAGAATGGTCTATGTTTATTGCTTAGATACATAAGAAGATATATGTGGCATTGCAGTTAGTTGAACTAGACAGTGTGTAAAAATCTGTTTCCAAAATATGAGCGAGATGCGTGATAAATGTGTTGATTCAATTTTTTGGATGTGAAATAGCTTTGGGTCAAAGCCCCAAGACTCACTTTGGAGGCCTTGCCAGAGACAGAACTGAAACTATGTTCAGGAAATAAAGATATTTACAATACCCAAAGGGCAAATTCTCACTAGGTCCAGCCGCCTCACTACAGAAAATGATATGATGACACCCCACTGCAGTTCTCTCAGCATCACGCAATATATCCACGTAACAAACCTGAACATGTACCCCTGAATCTTTAAAAAAAAAAAGAGAGAGAGAAAGAAAAATAAATGAATTCTACAAGGGGAGGGGAAGAGGATGATCGGGACAGGTTAGCACTATATCTTTTTTCCCTTACCCTCTTCCACTAGTACAGTTTAATTTAGCTCCTCGCCACCTTGGCAGTACTGATCTGTGCGAGAGACTGAGAAGCTGAGGCACAGAGGGGGAGAGAAGGGGGACAGTGACAAGCTCATGGAGGCAAGGGGCAGTTTGAAGTGCGAGGAAGCGGGGCTGGGGGGCTGAGTGGTCATGATAATAAATACATGCGAAGAGCAGTAGCATTTTGGGGAGATTATAGAGAAGCTGGGACTTAGAGAGCACTGAGAGAAGCAGTCAGGCTTTATAGCTTCAGTCTTAATCTCAGGGCTGTCACTGGTCCCTACAGTCACTTCTGGGACAGTGCAGAAGCAATGTTCCCTAGGGTCACATAATTATTGAATATTAGAGCCCCATATAACCTCACAGTCCATCAAGTACATATAGACCCTCAATTTCAGTTTAAAGGGAATTTAAAGGGATTTTGTCCAGTTGATTGAAAACAGCTTTGATTTTCATGGCAGGCTTTAATATCGCTTTCTTTTGCAAGTTGCTTTCCTGTTAAAAATTCTATCTATAGAAGACCCTGTGTATGTGTGTTTGCCTATGTGCGTTTATGTGGATGTGATGTCTATGGTGCACCTCATTTGTCAGACAATAGAGTGAAAGATTATGATTTTAGTTACCTTTTTAGCTGAAATCAGGAACAAAATTAGTCAAGCTATAGATATTTATGAAGTATCCACTCAGTGTATTCCTTTGTTTCTGATGGCTAGACAGATATTTTATTTATTTATTGAGACAGGTTCTCGCTCTGTTGCCCAGACTTGAGTGCAGTGGCACTCACTGCAGCCTCAACCTCCCAGACTCAAGCCATCCTCCCCACCTCAGCCTCCTGAGTAGCTGGGACTACAGGCGTGCGCCACAACGCCTGGCTAATTTTTTTTTTGTAGAAACAGGGTTTTGCCCTGTTGCTGAGGCTGGTCTCCATCTCCTAGGCTCAAGCGATCTGCCTGCTTCAGCCTACCAAACTGCTGGGATTACGGGTGTGTAGACAACATATTTTAGGCACATAATTTGGATAACCTTTTGCTTTGTTTATTTTATTTTATTTTTTTATTTTTTATTTTTTGAGACGGAGTCTTACTCTGTTGCCCAGGCTGGAGTGCAGTGGCGCGATCTCAGCTCACTGCAAGCTCCGCCTGCTGGATTCAAGGAATTCTCCTGCCTCAGCCTCCTGAGTAGCTGTATTACAGGCATGTGCCACCACACCTGGCTAATTTTTTCGTATTTTTAGTAGAGATTGTATTTTAGTAGAGATTGTTTCACCATATTGGCCAGGATGGTCTCAAACTCCTGACCTTGTGATCTGCCTGCCTTAGCCTCCCAAAGTGCTGGGGTTACAGGCGTGAGCCCCTTCGCCTGGCTGATCTTTTGCTTTCTAAGTGCTCACATATTCAGCAGGGAAAGAAATAATAATAACAGCTTCTCAAGTACCATGGAAAACCACTTGATAGTTTTACAGTGATTCTCAAAATTTAACATGTATATGCATCATTCCAAAATCTTGTTAGAATGCAGATTCTGATTTAGTATGTCTGGGATTTCTTACCAACTCCTAGGTAAAATAGATGCTGCTGGTCCATGATGCTGCTGGTCCACAGACTACACTTTGGCAAATAGCTGAATAAAGTCTTAGCATTGGTTAAAATGTAAGGCATGCATAGGGAATAGCAAGTCAGTTTGACAGGGAAGATCAGATCTCAAAGAGCCTTGAATGCCAAGGTAAGGATTTAGGTGATATTCTATGTAAAAGAATCATTGTAGTTTTCTATACTGGGTAGAGAGTGACATGATAGGACCTGTACTTAAGGGAGATTTATCTGTCATCATGTATAGGACAGATGCGCTAGAAGTTTTATATTAGGTATTTAGTAGGAGAGACTCAACTCCTGGCCCTTAATGCCAAATGAGAAAAAGTTGCAGGAAGGAGAGAGGAGGGCACTGGCAATAGAGAAGCTACCTGCTTTACAGACTGTCCCTGGGTGAGAATAAGGAGTTGTTTGGATCACAAATCTCTTTAGTCCGCCCAAATTCCAAGAGATCCCTGCAAATCCCTTGCTTATTTAAGGATGCAGTCATAAAATACGGTAAATTTCTAGATCCAATTTATCAAAATGTATTGAGTGCCAAATACAGTCCTCTGCTGTTTCAAGCATCTGTGTATTTCCTAGAGTGTTTAATGCAGGATCCTTGTAATGTTAATGGTGAATGAAGGAATTCATTCTGCTTAATTATCCTATTTCAGCTTAAGATGCAATAATATATCCTTGATGAGACTATTTAAAAAGCAAGGACATGATAAACACAAAATATAGGATAGTGGTTACAATTGGGGGAAAGTAAGGGGAAGAGATAAGGGAGAAGTAAACAGATGATGTGAATTATTGTTATTGTTGTAGTTCTTGGGTTTGAGTAATTGATTCACTGGATTTGTTATATTATTAAAATAAATAAGGAAATGAACCAGTAAATAAAATAAAGTAGAAGAGTACCATGCATGTTAATAATACAAAATATGATTAATTATGCACCTGAAGTCTATTTTTTTAAATCTACATGAACACACACTCAAAAGTAATATCAGGGAGTGTCCGTCCTGTCTACAGGGTCTGCCAAAAGTGAGAGAATGAAATTAAAGTTGCTACATGAGCCTATACCTATGGAGAGCTTTTCTGTTTAGTATAATTTCACAATGCAGATAGTTCAAGTAGTTATCCCACCCAGTCTGATGCTTGGTGAGATCAGGTAAGGCAGTAGCCCCAACAAAATATACTAACATTCTACTATCTAAATTTCTGTTCCATTTAGTAATTTACAGAGGGCTTTCACATATCAAAACATGCTTGCCTGCCATTTACTCAGTGTGACATTCTTGCCTTCTTGAACCTGGGGCCAGAGGTCTTGGAAAAATATCTTGTGGGAATTTGGTATGAATGTCTTGGAGTATTTGGTGTGCTCAGAGTATTGTACTTATAATTGCCTGACATGAAATGTTTTCTAATCATTGACATGATACCAGGGTGTGAAGAAATATATCCTGGGAGGTCAAATCCACTTTCAAAATAAAAGTTCCTTCTTTGTTATCTGTCCTAGTAAGTGAATGGAGTTCTGGCTTATTCTACAGAACATACAGGAATTACCAATGTCAGAAACTTAGGATATAGCAAAATACAGTCAGTGCTAAAACTACTGAGTATAATTTAATTCTTTTGATGCATAAGGCATTTTTAGGGACTTGGGTGATCCACACAAATGAATTTTCCTGAAAATTGAAATAAACCTATTACTGCAAAAATATTTTTAAAAATAAAAGTAGTAAATGCTTAAGGACAAAAATTCTAAAAATTCAGAGTACCGAAGGTACAAAGTGAAAGGTACAACTGACCTTTCCAAATCCCCAATTTCTACTATTAACAGTTTCTTGTATATCTATACAGAAAATTTATCTGCATATTCAGCTCTGTGTATAATTTTATTTTTTTCACAAATGGGATCATACTATAGTGGAATTACAGGGGATAAAATAATATTCATTTTATATTTTAATAGTTACAGCTAAATTGCCCTTTTATTAAATGGTACATTCTCAGTAGTTATTTGAGAATAACTTCCTCAATGCTTCTTATAATATATCCCATTGTTTTGTAAACTTGCTTTATTTTTCGTCATAAGTGAGGCTGTGCATCTTTTATGTGTTTATTGGTTGCTTCTGCTTTTCCTTCTTGTAAAATGCCTGTTGAGAACTGAATTATTTTCCCCTCTGGTAAAATGCCTCCAAATTGAACACAGAACATTAACGATGTATTTTTACAGCTACATTTTTACAATTAGACTCCATTAAAGGTGATTGTTCAACAACTAATAGTTTAAAATCTTGAGATTCTTTTTCATTTTTTAAAATATAATACATTGTCACACCAATGTCTAATACCAAGATGATGACATTTGGTGTTAACAGTTGTACTTTACCCAGTCTTTAGTCTAATTTGAACCTCATCCAAGTTTGGAAAATTCCTGAAGTGGAAAGTACCAACAATAAAAAGGGGTTTTGTGATAGTTGACTTCCCAGTCACTCCCAGCTCCGTCCAGACAGTACATACTTTCCTCCCACTTTGCTGATAAATAACCTTGGAAATAAATTTATACCCATGGGTATAATTCTATGAGTTTAGTGATCCTGCCTCTTTTTGTTATCTATACAGTTTCTATCATACTATGGCTGCTTAGGAAGTGTCTAAGAAAAACAACAATAATGCTGGTATTTGATTTGTCAGTTGTGGCTTGGGGCATCAGTGGGACATAGAGCAGAATTCTTGCTGAGGAATATGATCCTCACTTGATTCTAATTTTATCTTTGTGGTGAAGCTTTTAAATATGAGGACAGCTGATGTTGAATAAGTCTGTCCTCACAAGCTGTATGAGATTGAAATAAAATTAAATATTTGGGGTTAAATCCAAATGTAAAGATGTGGAAATGGCTGATTAGTCTTTTGATATTTCACTTTCTGCATCTTGGTAAAAAGGAACTGTTTGTTGTGAACTCCTAGCAACAGTCCAGTTTGAAGCTTATGATAAGCTAAATGTGTGCCTTAACTTAAGGTCTAACATTTTATAAAAGATGAAGTAGAGTTCCTACTTTTCACCCCAACCTCCACCCTGCTGATAAAATGATAGGCTATGCATACCTGATTTTGTTAGCGGCCTCTCTTTCTTTGTTTTTCTCCCTGAATAAAAGGTTTCTACTAATGAAATAGTGAGGCCCACACTTACACTTGGATTGGGGTAATGATCCTGTGTGGTCTTTGTAAGTTTGCAAATGATGAGACCCCAAACTCCTAGTAGATTCTTACCTAGGTGACTAAATGTATTGCTAATTGCTAAGGAATAAATAAATGGGTGTGCTCCAAGAATAGATTGCTGGCTCTTCTTCAGCTGACTGGATTACTAAGGTAGAAAAGCACTAAAAATAAATCAGGGCACAAATTCTTCTGCCAGGAACTGAGCATTGAGATAACTTGTCTGCCTGGTGGTGTTGACATCATCTGTTCTCCTAATGCACTGCATAAATAGGAGCCAGAATGAGAAATAGATTTGGCCATAAACTAGTGTCAGTAAAAGTCCTTAGCCCTTGTCCTGATATACCTATTGCTGCTTCTTGCCAGGTTTAAGTTAGTTAGTCCATCCAACTCCTCTAGGAGATAGCTAAGTACATCAAGGTGAGAACTCAAAACCAAACTCAGAGTCAATCTCAGGGGAAATAATTTGATTTCTTCTAGCTTCAAATATATTTTTGCTAGTTCTCTTCTGTCAGTTGGGTTTCAGTGTTTCCCCCAAGGGGTCAGATTTTAACAGAGTTGGAAAGGTGGGAAGGCATCTCAGGAAATCAGTTCTCTAGGACCTGAAGATTGCACCGTGATCCAGGTTCCCTGATGTGGAGTTAAGGATTCTTATCACTGAATTCCTCTTCTGTTATTACTTCAAATGTCCTGAGCAGAAAGCCTTAGCCAGTTATAATTAACCTATGGATCTCATGTGAACTAAAATGGGAGGAAATCCATGCAAATCCCTACCTTCTTTATATCTGAACCTACTTTCTTTTAGTTTTAGAGCAAGTTGCATTTAACTGGAATAATACTGTCTCACACTGATTAAGTCCTTGATGCTCACAAAATGCTTTCACACATTTATCTTGTGATCACAACAAGCCTGTAAGGAAGGCAGATGTTCTTATCCTCTTATTAACTGCTAGACTCAGAGAAGCCAACAGATTGAGACTCTGGCAGCAGTTGTTGCTAAGATCCCTGGGAGCTCTGTGATTTCATAGTCCATATAGTCAGCAGTGAACAGTCGGATCCATTTCTCTGGGGAAAGTTTGGGAAGTTTGTTCTGTTTGTTTAAATAAAGTTTATTTAAATATTTGTACAAAATATGCATTCTCATTATAGAAAATTTGGAAAATATGGAAGAAAAAAAATCAACCACAGACCGAGCACACAAAAACAAATTCCTTGGGTTTCCTGTTTTTTGACTGAATCTGTGAGATAGAAGGCGAGATCAGTAGGTATTCAATAATGTTTATTCTGCCTCCACCCCTTTCCTTGTGTTCAGCATAATGCACACAACAGACTTTTAAATTCAGTCTCCTCTTCTAGGGATCCTTCATAGGTAGGTATTGACTCTCAGTCTTCGGAGCTGAGCTCTAAAAGGTGAGTCAGAATCTTCCCATAATCCCTGGTAGAGATCAGCTGTTAACTGTTCTCCTTTTGTTACCCTTCTCTTTTTTTCCGCACAACACTCTTCCTTTCCTTCTGGCTATATCAGTAGGTTTTCTCTTTGTCTTTCTCTACTGTTTGTCATTTCCAGGCTTAAAGTCAGCAGCAGATTCTACCTGGCCTCCCCAGGGCAGAGTCAAGGCCCCCAGTAGCAATGAAGAGAATGAAAGGACAAATATGGAAACTTCTCCTTTTTCTAGTCTCCCACTCACCGAGATTGGCACTGGCTTCTCAGAAGTACACTGACCAAAAAGAGGAGTGTTGGGCAGTCCAGGAACTTTTCTTTTCTTTTTTTTTTGAGACGGAGTTTTGCTCTTGTCGCCTAGGCTGGAGTGCAATGGCATGATCTTGGCTCACTGCAACCTCCGCCTCCTGGGTTCAAGTGATTCTCCTGCCTCAGCCTCCTGAGTAGCTGAGATTACAGGTGCACGCCGGCATGCCCAGCTAATTTTGTATTTTTTAGTAGAGATGGGGTTTCGCTATGTTGGCCATGCTGGTCTCGAACTCCTGACCTCAGGTGATCCACCCACCTCAGCCTCCCAAAGTGCTGGGATTACAGGCGTGAGCCATCGTGCCTGGCCCAGTGCAGGACCTTTAACAGCTGCAGATGTTTGGAGCCAGGAAATATTGAGCTCCAGTCTATCTTTGAGTCCTCTCCTGCATTTTGCTTAGTTCTTAAATAATAGACATTAGTTAAGTCTTTATTGATGAATGTGTGTGTGAGTGAATGAATGTGTTTGGTCCTGAGACTGGAAGTAAGAAGCCACTATACTGGTTTCCTATAAGTTAAAATCATCAGGATTGTATTCTCTTTCCTGCTCCCAAGGAATTAAGAACGTTTGATTTTCCTCATCTGTAGGATCAATATGATATGAGAAAACCCAGTTAACCAGCAGCCTTCGTTTCAAAGATACTCACAACCTCCACGTTGTCTGTTTGGTTTTCTGCTCCTGTTGTCCCCAAAGAAAGAGCCCCTCAAGGCTGTGTTTGAGGCGGGTCGCTGCTCTCTGGCAAGAAGGAGCATAAACTGGAATGACAGCTGTGTGCAAATAGGCTAGTGTATAAATTGGAAAGGATGGGGAAGAGTCTTCCTATTCTACTCTAGTTGATGCAGTTCCAGCTTTCAATTTATCACACTTGAGAAGTGCTCATCTTCCCAACAGGACAGAAAATATGTGACCCCGAATTAACCACTAATAATTGTACATCAAATCTAAATGGGAATGAGGAGATAAAAGGCAGGGTAAAGCCAAAGTCTCATGGTAAGGAAAGCATTTTTAGCTGGAATGTAAAGAATGTTGGTATTGGCATTTAATGGAAATTCAAGCTGCCCTTCCCTTCAATCCAGATAGCTCACAGTTGTTTGGGTCACAATTACAATTTTACTGATTTTGGAAATCTAATATTAATCTTAGCATTGGCTTTAGTGGAGAATCTGTCCAATGTTGTAGATCTTTATGGAGAGGTATTTTAAATTGTGAAATTTTTTTCTTAGACATGTAAGACTTTTATATACACTGTTGGTGGATGTGCTTTTGATTGTGCTGAATCGATCTATACATTTAAAATACAATAAAAAGAATTTAGGTCCAGCATAGAAGCCGAAGAATATCTCTTATCCAAAATGCTTGGGACCAGAAGTGTTTCAGGTTTGAGATTTGTTTTTTCTTCAGATTTTGGAATATTTGCTGATACTTAAATGGTCCTTTGAGCATCATGTCAGTGCTGAAAAAATTTTGGATTTTGGAGCATTGAAGATTTTGGATTTTTGGATTAGGCATGCTCAGCCAGTATAGAGAAACTTCATCTTACCATGCATAAGCTGAAAAATTTTTTTGACAAGAATACACTTCCACTCTCTATTATAAATTATAGAATTAAATAGCAGGCTTTGATTGAGGGTCTCTTGTACTGCCCGGTACTGAGCAGCTGGAGAGTAACAGATCAAACAAAAGGGAAAAAAAAAAAAACATCCTACTACATTTATAGTAAATTAAGTGTGTAGAACATGGTGTAAACATTTCAAAAGCCATTCAACTCAGTATTTTTTGAGCATCTCATGTAGGCTACCTACTTTATTTTGTTTTGTTTTTTAGCCCCAGACTACTTCTTTCTAGTTTCAGCCAATTGTTTAAAAACTAAATAATGCTTGTTGTGTATGACAGAAGCTGGGAAAACTCAGTATTATCCCATTTCCAGTAGTAGTGCAAAAAAAGGCAAATCGTTTAAGGATGATTCATTAGAAACATGGCCTCCCTCATCAAAGGATGGCATGTTCTATCATTAGAGAAGTAATTTATGTGATGTGATCATGAGTGCTGTTGACTTAAAGGGCTTGTAATCTGTAGGAATCTGTGACTCAGCATCTGGCCTCTGGAAGCAGGTTCTTAGCAGACTGTCAAAGCTCAAGGTGAGCTTCAGGTCATCCAACTCCTCAGTTTTTTTTTTTTTTTTTTTTAAAAAACAAATGAGGACCTGAAGTCCAGAGAAGAGAGGCCATTTGCCATGGTAGTGTGTTATTGCCAGAGAAATATCAGGAGAAATTGTGAAATTTGGAAAAAAAAATTACCAAATGTCCTTCAGAATGCTAGGCATTGACTAGTAAACCCTTCTAGGTTATCTGATTCTATAGTGCTCTACACCTTTCATTTCTTTGAACTATTTTAAATCCTTTAAAATTATAGAAAACTGAGGGTAATACAAATTATTCTTATCTGTAGAAATGCAAATGAATTTTGTCTTGCAAAGGTGCAATTGTTACTACTCCTCACACACATGAAGCTGGGTTTGCGTTTACTAACACATTCATTTCAGCATTTTCTGGCTGCCTCTTGTACCAGTTTTTAACATTTTACTGGATCTGTTTTTAATGAGTTAAATGAAACCTTTAACATGTGTTCATTTTATATTTGTATGGCAATCATAATTTTGCCTTAAAAATTATCTTTTAACAGGAAGAAACTAAGATTTTAGTAAGCATTCTCTGTTCCTTTTGTTAAATAAACAACATGTCCACAAACGTAGTGTAAATGTCCAATCGGCTTTTATTAGCAATTCATAAATTGGAGCAACATCTCATTCTATAAAATAGAATAGATGCTTCGCAGGGCATGTCAGAACAATTGGTTTATGAAGGTGGGAACAAGGAAATAAAAATTGAAAAAGCAGATTGACTAATATCAAGTTACTTCAAGTTACTTTTCTTATAAGGGTTAAGCAGAGGAGACTTCCCTATCATGCCAGCTCCGGTTAACTGGGCCTCTTTTGATTGGTTACTGGGATTCTCCTGTTTTCAAGAAAACTTGATCTGTTTGGGATTTTACCTGCTTTCTTAATGTTTCAGTTTGACTTTGTGATACTTAGCATGAGTGACTTCATTTTAGTTTGGTCTTTTGGGGCCTAGTATGGGAGCTTAGTCCAAAACAGTGAACTCCTATAAATTTTATTTAACACTTCATTCACTGTGAATAGGTAGAAGCACCATTTACATGGGTTTCTGAAATGGCTAGACAATCAGTTGTAATTTTCTCTCACATTTTTATGTGTTTATTGGTCATGTGGGTGACATCTTCTTAAAAAATATTTTATTGAGGGTGAATTTCATGTAACATAAAATTAACCATTTTAAAGTGAATGATTCAGTGGCATTTAGTACATGCATAATGTGTTGCAACCACACTTCCATCTAGTTCTGAAACATTCCCATCACTTCTGAATAAAACCTCTTATCCATTAAGAAGTTTCTCCCCATGCCTCTTCCCCATATACCCTAGCAACCACCAATCTGTATTCTGTTTCTATGGAATTTTCTGTTCTAGATATTTTATATAAATGGAATCATACAATATGTGACATTTTGTGCCTGGCTGCTTTCACTTGTAATAGTGGTTTGGAGGTCTATCCATGTTATAGATCAGTGCTTCATTTTTCTATGGGTGAATAAAATTCCATTGTATGTCTGTACCACAATTTGTTTATCCATTCATCCATTGATGGACATCTGGGCTGTTCCTACATTTTGGTTATTATAAATAGTGCTGGCATGAACATGCATGTAATGTACTTTTTTGAGGACTTGATTCACTTATTTGGGGTGTATAACCTAGGAATGGAATTGCAGCATCATAGGGTAATTCTGTTTAATTTTTTGAGGAACTGCCAGACTGTTTCCACAGAGGCTGAACTATTTTACATTCCTGTCAGCAGTGTATGAGGGTTCCAGTTTTTCCACATCCTCGCCAACCCTTGTTATTTTCCATTTTAAAAATTATGTCCATCTAGTGAGTGTGAAGCGGTACTGCATTGTGGTTTTATTTGCATTTCATTAACGACTAATGATGTTCAGCATCTTTTCATGCACTTGTTAATCATAGAATTTTGAACATTGCATCATATTTTGGATATACTTGGGAATATTTTGAATATACCAGGGAGGCTGGCTTTCAAAAAGAAATATTTATGATTCCCACATAATACAAGTAATCATCCCCTGATTTGTGTTTCTTGATGTAAGATTTTATATATTAATTTTTATTAAAGTGATTCCTATAAAAAATTTATCTTTTTTGGAGACAAGCTGGAGAGGATTATCTTCACTCCTACATGACACTCTTTATACGGTATTTTCAAAGACCATTCCTAAATCTTCTGCAATATCAAGCAACTGCTATTAAAGAACTCAGAAAAATGTTGCTATGGTGATAATATTTGTCCTTGTGAAACACAGCTATGTGAGCTGTTTTATGCCGTAAAATCTTGCTTGGAGCTCTTTGTAAGATTTATTTGTTGATTTGCTTTTTTAGTGGAGATATATAGTTGATTTATTTTTTTGAGACAGGGTCTCATTCTGCCACCCAGGCTAAAGTGCAGTGGCGCGATCATGGCTCATTGAAGCCTCAACCTCCCAGGCTCAAGCGATCCTCCCACCTCTGCCTCCCGAGTAGCTAGGACTATAGGTGCACACCACCATGCCCAGTTAATTTGTATATATTTTTTGTAGAGACAGGGTCTCACTATGTTACCTAGGCTGGTTTTGAACTCCTGGACTTAACCTATCCTCTTGCCCTGGCCTCCCAAAGTGCTGGGATTACAGGCATGAACCACTGCGCCCTAGCCCAACACATGGTACGTTTTAAAATAAATATAACAACAGCCACCATAACTAACATTTATTGAACATTTATTTGGTGCCAGACTCTCTACTGGGTGTTTTACATAGATTATCTCCTTTAATCCCAGAAGGATGTCAGCCCCTAAGGATAAATAGTATTTTTTTCTGTGTCCATTGTGGTATCCTGAGCATCTAAAAGAGTCCTGCCACAGAGCAAATGTTCAATAAATGTTATTGGATGACTAAACAACCCTTTGAGGTAGTTATTGTGATTATCTTCATTTTACAAATGAGGAAGCTGAGGCTAAGAAATGTAAAACAATTTTCCCAAGGTCTTACAGATAGGCAGTCGTGGAATCCAGATCAGAACTCAGGCAGCCTGCTCCAGAGTCTGTATCATATTGGCTTTAAGCCATAGAGTTCAGAACAGCACTTTTACTTCTTCCTTGCAGGTACTACAGGGTGTCCAGCTATTTTGTGAAACAAAGAAGAAACAATTAAATTCATTTTAGTTTAACAAATATTTATTTATGGCCAATAAATAATGTGTGTTCAAATACTTGTTGGGTGTAATATTGAGAACTGGTAGTTAAGAGAACAAGATTATGTTATGGGGTCTGACACTAGCTGGATGACCTCGTACAAATGATATGCTCTCTCTATGATTTGGACTCCTTAGTTATAAAATGGAAAAGTTGGACTAGATGATATAAATATGCTCCAGCAATAAAATATGGTAACATGAAGAAATAACACTGATAAGGCTCAGTGAACTTGCTTGCTGGGGGTAGGGGTAGTAGGGGTATCTTGGTTTATATATATTTAATTTTTAATCTCTAGGGAATGAAAAAAGAGAAGAGGCAACAAAGTGGTCATTATATGATGGCAGTTGTAGAATATATCATCTAGAAGAGAAAATAAAGCAATTATCTCAGTAACAAGGAAGCCTCAGTTCATCCTTAATTTCAAGAAATAAGATTTACTTCTATCCTGACCCTTTCCTTTGAGGAGTATTATACCCTAAAATTACATAATATTTTATAGTTTCTCAATGCTTTCCTCTCATTTGTACCTACAACTATGCTGAGAGGTAGTTTGGGGAGGATAGTGTTGGGAAAAGCCAAGGGCTTAGATACAGTTCTACAATTATCTAGTGATTCTCAGTCTTAGTTTTTTGATGCCCAGCCTGTCTTATCTCCAAATTTGAAGAAAATATAAATTATTATTTTTAATGTTTTGATTTTTCTTTTAAATTCACTTGGTTAGAGGATATATATGCCTAACAACAGTTTTCCCTTAGGTTTCCAGAAGAGGATATTGCCTAATCAAACAGAATAATAGGGTAGCAAAACTTCCAAAACAATGTGTTAACTTTTTTTTTTTTCGAGACAGGGTCTCACTATGTTGCCCAGGCTGGAGTGCAGTGGCAGTGGCTATTCATGGGTATAATCACAGCATACTACAGCCTTGAACTCCTGGACTTAATTAAGCAGTCCTCCTGCCTCAGCCTCCTGAGTAGCTGGGACTACAGGCATGTGCCACCATGCCTGGCTCCTGTGTTAACTTTTTTAGAAAAAAAGATCTTAGGGATGAAACATACTTTTTAAGGCTCAGTTGTTTTCTACTTTAAATTGGGTTGAATGATTATATTTCTTACTCTTCCAAGTTTAGACAGTACATGCACTGAACTCTTACCACATGTCTGATTTATACAAAGTGCTATGCTGAGTGCCTCAGAAATTGAGAGAGGACCTTGCCTTCAATCCCACAAAAATTATGAAACATAAAACTGACCACTGCATATGACAGAACATTATGAGTGTCTAAAGCTAAAGATAAAGTGTTATAGGAAATCAAGATGAAGAGAGTCCTTTCAGCAACAGTTGTTGAGAAAAGTTTCATGGAAGAGGAACCAAGTCTTGAAGGATGTAGATATTAAGAGTGAAAGAGTGACAGCAAGAGTGAAGTGAGAGAAGGAGAGTAAGAGAAAGATATTAACAGGTGGAGGGAATGAGTATGAGTATAGGCTCAGAAGGAAAAATATTCAGGGTGTATTTGGGAAAGTTGTGAACAAGTTGCACTCCCTGAAAAAATTGTTAGAGAGATCCCTCCAATATTGGTTCTTCGTTATCATTGTTCTTTTTCCACTCCTACTCCAACCCAAATAAAATAAAAGAATAGGCCATTAATTCCTTCATTCAACTAGCATGCATTGAGTACCTGCTCTGTCCCAGGTGCTTTGCTAGGGAGCATAAGCTAGAAAGATCAACTAGCTTTGCCCTCAAAGGGCTCACAGTCTGGTGAGGAAGACCAACTCTTAGTTAGAAAAGGAGTTACATACAGAGTGCCCATTTTATTTGAAATGGGGCCACCTTGAAAAGAATGAGCTTGGCTGCATTGGGCTGATCGCCTAAGCTCTGTTTTTAGCCCTTGGAGCAACTTCAGGATGTGTGGCATTCCAGGAGAACAGCTGCATACTATATTCTGAAAATGACTAAAGTAGCACCTCCGTTTTTTCCAGACCCGCAGCAATGACTCTCACTAGGAAGGAGAGCCAAACCCTACCCTGTCTTGTGCTATTGGGCATGTTGTTCCACAGACTTTTAGAGGGGAAGTTTCAGATTTTCTTGCTTTTGTCCCAAAGAAAGGAGATATGGAGGAAGGAAGGGCTAAACTATAGAGGCCTCTCATTTTTTTTTAAAAAAAGTATAGAATTCTTTATTGTTATTTCTTAGTGCAGCAAGAGATAATAATGATAGATATTATTTATTAAGTGCTTAGTGCCAGGCACTGTGATGAGAGCTCTAACATGCAGCATCCAGTTTAACCCACCAGCAGTCCTAAAAATTAGCTACTATTTTCATCACCTTTTACAAATAAGGAAACTGAAGCTTAAAAAGATTAAGTAACTTTCCCATGTCACATAGCTAATGAGTGGATATGGTGGAAAGTGTAATTAATATTGGAATGCGTTTTATGTTTCATAATTTATGGAGAAAACTGAGGCCTAGAGAGAAGTGATTAGTCCATAGGCATGGAGGAAAATGATGTTAGAGCCAGCTTTAGAACCCATGTCTCAATTTTATGACTCTTTAAATTTTTAAAACTTATTTATAACAGAAAATTTCAAATATATGTATATCTATATGTCTATATATATCACCTAGTTCCTACAATCATGTATTCATGATCAATCTTATTTCATCTGTACCCCTACTGTCTTGCCCCCTACCATATTATTTTGAAGCAAATAGCAAAATATTTTGTCTATAATATAATCAAAATATTTCTCTAAGAGGTGATTTTTGTGAAAAATATAATACCATAATCACACCTAAAAATTAGTAATAACTCCTAAATACCATCAATGATCTAGTCTGCGTTCAGATTTCCAGTTGTCTCCTAAATGTCACAGTTTTTTCTTGCAGTTGGCTTGCTTGAATCAGGATCCAAATAAGGTTCACACATTACAATAGATGTATCTTCTAGTCTCTTTCAATCTATAGCTTTCCCTCCAGCATTTTTATATTCTTGTGATTGTTGAAAAAACTAGTTGTTTGTCCTGTAGAGTTTCCTGCAGTTTTGATTTTGTTGATTGTATCCCTGTGGTGTAGTTTAAGATGTTCTTCTCTTCTGTCTTCTGTATTTCCTATAAATTGATTGTTGGATCTAGAGGCTTGATCAGATTCAGGTTTGATTTTTTATTTTGAAAGACAACTTCACAGGTGATGTTGGGTTGTGTTTCTCTATCAGGAGGCACAAAGTGTCTGGTTATCTCTTCTTTTTGTGATTTTATAGTAGCAATCATTGATTATTATTATTATTTTTTGAAATAGGGTCTCACTTTTTTGCTGGAGTGCAGTGGCATGATCTTGGCTCACCTGCAACCTCCGCCTCCTAGGTTTAAGCAATTCTCCTGCCTCAACCTCCCAAGTAGCTGTGATTATAGGAGCGCGCCACCATGCCTGTCTGATTTTTGTATTTTTAGTAGAGATGGGGTTTCACCATGTTGGCCAGGCTGGTCTTGAACTCCTGACCTCAAGTGATCCACCCACTTTGGCTTCCCAAAGTGCTAGGATTACAGGCATGAGCCACCGTTCCTGGCCTAGCAATCACTGATTTTTAATGCCTAGGTACAGTAATTTATTAGAGATTCCAAGGCCTTCCATTTACTGCCATGATGGAATATCAGGAATAGAATTTACCCTTTCAACTTAACTAAAAAACCCAACAAGATATATGAAACAATGGTTTTCAGACATTGGACAATAGGCATAATAGGACTGTGATTCTTGAAGAAAGAGAAGTAATGTCTGGCATCCAGTGAAAAATTACTGGATGTGCAAAGAAATGAGATAATATAACCCATAACATAGATACAATTTAATTAATAGAAACAGAAATGACACATATATAAAATTAGGAGACAAGGATATTAAAAAGCTATGATAAAAATGCTTTACATGTTCAAGAAGTAGAGGAAAACACAAGCATAACAAGGAGAGAAATGCAAGATATAAGAAAAACACCCAAGTCAAATTTCTAGAGATGAAAAATACAATATTTGAAATGAGAAGTACATTGGATGGGATTAACAGCAGACTAGACACAGTAGAATAAAAAATTAGTACATTTGAAGGCATAATAATAGGAAGTACTCAAAGCACAGAGAAAAAAGATGAAAAAAATGAACAGGGCATCAGTGAGCTGTGGAACAATATCAGATAATCTAATATACATGTAACTCCAGTTGGAGAAGGGCAGGGATACCAGAAAAGTATTTGAAGAAATAATGGCTGAGAAATTTTCAGGTGCCCTAGCAGGACCTGGAGACCTCTTTTTCTGTTGTAATGAAAGGCAGGATTGCTTCTCTGTAGATAAAGAGAACAGTTTCATGATGAGCAGGCAGAAAGCTATAATCAATAAACTAACCCTTTTAGACTACATAGTGACCTTCTGTGTTACATGTGTGTTGCTTTCCCCTTAGGACCATCTGGAAAATTTGTGATACTGGTCTTTTTATTTTACTTTTTTGTCTATCCTTGAATCTCTTATTTACTCTTAAAGTGATTCCCTTCCCTCACCATCATACCACCAAGTGCTCCTGGCTAACCTAAGGAAGCCCTGTACCTGTTTCCTGAGCTGCTTGCCTGGGCTCCAGGGTCCTTTCATTCATCCATGCATCCACCTCCAGCTTTCCCTAATGAAATTTTGACTCACTTTGGTCCTGCCTGTCAGCTCATCTTAAAGGCTAATCCTTGATAATTAATTCTAGAGATTTCTGATGGGTTAATGTATAACACTAACAGGTTAACATTCATATTTAAAAGGCCATCCAGAGATTTGCTGTAATTCCTATTTATTTAAGGCCTAGCTCAAATACAATCTTATTTATTCAACAATCACTTCTCTAGTGGTACCGTGAGTCACATACTGTGCTAGATGAATAAGACCTAGCTCTTGCTCTCTGGAGCCTCACATTCCTGAAAGACAGACTTACAAACAAATACAAGTTGTTATCATATAAATACAGTAAAGGAGGTGTGAACAAAGGTTCTGAGCACTCAGTGGGGGAACAGTTAGCAGGTCCTAGAGCACTCAAGAAGAAAGACTTTTGTAAGGTGCCTGTTGGAGAAACAGGAGTGGAACAGTCTGAGAATGTAAAGAGAATATTGGGCAAAGAAAACATCATCAGAGACACAGAGATAATGAAAAATGTCAATTGCTATTTGCTAAGTCTTTCCTGTGGTTCATGCACAAAGCTTTGCATACATTCTCTCACTTGACTCTCACAAACACCTTTTTAAATAGCTGTTTTTATAATATGTACTTTACAGATCTGGAAACTGAGGCTTGAGGGGACGTTCTGAAAGTTACTCAAGGTTGTCTAATATGGCAGAAGTAGGATTGGAACCAAGATCTATCTGATTGCAAAACATATATTCTTAATCCTTAACTTACTAAAGAAAACTTGTGTTCAGAATATGGTAGGGTGAGGGCAAGGTAGTAGTAGGAGAGAAGGCAGGGAAGGTTTGTAAAGGCCAGACTTCTGAAGGGTTTTATATGTTATACATCCATGAAATAGCTTTTTTAAAATCCATTTTGGTCCCCTAACTCCCAAGCCAGAAGGAATCTTATTTTTCCCTCTTAACCCCCAAGCACTTAATGTTTATATCTCACATCCATTTATAACTTTTGTTTTTTTCCCATTTCCCCATTTACCATTAGGCAACACAGTTTTAATCAAAGGAATTATTTCTTTTTTGAAAAATTGTATAAACCAGGCATGGTGACGTGTGCCTGTAGTTCCACCCACTCAGGAGGTAGAGGTGGGAGGATCACTTGAGCCCAGGAGTTCGAGGCTGCAGTGAGCTATTATTGTGCCACTGCACTCCAGCCTGGGTGAACAGAGTGAGACTATGTCTCTTAAAAAAGATAATAAAAGAAAAAAAAATAAAATTTATATATATTTAAATTATACAACTTGATTTGATATACATATTGTGAAATAATCACCACAATCAAGGTAATTAACATATCCATCATAGTTACCTTTTGTGTGTGTGTGAGAATACCTTTTGTGTGAGAATACTTAGGATCAACAACAAATTTTAAGTATATAGTGTAACATTGTTACTGATAGTCACCATGCCATACATTAACTCTCCAGAACTTATTCATCTTGCATAACTGAAAGTTTCTGCCTTTTGACCAACATCTTTTCATATCCTCCTTCCTTCAGCCCATGGTGAATTCTATGAATTTAACTATATTAGATTCCACATATAAGTGACATCATAGAGTATTTATCTTTCTATGTTTGGCCTATTTCACTTAGCATAATGTTCTCCAGGTTCATTCATATTGTCACAAATGGCAGGATTTTATTCTTTTTAAAGGCTGAATAATATTCCATTGTACATGTATACCACATTTTCTTTATGCATTCATCTGTCAATGGACATGTAAGTCGTTTCCGTATCTTGGTCCTTGTGAATAATGCTGCAGTGAACACAGGAATGCAGGTATCTCTTCAAGATCCTGATTCCGCAAAGGAATTATTTCTTATTCGTCATCTTTATCCCGTACAATACTCCACTCATTTAGTGAATGCTCTACTCACAAGGAAGGAAGGAAGGAGGGAGGGAGGGAGAGAGGGAAGGAGACCTGTGGTTGTAGAAAGTTTAGGCACCTGGGCTTTGCATTTCTTTTATTTATTTATTTTTGAGACAGGGTCTCACTGTTGCCCAGGCCGAGTGCAATGGTGAGATCACAGCTCACTGCATCCTTGACCTACTGGGCTCAAGTGATCCTCCCCACTCTCAGCCTCCCCTGTAGCTGGAACTACAGATGTATGCCACCACACCTGGCTAATTTTCTCTATTTTGTAGAAACGGAATCTCACTCTGTGGCCCAGGCTGGTCTTGAACTCTTGACTCAAGCAATCCTTCCACCTCGGCCTCCCAAAGTGCTAGGATTACAGGTGTGAGCCACTGTGCCCAGCTGCAATTCTTTAAGAAGTTGTGGTTGCCTTGGAGAAATTGGAAACTCTCAGATTCTTAGGCCATCCCTATATGCTAGTTGGTAAGTCATAACTCCAGCATTGCCTCCTGGGTTTCAGTGTGCATGACATCAATATGGGACAAGCCAACTGAGCTTTCTGCCAAAACTTACAGGAAAATCTGGGCTGAGCCACAAATATTATGAGCTCTAACCCAGGGACATAGCAGCTCTCCCTGCAGTTTTTGCTGATTTCTAGATGTTGTGGCTCCCTTGCCTGGGATCCGTTTGGTGTTTAGCACTTAGCCATAAATCAGTCTTGTGTCCTATGGGTAGGCTGGGGCTGGAAAGTAGAGGGAGGGAGAGCAGCTGGAGATACCTAGAGATGTTAACTGAGAATGTGCAAACCAAGAAGGAAGACGGGAACCCAGGCTATCTGCATACCTTTTTCTGTGGATAGGTTGACTGCGTAGACCTTTTTCCAAGCAGCCTGGTTGTGGCCTGTGGCCAGTCAGTTGTGTCTGCAGAAGAAATTGAGCCTTTTCTCTTCTTAAGCCTCCTTCCCTCAAATTCCTAGACCTGGAGCATACCTAAACCTCAGTTTTACCCTTTTCCCTATACAGCAGATAATGAATCACCTGATTTAGAATCAAGGGATGTGGGTTCAGGTACGGTCAGCTACTCACTGTTTGACCTTAGGCAAGTCACATAGTCTCTCTGAGCTTTGGCTTTTTCAACAGAGTTGGAGTTATGCCTCCAGCCAGTCCTGACACCCTGCCCCCTCTGCTCCCTCCGCCCCCCGCCCCCGCCTTCCCCTTCCCCATCCTATAGTTGTTGGAAGAGTGAAATGAGATAATAGGGTTGAAAGTGTTTTGTGAATGGTCAAGCTCTGTGCAGTTAATTGTAAGGGAGGAGGAGGAGGATGTGGTTTCCTGAGGGGCATTTGGGTTGTATGACCCTATTGAGTAAGCCCTTCTTTTTGTGCTGCCTAAAGTGCCACGAGGTGGCAGCAGGATCCTATCTTCCCTCGTCTTTAGTGGAGGATAAAGCCAGGAGAAGATAGGAAAGGCCTTTGGATGCTGCTTTGCTCTATCCTACAAAGGTGAAGAGGATTTATTTCTTTACCATTGTCTACATTTCTCACTCCACCAAATCCCCCTGGTTAATATTAAATAATTCCTCAAAGGACCCCCCCCCCCACTTTTTTTTTTTGAGACGGAGTCTCACTCTGTCGCCCAGGCTGGAGTCCAGTGGCGCGATCTCGGCTCACTGTAAACTCCGCCTCCCGGGTTCACGCCATTCTCCTGCCTCAGCCTCCCGAGTAGCTGGGACTACAGGCGCCCGCCACCACACCCGGCTAATTTTTTGTATTTTTAGTAGAGATGGGGTTTCACCATGTTAGCCAGGATGGTCTCGATCTCCTGACCTTGTGATCTGCCTGCCTCGGCCTCCCCAAGTGCTGGGATTACAGGCGTGAGCCACCGCGCCCTACCAGGAGCCCCATTTTTAAACTAGAATCTCAGGACACTTTCTCCACTTTTGAAGAGGCACAAAGAAGGGAGATAATTTGTCCAATATTAAATAATTAGTTCATTCGAGAAATAAGACTTCAGTTTAGGTTTCTTCCTATGAGTGCAGTCCTTTTGAAAATGTGAGTATTTTCAAGATGTTTTGGGAGGCTTGAAGCGGCTTTGTTTCTTTCAGTGGAGGGGATTTTGAGGGCCTTCTGAGACAGAGGGAAATAGGAAACCTGTCTGTAGCATTCATTTGAAAATCTTTTGAAGTGTTGCCTTGATTAAGAAACTGATTAGGGCACCTTATTAGGAACCACCAAGTATCTGAAAGGCAAGCCTTAGAAACTCTCAGATATGTATGCTAGATGGAGTGCGACAGACACCTCGGGAGAGAGGATCCTTGGTGCATTGTTTTAAGGGATGCATTTCAGAATATGGAGTTTTGCATCAGACTTGCCTTCCTGTTTATATTCTCCTCAGAGGCAAATGTTCAAACGAGACTATTCTCAGTACACTCTGGCTTATGGCAAAGGAAGGTGAGAATGAGGGAAGCCAACCTTAACCATTTGCTATTGATAATCCACATAAGGTGGCAGAGTAACAGAAATAAAAGCATATGGACTTGAGAGTCCAACAGATGCTGGTTCAAAGCCTGCCCCAGTTACTTGCTTTTACAGGCAATTTTCATAGGTTCCAGTTTTCTTATAAAATGGGAGTAATAAGACCTACCTTGTTAGCTATGTAACCTTTGACAAGCTATTTAGCCTCTGTGTAACTCAATTATGTCTGTATAATGAAGGTAATAATTAAATGGAAAGTCCTACTTCATAGGATTTTATAATGATTAATAGGTTGTTTCCTAGAACTATGCATGACATATAATAAGCACTTGGTAAACATTTGCTGTTGTTTTTGGTATTATTATCATCACCATAGAGGGTTGTTATGAGGATTAAATGAGACAGTGTATGTAAAGGTTTTAAAGACAGCAGACACTCAATAAAGTGGTATTTATATGTAACTAATAACCACAGTGATGTAAATAGTATTTACCATAAACGAGCCTGCTTATGATGTAAGTACGGGAGTATTATTTTGTCTTTTGTTTTATGTTTATTCTTACTCCATTATTTGAAGATATTCTTGGCTTTTTAAAATACGGATCTATCTTTTTTTTTTGTAATCTAAAGGCAATAATAATGGTTAACATTTATTGACCCCTTTCTATATGCCAGACCCTGTGCTTTATGTATATTGTCTTAGGAGAATTTAGTAACTTGTTTAAGTCCATTCATCTACCAAATGATAGAACTGGGATTTGAACCCAGACAGTGTGATTCTAGAGGCTGTTTTCTTTTATACTATCCTGCCTACTTAACAAAACGTTTGGACTAAGACGATCCCATATTTTAGCAATAGAATTATGTCTTGTGGCTGAAATATATTTAAGAATTAATCATAAAATTTATAATACATATGAGGCATAATAAAAATGTTCATTACCAATGATCTGGCAGATCCACTTTTGGATATCTAACCTCAGGAAATAATCCAAAATACAGTCACAGTTTTATGGATAAAGATGTTCATCACAGTGTTATTTATATTATAATTTGGAAAAGTTTTAAGGCACTCTAAACATCTGACCAAGGAATGGTTAGTAAAACATGGTATATCTACTTGATGAATTTTTATGGAGGTCTTAGTAATTGTAAACGGTGATGCTGTTTAGAACTTTGTAAGAAAACATACTGTATGTATGTGAAGTCATGAGAAGATAAGTAATAGATACTTTCTTTTTCTTTCTTGTATATTAATCTTTTATTTCCTCATTCCAGCAAGGTGAATAGGACAAAGGGATTCTCAGTCCTTTTATGTATTAGGAGTTGGGAAATTTGAGTAATTTTTAAAGGTTGAATCTTCTCTCACCAATAGGAAGTCTCAGGGAATCTTTTCTTTACTCAGCAAGTAGATTTGGCCCCTTGGTGGACACTTAGAAAGAGTCAAAAGATATAAAGTCCTGAATCTTCTGGTGAGATGCTCACAGTTTTGTTAGCAACAAGTTTGTAGCCAGGAAGCAGAGTGGTATATGTAGAATTAGAGAAAGGCTGGGCAACAGGAATAGACTTTGTATACATGCACTGAGGGGACCCAAGGACTGGAGGGACAGTGTGGCAGAGCTGAGACACAGAGGGTTTAAGTGGCATGCTTAGGGCAGCACAGTGAGACCATGGAAGAGTTGGGATGAGAGTCCCTGGACTCCCGGCTTCCAGAGACATTGATAGTCCCCATCCCTCCAACACCGGAGGCAGTTTTGTTATAGCTCTAAATGTATGAGTAAGTGGATGCTCCTCGTGGCCTCTCAGAAGGATGCTTAAGCATATGAGCTGTTTCCCACTAGTTGCTTATAGAAGAATTGAGGAACCTTCACATAATACCATAGGTCAAGTTTCCACTGAGTTATTGACTTAGAAACTATACCTCAGACTCATTCCACGAAGCTAGAAGCCCAGCATTTTCGTTAGGCTCTAAAATCAGATTTAACATCTGCTACTGAAAGCTCCTGGCTGAAGCTCTTCCAGGAACAACTCGGAAATCCTGGTTTCATACTTCTCTCAAGTCCCTTTAATCAGAGACAGAGGGCATTTTTTGAAGCCATATGGGTGAGGAGGGGCTTTATCTGAAAATGTCCATGAAATGTTCCAAGGTTATGGCAGGCATGATTAGCTTATATATGTCTTTCTAAGAGTCCATGAGGTGAATGTTGAAGTTCCTCATCAGTTTGGGAAGGCTGAAAGCCTGTTTATTCTGTATAATAAGATGAATGCATGCCATCTGGATACCCATTCCTCTGGAAGATCCTCACCTAAAGAGACTGGCTTAATTGTATGGTAGATAGCAGACAGAACTGTTGGTCAAGGCCAGTCAGGGATGCTGGACTTCAGCTATAGCTTTGCAAATTTACCAATCTGGGTAGTCTTTCTCAGTGATCATGTACCTAGCTCCTTGGTTTCTTGGAGAAGCTAGGGAATTAGATTCTGATGAAAAGCCATAGTCCTACTCTGCCTCTTTCTAAATACCTAACCATGTTGTAATTGTCTGGATTACTGACACTGCCCCCTCAGAAAGTGCATTCGTCAAGAGCAGGGATCCAATCTTACTGTTCTCTTTATCCCCAGTGTCAGGCAGATAACTTGGCGGGTACTCAGTAAATGATAGTTGAACAATGAATGAAAGAGGATGGAATCTGAAGCCAGACAGATCAGAATTTACCACTGTGTGACCTCAGGCAACTTGCTTAATTAACAGTTTTAAAATTTGTAAATTGGAATAGCATTACTTACTTACAAGAGTGTTTTTAGGATTAAGTTAATGAATGGAGGGGCCTGATAAGTGATGTTCCTTTGGATTCTGATTCAGTAACATAACAAAGATTGGAACATAGAATCACAGAATTACAAAGCAACTAAGAGAAAACTAGCCTAATTTCTGCCTGGCTAAGTCCTAATCCTTTGGATCTCAGTTTAAAAATTATTTCTTCCAAGAAGTTTTTCTTATCTACTTCCTGTCTCCATTGTCCCCTGAGTAGGTTAATTCCTCCTTCATCATGTTATATTTTCTCTGTTACAGCACTTGTCACAGTTCTTTTTTTTTTTTTTGAGACGGAGTTTCACTCGTTACCCAGGCTGGAGTGCAATGGTGTGATCTCAGCTTACCACAACCTCTGCCTTCTGGGTTCAAGTGATTCTCCTGCCTCAGCCTCCAGAGTAGCTGGGATTACAGGTGGCCACTGCCACGCCCAGCTAATTTTTTTTTTTTTTGTATTTTTAGTAGAGATGGGGTTTTACCATGTTGGCCAGGCTGGTCTTGAACTCCTGACCTCAGGTGATCCGCCTGCCTCAGCCTCCCAAACTGCTGGGATTACAGGCATGAACCACCACGGCTGGCCTTATCACAGTTCTTTTAAAGTATTATCTCTGTTAGACTGTAAACTCCATGAGGGCAGGGATTATATCAGTCTTGCTCACTATAGTATTTAAGCACATAGTAGACATTTATTAAATATTTATTGATTGAATGAAGCAGGGGCTTAGGAAGGATAGGTAATTTGCCCAAAGCAGAAGCTAGACTCCACATCTCTTGACTCCTTGCAGCACAACTGCCTCATAGACAGGCACTTTGGATTCTCAGGTTTTTTAAAAAAGTTTTTGTCTTTTTCTCCTTCATTAAGAAAAATTATATAAGCATTATATGTTCTTAGTAGAATATTTGGGAAATACAGTTAAGCAAAGAGACAGAAAGAAAGAAAGAAAGAGGGAAGGAGTTTAGAAGGCACGGTGCAAAATTTTTTTTTTTTTTTTTGAGACGGTGTTTGCTCTTGTTGCCCAGGCTGGAGTGCAATGGCACAATCTCGGCTCACTGCAACCTCAGCCTCCTGGGTTCAAGCAATTCTGCCTCAGCCTCCCGAGTAGCTGAGATTACAGGTGCCCACCACCACACCTGACTAATTTTTTTGTATTTTTAGTAGAGATGGGGTTTTGCCATGTTGGCCAGGCTGGTCTCAAACTCTTGACCTCAGGTGATCCACCTGCCTCGGCCTCCCAAAGTGCTGGGATTACAGACATGAGCCACTGTGCCTCGCCATGATGCAAAGATATTAAGAAAATCTTAAAGCTAGTGAATAAAAGCCACATTATCTTAAAAGGAATGAAAAAAATAAGACAGTTGGTTTCCCAACTGAAATTATGGAAGACAATGGAATAACACCTTTCAAATAATGAAATAAATAACTGCCAATCTGTAATTCTATATCTGGTGAAAATATTCTTTAAAGGTCAAAGTTAAAATAAAAAACACACACTTATTTTTAGACAAAGAAGTTGCTTGTTTACCCCTACTAGACAATGAGATAATAATAATAAATAAAAAGTTATATGTATAGGAAAGGAATATAAAGTTGTCATTATTCAAAAACAAGGCCGAGCACAGCGGCTCACACCTGTAATCCCAGCACTTTGGGAGGCCGAGGTGGACAGATCACTTGAGCCCAGGAGTTTGAGACCAGCCTGGGCAACATGGTGAAACCTCATTTCTACAAAAATTCAAAAATTAGCTGGGCATGGTGGCACACATTTGTAGTCCCAGCTACTCCAGATGCTGAGGTGGAAGGATCACCAGAGCCCAGGAAGGTTGAGGCTTCAGTGAGCTGTGATTGCACCACTGCACTCCAGCCTGGGTGACAGAGTGAGACCGTGTCTCAAAAAAAAAAAAACCAAAAAACAAAAAACAACCCAGCATGATTATGTCCACAGATAATTCAAAAGAAGCTACAGGTGAATCATTAGAATTAGTAAATGAATTTAGCAAGAGCTCAGAATACAAGTCAACGTAAAAATTCCTGGTATTTTAATATACCATCAACAAATAATTAGAAAAGAAATAGTATTGATGAAGTTTTACCTTAAAAAAAAAAAGGCAGCAAGATGGAACAAGTAGGAAAGAAATAAAGACACATTACCCAAAAGTCTTGTCACATCACCTGGGAATAAACACTATTAATGTTATGGGATACTTTCTTTCAGACATTTTCCTGAGTGTTATGCACACATGCATGCGTGTGCACACACACATAAATTAAAATATTTGTCTTTGTTGTTAAGTTGAGAAATGTCATAGAAAATAGGAAGGGTTGATAACTGGAATTATTAGGAAACCAGGTTATCTAGTGACAGTGTCCAGAAGAAAGGGACACTGCTGCTGTGGAAAAGCAGAAAGCATCTTTGGAGACCCCAGGATGTAGAAAATGGCCTCCAAATCAATAACTCAATAGCTTTTACTTTTAGGCTGTATGTTGCCTTATTAGAGAAGGATTTGGCTCACTGAAAAAGATAAAGTTCTGCCCTGCATTGGCCTTTAAGAGAGAATCTGGTTCCTCTAATAGAATCATAATGGGGCCTGCTCTCCTGGAGGCTGGTTGCCCTGGAAGGCCTTTCGTTTCTAAAAGCTGTTCCAAGAACCTGTCAAGGCAATTAATTAAAAGTTAATAGAGCATTTTCTTCGAGTCCCAGGACTTGCTCAGCTCTCTTATTGGCACAGCTCTTCTTGGCAAATGACATTTGAGCTATAAAAGTTCACCTTGCCCTTGAGCTCCTTGTGACCAATGTGTGTTTTTATTTGTCTTCCTGCCAGTGCAGGTATCCTAAGCTCTTATATTTCAGATGGAAATTTAGCTTTCTGCTTCTTCAGATGCTAAATCTAGAGGATATAGTCCTCATTTACTGTTCAGATCCACACACCACTTTCAAGCAAAGATTTGTCATCCCAGATGTTATTCTACACCTACAGTTTACAAATATCTGTTGAGTTCCCCTACTTTGTGTCAGATGCCATACTTGGCACTGGAGCTACTACAGTGAATAAGGTACAAGCCCGGCCTTTGAGGAATGCATGTTCCTTGAAGGCACACATGTAAACAGGTCTTCCTGGTACTGCATGGTAGGTATACACAGGGTGTGGGAGCAGTGACTAGGGGATCCTAATAGCCCTGGGGAATTAGAGAATGTTGTTGAGAAATGTTTAAGTGGAATCTTCAAGACTCAGAATTTCATGACTTATTGACAGTACTATAATCCCTGTGTAATTAGGATTATGTCTTTATGTTCTCATTGGATAATTAATAGAACATAGGTTTGAAAACATTCTGGCATTTAATAAGTAAATAATTACTGCCTGACTTGTTTTTTTTTTTTTTTTTTTTTTTTTAGAGGCAGGGTCGCTCTGTTGCCCAGGCTGGAGTGCAGTGGCATGATCATAGCTCACTGTAATCTCGAACTCCTGGGCTTAAGTGATCCTCCTGCCTCAGCCTCCTGGTTAGCTAGGTGCATGCCACCATGCCTGGCTAATTTTTAAATTGTTTTTGTGGAGATAGGGTCTTGCTGTGTTGTCCAGGCTGATCTCAAACTCCTGGTTCAAGGGATCCTCCTGCCTTGGCCTCCCAGAGTGCTGGGATTACAGGTGTGAGCCACTGTGCCTGGCCCTAACTTGGTTTTTAAAGAAGTAACTTTCAAGATCTATATGTATTAAATTCTTTTTCCATGCCTAGGACAGGTCTTTGAAAGTTCACAGTCTAGCTGAGAACAGGTTTATCTACCTAAAATAGAGAATAGCAGGAAACAGTCAATGACCAGATACAACAGATATACTTCTGTCACTAACATCACACATCTTTTCATTCCCTCAGGGGAAACACTATCCCAGCCTCAACAAGGAGCTTGATTTGGGCACAGAAACAGGAGAAAGAGACCTGCCTTGCCTCCCTTATCCAACCGGAAGTATTCTTCTTCTTCTGTCTTCAATTTATTGCATGATCACATTTATTGCATGGGTGGCTTCAGGAAGGATTTTAGGGATTCCTGGAAATAATCAGTCTTGAAATACTCCCCTCTTCTTCCTTCATCTAGGATGCTTCCTCTTCTCTCAATATATTCTCACTTATGGGTATAAAGGTAAGTTGAGTCCTCCTTTGATATTAACTCTGCCTTCAGTTACCCTTAACTTTCCTTTAGTCAGCTTTCAACCTAGCCTGAAGAGAAGCCTTTGGAACCCCTGTGTACATGTTGATGGGAATGTAAATTAGTACAGCCATTATGGAAAACAGTATGGAGGTTCCTCAAAAAATTAAAATTAGAACTACCATATGCTCCAGCAATACCATTCGTGGGTATATATCCAAAGGAATTGAAATCAGCATATCAGGGAGATATCTGTACTCTCATGTACGTTGCAGCATTATTCATAATAGCCAAGATATGGAATCAACCTAAATGTCCATCAATGGATGAATGGATAATGAAAAAATGTGACACACATACAGACACATACACAGATATATATACAATGGTATACTATTTGGCTTTTAAAAAGAAGGAAATCCTGTCATTTGCAACAGTATAGATGAACCTGGAGGACATTATGCTAAGTGAAATAAGCCGGGCACAGAAAGACAAATGCTACATGATCTTAGTTTTATGTGGAATCTTAAAAAGTCGAACTCATAGAAACAGAGAGTAGAATGGTGGTTACCAGGAGCTGAGGGGTGGTTGTGGAACTGGGGAGATACTGGTCAAAGTTTCCAAATTTCAGACAGAAGAAATGAGTACAAGAGATCTATTGTCTATCATGGTGACTGCAGTTAATAGCAATGTATTGGATTCTTGAAAATTGCTAAGAGAGTAGATCTTAAATGTTCTCACAACAGAAAGTGATAAGTATGTGAGATGATGGATATGTTAATTAGCTTGATTTAACCATTTCATAACATTATCCATATATCAAAACACATTGTTCACTGTAAATATATATAATTTTTGTCACCTATACTGTAATTTAAAAAAGTAAATTAAAAAAAGAAGGAAAGACTTCAAAACCAACACATTGAATTACTCCCCTGGTATATTGTAAATGCTTTAAAGCCTCAGCTTGGTTGTAAATTCTTTAAAGCTGTGTCTTGTACTTTTTCTATTCCAAATGCAGAGCTAAGTATATAGTAAGGGCTTAATATATTTTTCTTGATTTATTATTCTACAAAAAACAAAGCTTACAGGAAGAGAGATTGACTCTGTTTATTAGGCTGATGAACTATGCTGTTCAGGCAGAGAAGAAACTTAGGGGACTTGTTGCAAGAATGTTTTAGCATTTTCTCATTCAGCTCTGGTTTACTGGACAGACATATTCAGGATAGTTTACTAATTCTTTTAGGGCATAAACACTTATTCATTCCACTAATAGTCTTCTTTTCTAGAAGCTTTTAAAGATATGAGAAATTATTCTCAATCCAAAATGATTTGAGGTTGGGGGATAGGAGGTTTTTGGAGTGCTGGTTAGGGGAACCTGTTTCCAGGACTATCTGGCAAACATGAAAGTCCAGTCTCCACCCAAAGGACTATAAATCATGCTGCTATAAAGACACATGCACACGTATGTTTATTGCGGCATTATTCACAATAGCAAAGACTTGGAACCGACCCAAATGTCCAACAATGATAGACTGGATTAAGAAAATGTGGCACATATACACCATGGAATACTATGCAGCCATAAAAAATGATGAGTTCATGTCCTTTGTAGGGACATGGATGAAATTGGAAATCATCATTCTCAGTAAACTATCGCAAGAACAAAAAACCAAACACCGCATATTCTCACTCATAGGTGGGAATTGAACAGTGAGATCACATGGACACAGGAAGGGGAACATCACACTCTGGGGACTGCTGTGGGGTGGGGGGAGGGGGAAGGGATAGCATTGGGAGATATACCCTTCCCAATGCTCGCTAGATGACGAGTTAGTGGGTGCAGCGCACCAGCATGGCACATGTATACATACATATGTAACTAACCTGCACAATGTGCACATGTACCCTAAAACTTAAAGTATAATAATTAAAAAAAAAAAAAAAAAGAAAGTCCAGTCTCCTAAAAGGCTCATCTGGCAACTGGAGAGAGGGAGGTAAGACCTTATTTCATATACCAGCTTGTTCAACAATAGACCAAATTGATATGAATTATCCACAAACACTGCAAAAATAGAGGAAATAAAGGCTGATTTTCTGAAGTCTTTCCATGTTTCCTCTCATATAAAAGACTTTTACCCACAATACTTGGTTTATGTTTCCATTATACCTTCTTCTCGAAGTAGCTACTTATAGACTTGTGTTTGCCTACCTGTCAGAATGTAAGCCCCTTAAAGGTGAAGGCATGCATTAAAAATACATTTAATTCACTACTTTTTTGAGGTAAAAATAAACACAAGAAAGACTATTATTGATAGTTATACCATTTGCTCAAGAAAAGTTGAAAAGAAAAAACAAAACATCTTTATGGAAGGAAATTGCTCTTATCAAGGAAAGAATGCCATACTATTTAGTCATATACAGGAGATCTCTTCTGCATGTTCAGGGTGGAAGTCGGAATTAGAGGAGATTGGGTATATGTATGTGGGTGAGAGGAAGGAGGAATATTAGAATTTGATGCCCTTTCCTGCTTTTGGTGGTGTGTTAGTTTGTTCTGAGTTGCTATAAAGGAATACCTGAAGCTGGGTAATTTTTAAAGAAAAGAGGTTTATTTGGCCCATGGTTCTACAGGCTGTATAGGCATAGCACCAGCATCTGCTCAGCTTCTGGTGAGGCCTCAAGAAGCTTACAGTCATAGTGGAAGGTGAAGGGGGAGCTGGCATATGACATGGCAAGAGAGGAAGCAAGAGAGAGGAGGAGGTGCCAGACTCCTTAAACAACCAGTTCACCTGAACTAACAGAGCAAGAACTCACTCATCACCAAGGCAGTGGCACTAAGCCATTCATAAGGGATCTGCCCCCATGATCCAACACCTCCCATCAGGCCCCACCTTCAACACTGGGTATCACTTTCCAACATGAGATTTGGAGGAGACACACATCTAAACCACATCAAATTGTTTGATCAGAATCATTTTAGTAATGACAACTAGCATCATATTTCTTTTCTTTTCTTTTTGTTTTTGAGATGGAATCTCTCTCTGTTGCCCAGGCTGGAGTTCAGTGGCATGATCTCCACTCACTGCAACCTCTGCCTCCTCAGTTCAAGAGATTCTTCTGCCTCAGCCTCCTGAGTAGTTGGGATTACAGGTGCTCACCACCATACCTGGCTAATTTTTGTATTTTTAGTAGAGATGGGGTTTCACCATTTTGGCCAGGCTGGTCTCGAACTCCTGACCTCAAGGGATCTGCCCACCTTGGCCTCCCAAAGTGCTGGGATTACAGGCGTGAGCCACCATGCCTGGCCTAGAATCGGTATTTCTTTACCAAGTAAGTAAAGTGACATTTACAGCTACTGCCATGAGATGGTTAGATTTTGTTTCGTTTGTGTGTTCTGCAGTGCTTTTGTTGTTCATTTATTCCAAAATGATAAAACAGAGAATAGAAACCCTAAAGAGAATGAATAAAGAGAGAATAAGGGAAGGAGGGAAAGAGGAAGAGAGAAAGAGATTTTCAGGAGAGGAAAATGTGAAAGCTAATGTGCAAGAAAAAGCACAATAGAAAAATCACAGATGTTTCCAGAAACATTACTTTTTATTCAAAAGAAAATATAGTTACTTTTAAAATTTTTTTTTGAGACAGGGTCTCACTCTTTCATCCAGGTTGGAGTGCAGTGGTGTGATCATGACTCACTTGATCTCCCAGGCTCAGGTGATCCTTCCTCTCATCTAAGTAGCTGGGACTGCAGGTATGCATGACCACACCTGGCTAATTTTTTGTATTTTTAGTAGAGATGGAGTCTCACTGTGTTGCTCAGGCTGGTCTTCAACTCCTGGGCAAAAGTGATCCTCCACCTTGGCCTCCCAAAGGGCTGGGATTACAGGTGTAAGTTGCTGAGTCCAGCCTACAGTTACATTTTTAACATACAAATAAGCTGCAGTTCAACTTTGATAGATATAGGGGAGGTTTGTTCTAAGAAGTGGTAAAGCTGGTCACAATTTAATAAAAGTGACTTCAGTTAATAGCAATTTGAACAGTAGCTTAGTGTCTTTTGAGAACAGTCTAGTTGATTCCCCTGTGTAAGCAACTCTGTGGGGATGAGGGCTCTTTTAAAAATGTTTAAGCCACAAGATATATGAGAAGGTTTTAAAAATCTGGCGCTAATTATAAAAATGCTACTGACAAAGTCTCTGAGATCCAGTAATAGAGTCATAATGACCTCTTTTTAATATACATAAAGAATTAGGGATTAAAAGCCACTTTGTGAGGAAAGCTGTATCTACATTGGCCATTAATAAGTTTGTTAGAGCAATTTCTAGCATAATTGCTATGCTAAAGAATTTGTGGCCAGTTCTAATAGCATTGTTAGTGAATAAAATGTACTGTTATCATAAACTGGAGATATGATTCAAGCATGGGAATTAATTGTAATTACAACACTTCGTTTAAATGTTAAGTTAAAACCAGCCCTTCAACTTTAGTCCAAACTTAGTTTGTTAATTAATTAATGAATTTTAAGGGGGGATTTTCTGACTTGGCTAATTAATTGAATAGTTATATGATTGAAAGTTACAGTTTTCATATCTGAGAATAGACTTGCTTCAGTGCTAAGGAGGTATAGCAGTGTTTTTACTAGGCATATCATTAGTCATAACTTTTGTAGATATTCCATTGAATAAAAGTATCTGTGAACATTGTTCCCCAGCCATCACTGCTGTTTGCCTCTCTCTCTGCTTTCTCATTCTCATTCTTTGCCACAAATGATGGCGGGCAGGTTGTTTGAATTATTAGAGTTATTTTCTTAAGAGAAAAGGGGTGGTATGTGTGTTCGTGTATGTTGGAGGGTGTGTTGGATAGACATATGAGACAGGCAGTCTTAGCCTAAAGGAAAAGTGGGTATAAAGTTGCTATTTTTGGTTCTGGTTTCTTCTTTCTGCATCTTGCCCTATTCCCACCATTACCTGTCCAGCTCCCATTCAAGAAGAGCTTCAGCATTATCAATTTTCATATACCTGTTGTTATACGAGCCAATCTTAAAGACCTCTTGGAGTCTGTGTGCATAGTGGAGATGGCAATATTTTCACATCTTTCCTGAGGTGTGAAGCACCAGCAGTGGTGAATAAGCACTACCAGGTCCTTTTGGAAATTTTTGTTGAGAAAGCCATAAAAGAGAGGGTTTATACATGTGGAAACCATAGCAACCAAGTGGCAAACTACAAATACCAGGTCGTGGTGGCAGCTCATCAGCACCTCATGATACCAGTCAAAGATGACATTGAAGATATTCGGGGCAGCCAGCAGGCTCCAAAGGTCACCACGATGGAAATCAACATTGTGTTGATCCTCTTGTTCTCATTGAGCCGGCCCTCATTTTCCTTCTTCTTATCTACCTTTGCATTTCTCCTGCGGAGGCAGATAACAATCTTCAAGTAGCAGATGAGGATGAAGCCTAGAGGAACAAAATACTGCAGCAGAAAAAGGGAGGTGGTGAAGAGCAGCCGGTCCTTTTTGGAGGGCCAGTTCTCCACACAGGCCACCTGGTGGGTGTAGAGGTCAGTGGGGAGAGAGAGGTTGCGGAAGGGCTCATCAGTGAGGTGGTAGGACAGGAAGAAGGGAATAGACAGCAGAAGGGAAAACAGCCAAATCAGTGTGATGCCCCAGTAGGCATGAGTCACACTGGGCTTCCAGCCACGGGGGTTCACAATTAGCTGATATCTTTCGACAGCAGTGAATACAAGTGAGAATATGGACACAGAGATTGAGACACTCTGCACATAGGATGTGAGTCTGCACATGGTATCCCCAAATATCCAGTGGTCCATCAGAGTGTAGATGATAGTAAAATGGATGCACATGACACACACCAAGGTATCAGAGAGGGAGAGATTGGCAATCAGTATGCTGGTGAAATTCTGAGCTTTTCTCTGCTTCTTAAAGATGATGATGATGAGAGAGAGGTTTCCAAAAAGGCCCACAATTAAGACCACAGTATAGGCTATGCATAATAGGAGTAAAGCTGGAGAAGGGGGTTGACAGGACTCAAAGTAAAAAAATGCCGAGTTGTTGTTCTTTGTGCTGGTTGTATTAGATGCTGGGTGGTTTAGGGAAACTTCCATTGTGTCAGGATTGTAAGAAGAGATTTTCTAAGCTTATTTGTGTTGTGGGTGGATATTTTGGCCATTAGTTCTTGGAAGGCACCTTGTTGTGAGGCATCCGACGAGAAATTAGTAGGGTTTAATCTTCCCTGATCTGTGTCTGTATTTGATGGAAACATGTGAATGACTTGAGCGTGCTCTTGAGACCCTAAAAAATGAAACAGAACCCAGAATATCAATGCAAGTTCTTAATATGGATAATTCTCTAGTGGTAGCAAAGCCCCTGAGAGGACATAGAACAAATATCCAGGGGATCTCTGTGTACCTTTACCCTCCTCTCAGCTCATCTCAGGTGCTTTCTTTGTCCCGCTAGTATAGTCTTCAGAGCTAGTGAGGCAAGGAATGTAACAGCATCTTGTTAACTATAGAAGCAGCCAAATGTGTTTCTATCCCTATCAACTTCTGCTTTTTTTTTTTTTTTGAGATGGAGTCTCGCTCTGTCACCCAGGCTAGAGTGCAGTGGTGTGATCTCTGCTCACTGCAACTTCCACCTCCCAGGTTCAAGCGGTTCTCCTGCCTTAGCCTCCCGAGGCAGGAGACAGGGACTGCAGGAGACTGGGACTACAGGTGTGTGCCACTATGCCCAGCTAATTTTTTGTATTTTTTGTATCTGTAGTAGAGACGGGGTTTCACCATGTTAGCCAGGATGGTCTCGATCTCCTGACCTCGTGATCTGCCCACCTCGGCCTCCCAAAGTGCTGGGATTACAGGCGTGAGCCACCATGCCCGGCCAACTTCTGTATTTTTTTAGGGTCACCTGAGTATGCACACACTTGCTTCAATGGACTATAAAAAGTCAGGAGGATAGGGATTGTGCTTTGGAGGCCTGAGTACTGTGTTTGAAGTTGGGTTCTGTTATGGTTTGTTTGAATGTTTGTGTTCCCTCCAAAATTCATGTTGAAACTTAATCCCCAATGCAACAGTATTAAGAGGTAGGGCTTTTAGGAGGTGACTAGGCCATGAGGGCTCTGCCCTCATGAATGGATTAGGGCCTCATAAAAGGGCTTTGTAAGGGCAAACTCATTCCTTTTATAAGGAGACCCTAAGTGAGTTTGCCTCTTCTGTCCCTTCTGCTGTGCGAGTATACAGCAACAAGGTGCCATTCTGGAAGAGAAGAGCCCTTACCAGACACTGAACCTTTTGGTGCCTTGATCTTGGACTTCCTAGCCTCCAAAACTGTGAGAAATAAATTTCTATTGTTTATAACCTTGTGATATTTTGTCTGTGTTATTTTGTTAAAGCATCACACATGGACTAAGACAGGTTCCAGTTGGAGCATCACTTCTTGGTATTTGTCTGACTTTGTTGTAGGTCAGTTACCCTTCCTCCTCTGTTTTCTTATCTGTAAAATGGGGATAAATAATCTCTATCTATCTGAGTAGTTGTGAAGATTAAGTGAGAACACACATCTAAATTTGTCCCTCAGCCCCAACATAGAGCACATAGTAGGTACTCAGTATATGTATGTTGAATAAAATTTGTCAGCTCTACTGCCCAGAGCCAGTCTACAGCCTTTAGTTTGGGGGCCAGAATTACAGAACATATCTGCTATGGAATAGCATGTGCCTTCTCCTCTTTTCACTTCTTCCACTCTCTGGGATTGAAGCCATAGGCAGTTTCGGGGTACATTGCGGATTTTGGAGATTAAGGCAAGGAAGGCAGCCAGCGTCTAGTGAGCTATTACCCAGAATTAACTTCATTTAAAAAGCATTCCTCCAATTCTTCCTTCCTCCAGATGCTTTCTTCTTCTAACTTCTAGAGGAAAGGCAGGCTCTGGTTCTATGGCTCAGCATAGTTTAGGGTGGTTATATTCAGTAGAATTATTCATACCGGGATGTACAACAGGCTTGAAGGATTCCCTGCCATTCAAAGTGCTGGGATTTCTGGCCCAAAGAGAAAACATTGAAAGACAGCAAAGGCGGAGGTGGGGGGGTACTCCTCATCTTGGTTTATTCTTTAGTAGTTTGAAGAAAACAACATAAATAACATTGATAAAGGGAACTGAGCAATAGGAATGAAAGGGAATGCAATTTTGTTTGCTGTTTGAAATTATGATGGCCTCTTCTCACGTTCTTTCTGAGATCTAAGGCTTAGCAGTTTCTTACTGGAAAGAAATCACCTTAAGAATAGTTAGGTCTGTCATGGTTTCAACAATGGATAACACAATGAGGAACAGCATAAAAATACCACAGATGAACTGGGCGTGGTGGTGTACACCTGTAGTCCTAGCTACTCGGGAGGCCGAGGAGGGAGGATCCAAGGAACTGATCTGTGGCTTAGACGTGTTAAAAGAAAAACTTAAGCTGAATTAAATTTGAAGGAGTTTAATTGAGCAATGAACGATTTGTGAATCAGGCAGCCTCCAGAATTACAGCAGATTCAGAGAGACTCCAGGGATGCCTCGTGGTCAGAACAAATTTATAGATCAAAAAAAGGGAAGTGATGTCCAGAAATTGGAGGTGAGGTACAGAAACAGCTAGATTGATTACAGGTTGACGTTTACCTTCTTTGAACATAGTTTGAATGCTTAGCAGTCTATGAGTGGTTGAAGTATGGCCGCTGGGATTGGCTAAGACTCAGCTATTGTTACAGGTGCATACTCCTAGGTTAGGTTTTCAATCTTGTCTGCCTATTAAGCTAGGTTACAGTTCATCCACAGGGACTCAAATGTAGAAGTACAGAGTCCTTCTCAGGCTATATTTAGTTTGCTTTAACACGTGCTATGTGGTAATAAGAGAAATAGCAAAATTTATAAATAATGGTATTCAAAAGGAAAGTTTAAGGCCTGGATGACTCATGAGACCCAGAGTTCACAGATATTGGCTGAAGGAGAATTTCAAGTAAAATTTAAGCTCTCTATACAGTTGATAGATTAGAACTATACATGAGAGACAGAAAGCTTTGATTGCTAATTAGAGGCCTCCTACCAAGCAAGCCTCACTTAAAGGAGGATAGGAATGAAAGGAAATAGGCATTAACTGCATATGTAGTTGAGTAAACTAGAATGAGCACTAGATTTTGTGTCAGGAGACATGTCCTGTTGTTTACTAGCTGTTTGATCTGGGGCAAGGCACTCTCCTCTTGGCCTCAATTTCTTTATCTGTCAAATGAAATAAAAAATAGCCTCCCTACTTCATACCTTGTTATAAAGGCCAATGAAATAATATATTTAAAACATTTTAAGAGGATTGAAAAACGACCTATCGGGTAGTATCCTTGTTACCTGGGTGATGAAATAATCCATACACCAAACCCCCATGACATGCAATTTACTTTTTTTTTCTTTTTTCTGAGACGGCGTCTTGCTCTGTCGCCAGGCTGGAGTGCAGTGGTGCAATCTTGGCTCACTGCAACCTCTGCCTCCTGGGTTCAAGTGATTCCCCTGCCTCAGCCTCCTGCGTAGCTGGGACTACAGGCACACACCACCACACCTGGCTGATTTTTTTTTGTATTTTAGTAGAGACAGGGGTTTCACCATGTTGGCCAGGATGGTCTCGATCTCCTGACCTCGTGATCTGCCCACCTTGGACTCCCAAAGTGCTGGGAGTATAGCCGTGAGCCACCGTGCCCAACCAACATGCAAGTTACCTATATAACAAACCTGCACATGTGCCCCTGAACTTAAAAGTTTTTTAAAAATTAAAAAAAATTGTATAAACTGTTAAACACTGTTCAAACCCAAGTGCTCATTATTGTTGTTGTTATTCTTGTTGCATGTCTCAGACACTTGGACTGAACTGATCTAATCCTCATCCTCCAAAGAGCTATGAGTGCTTTCATATCTGCTATGCTATTTATTTTTCCATCACCAGTTGTGTTAGGGAGGAGTGGGATTGTTATAGTTCCATTTCATAGAGGAAAAAACCAAAGTACAGAAAAGTCCAAGGAGTTAGCTAAAACCAAACAAAACCAGAAAAGTCTTGTGTGTTTTTTCTTCCAAGCTCTTATTATTTACAAGAAAGAAAAGCTTCCTATGAATCCTGCAGGTTTTCTCTTTACAGATGTGAAAACTCATATAATTTTGCAGGGTTCCTAGCAGATAAAGATGAGAATAAACATCGAGAGCTCTTGTGTTGCCTATTCTTGTCAATCTGGGCTGACTTCATAGTGAATGGGGATTACTCAAAATCCTGCAACAGCAGGCTTGAAACTGGGTGGCAATTCTTCTGCTCTCCTGTATTCTGATTAGTAGCAAAGTACAAATTAGCTCCCCAGTCTATAAATTCCTATCTCAGCTTGGAGCTCAGAAAAGCCTATAGATCTGAAGGGCCTCATCTTAGGAGGGAATCAAAGGAGAGTGCTGGAGTTACATTATCTAGTACCCTCTACACAATACAGAGAAGATTAAATAGGAAAATGGCCAAATTTGGGCTTTAAATGGCAATGTGGGATTTACACTTTATGTAACTGGTAACTATTAAGTTAAAATATTTAAATCCTGCCTATCTGGAAGCAAAATAATACTAAGCCCTGTTCATAAAAAAATTCTTGGGATTCATTTCTATTTTAGGAGAGTTCATCTTTGGCTTGTTTGGTTGGAATTGACCCATGGAAGTGAGATCTCAAATTATCAAGTGACATTTTACTAAAAAATATCAGTAGCATATGGCAGCAGTTAATCCTAAACCTTCAACTTGATTGTATCTAGCTCATGAGGCACCTGCCTTGAACTGATTCAGTTTATGCCTTTTAACATAAAAGTACAACAGTATGTTAAATTTTTTGGGTAGTTTTGTGTTTAAAAGTTTCAAGATGAACAAAATAAGAGCATAATTCCACCAAAGTTTTTATGTACATGTTTATTTCTGCATCTGAATGTCATTTTGTTAGTGTGTATCTTTCTTCTGTCTCTTTATTCATAAAATTCTTTTTTTGAGGGGGAGAGAGCTGGGGGTAGAGTTTGTGTGTGTCTGCCTTTTGGTCTGTCTGTTTTTTTCCTTACCATTTACTCTCTTCCTCTCTTTCTGTCCATCTGTCTTATTCTTTACTCTTGTTTTACCCCTTTCCCTTAATTGTCCATGGCATAGAAAAATTATATTTTACATTATTTGTTCTATTTCATTTGGGGCTATGGTGCTTTGATCTGAAAGAGACTATAAAGGTCCTCTAATATATTCCTTTCATTTGACAGATATTGCAGCATTGCAGTTAAATATTAGCAGAACAGGGACCAGAGCCCAAGTCTTCTGGCTTCCAGAGAGTTCCGTGTTCTTTCCACAATTTTCTATTGCCTCCTGTTTTATATTTCTTATATCAAGTTCTGTATTTCCTGTCGTTAATTTTAAAAGCAAAGAAGTAGAATATTTTCTATTCGTTCTATATGAACAAAATTCTGTTATGTAACTTCAGAGAGTTGTGGCTTCAGAGAGTTTGTACATCTCCCAACCCCCAAGTATATATGTGAGGAGCCCAAAATGGGGTAGGACCACACTGTGAGCATCTCCCATAGAATTCTCTCTCCTTTTTCTTAAATCTCTAAGAGTACAGATTCTATGGTTGTGCTGATGCAGATAACGTCTCATAGTCTTCAGGGCTTAATGATTTTTAAAGTACTGCATTGTTCATTAATTAATTCATCAATAATTCATGTGCTGACAAGGCTTGCTATCTTACTTGATCTCTACAGCAGCCCTGTACTCTAGATAGGAATGATACTTTATTTCTGATTTACAAACATGGAAACTAAGATCCAGTGACTGACTCATGGTTGTGTAGTTAGCTGCAGAGCCAGGAACAGACGTCTACTTCCTAAATCGTATACAAGGCAATATTTCTAGTTTATTTGGTCATTTCATTTTTTAAAAGATCAGTCAAATAAATCATTTGTGTTCCATGAAAACAAATAGACTAGAATCTCTGTAAAGGTACATCTTAGAGCTTACCCTAAGAACAAAGTACTACATTAAGTAACTGCACTAAGCATCAAGAAACAAATGCCTAATCTCTTACAGCGTTATTAAAAAAGTATAATTGGCCTGGTTATTCAACATCATGCAAACCTCCTTAAGTTATTCAACTGTTCACCCATTCCAAAAATCAAATTTCATATCTATCTGTTGCAGAAGTGTGTGCTGTCTTTTAAGACTTGAGGATTACATTTGACCCAACCATTCTTTTATTACATGTACTTTGATTTTTCTCTGCTGAAAATGGTTTATATGTTTTCTTTCCTTGAATTTGACCATTGCCTGAATCCATATAAAGTGGTAGTGGAAAATATATATGCTTCTCAAAGCTACTGTTTTAAAAACAAGCCAACACAGCTTGTCTGAATTGACTTTTATTTTCTTTGAAGGTTAATAACCGAACTTATCATTTTAGGAATGTGGGGGTTTTCAGTTCTTTAAAATAATAAAACATTGAGTGCATTAAGAAAGGAGATCTCAACTCTGCCAATGAAAATAAGTATACCAGATTTTTAAGATTATTTACTAAAAGATAAAGTAATTAAAACCCCATTGTGCCAATACTAGCTTTTGGTGGTTTCTTTTTATAATTTTCTTACAGTAGTGCATTCTGAAACTGTAGGGTTGTTTTTCAAATCATATATGTAAAAAGGCATCTAGTACAATTTAGCCTAAAAGCACTATATTTCCAATTTTTAATGATCTTCATTTACTTTTTAAAACTGGATTATTCTAACATGAAATACACATTGGATAAACACATTTGCAATATTTTTCTTAAGCATTTTAGAGGTTTGTTTCCCATTTTCTTACCTGTCGGAAATGTCTAGCTCTTTTGCTATTCTCATCTTCTGTTGTTTTCTTTCTTCATTTCCATTATTATAATTTTTTAAAGTTTATCTGTCAAGGATGACATGTTAGCCTTCTCTCAAAAAGTCATAACATCCCCCGTTCCTTCTTGGATTATTTATCCACCAGACAATCTGTAGCTTCACTTCAGACACTGATCCCTGGAGTTGGAATCATTGCACAGAGGATTGAGCTTTGGAATCCAGTGGGCACTGAAGGTCACTGAAGAGCCGGAAGGGAGGAGTCAGAAATCTCAGCAGCAGTGACATGAGGTGGAGCTGTTTAAAAGATATTTTCAAAATGTCACTTTCAGTCATCTTGTAGAGATGATAATAAGAGTGCCTCTTGAAAATCTGTGGCATTTTCTGGCATATATATATGTATATATATATATATATATTTTTTTTTTAAATTAGCACGGCCAAAATCAGACATTTAACTTAAATATTCCTGGAAAATTATTAGTAAACATTAATGGTTGTTCTTAGAGCATTTACTGTTAGTTAAGAGATGGACACATAGAGGGCAGCAGCACACACTGGGGCCTTTCAGAGGGTAGTGGGTAGGAGGAGGGACAGGATCAGGAAAAATAACTAATGGGTACTAGGCTTAATATCTGGGTGATGAAATAATCTGTACAAAAAACGCCCATGACACCAGTTTACCTATGTAACAAACCTGCACTTGCACCCCTGAACTTAAAAGTTTAAAAAAAGAGATGGTGCTATTCCAGATTTTGCAGTAATTTATAAGATTAATGAAGATACTTTTGAAATTGAAATTAATGCCAAGTTTCTGAGCAAGTATGTATTATAAATATAAGATTTTTATCAACTACTTTGGAGCTGACAACAGCTGAGCTGCTTATAGACTATAGATGAAAGTGGGGACTAAAAAGCGCTTTTCCTGTATTTGAAAAATTATTACAAGAAGGGGCCTACTTCTCATTTATAAAAGACTCAAAAAGTAAGATTTATATTAAATATAAGAAATATTTCCTTATAGTGAGTGTTTGAAGACTTTAGAAAACAAGGTTGTAGAAGATTGAGTATGGTTGAAAATATTTGTGGCATGGTCTAGTGGATGAGCACACAACATTTTCAAATACTACATTTCCTAAGCCAAGGACTCAGTGATAGAACCCTACATTTTAGGGCCAGGCTGTGTGATTCAATCCTGTTTCCCTACCCAAATACATCAAACTACCCTAAAGAAACTCAAAATTTCCAGGCAGTCAACAACATTGACATTGTGTGTCTGTGTTTTATAGAATCCTGCTGGGTCACTGGCTGGGGGGACTTGCAGGTAGAGTAGGAGTGGGATGTGTACTATGGACGTGAAGCCAATCTCCTCCTCTGTAAGAACCTGAAGAGCAGATACTATCAAAGCAGTTCAGTGGCTTGTATTTCTTTCCCCAGTCAACTTTTAGCAATGTCCCATTACTTATTTACCTGTTTGTATTTAAAATACAGAGAGTAGCAAACTTTGGAAGATTGTAGGGCTATTGGAAAGTACCTTTTCCATATATAGAGTATTGGCAAAAGCTAGTGGTGCCACAGGTTTGGTGGATATTAAGAGATCATTTTAGTTATCTGTGATCATGATGATTTTGAGAGTCAGCTTGAGTGGGAGAGAGCTAGGTCTGAATTTGGATTCTCCAGCATTACCTAGCTGGGTGATCTTGAGCTTCTCTCTAAGCTTTTATTTTTATTTTATTTTATTTTTTGCCATCCAGTTCTACCCCAAAAGGAGGAAGCAATAGATCTTCCTTTAATAACTTCCCAAAGTGTTACAAATAATAAAAACAAGCATAAAGCATCGCTGGGGTGGCTGAACGCGGAGCAGGGAAGGATTTGCTCCTCTGCTCTCTAAGCTTTTGATTCCTTTCCTATAAGGTGAATATAGCCACCTATCCTGCAGGATTATTTTGAAGATTAATGATAGAACATAGTAGATATTCAATAGATAGTAGTTATTACTGTTGCTGTTGTTTAGAATTTCGCTTAGTAGAAACATAAAATTTGAGTTAATAACAGAGTTTATTGTTTATTATTCTAAAGGAAGTCTGTAATGAGTGTGGGAAATTGAGAAATGACAAAACCAGAGTCATTTTTAAAAAAACTTTTAAGGGGATGTTTGGTGTAAATCTGTGTTCTGAGGTGAGGGGTCCACTGTTGTTAACATTTTTGCTCACCTAGGTACACATAGAGAGCTATTATAATCTGATGTAAACAAACGATGAGGAGCTAACACACAATGTCCATTTATTTTTTTTCCTTTTCAAAGACACTTCTTTGTCATCAAGGTTGGGTGTGCTTAGGAATTAAGGTATATATATAAAGGGAAGCCTACTGATTAATACTTCTGTTTTCTCCAGAATCACCAGGAAATACATTAATGCCTTCAAGAAAGATTAAATGGGAAAAAGGAATGTTTGGATGGAAAGACCGAATATTATAAAGATTTTGTTTCTTCCCAAGTTAAATTGTAGATATAATTCAATTTCAATGAAAATCCCAAGAGAGGTTATAAAAAATTACTTATAAAGTATTTGTAAGTGAAAATAGCTTTGAAAAATGGAATAATTAAAATGAAAAGCATGATTAACAACACCAAATATTTTAAAATATTATAAAGTGTGAATAATTAAATCAACGTAATGCTGGGCCAAGAATTAGCAGACAGATCAAGGAATGGAATAGACAGAAATAGACCCTGGTATATATAACGTGTTAATATATGACAGTGAAAGCAGTAAGGATTGCTTTTTTTTTTTTTTTGAGATGGGGTCTCACTCTGTCACTGAGGCTGGAGTGCAGTGGTGTGATCTCAGCTCACTGCAACCTCTGCCTCCTGGGTTCAAGCAGTTCTCCTGCCTCAGCCTCCTGAGTAGCTGGGACTACAGATATGTGCCACCACACCCAGCTAATTTTTGTATTTTTTGTAGAGATGGGGTTTTTCCATGCTGCCCAGGCTGGTCTCGAACTCCTGGCCTCAAGTGATCTGCCCACTTCTGCCTCCCAAAATGCTGGGATTACAGGCGTGAGCCACCGTTCCCAGCCAGCAGTAAGGATTTCTAGGGAAGGAAAGAATTATTAAGTAACTGTTGCTGGAATAGTTAACTAGCTGCTTAGAAAAAATATTAATTTAGTTTCGTACTATACACTAGAATAAATCCCAGGTGAAAGAATTTGAGAAAACAGACTCAAAAAAATATTAGTAGACAATATAAGAAAATACAGAAAATAGGTGGCTCACACCTGTAATCCCAGCACTTTGGGAGGCTGAGGAGGGCGGATCACCTGAGGTCCCAAGTTTGAGACCAACCTGGCCAACATGGTAAAACTTCATCTCTACAAAAAATACAAAAATTAACCAGGTATAGTGGTATGTGCCTATACTCCCAGCTACTCAGGAGGCTGAGGCAGGAGAATTGCTTGAACTCGGGAGGCGGAGGTTGCAGTGAGCCAAGATCACGCCACTGCACTTTTGGGGTCAAGTGATCCTCCTGCCTCAGCCTCCTGAGTAGCTGGGACTACTGGCATGCACCACCTTGCCTATTTCATTTTTAAATTTTTATTTGTGGAGGGAGGTTCTTGCCATGTTGGCCAGGCTGGTCTCAAACTCTTGGTCTCAAGCAGTCCTCCCGAATTGGCCTCCTGAGGCACTGGCATTACAGGTGTATGAGCCATCTTGCCTGGCCAAATGGAAACTCTTTGAAGGCTAAAAATACGTCTTATTTACTGCTGTATCTTTAGTGTTCCTGCATAGTTTCTGGCACATAGCAAGTCTTTGGTGAATATTTGTTGAATGAATGAATAAATGAATAAGCTTAAACTCAAAATAAAATACAAGGGGAAAAGTTGAGATGCCTATTTAAAAATTTTTAAACTTTCTTGAAAAAAATCAATATATAAGTTAAGACACAAAAATGGAAATAATTATAAGAAATATGATGCAAAAGACAGTATTTTTCTTTATGAAGCATATATATGAATCACCAAGAAAATAGATTAGTATCTGTTAGTATGTATGGACAATTAACAGAAGGGCAAATAAAGACTAACAAATATTTGCAAAAAAAGGTTCTGTTTCACTAGTAGTCAGAGAAATAGAAAACAAAACAGCAATGAATTATTTTCATTTATCAGTTAATCAAATACTGGAAAAAAGTCATGAATACCTGATATATTGATAATGGAGGGTGAAAAGGGCACCTTATACATTATTGGTGGACATATAATGTAGAATACCTTATTAGAAAAAACTGGGGACAAACATTCAAGATATTTAAAAAATACTTATTTCCTTGGTTTCCATAGTCTAGCTGTACCCTAAGGAAATACTAGGAAATGCAGATAAAGATTTATAAATAAAGATATTCATCACAGTGTGATTATAGTAGTAAGAAACCAAAGATCATCCTAAACCTCCAACATTAGGGGAATGGTTAAGCAAATTAGAGGGTACTCTAAGTCTGCACATGACTTATGCAGCCCTTGCAAATGATATTTAGAAATAATAAAATATGAGAAATGTTTATGATATAAAGTTAAATGAAAAATGGATGGTATAAAATCATGATTCACAGTATGATCTCAAATATGCAGAGCAGTATACACAATAAGGGAAATATAACAATGTTAATAGTTTAGGGTTAGGATTATGGGTGACTTTCATACTTTATACTGTTTTATATTTTTGTAGTTTTTCAAGTTTTTTATAATGAACATATATTACTTTCATAATTGAAAAACAAGTTTTGTTTCTTTTTAAGCATACAGTGTTGGAGATATAGATCTCTCTGTCCTGTAATCGTTGGTGATAAAACTTAGTGAACAATAGGGTTCTGTTTGCCTCAAGTTAAAATTCACTGCTTTAATTGCAAAAGTTAATTTATAGGCCAGTAATCTTATACAGCAGGCAGTTTGGTTGATAAAAGTATCCAAAGAAAGAACTGAGCATCTGACTTTTCTTATCTCTCCAGAGCCCTTGTACCATTGATTTCTGCTCTCTCATTATATCGTGTGTTTTATTTTTAGTTATAAAATACGTTTTATTGCCTTTAATCTGATATACCTTTGTAAGCATGAATTAAGACATGAGATGATTTTCTGAAGCCATGTTTTTACCATATTAGGGAAAGTTAAGATTGAAAAATACGAGTAGTAGGTTCTAAACTCCCAGTCATCCATGTTATAATTAGTCAATTATTGCAGAAACTTGGTAGAGAAAGGTTTCCTGTTTTTTTTTCTCCCCCACTACAGCCATCTTTACTTCTGTCAATAACTCTTTTGACTTTGTTAACAGCTCTCTCATTATATACATTTAAAAAAGAAAAGCTGTTATCAATCTGCTCAAATTTTTTTTTCTTAGATTTCAGTAGATCCTGGATGAAATATTCCCTAAAGTTTAGAGTATCACCTTAAGACCTGGGTGACAGGGCCCCCTACTTTGGATCTTATACTTAAAGGATGCACATATCACAAATGTTTAAAACATAAGTGTCATTTAAGATCCAGCACTAAGTGGCATAGTACGATTTGTAATCCAAATGTCCACTGTAGTGACTAACACCATTCAGGCTCCAGATAACACTTTCCTCCATCTCTTCCCGTCTGCCATTGAAGCAAAAAGTGATTCTGTGTGAATGCCGTGAAGGTTATGGGCTGTTGATGCTGGTTATGGACACTGCTTTGGAGTATGGGGAGGATTTGAGTGACAGAAGTTCTTAGGTGAGGGAAAAGACAAATTAATTAGCACAAATGGAGTAGATTCTTGCACACTGAGGTATCATTTCCCAGGGCTGCTGAGCATCCATTTTCTTGTTTCTCTTTGTATTCCAGTATGTAGTTCTGGAGATATAAATTAGGATGATATTTGTAACAGTGGCTCATGGCAGTTGAGGAATATTTTGCAATGTTAAACAACTCATATTACTCTTAAATTTTATATATGAAGGTCCTGATATTCTGGACATTGGCCGTGGATGAGCCTTGAACTCTAGAATTGTGAGTAGTTCTGTTTTTGTAAAAATACATAATAGGACTTAGTTTTTTTAAAAATCACATTAAAGTTTAAACTTTATTATAATAAATTTACTTAAAATTTGGTAATTGCTAATTATAATTTGTATTTTGTCTTTGAATTTTTATACATAATTTTGAATATTTTAGAAAAAAGATAACATATGATAGCTGGGCACTGCAGCCATCCAACTTAGCCTGCCTCACCCACACCCATGTGGTACCTTCAGCCCTGGCCAAGCTTTGAGGCTCTGTCACTGAGCAATGGTGACTGCACATGGGCAGCTCTTCCTCCATCCCCCCAGCCTCAGCCCAAATTCTTACCTGAAAGCATCACTGCCCTGGCCCCTCCCTCCCGGCTACCCCTGCCACCTCTACTGTCTCCCCGCCCCGCCCCCCGCCCCTCCCCCCCGCCCACATCCTCACCCCACCCCCCTGTCCCCTGGCTAAGCAGGGGAGAAGTGGGCTGGGGGTAGCCTGGATGTGGGGCAAGTCCACTGTCCTCCTTGATGGCAAAAGCCCATTGAAGAAGAACCAGTCCAGTCTCCCCGTCTTTTCCTGGAATATTTTTGGGGTTGGAACTCAAAAAGGAAAAAATTACATCAATCTTTTCTCAAAAAAAAAAAAAGAAGGCTGAGGCAGAGCCCAGGAGTTCAAGACCAGTCTGGCCAACATGGTGAAACCTTGTCTCTACAAAAAATACAAATTTTTGTATTTAGCTGGTGTGTGGTGGTGCTGCCTGTAGTCCCAGCTACTTGGGAGGCTGATGCATGAGAATCGCTTGAACCTGGGAGGCAGAGGTTGCAGTGAGCTGAGATTGCACCACTGCAGCCTGGGCAACAGAGTGAGACTCTGTCTCAAAATAGAAAAAAGAAGATAACATTTGAAAACCAGTATGAAATTTTTAATTTTTCACATTTAATATAAATTTTGGTGAACTTTAAATTTTAAACACTTTTTTCTTATATCAATGTTTATTTTTTAATTGACATGAAAATTATATGTATTTATAGTGTACACTATGACGTTTTGATATATGTATACATGTGGAATGATTAAATCAAGCTAATTAACATATCCATCACCTTACATCCTTATCATCTTTTTGTGATGAGAACTTTTAAAATCTACTGTCTTGGCAATTTTCAAGTATCAATATGTTATTATTAAACACTTTTTATGCTCTAAATAAATTGAATTTATTTTTAATCCTTTGGATACTTACTGGCAATATGACACAAATTATGAGAAAACCTGATTAGTGATTTGATAAAATTAAGGTAGAAAGATAAATTGTATGGACTATATTGTAATTTAAAAATTATGTATGTCTTTATCTTATTTTTATCTAGACACTGCCAGCTCATCAACATTATATCCAGACATGTACAATACTGCTTAAATTCAGTTGTCTTGGATATTCTGTCAACTTTTAGTCATACAAAAATCACAACTAGGTTAGGCATGGTGGCTCACACCTATAATCCCAGCACTTTGGGAGGACAAGGTAGGAGGATGGCTTGAGGCCAGGAGTTCAAGCATGGGCAGCATAACAAAATTCTGTCTCTACAAAAAACAAACAAACAAACAAAAACCAACCACAAAAACTTAGCCAGGCATGATTGGCATGTGCCTGTAGTCTCAGCTACTCAGGAGGCTGAGGTGGGAGGATCCCTTGAGTCCAGGAAGTCAAGGCCACAGTGAGCCATGATTGTACCACTGCACTCCAGCCTGGGTGACAGTGAGACCCTGTCTCAAAAAAAAAAAAAAAAAAAAAAAAATCATGCTTTTATACATATTTTAAAATTTTCATCAAGGCACATGAATTAAACATTTTATTTAACAGATTGTTTTATAACTTTTTCATTTTTAGAGATATACTATGGGCTTTCATTTATACTCTGGCTGTGGACCTTGCAAATATTAGGCCTGGATTTGCTTACAAGTATCTTATTTGTTTGCTTTAGAGTTGAATTATTTTAAAGTAAGTGATGTTTTAAAAATTTTAGATGTAAGTACTATTGTTTAACAAAAAGTTGGGAAATACCATGAGGGGAAAAATAATATTGTCACTGTAATACCTGAATTTTAGCATTTTAAAGGATTATCTGCTTTAAAATGTGTCTTAAGTTCATCCTTTTTCAAACTCCATTGCCATTCTAGTCATCCTAGTTTAAGCCACCATCATTTCTTACCTGGACTAAAGCAATGGTGTAGTTACTTGTCTCTCCACGTTTTCTTTTACCTCCTTCCAATCATTTCTCCACACTGCGTCAGAGTAGATTTTGAAAAAAAAAAATAAATGAGATCATGTTGCTTTTTCTTCACCTAAAGCTTGTTGACAGTATCTAATTGCAGTTGTGGTAAAATCCAAATTATCTACTATTCCTTATGAAGTCTTATATGATATCTGCCTCTCCAGTTTTCTGTCATATCTCTCCCCTTCCCCACATCTATTAAGTCCTTCCCAATGTTAGTTTTAAGGAGAAGTTTTAATAGAAGACAGGAAGAACTCTGTAGCTTGATTGTTAAATGGCAGCTAAAATAAATACTTTATTTTTGACAGTGCTTACTTTTATATCTATGTTATTATAGGACCCCACCTTCTCTTAACGCTCTTTGATGATGGCTGGTTAAGTTTAAAGGGGTAAGGTAGAGGTAGGGGTGGGAATTGGCAACATAAATTAGAAGATATTTCAAAAATGCTACTGCTTTTATCATAAAAATCCATTTTTTTTGGTAGAACATAGTTTAACAAGTTTCCCACTGATGGACATAGATTGTTTCTAGTTCTCCAGTCCCATTGTAAATACCACATTATAAACAATGACTTTTGTGGTTAAATATTAGCCGACACTCATTTCTAGGAAGTAACAGTCAGGGGTACACTGTTAAATATTAGCCCACACTCATTTCTTAAGGAAGTAACAGTCTGGGGTGTACTGATGTTTGAGCATGCCTGACACATCTTCATATCCAGACCTGATCAGTATGCTATGATGCCATGGCAGACAAATAAGTCAAAGCATAAAAACCATTGAAATAACTTTTGCTAGGATTTCATTTGGAATGTTGAGGTCAGTTGATTGTATCAAGTTCCTTCATCCCTGTCATCTTTGGCTGTTCCTCAAAATGTAAGCCCATTCAGGCACTGTTCCCCTCCAGTACCCTCTTGCCCATTTTGTTCAGAGCATCACATGGTCCTTCTCTGAGGACCCTGATTCCTTTGCTGACTTAACTGAAAATGTACCTTCTCTCACAGTCCAGGCCTCACAGGACTGAATATAGTAGTCCTCCCTTATCATTGAGGGATACGTTCCAAGATCCCCAGTGGATGCCTGAAATTGTGGATAGTGCTGAAGCCTGTGTACACAGTGTTTTTTTTCTGGACCATAATGGATGGGTTGCATATGCAGCATGGATATACTGGACAAAGCGGTGATTCATACCCTAGGCGGGACAGAGCACGATGGTGAGAAATTTCATTATGCTACTTGGAATGACAATTTAAAACTTACAAATGGTATATTTCTTAGATTTTCTGTTTAACATTTTTGTACCATGGCTGATCCCAGGTAACTGAAATCATGGAAAGCAAAACCCCAGAGCGAGGGACTTCTGTATATCTATTCAGTTGAGCCTCATTCAAGGATTCTGTATTTACAAATTCACCTACTCACTAAAATTTATTTGTAACTCCAAAATCAGTACTCAGGACTTGCATGGTCATTTGTGGACATGTGCAGAGTGGTTCAAAATTTAAGTCACCTGATGACTCGTTCCCAATTGAGGCTGAACAAGGCAACATTGTCTTCTTACTTCAGTTCTCACACTATAAACAATTGTCTTTTTGTGGTTGATTTAGTGCTTTTTTTTTTTAACCTGTTTGTGCTTTTTGTTGGTGATTTCACTGTTTAAATGGCCCCCAAGTGTAGTACTGAAGTGCTTTCTAGTGTTCTTAAATGGAAGAAGGCTGTGATGTATCTTATTGAGAAAACATATGTGTTAGATAAACTTTGTTCAATCATGAGTTATAGTGCTGTTGCCATGAGTATATTAAATAAAATATCATTAAGCAGAAACACTTATAAAACAAGTTATGTATTGATTGGTTGATGAACATGTGACCAGAGGCTTACCAGGAACCTAGCCCTATATTTCCCCTAGGATCAGAGCTTCAGTATTTGCTAGTGCAGTGTTCATGACAGTTTTATAGAGACAACTACTGTAAATGACAATAATTGTCTTTATTTCTGGCTTTCTCTTGCCATTTTGATGACTTCTTTTCTACTTTGTGGAATTTCATTCCATTTGGGTGTGCACCTCTAACCTTTTACTTCAGTGACATTTTGTGACTCAGTTCATTATCTTCAACAAACATTAATGTAGTGCTTTCTGCTTCTTAGGAAATTCTTTATCCTGAGATCATGAGATTTTCTCTTATATAATCCTCTAAAAGCTTTCAGTTTTTATTCTTACATTTAGGTTTATAATCTATTTGAAGTTGACTTTTTGGTTTAGTACCAGCTAGAAATATAACTTCATTTCATTCTCACAGATATTTGATTGTCCTACTACCATTTATCAAAAAGACAGTCCTTGCCCCTACTACTTCACCATGCCATCTCTGTCATTTATCAAGCATCTGTGTATGTGCAGTGGACTGAATGTTTGTATTCCCTCAAAACTCCTGTGTTGAAACCCTATTCCCAGGTGATGGTATTTGGAGACGTGGCCTTTGGAAAGTAATTAGGTCATGGGCGTGAAGCCCTCATCAATGAATGGGATTAGTGCCCTTGTAAGAAGAGGCCAAGGCTGGGCATGGTGGCTCATGCCTGTATAATCTTAGTGCTTTGGGAGGTTGAGGTGGGAGGATCACTTGGCTCCAGTGAGCCAAGAGTTCTAGACAAGCCTAGGCAACATAGCAAGATCCTGTCTCTACAAAAAAATAAAAATAATAATAAAAAATAAAGAAGGGGCCAGAGAGCTAGAGAGCTGTCTTTCCTTGTGTGAGAAGCTGGTGGACTGCAACCTGCAAGAGAGCCCTCACCAGGAGAGGCCCTCACCTGGAAGAGTGCCTCACCAAGCCGGCACTCTGATTTTAAATTTCCAGCCTCCAAAACTGTATGAAGTACATTTCTATTGTTTATAAGCCACCCAGCCTGTGGTACTTTGTTACAGCCATCTGAACTGACTAAAACAATGTGTATAAGTCTATTTCTGGCTGGCTGTTTTGTTCTGCTTGTCTTTTTGCCCACCCTTGCATCAGTATCTCACTATAATAATTAATATACTTTATTAACCTTGATATCATAGACTAAGTCTTCCTAGCTTGTTTTTCTTCTCCAAGAAAAACCAAGTGCTATGGTTTGAATATTTGTCCCCTTCAAAACACAGGTTGAAATTTAACCCCAAATGAGGCAACATTGGGAGATGAGACCTTTAAGAAGTTATTGGATCATGAGGGATTTGCCTTCATGAATGAGTTAATCCATTCATGGATTAATGGAATAATGAGTTATCATGGGATGGGAACTGGTGACTTTATAAGAAGAGGAGAAGAGACCTGAACTAGCATGGTAGCGTATTAGCATGCTGAGTCCCCTCACCTTGTGATAACCCTGTGCCACCTTGGGACTCTGCACACGGTCCCCACCAGCAATAAGGCTCTCACCAGATGTGACCTCTCAGCCTTGGACTTCTCAGCCTCTATAACTCTGATAAATAAATTCCCTTTCATTACAAATTGCCTAGTTTCAGGTATTCTGTTATAAGCAACAGAAGACAGACTACTACAAATGTCATAGCTACTCTCAATCCTTTGCATTTCCTTATAAATTTTAGAATCAGCTTCTCAAGTTCTACAAATAAATGGCTAATGATTTTTATTGGGATTGCATTGACTCTGACACTCACTTTAGGAGAGCCGAAATGTTTCCAATGTTGAGTTGTCCAAATTCCGCAGATATAGTATATCTCTCCATGTAGTTAGGTCCTCTCTAAATTCTCTCAATAAAGTTTATAATTTATATATAAAGATCGGCATGTCTGTAGTTTTAAAAGATTTATTTTGTCAACCTAAATAACAAACAGAGGGGGATTATCTAAAAGAAAAATGTTTATTTGGGAATAGGTGTAGCAATGGGAATACGTGTCTCACAGTAAACTGTGCATATTCAGGGAGGTAAAGGAAGATAAAGGTTTTTAAAGGAAAAATGAGGAAGATTACATAATTGTTTTGAGATAATTGTTCATTTTTTTATGTCACGGGGGTGTACTCAATGTGATTTTAAAATTTTTTAAAATTATACTTTAAGTTCTAGGGTACATGTGCACAACGTGCAGGTTTGTTACATGTGCTATGTTGGTTTGCTGCACGCATCAACTCATCATTTACATTAGGTATTCCTCCTAATGCTATCCCTCCCCCAGCCCACCACCCCCTGACAGGCCCCAGTGTGTGGATGTTCTCCACCCTGTGTCTAAGTGTTCTCGTTGTTCAGTTCCCACCTATGAGTGAGAACATGTGGTGTTTGGTTTTCTGTCCTTGTGATAGTTTGCTGAGAATGATGGTTTCCAGCTTCATCCATGTCCCTGCAAAGAACATGAATTCATCCTTTTTTATGGCTGCATAGTATTCCACGGTGTATATGTGTCACTTTTTCTTAATCCAGTCTATCATTGATGGACATTTGGGTTGGTTCCAAGTCTTTGCTATTGTGAATAGTGCCACAATAAACATAGGTGTGCATGTAGGTGTCTATATAGTAGCATGATTTCTAATCCTTTGGGTATATACCCAGTAATGGGATTGTTGGGTCAAATGGGATTTCTAGTTCTAGATCCTTGAGGAATCCCCACACTGCCTTCCACAATGGTTGAACTAATTTACACTCCCACCAACAATGTGAAAACATTCCTATTTCTCTGCATCCTCTCCAGCATCTGTGGTTTCCTGACTTTTTAATGATTGCCGTTCTAACTGACGTGATATGGTAAATCATTGTGGTTTTGATTTGCATTTCTCTAATGGCGAGTGATGATGAGCATTTTTTCATATGTTTGTTGGCTGCATAAATGTCTTCTTTTGAGAAGTGCATGTTCATATCATTTGCCCACTTTTTGATGGGGTTGTTTTTTTCTTGTAAATTTGTTTAAGTTCTTTGTAGATTCCAGATATTAGCCCTTTTTCAGATGGATAGATTGCAAAAATTTTCTCCCATTCTGTAGGTTGCCTGTTCACTCTGATGATAGTTTCTTTTGCTGTGCAGAAGCTCTTTAGTTTAATTAGATCCCATTTGTCTATTTTGGCTTTTGTTGCCACTGCTTTTGGTGCTTTAGACATGAAGTCTTTGCCCATGCCTGTGTCCTGAATGGTATTGCCTAGGTTTTCTTCTAGGGTTTTTATGGTTTTAGGTCTTACATTTAAGTCTTTAATCCATCTTGAGTTAATTTTTGTATAAGATGTAAGGAAGGGGTCCAGTTTCAGTTTTCTGCATATGGCTGGCCAGTTTTCCCAACACCACTTATTAAATAGGGAATCCTTTCCCCATTGCTTGTTTTTGTCAGGTTTGCTAAAGGTCAGATAGTTGTAGATGTGTGGTGTTACTTCTGGGGCCTCTGTTGTGTTCCATTGGTCTGTATATCTGTTTTGGTACCAGCACTATGCTGTTTTGGTTACTGTAGCCTTGTAGTATAGTTTGAAGTCAGGTAGCGTGATTCCTCCAGCTTTGTTCTTTTTGCTTAGGATAGTCTTGGCTATGCAGGCTCTCCTTTAGTTCCATATGAAGTTTAAAGTAGTTTTTTCCAATTCTGTGAAGAAAGTCAGTGGTAGCTTGATGGGGATAGCATTGAATCTGTAAATTACTTTGGGCAGTATGGCCATTTCCACAATATTGATTCTTCCTATCCATGAGCATGGAATGTTTTTCCATTTGTTTGTGTCCTCTCTTATTTCCTTGAGCAGTGGTTTGTAGTTCTCCTTGAAGAGGTCCTTCACATCCCTCGTAAGTTGTATTCTTAGGTATTTTATTCTCTTAGTAGCAATTGTGAATGGGAGTTCACTCATGATTTGGCTCTCTGTTTGTCTATTATTAGTGTATAGGAATGCTTGTGATTTTTGCACATTGATTTTGTATCCGGAGACTTTGCTGAAGTTGCTTATCAGCTTAAGGAGATTTTGGGCTGAGACGATGGGGTTTTCTAAATATACAATCATGTCATCTGCAAGCAGAGACAATTTGACTTCCTCTTTTCCTATTTAAGTACTCTTTATTTCTTTCTCTTGCCTGATTGCCCTGGCCAGAACTTCCAATACTATGTTGAATAGGAGTGGTGAGAGAGGGCATCCATGTCTTGTGCCAGTTTTCAAAGGGAATGCTTCCAGTTTTTGCCCATTCAGTATGATATTGGCTGTGGGTTTGTCATAAATAGCTCTTATTATTTTGAGATACGTTCCATTGATACCTAGTTTCATATTGAGAGTTTTTAGCATGAAGGGGTGTTGAATTTTGTCAAAGGCTTTTTCTGCATCTATTGAGATAATCATGTGGTTTTTGTCACTGATTCTGTTTATGTGATGGATTACGTTCACTGATTTGTGTATGTTGAACCAGCCTTGCATCCCAGGTATGAAGCTGACTGGATTGTGGTGGATAAGCTTTTTGATGTGCTCTTGGATTTGGTTTGCCAGTATTTTATTGAGGATTTTTCGTGTCGATGTTCATCAGGGATATTGGCCTGAAATTTTCTTTTTTTGTTGTGTCTCTGCCAGGTTTTTGTATCAGGGTGATGCTGGCCACATAAAATGAGTTAGGGGGAAGATTGCCTCTTTTTCTGTTGTTTGGAATAGTTTCAGAAGGAATGGTACCAGCTCCTCTTTGTTCCTCTGGTAGAATTCGGCTGTGAATCCGTTTGGTCCTGGACTTTTTTTTGGTTGGTAGGCTATTAATTACTGCCTCAATTTCAGAACTTGTTATTGGTCTATTCAGGGATTCGACTTTTTCCTGGTTTAGACTTGGGAGGGTGTATGTGTCCGGAAATTTATCCATTTCTTCTAGATTTTCTAGTTTATTTGTGTAGAGGTGTTTATAGTATTCACTGATGGTAGTTTGTATTTCTGTGGGATCAGTAGTGATATTGCCTATATCATTTTTTATTGTGTCTATTTGATTCCTCTCTCTTTTCTTCTTTATTAGTCTGGCTAGCAGTCTATTTTGCTAATCTTTTCAAAAATCCAGCCCCTGGATTCATTGATTTTTTGAAGGGTTTTTCATGTCTCTATCTCCTTTAGTTCAGCTCTGATCTTAGTTATTTCTTGTCTTCTGCTAGCTTTTGAATGTGTTTGCTCTTACTTCTCTAGTTCTTTTAATTTTGATGTTAGGGTGTTGATTTTAGACCTTTCCTGCTTTCTCTTGTGGGCATATAGTGCTGTAAATTTCCCTCTACACACTGCTTTAAATGTGTCCCAGAGATTCTGGGACGTTGTGTCTTTGTTCTTATTGATTTCAAAGAACATCTTTATTTCTTCCTTCATTTTGTTATTTAGCCAGTAGTCATTCAGGAGCAGGGTGTTCAGTTTCCATGTGGCTGTGCGGTTTTGAGTGAGTTTCTTAATCCTGAGTTCTAATTTGATTGCACTGTGGTCTGAGAGACTGTTCGTTATGATTTCTGTTATTTTGCATTTGCTGAGGAGTATTTTACTTCCAATTATGTGGTCAATTTTAGAATAAGTGCAGTGAGGTGCTGAGAAGAATGTATTTTCTGTTGATTTGGGGTAGAGAGTTCTGTAGATGTCTATTAGGTCTGCTTGGTCCAGAGCTGAGTTCAAGTCCTGAATATCCTTGTTAATTTTCTGTCTCGTTGATCTGTCTAATATTGACAGTGGGGTCTTACAGTCTCCCACCATTATTGTGTGGGAGTCCAAATCTCTTTGTAGGACTCTAAGAACTTGCTTTGTGAATCTGGGTGCTCCTGTATTGGGTGCATATATATTTAGGATAGTTAGCTCTTCTTGTTGCATTGATCCCTTTACCGTTATGTAATGCCCTTCTTTGTCTCTTTCGATCTTTGTTGGTTTAAAGTCTGTTTTATCAGAGATTAGAATTGCAACTCCTGCTTTTTTTTCTTTCCATTTGCTTGATAAATATTCCTCCATCCCTTTATTTTGAGCCTATGTGTGTCTTTGCATGTTAGATGAGTCTCCTGAATACAGCACACGAATGGGTCTTGACTCTTTATCCAGTTTGCCAGTCTGTGTCTTTTAATTGGGTCATTTAGCATGTTTACATTTAAGGTTAATATTGTTATGTGTAAATTTGATCTGGTCATTATCATGCTAGCTGGTTATTTTGCCCGTTAGTTGATGCAGTTTCTTCATAGTGTTGATGGTCTTTACGATTTGGTATGTTTTTGCAGTGGCTGGTACCAGTTGTTCCTTTCCGTGTTTAGTGCTTCCTTCAGGAGCTCTTGTAAGGCAGGCCTGGTGGTGACAAAATCTCTCAGCATTTGCTTGTCTGTAAAGGATTTCATTTCTCCTTTGCTTACAAAGCTTAGTTTGGCTGAATATGAAATTCTGGGTTGAAATTTCTTTTCTTCAAGAATGTTGAATATTGGCCTCCACTCTCTTCCGGCTTATAGGGTTTCTGTAGAGAGATCCGCTGTTAGTCTGATGGGCTTCCCTTTGTGGGTAAACCGACCTTTCTCTCTGGCTGCCCTTAACATTTTTTCCTTCATTTCAACCTTGGTGAATCTGATGATTATGTGTCTTGGGGTTGCTCTTCTCGAGGAGTATCTTTGTGGTATTCTCTCTATTTCCTGAATTTGAATGCTGGCCTATCTTGCTAGGTTGGGGAAATTCTCCTGGATAATATCCTGCAGAGTGTTTTCCAACTTGGTTCCATTCTCCCTGTCACTTTCAGGTACACCAATCAAATGTAGATTTGGTCTTTTCACGTAGTCCCATGTTTCTTGGAGGCTTTGTTTGTTCCTTTTTATTCTTTTTTCTCTAATCTTGTCTTCTCACTTTATTTCATTAAGTTGATCTTTAATCTCCGATATCCTTTCTTCCTTGATTGATTGGGCTGTTGATACTTGTGTAGGCTTCACGAAGTTCTCGGGCTGTGTTTTTCAGCTACGTCAGGTAATTTATGTTCTTCTCTAAGCTGTTTATTCTAGTTAGCAATTCCTCTAACCTTTTTTCAAGGTTCTTAGCTTCCTTGCACTGGGTTAGAACATGCTCCTTTAGCTCAGAGGAGTTTGTTATTACCCACTTTCTGAAGCCTACTTCTGTGAATTCGTCGAACTCTTTTCTCTGTCCAGTTTTCTTCCCTTGCTGGTGAGGAGTTGTGATCCTTTGGAGGAAAAGAGTTGTTCTGGTTTTTGGAATTTTCAGCCTTTTTGTGCTGTTTTTTCCCCATCTTTGTGGATTTATCTAACTTTGGTCTTTGATGTTGGTGACCTTTGGATGGGGTCTCTGAGTGGACGTGCTCTTCCTTTCCGTTTGTTAATTTTTCTTCTAACAGTCAGGCCCCTCTGTTGCAGTTCTGCTAGAGTTTGCTGGAAGTCCACTCCAGACCTTGTTTGCCTGGCTATCACCAGCAGAGGCTGCAGAACAGCAAAGATTGCTGCCTGTTCTTTCCTCTGGAAGCTTCGTCCCAGAGGGGCACCTGCCAGTTGCCAGCCAGAGCTCTCCTGTATGAGGTGTCTGTCAGCTCCTACTGGGAGGTATCTCCCAGTCAGGATACACGGGTGTCAGGGACCCACTTGAGGAGGCAGTCTGACCCTTAGCAGAGCTCGAACGCTGTGCTGGGAGGTCTGCTGCTCTCTTCAGAGCCATCAGGCAGGGATGTTTAAGTTTGCTGAGGCTGCGCCCACAGCCACCTCTTCCCCCAGGTGCTCTGTCCCAGGGAGACGCTGGTTTTATCTATAAGTCCCTGACTTGGGATGCTGCCTTTTTTTCAGAGATGCCCTGCTCAGAGAGGAGAAATCTGGCAGTCGGGCCACAGTGGCCTTGCTGAGCTGCCTGAGACAATTGTTCTTGGCTACAAGGATCAATAACAAGAGTGGTACTAGTCAAAGGTTGCACAGGCAGTTGCTGGGCAGATGTCCTCACAAAAGTATTTTTTTGTGTATAAGTTTGTGATGGCCTTTGTGCAAAGTTGTGGTTTTTTTCAGGGTCTTTTGTAATAGTTCTTGTTATCAGGCACTGTGCGTGAGAACCCTCTTTTCATGGGCTTCCCTGGCTCTTGACAGAGGCTTTAACACATGTGACTTCATTTGATTCTGACAACTTTCACAGTTCTTGGGTACTTCATGTATGTTATGCTAGCATAGTTGGTATTTTTGAGTTTTTTTATTTTTTGATTCTAATGTGTAGAAATACAACTGATTTTGCAAATTTGTGTCATCTTGCTAAAATGTCTCAGTAATTTAGTAATTTATCCTTAGATACTCTTAAATTTTTCACATTCGTGATCCTATCATCTACAAATAATGATAGTTTTGTTTCTCTTTCCAATTCCTATTCTTGTTTTGTTTTTTTTTCATATACTTGCCTTACTAGGCTGGCTAGGCCCTCTAGTACACTGTTAAATAAAAGTGGTGTTAACAGGCATTATTTAAAGGCAAAGCTTTAAACATCTCACTGTACTTGTAGTAAATATTACACTTAATGTCCTCACAGAAGTATTTTTGTTTGTATAAGATTTTGATGGCCTTTGTGCAAGGTTGTGGTTTTTTCAGAGTCTTTTGTGATAGTTCCTGTTGTCAGGCATTGTGCATGAATATTTATTTATAGTGTTTCAGACTAAGAAAATTATCTTTTTTTTCCCAGTTCATTAAGAGTCTTTAAAAAATATTGAATATTTGTTTTTATCAAATACACTTTCAATCATTATTAGGTTGTTCATGTTTCTTCTTCTATTCTGTTATTGTAGGTAACAGTATTAATTGATTTTCTTCTCCTAAATCAACTTTGTATTATTTAGACAAACCCATGTTTTATCCTTTTTAAATATTATCCCTTTTTATCCTTTTTCTATATTGCTATTTTCTGTGTGCTAATATTTTGTTTAGGAAATTTGCATTTATGATTTTTAGTCAGCTTACCTGTAAGTTCCCTTTTTCTTACTGTCCTTAGTGGAGTTTTTTTTTTTTTTTTTTGAGATGGAGTCTTGCTCTGTCACCCAGGCTGGAGTGCAGTGGTGTGATCTCGGCTTACTGCAACCTCTGCCTTCTGAATTCAAGTTATTCTCCTGCCTCAGCCTCGTGAGTAGCTGGGATTACAGGTGTGCCTTACCATGCCTGGCTAATTTTTGTATTTTTAGTAGAGACAGGGTCTCGCCATGTTGGCCAGGCTGATCTCGAACCCTGGCCCCAAGTGACTCCCAAAGTGCTGGGATTACTGGTGTGAGCCACCACACCGGGCCTCCTTAGTGGATTTTGATATCAGAGTTATGATAGCATCATCGAACGAGTTAGAGAAAATACTCCCTTTTTCTGTTTTCTGAAAGGGTTTGTATTATTGGTCTCATTTCTCCCTTGAATGTTCATAGAACTTGCTGGTAGAGTCTGGGCCTATAGTTTTCCTTTTGGGAAGATTTTTGGGAAAAACTGAATGCTTGTAGGGTGAATTAGTTACTATTGGCTTCATTTGGTAATTTACAGCAATAAAGAGATGAGCTCAAAAAAGAATTGGCTTATTTGCAAGTAGAAAAGGAATTTAATTATTTAATTTGAAAGGAAATTAAGAGAGCACAGAAATTCAGTACTTGCAGGTTTGGAAGATACAAGTGATTCTCATTTCCAGATGGTAAAAGAGAAAACTGAGAAGGCCTTTGAATATTAAAGTCTGATTAAAAATGCTTAGCTGCTTAAGCAAGGATCCCTTGAGGATGTGACCATACAGTCATTGTTAAAAACCTCTGGATGAGTTAAAGTAGTGTTTATTAAGTCCTTTTAGCTTGACAAAATGGTCAAGTAAAAGAAAATAAGAATGCTATCAAACCTGATAGGTTTAAGTATCTGAACTAACTTAAATGAGGGAGAATTGTTTTCAAAAGAATTGTAGGTATGGCTATTACTACAGGCAGCGGACTAAACCAAAATAAATAAAAAGTCAAGTATGTTTTTGAAAAAGAACTTTACTTCAAAAATACCACAGCCTGGACTAAAATCGTCTATGACTGTTGGCCCCCAATTTCTATAGGAAGGAAGCATAAAAAGAAAGCTGCTCAGTTCCTAAGAAAGACATATTTTCCAGTGCCTTCTTCAGCACGACCAAGGAGGATAATTGAAAAGGAATGACATCCTGCCAGAGAGAAGACCAAGGGCCAGGGTGAACAATGGGTTGAGGAGCCCATTAGTATTAGCGAAATCAAGGGCTATTCAAGAAATATTCCCCCTCCCCAGAGTAGGAACTCCTTGTAATCATCTGCCCAGTGAGATTTTAGAATTGCATTTTCCATCCTTCTCTTTTCCAAATGGGAGGGTTTATTGGAATTATTCTGACCCTGTTTCACTATTGTATATTGTATATGTATTGGGGTGGGTGGAACAAATAACTGTTGTTATAAATTCATAGGTGTCTAGGTGAAAATCAACCTCATCTGGACCTGATGTAGAGATTAAGGTATTAGATCTTCGACTTAGAGCTCAAGTCAGTGACTTTATGGAACTTTAAAAGTTTTTTTCCTTGGGGAGGAGGTAAGTATATTTGTATGTGAGAGGGTACAGAATCTGACAGAAAATTGAGCAGAGCTAAAGGGAGAATTAGAGAACTAGAGGATAGCTCAGAAGATATTATCCAGAATGCTTTGAAAAGAGACAAAAGGATGGAAACTATGGAAGAGAAATTAGATATATGAAGGAAAAACTAAGAGAATTTATCATTCATTTAGTTGGAGTTACATAAGGAAAGGAGAGCAAGAATGGGGCAGAGGCAGTATTTGAAGATGAAATGGTTGCAAATATTTCAGAATGAATTAAAGAAGCCCAATAACCCCAAATAGGATAAATAAGAAGAAATCTATCCAAGATACATTCTAGAAACTGCAGCAAATAACAGGCAAAGAGAAAAATATTAGAAACACCAGAGGGTAAAAGTAGATTACTTTCAAAAGAGCAACAGTTGTACTATCACTTGGCTGCTTAACAGCAAAAATAGAAGCCAGGTGACATGGACTGGTACCTTAAAAGGGCTGACAAAATAGCTGCCAATCTAGAACTTATACTAAACAAAAAGTATCTTTCAAGAATGAGGGCAAAAGAGACATTTTTCAGAAAAACAAAAGCTGAGAGAATTCATCTCTAGCTCATTACAGGAAATTCTAAAGGATGCATACTTCAGACAGAAGGAAAGTGATCCCAGAGGCAAGACCTGAGATCCAAGAAGGAAAGAAGAGCAGAGAAAGTGGAAAACATATGGGCAAACCTAAACAAAGACCTATTGTATAAAACAGTGACAATAATGTCCTGGTAGGTGTAAAAAATTAAAATGCACAGCACAACAACAATATAATCCAAGAGGGGGATAAATGGATTTTAAATGATCCTCGCGTCATCTAGGATCAGGATAAAGATGTTTAGTAATTTCAGTTTTGATAAATATGCATGTGGTAATTCCTAATATAACTACTAAAAGAATAAAAACAGTATATTATTTCAAAACCAATAGATGAAGGAAAAGAGATGATAAAATACTCATTCTTTACAAGTTGAGAATTAGGGACACAACAAGGAGGATGTTAGGTTTTCTGGATTTAGCAACCAAGTGGGGATACTATTCATAATTGATTTGGGAACAGGAAAAAGAGAAAGTGTGGAAGGAAGATACTGAGTTATGTTTGGGACAGGTTGAATTTGAGGTGCTTGAGGGACAGCCATTAAGTTTCCTCTTGGAACTAGGGCAGCAAGTTTTCTTTTTAAAACCATTTTTTGTACCTTTTTGAGCTAAAGTGATTCTTAGCTCTTTCTGGATTTATGAATTTGCCTAACAATTCTGAGCTCCATTAGGCTGTGCTTTAGTGAAGTATATTTTTAACAGGTTTCCCAACAGTAAGTTAGGGGAAAATTGTGAACTTGATGTCTCTGGAAGCCTTTAAAAATAAGATGCTTTTCTATTTTAAAAGATTTAGGTTTGCCTTCCTTCAAGAGGGCTGGACTTCTCCAGGTGTCAGTCTTTCTTTTGATATTTAGGAATTTATTCTCTGCTCTTCTCTGCCATCTGGTGGCAGATGAATGGAACACTGCATTTGGAAGGAAAAGAGGGAATTTGAGCTTTTTATTATAATTTATTTATTTATTTAGGGGGGACAAGTGCAGATTTTTAAATATGCACATATTGCATAGTGGTGAAATCCAGGCATTTAGTGCACCCATCACCGGCATAGTAAACATTGTACCAAACAGGTAATTTTTCAACCCTCACCCCCCTTTCACCTTCCCACATTTTGTACTCTCCAATAGAAATTCGAGCTATTTTAAAATATGTAACTTGATGAAGAGAAGCAACATATGGTTGTGTGTGTTTGTGAATCCAAACTTTGAAACCATCAAATCACAGCAGTAGTTTTAGGGCACAGAAATTGTGGTATTTTCTTTATTCTTTACTCACTCTTCTCTTACCTTCATTGCCCTGCCTTACCATCTGGTATTTCTTTTCTTTTTTTTTTTTGATAGAGTCTCGCTTTGTTGTCCAGGCTGGAGTGCAGCAGTGCGACCTTGGCTCACTGCAACCTCTGCCTCCAGGGTTCAAGTGATTCTCATGCCTCAGCTGCCCGAGTAGCTGGGATTAGAGGCGCACAACACCACGACTGGCTAATTTTTTTTTTTTTGGTAGAGACAGGGTTTCACCATGTTGACCAGGCTGGTCTCGAACTCCTGACCTCAGGTGATCTGCCCACCTCGGCCTCCCAAAGTGCTGGGATTACAGGGGTGAGCCACCATGCCCAGCCCCATCTGGCATTTCTAACCTTATATATAGGGCTAAGTAAGCTGAGTCATCAAAGTTAAAATCGTCCTTCGGCACTTTGGGAGGGCCAGGCAGGCGGATCATGAGGTCAGGAGATCGAGACCATCTTGGCTAACATGGTGAAACCCCGTCTTTACTAAAAATACAAAAAATTAGCCAGGTGTGATGGTGTGCGCCTGTAGTCCCAGCTACTTGGGAGGCTGAGGCAGGAGAATGGCGTGAACCCGGGAGGCGGAGCTTGCAGTGCCGAGATCGTACCACTGCACTCTAACCTGGAGAACAGAGGGAGACTCTGTTTCAAAAAAAAAAAAAAAAAATTCATCCCTCAGCACTTCTTTTACTTAAATCAGTGTTGATTTTATGACCTTTTACGAATGTGTGGTCTTCTTTAGCTCTCAAAGATGTTGGTGTCCTAATCTCCAGAACCTATGAATATGTTACCTTACATGGCAAAAAGTACTTTGTAGATGTGATTAAGGTTAGGGACCTTGAATGGAGAGAATATTTGGGATTATCTGAGTGGGGACAATATAAACATATAATCTCTCTCCTGGTTGTAGAGGGGGGTTGGGGGTGGGGAGAGAAGGATGGCAGGAGGAGAGAGGGATGGAAGAAGGGAGGGATAGAAGGAGGAAAGGAGGGGGAGGGGGAAAAGAAGAGAGAGAGAGAGACAGACAGAGACGCATGGAAGAAAAGCAAAAGAAATCTGAAGTATGAAAGGAACCATTGTTGACTTTGAAGATCGAGAAAGGGGGCCATGAGCCAAGGAAGGTGGGTGGCCTCTAGAAAGACACAGATTCTCCCCGAGAGCCTTCAGAAGGGAATGCAGCCCTGCTGAAATTTTAATTTTTACCCACTGAAGCCTGTGTCAGACTTCTGACCTATAGAACTGTAAAATAATAAATAATCTTGTTTTAATTTACCATTTTTGTGATGATTTGTTATGGCAATGACAGAAAACTGATACAAAGCTCCACCTTGTGTTGATGAGTCTGGAACCTCCACTGGGAGAAGTGCAGAGCTAGCTTGAGTTTGGGCTAGTGGCAAACTTAGGGAACTTGAGGTAGAGACATAATAAACGGGTTTCTTTGGCAAATTTAATATTTCTTCTTTCCAGGTTATATTGTGACCATCAAGGCCCAACTACCCTATTATTTTACCCTCCTTTTTTTCTAGGTTACGTAGCTGCCTTTTTCACATTTTCCCTCCATTTTTCCTTGCCTAAATGCAGGAGTTTGTGATTATTTTACAAATATTGATTGAATGCCTATCACATACAGGGTTATTCATGGTCCCTTACATGGAAAGATTAATAATTTAGTGGGGACAAATAACAACAAACATTAAATAAAGTTTGTTTCCCCACAAGTTATCATTTAGTGGGGAAAACAGAGAAGTAACAAAAACATTTTCTCTCTAGCGTTATCAATTTATCCATCTGTATTGATTCATTCTCATCCCATCTTAGAAAAACAAACTATTTATTCCTTATGCCTCTGTAATCAGTACCCCATTTCTCTGCAATTATAACAGAACTTTGATTCCACTTCCTCAGTTCTCATTCCCTCTTAGCCTACCCTAATTACCTTTCTCCATCACTGCACTAAACATTTGTTTGTCAAGGTCACTAATGACCTCTATGCTACCCAATCTAGTGGTCTCTATTCTAATCAGCTCATCTCTCAGCAGTATGTGTTCTAGGTGATCCTTCCCTTATTTTTTTTAAACAGCTTTATTGAGATAATTTACATACCATACAATTCACCTGTTTAAACTGTATAGTTCAATGTTTTTAGTTTATTCACAGGATTGTGCAACCATCACTACAATCTAATTTTAGAACATTTTTGTCCTCCCTAAGTGGAACTCTGTGCCCATTAACCATCACTCCTCATTTCTCCCTCCTTTTCTTCCCCTAGCCCCATGAAACCATTAATCTACTTTCTGTTTCCATTGATTTGCCTATTCTGGACATTACATGTAAATGGAATCATACAATATGTGATCTTTTGTGACTAGCTTCTTTCAGTTAGCATGATGTATTCAAGGTTCACCCATGCTGTACCATGTATTAATACTTTATTCCTTTTTATTGCCAAATGATATTCCATATCTATTAGTTGATAGGCATTTGGGTTATTTCCACTTTTTGGCTATTATGAATAATGTTGCTATGAACATTTGCTTACATATTTGTGTGGGAACATGTGTTTTCATTTTTCTTGGCTATATATCTAGGAGTGAGGTTGCTAGCTCATATGGTAACTGAATGTTTGAGGAACTACCAAACTTTTCCACAGTGGCCGCACAACTATTCACAATAGCAAAGACATGGAATCGACCTAGATGCCCATCAGTGGTGGACTGGATAAAGAAAATGTGGTGTATATACACCATGAAATACTACGCAGCCGTAAAAAAAAGAACAAAATCATGTCCTTTGCAACAACATGGATGCAGCTGTAGGCCATTATCCTAAGCAAATTAGGCAGATACAGAAAACCAAATAGTGTATGTTCTCCCTTACAAGTGGGACCTAAACTTTAGGTATGAATGAACACAAAGATGGGGCCTACTTGAGTGAGGAGAGTGGAAGGAGGGTGAGGGTTGAAAACCAGCTATCTGGTACTGTGCTCACTTAGCTGGGTGATGAAATTATTTGTACACTCTACCTCAGTGACAGGCAGTTTACCCATGTAACAAACCTGCATCTACACCTTGAACCTAAAATAAAAGTGGAAAAAGTAAAAACAAAAAAACAAAAACCCCAAGTGGCCATACCATTTTTACATTTTCACCAAGCAATGTATGAGTGTTCCAGTTTCCCCACATCTTCACTAACACTTGTTACTGTCTACCTTTTTTATTATGGCCATCCTCTCCCTCATTACTGAAATACTTTCTTGCCTTGGCTTCCAAAATGTTACATTTGCCTGGTTTTTCTCCTACCTCACTGGCTGCTTTTTCTCACTCTTATCTGTATATTTACCTCATCTTCCTCTTCTTTCTCCTCCTCATTCTTATTTTCTTCCACCAAACTTCTAAATGTCGGAGTGCCCCAGGATTCTGTCTGGAAACATCTTTCTATCTACACACTCTTACTATGTGATCTTATCTCGTGTCTTTAAATACTACATGAAAATTACTTCCAAATTCGTATTTTTAGCCCGAACCCTGATATCCATCTGTTTACTTAACAACTCTACCTAGATCGTCTAGTAGGGATTTCAGATTTAACATATCCAAAACAGAATTCATGGTTTTCAACCACGGACCTGCCTCCTCTCCGTCTTCCAAATTTTGGTAAATGGAATTGCTATATACTCAGTTGCACAAGTGAGAAGCCTGTGAGCCATTCTCGATTACTTTTTCTCTTATGCCCTATATCAAGTCCATCAGGAAATATCTTTTGACCCTGCTACCCTAATGTCTTTCAGAGTTTCACTCTGTCACCCAGGCTGGAGTGCAGTCGTGTGATCTTGGCTCACTGCAACCTCCATGTCCTGGGTTCAAGTGATTCCTGCTTTAGCCTCCTGAGTAGCTGGGACTACAGGCACGTGCCACCACACCTGGCTAATTTTTGTATTTTTGTTTCACCATGTTGGCCAGCCAGGCTGGTCTCGAACTCCTGACCTCATGTGATCCGCCTGCCTTGGCCTCCCAAAGTGCTGGGATTACAGGTATGAGCCACCACACCCGGCCTCCAGTGTATTTGAATTCATTCACTTCTTTTTCTGTTTTCTACTACCAGCCTAGTCCCAGCCATCATTATCTCCTCCTTGAACTGCCGTGGTAGACTCCTACTGATTCCCCTGCTCTCTATTCTACAGTCCAGAATTCATATAGCAGCCAGTCATCTTTTAAATTTTAAGACATCACATCATTGGAAATGCTTTCATTTTCCAATGAAAGGAAAGGAAGAGGTATTAGATTCTTTAAATGAAACTTCAGTTGTGGCTCGTTTTAAAATGGTTATAAAAACTTAAATTTTCAACCACTTATCATGAATAAAGCTTCTTGTGGATGGTGAATTAAAAAGTGGAAAAGACTATCATTAAAAAGTCTTGATCAGGAATTGTGTGTGGCCATTTCAAGTATAAAACGTGTTCTTTTCTTTCTTTTCCCTTCTTTTCTTTCCTACTTTCCTTTTTTCTAAATAATTCAATCAAAAACCCATTAGGTAGGGCTGAGCAAGATAGACGTATGCATTGGATGGTGCTGGGGGCAGCCTGGCATGGGGTATCAGAACCCATGTGGAGTGGGAACGGGTCTGTGAGGGGGAGGGTTGTAACAGCCCATGTGGTGGTTGGAACTTGAGAGAGGTGAGGAGGTTTTCTACCTAGGAGGGTGGTGACAGCAGAAACCTGGCACAGGGTGTTAGGGCTTGAATGAGGTGAGGAAGGCACCTAGATTTTGGGGTGGATTTCATAGCTCAGTGATAAATGTTAGAGCCTAAGTGGGGTGAGGAAGATACTTGCTGGCTTGGCACCATGTGTCAGAGCTTGATTGGGGCAGAGAGGGAATCTCTGCAGAGGGATGGTGGTGGCCTGGCATGGGGCATTGAGGCCCAGTAAGGTGGGGAAGGCACCTACATAGGAGAGGCCTGTGACAGCAGTGATGGGCCAGCGCAGTGTATGAGAGTCTGAGCAGGGCAAGTAGGCCATCTTCGTGAAGGGGTGGCAGCAGGAAGGGAAATTGATTATACATAGGCAAGATTGAGCCAATAAGTAAATATATTGAGGAAAATGGGAGCCAAGTTTTCCACTTTCAGAGAGTTATAAATATGCAAAAGAAAAAAAAACTGGAATAAACTTTGTGGTATTGGATTGGAGTTGAGGTACTGGTGTGAACTCATGGTTAGATAGATTGATGTAGAAATAAATATAGATGTAAATGTGTGAATTACATACATTAATGTATGTGTATACATAATGTGCCATGGGTATGTATATATACATATATCCCCTAGCTCTGTCTTCGGGCAGCAACCCCCCAACAGCAATGTGCCATATCTAGTGCCAATATCTTGATTTCTAAGTACCATTCTCCACTAAAAGGAAACAAGATTTCTTGAAATCGCTGATTCCAGGATAGGGCAGGAAAAGTCCAAGATGAGCCTAAAATATCTTGTCAGGCCAGAAAGTAAAACGTGCTCAAAGAATTATGGGGACATGTCAAAAGAACACAGAAGTCAGTTTGAATGAATTCCCAGTGGCCAAATCTGACATACTTTGGGTACCAAAGTAAATAATAGTAGTAGAAGATTACAATCCATGGAATAAAAACAAGAATTCATAAGTCCATGTGAATATAAATAAATGAATAAATAATTGGGGAGAAGAGATCTAGTAAGTGTAGATGTAATGCTTGAGTAGGAAAATCACCATTTATAAATGATCATAGATTTATAAATGATCATAGATTCAGCCAAGAATCATCATGAATATTAAAAATTAGTGGATGGAAGTTTGCTAAGGAAAGGGATATTATGTAGTTTCAAAATACCTCCACACAAATTTAGTACTTACAAATCGGAAGAAAAGCAACTTCAGAGTGGAAAATCTGGCAGACACTGCCTTAATTGAGTGATTAAAATTAACAGTAATGGGACAAAAATAAATCATTTACTACCTGATAGGTTGCCTTATCACTTCTGTGACGTTCCTGTCAAAATATGTAATCTTAGTCTAATTATGAGGAAATATTAGACAAATTCAAATTGAGGTACATTATGCAAAGTAACTAGTCTATAAGTCTGCAATCTTCAAAAGAGTCAGGAGTCAAAGAGTCAAAGTCTTCAAGAGAGTCAAAGTCTTCAAGAGAGTCAAAGTCTTCAAGAGAGTCAAAGTCAAGGAGACTTAAGAGGCATAACAACCAAAAGCAGAGTGTGATTCTGGACTAGATCCATTCACATTATTCGGACAATTGTCAAAACTTGAATGGGGATTGTGGGTTAGTTGGTAGTGATGGATCAATGTTAATTTCCTAATTGTGATGGTTATATTGTGGTTACATAGGAGAATGTCCTTGTTCACAGCAATTATACACTAAAGTCTTAGTGGTGGGTACTGGGGCATCATGTTGGCAATTTACTCTTTACTGTTTCAGGAAAAATGTTATTTGCATTATTATTGTTGCAACTCTATTGTAAGTTTGGAATTATTTCAAATTACAAAGAAAAAACAATTTTTAAATTAGTAAGCTAAAGGTTTTCATTAAAATATCTTATTAAATATTTTAAGTACATCTAAATATCTTAAATATAAATAATATTTGTTATCTTAAATATTAAATATCTTCCGTATTGAATTTTTTTTAGCAAGGCCCTTGCAGATAACACCACATTCTTTCCACTTTACACCTGTGTATTATATAAATTTTTTTTCTGTGTGCACCATGACATTAAAAAGGCTGTGGAACATTAATTTAGACAAAGGGCACCATATGTGCAAAGGCCTGGAGCTCAGAGAGCATGTCTTTTAGGAGAATTGCAATCAGTTAAGCATGTCTGGAAAGTGGAATTGGTGGTGGGGTGGTTGTCAAGGGAAAAGACATCTAGCAACCTCAGCTGGATAGTGGTGCCATTCACTGATCTAGGGGGTCACACTGATAATTCAGTTTTATGGCTCTAAAACTGATAGCACAACATTAGTGAGGGTGTACCCTAACTAGTAAAGCAACCATTTGTCTAGAAACTTTTCCCAAGATGCTTCCTGACCTCAGAGTTCAAACACAAATTGCCCTAAACTTGTGCCTCTAAGAGGGAGAACTCAGAAATGTGAAGAGTGATAGAAAAGGTGGCTGGCCTCTGTTGTGTCTATTATACTATCAAGTAATTTAGCAAAAAGGACACATTACAGTAGATACATGTGATAGGACAATTGTTTAATGCTCAATAGAATATGGCTTTAATTGTTGATAATAAAAATAATATATGTCCATTATAGAAAATGCATCAAAGTAAAAGAAGAAAATTTGCAACAACAGTCATCCATAAATCTACCACCTGGATAGAATCCCTGAACCATTATGGCATATTTTCTGACAGTGCTATATAATGTGTTTCTTTGTTATGAAGATTTTCAAACATACAAAAGTTAAAAGGTAAATACAATGAGTACCCATATGCCTTCCTCCTAGAGTCAATAATTATATATACTTTGCCATATTTGCCTTATCTTGTGTGTGTGTGTGTGTGCGCGCGTGTGTGTATGTGTATGGAGGTGTGTGTGTAGATTTTTCTGTTAATACCCTGTGTTGTTCAATGTTCTTTTTTAAATCTCTGCTGATTTTTTTTTAATTTTTATTTTTTATGGGTACATAGGTGTATATATTTGTGGGATACATGAGATATATTGATACAAGCATGCAATGGATAATAATCACCTCAGGGTAAATGGGGTGTCTGTCACCTCAAGCATTTATCCATTGTGTTAGAAACAATCCAATTACACTTTTTTAGTTATTTTAAAATGTATAATTAAATTATTACTGACTATAGTCACCCTGTTATGCTATCAAATACTAGCTTTTACTTATTCTAACTCTTTTTGTACCCATTAGCCATCTTATTTATTTTTTAGACAGAGTCTTGCTCTGTTTGTGCAGGCTGGAGTGCAGTGGTGCAATCTCGGCTCCAGACTTGCTTAACTGCTTGCAACCCCTGCCTCCCGGGTTGAAGCAATTCTCATGCCTCAGCCTCCCAAGCAGCTGGGATTACAGGCACCTGCCACCACACCCAGATAATTTTTGTATTTTTAGTACAGATGGGTTTCACCATGTTGGTCAGGTTGGTCTCGAATTACTGACCTCAGGCGATCTGCCCTCCTTGGCTTCCCAAAGTGCTGGGATTACAGGCATGAGCCACCATGCCCGGCCCCTTTAGCCATCTTTACTGCCTCCCCGCCAGTACCTTTCTCAGGCTCTGGTAACCATTCGTTTACTCTCTATCTCCATGAATTCAAATGTTTTAATTTTTAGCTCCTACAAATAAGTGAGAACATCCAAAGTTTGTCTTTCTATGTCTGGCTTATTTCACTTAACATAATGACCTCCAGTTCGATCCATGTTATTGCAAATGACAGGATCTCATTCTTTTTTAAGGATGAATTTTCTATATCCATTCATCGGTCGATGGACACTTAGGTTGCTTCCACGTCTTGGCTATTGTGGAGAGTGCTGTAATAAACATGATAGTCCAGATGTCTCTTTGATATACTGATTTTCTTTCTTTCGGTTTATACCTAATAGTGATATTGCTGGATCGTATAGTAGCTTTATTTTTAGTTTTTTGAAGAACCTCCATAGTGGTCGTACTAATTTACATTTCTACCCACAGTGTACGAGGGTTCCCTTTACTCCACATCCTTGCCAACATTTGTTATTGCCTATCTTTTGGATAAAAGCCATCTTAAATGGGGTGAGTTATCTCATTGTAGTTTTGATTTGCATTCTCTGATGATCACAGATGTTGAGCACCTTTTCATATACCTGTTTGTCATTTTTATGTCTTCTTTTGAGAAATGTCTATTCAGATCTTTTGTCCATTTATTAATTGGATTATTAGATTTTTTCGTATAGAGCTGTTTGATCTCCTTATATATTCTAGTTATTAATCTCTTGTCAGATGAGTAGTTTGTAAATATTTTTTCCCATTCTCTGTGTTGTCTCTTCACTTTGTTGATTGTTTCCCTTGCTGTGCAGAAGCTTTTTAACTTGATGTGATTCCATTTGACCATTTTCACTTTGTTCACCTCTGCTTGTGGGGTATTACTCAAGAAATCTTTGCCCACTTCAATGTCCTGGAGGGTTTTCACAATGTTTTCTTTCAGTAGTTTCATAGTTTGAAGTCTTAGATTTAAATCTTTAATCCATTTTGATTTGATTTTTGTATATGGTGAGAGATAGGGTCTAGTTTCATTCTAGAAAACTGCATATGGATATCCAGTTTTCCCAGCACCATTTGTTGAATACTCTGTCCTTTCCCCACTGTGTGTTCCTGGTATCTTTGTCGCAATGAATTCACTGTAGATGTATGGATTTGTTTTTGGCTTCTTTTTTCTGCTCCATTGGTCTATGTGTCTGTTTTTATGCCAGTACCATGCTGTTTTGGTTACTTTGACTCTGTAGTATAATTTGAAGTCAGGTAATGCAATTCCTCCAGTTTTGTTCTTTTTGCTGAGAATAGTTTTGGCTATTCTGGTTTTTTTGTGGTTCCATTTAAATTTTAGGTTTGTATTTCCTGTTTCTGTGAGGAATGTCATTGTATTTTGATAGGAATTGCATTGACTGTATAGATTGCTTTGGGTAGTATGGATATTTTAAAAATATTGATTCATCCAATCCATGAACATGGACTGTCTTTCCATTTTTTGTGTGTGTCCTCTTCAATTTCTTGCATCATTGTTTTATAGTATTCATTGCAGAGATCTTTCACTTCTTTGGTTAATTCCTAGGTATTTAATTTTATTTGTAGCTATTATAAATGGGATAACTTTATTGATTCCTTTTTCAGATTGTTTGCTGTTGGCATATAGAAATGCTACTGATTTTTTTATTTTGATTTTGTATCCTGCAACTTTACTGAATTATTTTATCAGTTCTAACAGCTTTTTTGGTGGAGTCTTTAGATTTTTCCAAATATAAGATCATGTCATCTGCAAACAAGGATAATCTGACTTCTTCGTTTACAATTTAGATGCCCTTTATTTCTTTCTTTTGTCTGATCTCTCTAGTTAGGACTTCCAGTACTATATTGAATAACAATATAGTATTCAACAGTATAGTATTCTATTGGGGGAACCCGCCCCCGATAATTCAACATTATTTCATGTACATTCTTTTCTATTTCCCTAAGTGTCAGCTGGTCTGGGAAATAAAGGGAAAGAGTACAAAAGAGAAATTTTAAAGCTGGGTATCCGGGGAAGACATCACATGTTGGCAGGTTCCGTGATGTCCCCAAGCTGCAAAACCAGCAACTTTTTATTAGTGATTTTCAAAGGGAAGGGAGTGTACGAATAGGGTGTAGGTCACAGAGATCACATGCTTCACAAGGTAATAAAATATCAAAAGGCAAATGGAGGCAGGGCGAGATCACAGGACCAGGGCAAAATTAAAAATGCTAATGAAGTTTCATGTCCCACTGGGCAAGCATTGTCATTGATAACATCAGGAGACAGGGTTTGAGAGCAGACAACCAGTCTGACCAAAATTTATTAGGCGGGAATTTCCTCATCCTAATAGGCCTGGGAGTGCTATGGGAGACTGGGGCTTATTTCATCCCTTATCTACAACTGTATAAGCCAGACATTCCCCGAGTGGCCATTTCAGAGACCTCCCCCTAGGAACACATTCTCTTTCTCAGGGCTGTTCCTTGCTGAGAAAAAGAATTCAGTGATATTTCTCCTATTCGCTTTTGAAAGAAGAGAAATATGGCTCTGTTCCACCCGGCTCTCAGGCAGCCAGACCTAATGGTTATCTCCCTTGTTCCCTGAACATTGCTGTTATCTTGTTCTTTTTTCAAGGTACCCAGATTTCATATTGTTTAAACACACATGCTTTACGAACAATTTATGCAGTTAATGCAGTCGTCAGAGGGTCCTGAGGCGACATACATCCTCAGTTTACGAAGATGACGGGATTAAGAGATTAAAGTAAAGACAGGCATAGGAAATCATGAGAGTATTGATTGGGGAAGTGATAAATGTCCATGAAATCATCACAATTTATGTTCAGAGATTGCATAAGGACAGGCGTAAGAAATTATAAAAGTATTAATTTGGGGAACTAATAAATGTCCATGAAATCTTCACAATTTATGTTCTTCTGCCATGGCTTCAGCCAGTCCCTCCGTTCGGGGTCCCTGACTTCCCGCAACAGTATTCAGTATAGTAGTGAGCATCCTTGTTGTGTTCCAGATCTTAGAGGAAAGATTTTCAGTTTTTCCCCATTAGGTATGATATTAGCTGTTAGTCTATTGTATGTGGGTTTTATTACATTGAGGTACACATTGTTAGGTTATTTATTTGAAGTTTTTCTTCTTCTTCAATACAGACACTTGTAGCCATAAAATTCCCTCTTAGTACTGCTTTCACTGTCACCCATAGGTTTTGGTATATTGTGTTTCCATTATCATTTGTTTCAAGAAATTTTTCAATTTTTTTTTCTAACTTTCTTCACTGACCACTGGTCATTCAGGAGCATATTGTTTAATTTCCATGTGTTTGTCTAGTTTCCAAATGCCTCTTGTTATTGACTTTTAGTATTATTCCACTGTAGTCAGAGAAGATGCTTGGTATTATTTCAATTTTTTTGAATGCAGACTTAATCTGCACTACAGACCAAATGGACCTAAGAAATATTTATGGAACATTTCATCCAATGGCTGCAGAATTTACATTCTTCTCATCAACATATGGATTATTCTCAAGGACAGACCATATGTTAGGTCACAAAAACAAGTCTTAAAACATTAAAAAAAAATGGAAAATATACCAAGCATCTTCTCTAACTACAATGGAGTAACACAAAAAGTCAATAATCATCACACTGAGGGTTTTAATCATAAAGGGATGCTGAATTTTGTCAAGTGTTATTCTGTGTCTATTGAGATGGTCATATGATTTTTGTTTTATTTTTCTTTCTTCTTCTCCTTCTTCTTCCTTTCTTTCCTCTTTCTTTCTCTTTCTCTCTCTCTCCCTCTCCCTCTCTCTCTGTCTCTCCCTCCCTCCCTTCCTTCTATTTTTTTTTTTTTATGGAGTTTCGCTTTTGTTGCCCAGGCTGTAATGAAGTGGTGCAATCTTGGCTTACTGCAACTTCTACCTCCCAGGTTCAAGCCACTCTCCCGCCTCAGCTTCCTGAGTAGCTGGGATTACAGGCATGTGCCACCATACCTGACTAATTTTTGTATTATTAGTAGAGACGGGGTTCTGTTGGCTGGGCTGGTCTCGAACTCCTGACCTCAGGTGATCCACCCACCTTGGCCTCTCAAAGTGCTGGGATTACAGGCATGAGCCACTGTGCCTGGCCGATTTTTGTTTTCAATTCTGTTTACGTATCACAGTTGTTGACTTGCATATTTTAAAGTAACCCTGCATCCCTGGTATGAAACCCACTTGATCATGGTGTATTGTCTTTTTGATATGCTGTTGGATTTGGTTAGCTAATATTTTGTTGAGGATTTTTGCATCTATGTTCATCAGGGATATTGGTCTGTAGTTTTGTTTTTTTATGTCCTTTCTTGGTTTTGGTATTAGAGTAATACTGGCTTCATAGAATGATTTAGGGAGGATTCCCTCTTTATCTTTTGAAATAATTTCAGTAAGATTGGTACCAATTCTTCTCTAAATGTCTGATAGAATTCAGTGTGAATCCATCTGCTCCTGGACTTTTTTTTGTTGGCAATTTTTTTTATTACTGTTTCAATATCGCTACTTGTTATTGGTCTGTTCTATTTCCTCCTGGTTTAATCTAGGAGGGTTGTATATTTCCAGGAATGTATCCATCTCCTCTAGGTTTTTTAGTTTTTGTGCATAAAGGTGTTCCTAGTAGCCTTGAATGATCTTTTGTATTTCTGTGGCGTTGGTTGTAATATCTCCCATTTGATTTCTAATTGCGCTTATTTGGACCTTTTGTTTTCTTTTCTTGGTTAATCTTGTTAATGATCTATCAATTTTGTTTATCTTTTCAAAGAACTAGCTTTTTGTTTCATTTATCTTTTGTATTTTTTTGTTTCAATTTTATTTTGTTCTGCTCTGATCTTTGTTATTTCTTTCCTTTTGCTGGGTTTGGGTTTGGTTTGTTCTTGTTTCTGTAGTTTCTTGAGGTGTGACCTTATTGTCTATTTGTGATCTTTTAGACTTTTTGATGTTGGGATTTAGTGCTGTGAACCTTCCTCTTAGCACTGCTTTTGCTGTATCTCAGAGGTTTTGGTTGGATGTGTCACTATTATTGTTCATTCAAATAATTTTCTAATTTCCATATTGATTTCATTGTTGATCCAAAGGTCATTCAGGAGCAGATTACTTATTTTCCAATTTCCATGTATTTGTATAATTTCGAGGGTTCCTTTTGGAGTTAATATCCAATTTTATTTTACTTTGGTCTGCGAAAGTACTTGATATAATTTTGATTTTCTTAAACTTATGAAGACTTGTTCTGTGGCCTATCACATGGTCTATCTTGGAGAATGTTCAACGTGCTGATGAAAATAGTGTATATTCTGTGGTTGTTGGGTAGAATGTTCTGTAAATATCTGTTAAGTCTATTTTTTCTAGGGTACAGTTTAAATCCATTGTTTCTATGTTGACTTTCTGTCTTGATGACCTGTCTAGTGCTGTCAGCAGAGTATTGAAGTCCCCCACTATTATGGTGTTGCCATCTATCTCATTTCTTAGGTCTAATAGTAATTGTTTTATAAATTTGGGAGCTCCAGTGTTAGGTGCATATATATTTAGGGTTGTGATATTTTCCTGTTGGGCTAATCCTTTTATCATTATATAATGTCCCTCTTTGTCTTTTTTAACTATTATTACTTTAAAGTCTGTTTTATTTATACAAGAATAGCTATTCCTGCTTGCTTTTCGTGTCCATTTGCATGGAATATCTTTTTCCACCTCTTTACCTCAAGTTTATGTGAGTCCTTATGTATCAGGCAAATCTCTTGAAGACAGTAGATACTTGGTTGGTGGATTTTTATTCATTCTGTCATTCTGTATCTTTTAAGTGGAGCATTTAGGTTATTTACATTCAGTGTTAGTATTGAGATGTGAGGTACTGTTCTATTCATCATGCTAGTTTTCTTGTTCCCACCTTAGGTAGACAGAATAATGGTCTTGCAAACATGTCCACATTTTAATCCTTGGGACCTGAGAATGTGTTATGTTACATGACAAAGAGGAACTAAGGTTGCTAATCAGCTGACTTTATAATAAAGGGATTATTCTGGTGTCTTAGTTTGGGCTGCTGTAACAAGTACCATATCCTGGATGGCTTATAAACAACAAAAATTTATTTCTCACAGTTCTGGAGGCTACAACTCCAAGATCAGAGTGCCAGCATGGTTGGGTTCTGGTGAGGGCCCCATCTTGCAGTCTGCCTACTTCTCATTCATTGTATCCTCACATGGTAGAAAGAGAGCTAGCTAGCCCTCTGGGCTCTTCTTATAAGGGCACTAATCCCATTCATGAGGGCTTCACTTTTATGACCTAATTACCTCCCCAAGGTCCCACCTCCAAATACTGTCACAATGGGATTAGGGTTTCAACATATTAATTTTGGGGGGGCACAAACATTCAGTCCATTACACCAGGATTATCTGGGAGACAGAAGAGTTAGTGTCAGAGTGATGCAAAGTGAGAAGGTCTCAACTGGCTTATTGTTGGCTTTGAATATGGAAATGGGCCACAGGCCAAGGAATATGAGGCTGACATTTGAAGCTGGAAAAGGCAGGGAATGAGATTCTCTCCTAGAGCCTCCAAAAAGAAACACAGCCCTACCAACACCTTGATTCTGACCTACAGAACTGTAAGATAATATATTTGTGTGTTTTTTTTAGCCACTAAATTTCTGGTAATTTGTTACAGCAGCAATAGGAAACTAACATATACCATCACATTTTTGATAGTTACTTTTCAATTCCAAACACAGCATGTACACACACTGTTTCCTGTACCTTCTTGTAGGCTTAATTATTATACGTACTTCTGAAGTCAGCTTTTATTTGAAGAATTTACTGAACTCTGGGTTTCTTCATTTCTATCCTAACACACTGTGTTTACAACTTCTGTTATACTACTTGTCAAGTGTATTATAATTGATTTTCTCTTTCTCCCAAAACTGTGAGCTCCTAGAGGCCAGAGACTTTTCTTTATTCACAACACCTAGCCCATGAATGAATGAAATGAAATGATAAATAAATGACAATAGAAAGCTCGAAATACTTTTAATTTAGAAGGTACATATTCTGTGTATGAGTCTGTGCATGGGTATGTGCTGGGGTGTGTGTTTTAGGGAACAGATATTCTGAGAAATGTTTAAATTTGTTTAGTCCTCTAATTCTGATAATCTGCCTCAACCTCCTACCCATCTGGCTGGTAATTCAAACCCTGTTATTACTGGAGTTGTGTATAAAAAGTTCCAGGTTTACGTGGGTCTAGGAATGTGGATCTGGTTCCAACACCAAGGTGGTTACCTTACTTTCAAGATAATTAATGTTTAGCCTTCAGTGTTATCAATGATGTGGGGGATGGGGTGGAGTTGGGGGTGGTGGGGGCTGTATACTGGCTTCCTCCAGTGGGGAAAACTCAGAAGCTTCTTGTCACTTCTAGACTTGGGAAGCTATCTTTTATTCACACTAAGCCCTCCTCCTTCAACGTTTTTTTGTTTTTTGAGACGGAGTCTCACTTTGTCACCCAGGCTGGAGTGCAGTGGCGTGACCTCGGCTCACTGCAAGCTCCACCTCCCGGGTTCACGCCATTCTCCTGCCTCAGCCTCCCGAGTAGCTGGGACTACAGGTGCCTGCCCCACGACTGGCTAATTTTTTGTATTTTTCAGTAGAGACGGGGTTTCACCATGTTAGCCAGGATGGTCTCGATCTCTTGACCTTGTGATCTGCCCGCCTCGGCCTCCCAAAGTACTGGGATTACAGGCGTGAGCCACTGCGCCTGGCCCTCCTTCAACATTTCCTTCCATCTGGAGGAGACAAATACAATTCCCTCTTCTAAAAGCCTAGATTTTGCTCTTGAGGCAAGGGAATATACAGGAGAAGAACAAGGTACAATTAACATCACTACAAAATGAATAGGTCTGTTCATTTTCTCACCTCAGGAGAGACCCTTTTAAAGACAATCTTCCTCTTGGGTTTTTTTTTTTTCTCCACAAAAAGCATTTTATTAAAGAGAGAGAGGCAAGTGCCTTTGCATGAAAAAAGGTGGAAGGAACCCCAGTAATGTTGACATTTTTGCCATTCTGACAAGTATGGGGTTCAAATTAAGTCAGACTTAATTTGATTTGATAAAATAAATAGTGTGACTTTTTATACATCATCTTGATGTTATGAGATTTATATCTAAATGCAAGTCATGACTTTTTCCTCTGTAATATCAATTTAAGTACTTCATAATATAGTATTCTTACCTGGAGCACTTAATTGATTCTCTATTTATTAGACAGCTATTTTGGGACAATTAGGTCATTTCCAACTTTTTTTCTAGTATAAACAAATTAAAATAAATATCTTTATAGCTAAATCCTTGTATAGGTCCTGAATTATTTCGCTGTGATAAATTTCTGGAAGTGTAATTGCTGGTTCAAAAGAATGGGCCAAATTTAAAAGCTTTTGATATGAGTTGTTAGGGTCCACTAGAAAAAATATACTTTCACCACAAGTGGCAAAGAATGCCCTTTTGAAATGTTCACCTTGAATAAATAAAAATGGAACCTGTACTAGTTTGCTAGTGCTGCCATAACAAAATATTACAGAATGAGTGGCTTAAACAATAGAAATTTATTTTCTCCTAGTTCTGGAGGCTGGAGGTCAAAGATGAAGTGCTGGCAGTCTGGGGTTCTTCTGAGGCCTCTCCTCCTTGGCTTGCAGATGGTCGTCCCTTTATGCACTTGTGCTCCTGTTGTCTTTCTTATGACACCAGACATATTGAAGTAGGGCCCCACCCTAATGACATCATTTTAATGTAATCACCTCTTTCGAAACCTTATCTTCAATTATGGTTACATTTGGAGGTACTGGGAGTTATGGCTTGAATATATGAATTTGAGCGTGGGGACCAGGGGTGCACAATTTAGTCCATAGCAGAATCCTAACTGTAAAACAAACATGGATCCAATAAAAAGCTAATTTTAAAAAATCACAGTTGCTGCTTTCTGGAAATATAGCTGGCCATAGTCTTTCCTTTCTTTCTCAGTTCATTCTTTCTCTGTCTACGTATAATTTAATATTAAAACACACTCTTTTTAGTGTGTGGTTCTATGACTTGTGTAACCATCACATTCCATTAGCTTTTTGTAATCAAGCTTGCAGGAGGGATGGAAGCCAAAGGCAGTCTAAATTTCAGTTTTATTTTTAAGTGTTTTATTTTGGAAGGCTTAGACACCTGTAAGCGAGTTAAAGAAACAAAGTAAACTCAGGCAGTGATCTAAAAGGCAAAGTAGAAAAAAATAGTTTTTCCTCCTTAATGACGTAGAGTAGGAAATTGACTGCATCATTTAAGTGTTTACATAATACTCCTTTTATTGACTGTCCCTACCTTTACTGATCTAATCTCCAAAAAGAATCTAACATTCTGGCCTGGTGTGGTGACTCATGCCTGTAATCCCAGTACTTTGGGAGCCAGAGGCAGATGGATCACCTGAGGTCAGGAGTTCAAGACCAGCCTGGTCAACACGGTGAAACTCTGTCTCTAATAAATATACAAAAATTAGCTGAGAGTGGTGGCACATGCCTGTAATTCCAGCTACTCAGGAGGCTGAGGCAGGAGAATCGCTTGAACCCTGGAGGCGGAGATTGCACTGAGCTGAGATTGCACCACTGCATTCCAGCCTGGGCGTCAGACTCTTGTCTCAAAAAAACAAACAAACACAAAAAAACTTAACATTCCAGTCATACTGCATATATCCTGGCTTTCTTAATGTCTCTACAACATTCTTGTATTGTCTCTGATCATCCCTATACCCTACTGTATGTAAGGTGTCTAGACCTGACATTTACCTCTGTGAAGCTTTATTAGCCAATAGAAATGAAAACCCTAATGGATCCCCATTTAGGTGGCATAGATCAGGGGTTCCCACCTCCTGGGCCATGGACTGGTATCAGTCTATGGCCTGTTAGGAACTGGGCTGCACAGCAGGAGGTGAGCGGTGGGTGAGCGAGTGAAGCTTCATTTGTATTTACAGCTGCTCCCCATGGCTCACATTACCACCTGAGCTCCGTCTACTGTCACAGCAGCAGCGGGATTAGATTCTCATAGGGCATGAACCCTATTGTGAACTGAACATGTGAGGTATCTAGGTTGTGCACTTCTTATGAGAATCTAATGCCTGATGATCTGAGGTGGAGCTGAGGTGGTAATGCTAATGTGGGGGAGTGGCTGCAAATACAGATTAACATTAGCAGGGAGGTCTGACTGCACAGAGACCATAATAAGTCGCAGACTCATATCAAAACCCTATCAGTGAGTGGCAAGTGACAATTAAGCCGTGGCTGGCAGTAGGCTTTATAGTGGCAAGTGAATTGATGTACTTCAATTGTACAGCTACATCTGGTGGCAGGCTGTCAGAATCTGACACTTAACTTTAGTCTGAGCATGGCCTGCCCATTATTTTATTTACCACTTCCATCCGTGCCTCTTTCCCATGCTATGCACTTGTCTCAGTCATAGTTTTGGTAAGCCCACAAGCTAACCCTAGCCAAAATGAGTAAAAAACAAATGTCACTGGAGAGCTTCTTTGTCAAGGGGGACAGACTGAATGATGAGACATCAGAAGACATTAAGACTTCCATCAAAAACAAAGCTGCATTTAAAAGAAAATACCAAGAGTCCTACTTAAATTACAGGCTCATTGCAACAAGTGATTAACATTCTACAAGCCCACTTTGTATAACATGTGGCAACCGGCTATCCAACAAAGCCATGAAACCTTCAAAACTGCTTCTCCACATGGAAACCTAGCACCTTGCATTAAAACACAAGGCTTTTGAGTTTTTCAAATGAACACAAAGAACAGAAGCAACTGGCCAGGCATGGTGGCTCACACCTGTAATCCCAGCACTTTGGGAGGCTGAGGTGGGTGGATTGCTTGAGGCCAAGAGTTTGAGACCAGCCTGGTCAATATGGTGAAACTCCGTCTCTACTGAAAATACAAAAATTAGCTGGGTGTGGTGGTACGCACCTGTAGTCCCAGCTACTCGGGAGGCTGAGGCATGAGAATCACTTGAACCCAGGAGGCAGAGGTTGCAGTGAGCCAAGATTGCACCACTGCACTCCAGCCTGGGTGAAAGAGAAAGACCCTGTCTCAAAAACAAGCAAACAAAAAACCAGAAGCAATTATTGAAGGCCACCACTTCATCAAATGTATCTGCACTGAGAGCATCATTCTTAGTGGCTAACTGCATTGCTAAAGCTAAGAAGCCCTTTACCGTTGGTGAAGAATTGTTCCTGCCTGCTGCTAAGGACATTTATCATGAACTTTTAGGAGAGGCTGAAGTTCAAAAGGTGACACATGTTCCTTTTTCGGCTAGTACCATAACTAGACAAAGTGATGAAATACAGAGGATATTGGGGCACAATTGTTAGGATTAATGAGTCACCATGGTATGCAATCCAGGTTAATGAGTCTACTGATGTTGACAAGACAACAATGCTTGTTTTTGTGCCATATCTTTTTCAGGAGGATGTGCAGGGGAATATGTTATGTGCACTTTTGTTGCCAACCAACACCACAGGTGCAGAACTATTCAAGACTTTGATTACATATCAGAAAAACGGAATTGGTCATTTTGTGTCAGTATATGCACAGACAGAGTGGCTGATATGACTGGATGGCTTTCTGGTTTCACTACTCAGGTCAAAGAGGTCACTTCTGAATGTGAGTCTATGCACTGTGTCATCTACAGAGAAATGCCGGGTAGCCGAAAATTGTCACCCGAACTTAAGGTTTTACAGGATGTGATTAAAATTATCAATGACATTAAAGTGCATGCCCTTAACTCAATGTCTGTTTGCGCAACTCTGTGAGATGTGTATAAGAAATGAGATGGCTTTCTAAAGGTAGATAACTGGCCAGAATTTTTGAGTTATGAGAGCCACTCCAGAGATTTCTTTTACAAAAACAGTCACCACTAGCAGCACATTTCAGTGACATAGAATGGGTGGCAAAACTTGTTTACTTGTGTGACACATTCAACCTGCTCAGTGAATTCAATCTGTCACTTCAGGGGAGAATGACAACTGTGTTCAAATCAGCAGATAAAGGGGCTGCATTGAAAACCAAACTGGAGTTATGGGGGCGATGAGTGAACATTGGGATTTCTGACATGTTTCAAACATTAGCAGAGATTTTGAAAGTGACTGAGCCAACGCCTTCTTTCTCCCAGCTGCTGCATGATCACCTAGCTCAGCTTTCAAAAGAGTTTGAGCTTTACTTGCCAACCACAAAAAAATCCCTGAGCTGGGAAGGAATGGATCCACCACCCATTTGTGAATAAGCCAGAAGAATTGACTTTGTCGATACTAGAAGAGGATCAACTGCTTGAGATTGCAAGTGACGGCAGCCTTGTATGTTTGAGACAACTTCAAATCTCCATACATTCTGGATGGAATATCCTGAGATTGCCACAAAAGCACTGAAAAGCCTGCTTCCATTTCCAGCATCCTATATTTGTGAAGCAGGGTTTTCTGCAGTGACAGCAACCAAAACTAGATTATGGAGTAAACTGGACATAAGCAACACACTTCGGGTGTCACTGTCTCCCATCACCCCCAGATGGGAACCGGCTAGTTGCGGGAAAACAAGCTCAAGCCTTCCACTGATTCTACGTTACGGTGAGTTGTATAATTATTATATTTCATTGAATATTATGATGCAATAATAATAGAAATAAAGTGCACATTAAATGTAATGCACTTGAATCATCCTGAAACTACATCCTGGTCTGTGGAAAAATTGTTTTTCACAAAATAGGTCTCTTGTGCCAGAAAAGTTGGGCACTGCTGGTAAACTATTATTTAAAAACAATGTAGGCAAAAACTATCTACCAAAATTGTAAATTCCTAAAGTAACAGTTTTCATAAGTTATGGTCTTTATTCCTTCAGGAGTTCATCTTTTACTGTTTTAAGATTTGGATGACTCTGAAACAGTGGTGCCATCTCAGCTAACAACAGCAGCATCTGCCTTCTGGGTTCAAGCAATTCTCCTGCTTCAGCCTCCCAAGTAGCTGGGACTACAGGCATGCGCCACCACACACGGGGTTTCAATTTGTTAGCCATGCTGGTCTTGAGCTCCTGACCTCAAGTGATCCGCCTGCCTCAGCCCCCCCACAGTGCAGGGATTACAGGCACGAGCCACTGTGCCCAGCCCATTTTCCCCTTTCTTTATTATCAATAGGCAAATCCTGACATTTGAATTTTTTTTGTAATAACAAGGTTAATAGCTTTCTACTGTCCTCTTTCATTTTTTTAATGTCATTTATCACTATCTAACATGCCATATACCACTCTTATTTGTTTATTGTCTGCTTCTTCCCACTAGAATGTAAGCATCATGAGGGCAGAGGTTTTTGTCTGTTGTTTACAGCCATATTGCCAGCACCAGGCATAGGATTCATATAATTGGATAAACTGAGCACTTACTGTGTACCAGGCATGTATACATGTTTACATGTAGAATCTTATTTAATTTTCACTACAACAGAAAGATGTTTTATTATTCCCATTTTAAGATAATAAAACTGATTACATTTTTTTAAAAGGTTAAGTAACTTAGCCAAAGTCACATAACTGAATGGTTACAGGGTAAGTGATAGATCAGACTAGTTTACCCTCAAACCTTAGCCCATCTATTTACCTTTGTTACAGTATCCAAACTACTTAACCTAAGATTCAGCACATTCCATAGTATCATTTCATAGTACCAAAGACCCTCAACCTATCTTACCTCTCACTATTTTCTATCTAAAACTGCCTGCTTCTCTCAAACTAACTGGCCCACTCCCTGTCTCTTGAAGCTTATGTTCCCTCTGGATTTTGCTCAAATAAACTCCCTACAGAAATCTTTTTTTTTTTCCTTTCCAACTTTTATTTTAGGTTCAAGGGATACGCGTGGAGGTTTGTTATGTGGGTAAATTGTTAGTCTTGGGGGTTTGGTGTATAGATAATTTTGTCACCCAAGTCATCAGCATAATACCTGATAGGTAGCTTTTTAGTCCTCACCCTCCTCCCACCCTCCATCCTTAAAAAAGACCTGATGTCTAATGTTCCCTTCTTTTGTGTCCATGTGTACTCAATGTGTAGCTCCCACTTATAAGTGAGAACTTGTGGTATTTGGTTTTCTGTTCCAGCCTTAATTTGCTTAGGATACTAACTAGTCTTTGGCTCTGAGGTTCAGTGCAACTTCCAATTCTTTCCTAAATCTTTCCTGAATACTTGAGGATACAGTGAGGAATTCCTCTTAACTTCTTCAGCGTTTACCATATGGTTTTGGAGGCTTTTGGTCACGTAATGCCTCATATTAACTATGTCCCACCCCATTTATCTTGCTTGGCACACAAAGGCTCAATAAATGGAAGCCATTGTAATTTTCTTCCATTCCCATCTGAGTGAGGGCACTAAAAGCAGTAACTTAGGGGTATATGATCTCTCTCTCTGTAAAACATTCGTCTAACCCAACATCTTTAAAAAGCTAACATTCTACTTTTGGGAGGCCGAGGCGGGCAGATCACTAGGTCACGAGTTTGAGACCATCCTGACCAACATGGTGAAATCCCGTCTCCACTAAAAATACAAACATTAGCCAGGTGTGGTGGTGCCCGCCTGTAGTCCCAGCTACTTGGGAGGCTGAGGCAGGAGAATCGCTTGAACCCGGGAGGTGGAGGTTGCAGTGAACCAAGATCGTGCCATTGCATTCCAGCTTAGGCAAGACTCCGTCTCAAAAAAAAAAAAAAAAAAGCAAAGTTAACATTCTAGGCCAGGCGCGGTGGCTCACGCCTGTAACCCAGCACTTTGGGAGGCCGAGGCAGATGGATCACCTAAGGTCAGGAGTTTGAGACCAGTCTGACCAACATGGTGAAACCCCATCTCTGCTAAAATACAAAAATTAGCCGGGTGTGGTGGTGGGCGCCTGTAATCTCAGCTACTCAGGAGGCTGAGGCAGGAGAACAGCTTGAACCCAGGAGGCGGAGGTTGCTGAGCCGAGATTGCGCCAGTGCACTACAGCCTGGGCAACAAGAGTGAAACTCCATCTCAACAACAACAAAAAAGCTAACATTCTAGTTCAAAGAAAGCAACACATAGATGATGTAAATTACACATAAAAAACCATTCACTGAGGTTAAATGAAAATGTCTGCTGGAGTGTGCCAAGGGGACCTGAAAGGGCCTCCTCTGAGAGGGCATCGTGGGAGGGCTTCAAGGAGGGCGGGAGGGTGGCAGGGAGGCAGGGATGTCGCGCCTCGTCTGGTTCCTAATGTCTGAAGTTCTTTTGGTTCCCTGTTGTCTTTCACACCGCCGCCTCGGGCTCGCTTTTGCGCAGGGCCACGTGGCAAAGTTTTAGTTTAACCGCACGTCGGGCCCACTGTAAACGGTTAATAACCGCCTTCGTGGACCAGGCCTCTGCCCTCCATCTTTGTGCGGGCGGGAGGTGGGGCGGGGACGCCAGGTGTAGCGGACAAGCGGAGAGGCGGCGGGTAGATCCGGGCCCCCAACCCCAACAGTCAAGTTTTCAAAAAGCCCGCGCGTGGCGCCCCAGACCGCATCCGTTGGGAATGGCCCCCAGCGCGCCCCCTGCTCTCTCCCCGGCAAAGCCCTGGGCGGGAGAAGGCGCGGGGGTGGTAGGCCGGCTCTGCACGCCGGGGGCGCCGGGGCAAGCGCGCACCGGGGAGCGCGCCCGTCCAACAGCTGCCGAAAACGGAAGTGGGTGCGAGGGGATCACGGTGATTGGCTGAACTCAGATGTCTCTCAAGGGGCTGGCGCGAACGCCACTGCGGAGTTGGGCGAGGGGATGAGTAAAGGGGAGGGGGAGAAACACTGGGAACAGCCGCGGTGCTAGGAGGAAATGAATCGCGGTGGTGCGCGGAGGGCAGGGAGGGACCCATGTCAAGGGACAGTGGGGCGCTCGGGAATGAAAGTGGGCTGGCAGAAGCGGAAGCGGGAGCGGCACAGGCCGCGGGCTTGAATAGACCGCGGAGGGCGGGGAGTCCGTGATCTAGAGCGGCGCTGCGGCGCGGTAGGCGGGATTAAGGGGAGCGAGGCGGGGATTGGCTGGTAGCCCTAGGCTGCCGTACGTCGGCGGTGACGCACGCCTCGGGGAGGGTGCGCGCGCGTTCAGCGGCCTCTTTGTGTGGTGCCCAGATAGGGGAGCGGAGGTGGCGGCGGCGGCGGTAGCGGTGGCCTTGGTTGTCTTCCAGTCTCCTCGGCTCGCCCTTTAGCCGGCACCGCTCCCCTTCCCTCCCCCTTCCTCTCTTCCTTCCTTCCCTCCCCTTCCCTTTTTCCCTTCCCCGTCGGTGAGCGGCGGGGGTGGCTCCAGCAACGGCTGGGCCCAAGCTGTGTAGAGGCCTTAACCAACGATAACGGCGGCGACGGCGAAACCTCGGAGCTCGCAGGGCGGGGGCAAGGCCCGGGCCTTGGAGATGGAGAATTCTCAGTTGTGTAAGCTGTTCATCGGCGGCCTCAATGTGCAGACGAGTGAGTCGGGCCTGCGCGGCCACTTTGAGGCCTTTGGGACTCTGACGGACTGCGTGGTGGTGGTGAATCCCCAGACCAAGCGCTCCCGTTGCTTTGGCTTCGTGACCTACTCCAATGTGGAGGAGGCGGACGCCGCCATGGCCGCCTCGCCCCATGCCGTGGACGGCAACACTGTGGAGCTGAAGCGGGCGGTGTCCCGGGAGGATTCGGCGCGGCCCGGTGCCCACGCCAAGGTTAAGAAGCTCTTTGTCGGAGGCCTTAAAGGAGACGTGGCTGAGGGCGACCTGATCGAGCACTTCTCGCAGTTTGGCACCGTGGAAAAGGCCGAGATTATTGCCGACAAGCAGTCCGGCAAGAAGCGTGGATTCGGCTTCGTGTATTTCCAGAATCACGACGCGGCAGACAAGGCCGCGGTGGTCAAGTTCCATCCGATTCAGGGCCATCGCGTGGAGGTGAAGAAAGCAGTCCCCAAGGAGGATATCTACTCCGGTGGGGGTGGAGGCGGCTCCCGATCCTCCCGGGGCGGCCGAGGCGGCCGGGGGCGCGGCGGTGGTCGAGACCAGAACGGCCTTTCCAAGGGCGGCGGCGGCGGTTACAACAGCTACGGTGGTTACGGCGGCGGCGGAGGCGGCGGCTACAATGCCTACGGAGGCGGCGGCGGCGGTTCGTCCTACGGTGGGAGCGACTACGGTAACGGCTTCGGCGGCTTCGGCAGCTACAGCCAGCATCAGTCCTCCTATGGGCCCATGAAGAGCGGCGGCGGCGGCGGCGGTGGAGGCAGTAGCTGGGGCGGTCGCAGTAATAGTGGACCTTACAGAGGCGGCTATGGCGGTGGGGGTGGCTATGGAGGCAGCTCCTTCTAAAAGAAAATTTAAAATGCCTGGGAGTGGCTATAGGGGTAGCTCTTTCCAACAGCCCAAGTGGGGTCAACTCCTAAGCCCCACCCCCTCACACACACCGCCTTCCCTGTTTTGCCCTTGGGGGAGCCACTTCTAAGGCTGCTTACCCTTGGGGGTGTTCCTCTATTTGCCTGCCACCTCTCTTGTCTCTCCCTCTGAAGATGGACTCGGCCCCACATACACATTTTTGTGTTACAGTCATTGATGGACTCTATTTTTTTATTATTACTTGGACCTTGGTCGTTTTTATACTAGCAAAATGTCTTGTTTTAATTTGTGTTTTTTGGGGGGAGGGAGGGAGTGAACTTGCTGATTCTGTAGCAAAACCTGGGTGGGGGTTGGGGTGGGGGGTAGTTTACTTTGTTGTAAGGACTTGATAACCTGGCTACAGCGTTTTCTATGAAATCTACTTGGATCCCATGCCTGAAATTTGGAAGCATATGTACAAAAATCATTTTTACGTTTTATTTTTAATAAATCATTGTGTTTGACCGTACATGTCTAACATTTTTTTTCTAGGATCCATTCCGTACCGTTTTTTAAGGGATATTTGTTTAAGACTTTACGTGTTAATTCTTTATTCTTGATGTGTACTTAGAGAAACTTAAGAGGTCCTGTGGTTTTTTTCCCCTCTCCTGTTGCCCTGCTAGTTGCGTGTTGAATTATATCCCTTACAGGCAAAACTTTTGAAGTGGTGGATGTGGCTTTTTAAACTCTTAAGTTTCTGTGCATCCATCTCTTGTACTAAGCGAATTGTTTATCATCTTGACATGGTTGGTCATTTCTATGACAATTTACTTCAAACTGTGTACTGTGTAGTTCTATATAGTTTGTGTTAAGCATGTCATTCATATAAACTGTTTAAAATTTTTCAGATGGCCTAGTTTCATCCCTCTTACTGGTTTGTCTGTAATGAATGGTTAAAAATAAGGGTTATATTTTACCCTCAAATGCGTTTTTGTACTTTCAGAGCAGGTTTAAACGTTTTTTTTTTTTTTTTCCTATATCCGAACTGTTGGCCTCATGGAAATCCCTTTCCCGATCTTTGTAGCACCATCTACTGGCAGAATGGCAGAGTAGCTGCGAAACAATTTGTTTAAAAACTTGCTTAAGACAATTGCATCAGATTTGGAAGTTTTGCCATCAAAATTCTTTGCAGAATTGGAAGTTAACACATTTGCTTGTAACTGAGATGGGCTTCACAGGAATGTAGTTGCCAGTTCATATCACAATAGCCCTTTCTATATGAGGTTTGAAAATGTAAACTGCTATGCATAGCTTGGGCAATAGCCCTAAATTGCTATGACAACTAATGAACCAGCTACGTATACTGGTATTTTAGGTGCAAGTTGTAAAGCAAAATATCTGTGTATTCTGCTTGGTTAACAAATGTATATTTGTAGCCCTTTCCTGCAATAGCATTCAAGTTGTTGTTTATAAGAGAAGAACAAAAGTGATAATAGGTGAAAATTGCCTTTCTGGATAGAAATAGAGAATAGCAACGTTTATGGATATCACAAATAAAGAATTCAATTCTTTACATGATTGAGTGAGAGTATGTATAACCTGGTGGGTGGGTTCAGAGTACCTTTTAATCTAGTATGCTTAACTTGATGTTAATATTTAACTTAAATATTTGACTTACATGTTGACGTTGAAGGCTCAAAGCTATACTAAGAAGCTTTCTGAAAGATTGGGCTTTAAAATAAAATAATATTTTAATATTGAACCATTTTTTAACTTCTTGTCACTGTTCAATTCCTAAGGTCTAGTTCTTGCCAGTTTTTTTTTTTTTTTTCCTGATTGGCAGGGCTTTTAAAGAAGTAAGAAGAAAGGTTAAGATTATTAGGCTAGGTTATAGCTGCTCAGTAGTCATTTTGACAAAGGGTAGCGGATGGTTGGTACAAATAGTGTTATATCCTCTATGACAAACGGGGTGGATGTTTTTACACATTGAGGTAATACATAGTCAAATCCTTTGCTCTCAAATAGTTGTACACTTTCCATACATTTCTGTCTTATTTTTTAATTCTAGTGATACACAAATTACATGTGGGCTACTTCATTTGGTAATTTGGTCCAGCTTTTTGGTGGCTGTAGAGTGGCCTCTAGGATACAGAAAATGATTCTCTGAAATTTTTCGTTGTAATTGTTAAATACTACTCTGCTTGACTTACTCAGTTTTGGTGGGAAGATCTGGGTCAATTGGAATAGTACACCTTTCTCAGGGTTTTCAGTTTAATAAGGTTGTCATATTATTCCCAACATGGGAATATAGTGGCTTCTAAAGTTTGCAAATGAATTATGTAAAAGGATTTTCTGTGTATTAGGAAGGCAACCTGTTCTGTTCATGGTATATTAACACTTCATTGTCATGTGTCTACCCTTAAAATTGCTATTTGTAGTGAAGAAAAAAGCATAGTGGTATTTAGTCACTTCTGGGTTCCTCTTGTCAGTTTATATGCAAACATTTTGGCATGTGGGACTTGGGGAGGAGGGACAATTGGTTGTATGTTTTGACCACTTCCACCTATGAAAATTATCTGAACATTATTCAGATTTAAGAGTTCATGGGAGCAGGTGGTACAGAACCTAGTGTTGAATATAATTTTTGTGCCATGCTTGAATGTATTTTGACGGATTAGCAAAATAAAAGTGAACCTCCTATTTTTCATCTTAATGTGAAGATCTTTGGCATTTACATTCTTTTAAAAGTATAAATTCAGTAGTCATTAGTTGAAAGTGGTTTGAAAGGCTGTTAGAGATGATACAGGTTGAGTATTCCTTATCTGAAATTCTTGGGCCCAGAAGTGTTTTGAGTTTTAGATTTTTTTCAATTTTTGAATATTTCCATTATGTTTACCAGCTGAGCAGCTCTCATACAAAAATGTAAAATCCAAACTGCTTCAATGAGCATTTCCTTTGAATGTCATGTCTGCACTCAAAAAATTTCGGATTTTGGAGCATTTTAGATTTTTTGATTGGAATATCTGTAGTGTTTTTCAGGTCATTTAAAAAGCTCTCATTGGTACTGATTTACTGTATCCAAAAAAAAGCCTGCAAGTGGTTAAGGTTCACAGTGATAACTATCAAATCAGAATGACTATACTGATTGTACCCATTCATCCATTTTTAACTTAGTGATTTGGAACGTTTCATATTCAAATCTAATTTTCATAATTTTTAAGTAAACCTAAAAGATTGAGGATACTTGAGAAATTTGCATTTATGATTTCCTTCAAAACCAGAAGTGATGGTATCAGTTATTGGATTTGTAAACTTAGTTTACCTTTTAAGTGTGCTTAAGTTTTGAGAGTTTGCATTTTAGGTTAAATTTTGTCTGCCCGCGTCTGCTGATTGCAGATAGGCATTTGGATGTTGGATTTGGAGCAGAACTGCATCTAGACTACACGGATTTTACCCAAAAAGACAGCACTTGCACTTAGGCTAAGTGTCTTTCTCCATCGTAACCAATTTATTGAATCACTTTAAGAGTGATCATTGGGGAAATTTTCCTCCTCAGCCTTATTTTGGCCTTTTGAAACAGCAACAAAGACTGCCTAGTCAAATAACTCCTTAGCTGTCCTGCTTTTGAGTGAACTTCATATTTGCCTTGAATGAGAATTTAAATGTTACAAGGTAAAACATTTATTATAAAAAGATATTTGAAAGCTGCTATTTAAAAAGGAATTCCAAAGTAGGAAGACTAGAAGGGCAATTCTCTATTTTCCACCTATTTTTTTTACTTTGATTTGAAGCCAGATGATTTGAACCTTCAGAGAGGGAAAGGATTCAGGAAGACACCTTTGGTAGTTATTCTTAACTGTTTCCTTCTCTATTCAGGCAGGCTTTCTTTGTCTCTTTAATTCTTTTACCACTTTGTATGGTTTACTTAAAAAATCTATCTGAAATAGCTATCATTTCCTGCTATAAAGTTCTCAAGTGTAAACTTTTGCCATTTAAACAGTGTGCTTATTTCCCAGTGTTTACCGTCAATTTCATTGGGTGTTAGGCACCTTTGTGTAAGACAGTTCTATAATGTGGAGGTACACAGCAGTGAGACAAACATGGTTGCTGTCTTCATATACCTTGCGTTCTGGTTGGAATTCAATTTATTTTGAAATGGGAATTCAATTTATTTTGAGATGATGCATCTTTTCCTTTACAGCATTGTGTCACAATCTCATATTGTTCACACCATCAAAATTGGAGTTAGCTCCATTGTCATTGAATGTACATTCTCTGATGAAAATTAAGACTCTTTTCTCCTTAATTGATTACTTTTTAGAAATCAAAGGTGTATTTTGTCTTTGATGCTTACGTTGCAAATGTAATTTGCTTCATAGTGGGTATCTGATTTAATATTTCATAGCCCTTAAGGACGTAAATTTGGGCATCCAATAGACCAAATTCTGTTCCTGACACAGTCACTTTCTAGCACTGCGACCTTGGACAAACTGGCCCGAGCCTCACTTGCCTTATTTGTAAAAAAATAGGCTATGGTAATACCTGCTACATAGGATTGTTGGGCAGATTCAGTGAAAGAATGCATATAAAGAAGGGCTTACTGTAGTCTCTGGTACACAGTAATTTTACTATATGGCCCCTAATGAAGAGGTGGGACAGACTAGCAAAAGGCATACTTTTATATCTTAGTACCCGAGATATGCATGGTCTTTAGGCTTTGCTCTTTACTTGCTGGGTGAGCTTCCATGTGGTAGTTCTCTAAATCACTGCTGCTTCAACTCTAGTAGGAGAGAGATGAATTCTGCTAGCCATCTGTAATGTTTTAAGTATTTGTTAATATTAGGAAGGTATAAATAATGTGAGTGTTGAGGAGAGGTGACTTCAGGTAGGAAGAAGGATCAAGAGAGGCATTGTGGAGCATATAACATTTAACCTTAAAAGATAGGTCTTATAGAGAAGGTGGGAGGAGAAAGAGGGCATTTTAGGTGGAGGACAGATAGGCAGAAACATGGAGCGTATTTGGAGAAGTATGCATATTGGATGCCAAACACTAGGTACATTTACAAATGTTCTCATTGCATCATTCAGTAACCTTCACAGATAAGGTTGCTAAATCTCATGCCAGAAAAGTAACTCCCAAGGACCCCCAGCTGGTGACATGGTAGAACTGAGAGTTGAATCCAAGTTTGACCAATTCTAGTTGTTTCGCTCCTTCTACTAAGCTTCATTGACTTCCAGCTAACAAATGTCTAATTTGTACTAAGATAAAAGAGAGTTGTGAGAAATAAATTGAGAAAATGAAGTTGGAACCAGGTTACTGAGGTCTTTGAGTAGTAGGCTAAGGAGTTTGGACTTAGGGTAGGCAGTAAAAGTCATTAAAGGTTTTTGAGCAACAATAATGGTAGTGAAACTAATTCACAAAGATTAGTCCAGTAGCACTGAGTAACATAAATGGCAGTGGGGGATGTTTCAAAGTGGCAAGTTTGCTAAGACAACTGATGTTAACCAGGTAAGAGAATGAGAGCATGAACAAAGAGCAATGGAAATAGACTGACAAAGAAGTTGAGGTAAGTTGTGAAAGCATAATTGACAAATATTTGGATATATGAAGAATGAGGAAGAGAGAGTAGATTAATCAAAATTACTGTGTGAGAGGATGGTGATGCCACTGGTAATAGGAAGAGAAGATTTAGAGGGAAGATTTGGACATAGTTGAAGATGCTGGTAGCACATTGAAGCATTGTGTCTTGCGCATATAGCTTTACAAAATGGCCATTGTGCTGGATATTCTTTTTGCCCTTCCTGATCTATTTTCCATCTTTATCTCTCTTGTTCTGTGTTCCTGGGAGGCTGACAAATAAAGAACTGCATACTCTCTTTTCTGGCTTTATTCATGGTGGGTTTGGACAGTGATAGAAAAGTGAGGCTGAAATATTTGCTCCTTCTCTTTCTCATATACTTAGCAAGAGATTGTGAGTGGCCACAGCTCTGCTCCAGTGGCCCTCTTATAGCTCTAGGTCTTTTCTGGCTTCTCGTAACTGTCTCCTATTGCTAGATTCTCTAGTCCCAAGAAGGTTCAAACCTTGTTGATTTGCCTTAACTGTGCCCATACCCTTGTAAATAGTTCCTTTTATTAAAACTCTTCAATAACTGAATATACTGTGGTCATCTCTTCAGTGAAATTAAAAAAAAAAACTTCTTTCACATTTTCTTATGACTTGATCTTCCCACACCACCAAACGTGAAGATCTAGCTATTTGCACTAGGTTACTATCCCTAAATTCAGTGCCTCCCTGTTTCTTAGTATGTCAAGTTAAAATTTGTTACTCTTCTGCTGGGTGATTGTGCTGGAAATACAGAAGAAAAAGACAAAAATCCCTGCCCTCAAAGAGCTTATATTTTACTGGGGAGAGACAGGCAATAAGACATAATCAATTATATGGTATGTTAGAAGATGAGAAGTATAGAAAAAATTAGGGTGAGGAATGGCGATTGTTGCAAGGGATGTTTGTGAGGATAGCATACTTTAAAATAGGTGGTATGGGTAGGTCTCTCAGAAAGTGACATTTGAGCAAAGACTTGAAGGAAATGTGGGAGTGAGCAATATAGGTATGGGAAGAGCATTCTAGGTAGAGGATTAGGAAGAGCAAAAGCCCTGAAGCAGGACTGTGTCTGGCCTCTGAAGAAATGCAAATTGTTCAGGGTTGTTGGACCTGAAGGAAGAGGAGGAAAGGAATAATGAGGCCAGAGGGGCCAGATCATGTAGGGATTTGTAGGTTGTTGTAAGGATTTTGGTTTTCACTAAATGAATGGTGAACCATTTCAGTTTTGAGCAGAGGAGTTCCATGATCTGATTTGAATTTTAAAAGATGTGTTTCCCAAAATTCCTATTCCTTTCATACAGCTGCTTTCAATGAAGGTTTATAAGGAAAGCAATCAGAACTACTTGGATAAGGTATAAGTGATCCACAATCTTTTCAACTCTACCATAGGTATCTACATATATATGTTGAGAGATGCTGCTTTTTGGCCAAAATGAATCTTGAATTGGGGGTGTGCAGAAAAAGTTATATCTGGCCTGAGGCTGGTATCTTTTAGAGTGGCCTACTTGCATGGTTGGCCCTTATCTGAACACGTGGATTTAGGGGTATTCTCACTGTTCACTAATAAAGGTGGTTCACTGTACCTAGACTGTTCAAACAAGATGATTTATGCTAAACACCTGCTTTCCTTCTGGGAGTATGGAATTTTGGTACATGCCAGGTAAAGGATGTCTATATGACCAAACTCCCAATGAAAACCTTGCATACTGAGTCCCTAGGCAGAAACATCCCTCGTATAAAAATGTGCTCTGTGTGAATCTTCATGGGAGGGAGAGATCCTAAAGAAGCCTGCACATGGATTCCTCCAGATTCTGCTTATGTCTTTTTCCTGTATGATCCAACTGTGTACACTTACTGTGTCACTGTAATAAACTTTAGCCATGAGTACGATACTTAGCAGTGCTGAGTTTTGTGAACCCTTCTATCAAATCTCAATATGGGCTTGGTCCGGGGGATCCCTGACACAGGCAGATTTTTTTTTTTTTTTTCAAAGAGTCACCAAGTTAATTGGAAAACATCAGGTTATGGATAGAAGGAGCAGTTGGGCAACCTGTCACAGAAGTCAGCCAGCTCTGTCTAGTGGAGAGCTCTTCTGAGCTGTTTCTGCTTTGTTAATTCCTTTTCTTTCTCCAAAAGCTTCCCTCCATTTGGTTTTGTCACACTTTATACATTTGTAACAAACTGCTGACCGGAATTTGTCCATCAGGTTATGAAAAATGGCAAATGAGGAGAGTAAAATTATGGATTTATTTATTAAGAACTATTAAAGTATTCATATGCTCTGGGACACCATTACTAGGAATTTAACCTTAACAGAACAGTTTATTGAAAAATTTATTGAAAGGAAAACAGTCTTTGCATAAAAATTATGACGTAGCAAAAAATTGGAAACTAAATGTCAAATATTAGGGAAATGTTAACTGTGGTCTGTCAAAAGGTGAAATATTAACTCAGTGTTATCAGGTGAATGAATTAACAAGATGTGGTATATACATACAATGGAATATTCAGCCATAAGAAAGAATAAATTTCTGGTATATGCTACAAGATGAATGAAAACATGCCAAGTGAAATAAGCCTGCACAAAAGGACATACTATGATTGCACTTAAATGAGGTACCCAGAGTAGGCAAATTCAGAGAGATAGAAATGGGAAATTACTGTTTAAGGGATACAGAATTTCTTTTCAGATGTTGAGAAAGTTCTGAAAATGGATAGTGGTGATTGTTATACAACATTATGAATGTACTTAATGCTGATGAATCGTATATTTAAAAATGGTTAAAATGGCTTTTTTTCTTTTTTTTGGAGGCCGGGTCTTACTCTGGTGCCCAGGCTGGAGTGCAGTGGCATGATCATAGCTCACTGGAGCTTCGAACTGTGGGCTCAAGTGATCCTCCCACCTCAGCCTCCCCCGTAGCTAGAACTGACTACAGGCACGCGCCACCACAGCTAGCTAATTTAAAAAATCTTTTTGTAGAGATGGAGTCTTGCTATATTGCCCAGGCTAGTATTGAACTCCTGGGCTCAAGTGATCCTCCCACCTCAGCCTACCAAAATCCTGGGATTACAAGTGTGAGCCACCACACCTGGCCTAAAATGGCAAATTTAATGTATATTTTACCACAATAGAAATTGTAATGAAAAAATATATTATTTAACATAATAAATATGTAAGTATATTAAAGTAGTGGGATGAAAAAATTGTATCTTTTAAATATTTTTTTAAAGACAAGGGCTTGCCCTGTTGCCCAGGCTGTAGCACAGTGGTGGTGCAATCATGGCTCACTGCAGCCTCAAACTCCTGGGCTCAGGTGATCCCTCTGCCCATGCCTTCCAAGTAGCTAGGACTACAGGTGCACACCACTATGCCTGGTTAAGTTTTAAAATTTTTTTTGTAGAGATGAGGTCTTACCATGTTCCCCAGGCTGGTCTCAAAACTACTGTGCTCAAGCGGTCCTCTCTCCTTGTCCTCCCAAAGTGCTGGGATTACAGGTGTGAGCCACCATGCCCGGCCAAAAAAATTTTTTAAATGAAATCATGGGACGTTGAAATTACCTATTTGCAAATATTTACAATTATGAATACCTTTTAAAAACTCCATAGAATTATTAAGTTCTCAATTTATTTCTATTCTCATGTCATCCACCCTCTCCCCAACTGGAAGTTGCCTCTTCTCCCACCAAGTTTCCATGATACCCTTTCTGTACTTGACTCTCATACTTTTTACCATTGTATATGCCTATGTCTAATTTTCTCAAACAGCTTGTGTGCTCTTTGGAATTATATTAATATAGGATTTATGTTGTCAGTCTCTGGTACAGCCTGCATAGTAGATATTCAGTGAGACTTAGTTGACTGAATCATAAGCATGCTATTTTACGAAGGTAGAGATTTACCAAAATGTTTGAGCATACGTGCCCATGGGTTTTATATCACTTCAAGTGTGTGCCTGCCTCAATTCTCTGTACTTGCTAGATGTGCAGACCTGATCTCACCCACATACACATCACTGTATTCTTGACTTTAGGGCTTTGCATCATTCATTTATATTTTACCTTTTTATGTAAAACAGCCCAATTTTCTTTGGATCCCGAAAGGAAAGAACTGCAGGCGTGAGGCAGGGGCAGCAGATAGAGGAGAGGATCATTGCAGTCAATTTAAAGTTGCATATGCCTATTGGAAAGTTGTAAGTAAGAAATAATGTTCATTCCTGAATAGAATGTCTGTGAAGGAAGCATATATTTTTTTCCTTCTTAAGCCCCAGTTGTAGTAATTAGGTTTTACTTTTGTTATGAAGAGATGTATACTTTTGCCAGCAGAGGGCACCAGTTGTAGGTTGCAGATTCATGGGAAGACTCAGAGACCAGTGTGCTGGTCTGTGTGAAGCACTCTGCTTGTTGCTTTAGTTGGTCTGCCCCCCACCCACCCGCCTTTTTTTTTTTTTTTTTTTTAATTCCCTTGGGTTCCAGTGGTACTCTTCCAGCTTTCCCCAAGAGCATTCTTTGGCTAGTCCTGGTTAATAAGCTAGGTGCCCAGATGAATCCAGGTGGAAGGACTTTATTATAGTAGCTGTTTGGAAGCCTTGGATGCCAGCTTGTATGTAATATCTTTAGGGGTTCAAAGCTGTTTTTCCTCATCCAGAGGTAAGGTGAAAAAGGCATTAGGCCAGGCATCTGAGGGTCTGGTTCTGCACTGAGGTTGGCTCTCTAAGTAGTTTTGAGCCAGTTACCTTTTCTCTCTGTCTCAATTAGCTTATCTCTAAAATGGAGACAGTAAGATAGGGGTAGTACATTCTGTGTATAGCTAATAGTGGTCTCTTAGGTCAGGCAGACCTGGGTTCAAATTCCAGCTTTGCCATTTACTAACTGTGGGGCCTTGGTTCAAGTTATTTAACTCTCAGAACCTCGATTCTCTCATGTTTAAAAGAGAAATAATAGTCCTACAGGGTTGTGAGAATTAAATGACAAGGGTACATGTGAAGTGTGGAATACAGGGTCTGGCCCAGAGTAAATATTCAAGGAATGGGAGCTATTATTACCATTCAGGGGATGTTGTCTTAAGTCAAAGGAGATGATGGATATGAAGCACTTTGTAAGCTTAAAAATGCAACACAAATGGCATGAGTGATTATACTCTGGAATCTACTTGGCGTGAATTCTTTTACCTTCAGAGGAAGAGTCCTTATTCCTCTGGATAAGGTGCTGTTTTGTTTCTCTTTTGACTTTTTGGGGTCTCAAGTTCCTTTTCAGTTTCTGCCTGGCTGTCTGAGGGCACTTGGCAAGTGCTCCTGAATATGAGAGGGCATTTTGGTGATACAGGTGTGGGTGGACCTTAATTTAGCTTTGGTCTTGTCTACTCCTTGCTGACCTGTTGGTAATAGTAACCAGTGGAGATGTGAAAATAGCTCCAGGAGAGGCCCTACCCTGGTTAATTTTCTTCTTGAACCTAGGACCGAGTGCTCAGGTTCGGTAGCATTGGCACAGACAATGAAAATCATAGCTACTAATGGTTGCTGAGTGCTTATTATAGGCCAGGCTCTCAGCTAAGTGCTTTACATTCTAACCTAACAATGCTGTGAAGTAGGTACTATTGTTCTCACCTTTTTTCGAATGAGAAAAATCGAAGCTTGTAACTTGCCTAGGGTCATGTTTCTGGTAAGTACATTTGGACCTTGCCCTGTCTGATTTTAATGGTCTGGGCTCTTTTCATTGTTCAGGTGATGTTTGCATCTAGCTGTGCATTAGAGTCACCTACGAAGTTCATTAAAATTCCCGTTCCTAGTGGGTGCGATAGCTCACACCTGTCCATCCCAGCGTTTTGGGAGGCTGAGGCGGGAGCACTGCTTGAGCCCAAGGAGTTCGAGACCAGCCTGGGCAACATAGAGAGACCCCGTCTCTAAAACTAAAGGAAAAAAATTAAAAAAATTCCTGTTCCTCAGGCCCTGATTCTATGGGTGTGAGGAAGAGCCGGACCCTGTAGTGTTTTTTCATTTTTCCAGATTTATTGAGGTATAATTTGCATAAATAAACCCATTTTAAGTGTATAGTTTAATGAAATGCAGTACTTGTATACAGTTGTGTAGGTATTACCACAGTCAAGATACGGAACATTTCTATAACCCTAAAAACTTTTCTTCATGCCTATTGATCTGACACCTACCATTTTAACCAGCTGGGCAGATGGTTCTGATGCACAGCTAGGTGTGGGACCATTGTACTGTGTTATGGTGCCTGCAAATGTGAGGAACTGATGTCCTGGAGAAGGAGGGTAAAGGCAAGAAAAGAAAAAGAGCATTTACAAGGAAGAATGATTGGCTTAGCTGTCTTCAGATAAATTTAACTGGCTCCCTGTACAGAGATAGAGTATGGAAGAGAGAACTTTCTAGATAAAACCTAGCTTAAAAAAGTTTCTCCTCCCAACATGGTTTCTTCCTAAGCCACATAAGAGCTGAATGATTCTAAACAAAGTTGGTGTAGATGGCTGAATACATTGCTTTGGGGTAGAGATCTGGGGCCACTAGGGACTTTTGATAAGCTGTAGAAGAAGGCTGGGGTGTGGGAAGGACTGGGCTAAGACAGTGGTCCCTAGGTCACAGACTGGTACTGGTCCATGGCCTGTTAAGAATTGGGATGCACAGCAGGAGGTGAGCAGCCGGCAAGCGAGCATGACCACCTGACCTCTGTCTCCTGTCAGCTCAGCAGTGGCATTAGATTCTCCTAGGAGCATGAACCCTATTGTGAACTGTGTGTGCAAGGGATCTAGGTTGTGCGCTCCTTGAGAAGCTATCTAATGCCTGATGATCTGAGGTGGAACAGTTTCATCCTGAAACCATCATCCCCCCTGACCCCCCACCCCCATCCTTGGAAAAGTTGCCTTCCATGAAACTGGTCCCTGGTGCCAAAAAGGTTGGGGCCTGCTGGACTAAGACACTATTATTGCTGAGCAATCTGAGGATGGGACCTTTTTCTCCAGACAGATACCACATTGATTATTTTGACTCTCCTCTACTGCAGGACTCCAATAGCAACTGTCCTTAATCTGAAGTCCAGTCAGGAAAATTAGCATAGAGCAAACAGGTTCAGACTGTGGTCCAGAGAACATTTGGATAATAAGGTAGAAAATGTAAAATGTGTTTCTGAAACTGGAAAATATTGGGGGTAGGAACTTTGTGCCAGGAGTCTGGAGACTTTGCTTCTTGACTCAGCTCTGCCCCTGGTTTTGCTAGATAACCTTTCTTCCTTTTTTTTTTTTTTCCTAAATTTCATCTTTAATTTTAGATCGAGGGGTACATGTACAGGTTTGTTACATGGGTATCTTGCATGATGCTGAGGTTTGGGGTATGAATGATCCTGTCACCTAGGTAATGAGCATGGTACCCAATAGGTAGCTTTTCAACTACCTTTTTAGGCTTGCTCCTTGTATTAGGTGGTTATTGTGTTGTTATAAAGAAATACCTGAGGCTTGGTAATTTATAAAGAAAAGAGGTTTAATTGCCTCATGGCTCTGCAGGCTGTACAGGAAGCGTGCTGGCATCTGCTTCCGGGGAGGCCTCAGGAAGCTTACAATTGTGGTGGAAGGCAAAGGGGGAGCTGGTATATCACGTGATGAGAGCAGAGGCAAGAGAGTGAGGAGGAAGGTGCCACACACTTTTAAACAACCAGATCTCGAGTGAACTCAGAGTGAAAACTCTTTATTATGGGGACAGTGTGAAACTATTATGAGTGATCTGCCCCTATGACCCAAGCACCTCCCACTAGGCCCTATCTCCAACTCTAACACTGAGGATTACATTCCAGCATGAGATTTGGAGGCTACCAACATCCAAATCATATAACCCCTTTTCCCTCCCTCCATCCTCTAGTAGTCCCCAGTATCTATTGTTCCCATCTTCATGTCCATATGTACCCAATGTTTAGCTCCCACTTATAACTGAGAATGTGTGACATTTGGTTTTCTATTTCTGCACTAATTCACATAGGATAATGGCCTCTCGCTGCTTTCATGTTGCCACAGAGGACATGATTTTATTCTTTTTTTATGACTGTGTAGTATTCCTTGGTATATATATACCACACATTCTTTATTCAGTCCACCATTGATGGGCACCTAACTTGATTTTTTGTCTTTGCTATTTTGAATAGTGCTGCGATGAACATACAAGTGCATGTGCCTTTTTGGCAGAATGGTTTATTTTCTTTTGAGCATATACCTAGTAATGGGATTGCTGGGTCGAATGGTGGTTCTATTTTTAGTTCTTTGAGAAATCTCCAGACTGCCTTCCATAGTAGCTGAACTAATTTACATTCACCAGCAGTGTATAAGCATTCCCTTTCCTCCACAGCCTTGACAACATCTGTTATTTTTAGACTTTTTAATAATGGTCATTTTGACTGGTGTGAGATGGTATCTCATTGTGGTTTTGATTTGCATTTCTCTGGTGAGTAGTGACGATGAGCATTTTTTCATGTTTGTTGGCTGTTTGTATGTCTTCTTTTGAGAAACGTCTGTTCATGTCCATTGCCCACTTTTAAAAATGGGTTTACATGTTTTTTGCTTGTTGAATTAAATTCCTTATAGATTCTGCATATTAGACCTTTGTCAGATGCAGTTTATGAATATTTTCTCCTATTCCGTACATTGTCTGTTTACTCTGTTGATAGTTTCTTTTGCTATACGAAGCTCTTTAGTTTAATTAGGTCTTACTTGTCAATTTTTGCTTTTGCTGCATTGCTAGAAGGGTATTTCCTAGGTTTTTTTCCTTTTTTAAATAGTTTTAGGTCTTACATTTAATTGTTTACTCCATCTTGGGTTTATTTTATTTTATTTTTTGAGACAGAGTCTTGCTCTGTCACCCAGGCTGGAGTGCAGTGGTGCAGTCTTGGCTCACTATAACCTCTGCCTCCCAGGTTCAAGTGATCCTCCTGCCTCGGGCTCCCAAGTAGCTGAGACTACAGGCACATGCCACCACACCTGGCTAATTGTAGTATTTTTAGTAAAGATGGGGTTTTACCAGGTTGGCCAGGCTGGTCTCAAACTCTTGACCTCAGGTGATCTGCCCGCCTTGGCCTCCCAAAGTGTTGGGATTACAGGTATGAGCCACTGTGCCTGAGTTAATTTTTATATATGGTGATAGGGTCCAGTTTCTTCTGCATATGGATAGCCAGTTATCCCAGCATCATTTATTGAAGTCCTTTCCCCATTGCTTATTTTTGTTGACTTTGTCGAAAATCAGTTGGTTGTAGGTGAACAGCTTTATTTCTGGGTTCTCTTTTCTGTTCCATTGGTCTATGTGTCTGTTTTTGTACCAATACCATACTGTTTTGGTTACTGTAGCCTTGTAGTATAGTTTGAAGTCAGTTAATGTGGTGCCTCCAGTTTTGTTCTTTTTGCTTAAGATGACCTTTCTTTTCTAAATGGCCTCTTCTGAGTGTTCTCTATTCTGTCTACCTCCTGTGAATCATGAGTGGTGAATAAAGTATGAAGGTGTAGTCGTATGGTTTTGCAGGGAAATTTAGCAGGGTTTTATACTGGCTCTTAATAGTTATATTTTGAAACTTGAATACATACAACCCTTACATATTTCCTTTTCTGATCTTTTTTCTTTGTCTGGTTTGTTAGATGTGGCATTTCCACACCTTCCTGTATGGCGAATATGTAAACGTGGGTATGTGCAAAGGAGGAGTCATCTCTTTCTTATGTCCCTTTTATGAATCACCCAGTTGTGTTCCTGGTGGATGTCTGAACTCTGGCACGGATTCCGAGATTCAGTTTCCTTATTTGTGATGTTCAGCTTTTTGTGGTCCCTGTGATTGGCCTCAAGAGGAAATATCTGGAGCAGGGCCACAAGGCTGATTAGAGGAGGAAGGGACATAGAGGGAACAAGATATGAGGGGTATTGTTGTGCAAGGAAGAAGTGAAGATACAGCCCTGTGGGGTGTAAATGAAATTATCCAGGCCTCTTCTCACTTGAGAAAGAGTGAGTGTGAGTAATGGCCTTGTCTAAGAGAACACTGAGGTGCCAGGGGAGGTAATCTTTGAGAATAACCCTGTAGCCAGTTTGAGTTCAGGAGGCTATATAAAGTTTTAGTTACTTTTACTTTCTGTCACCTCAGTGTTCCTCTCTTCCTTCTGTGGTTTTAGGGCTTTGTAGTAGTGAAGAAATTTAACAGGTTAAAATGATAAGGATGATAGATTTACTGAGCGTCTCTTCGTACTTTCACCTACATCATGTTATCCTCCTTGAAGCCCCCTACAACACATTGGAGCCTAGTATTTCTTCTTAAACAATCACACGGATTACTCTGAGAAGAAAAACGGACCATTTAAAACATTTTTAGAATCCTGTGATCTTGGAGCTGAAAGGGACTCTAAAGATTGTCTGGTCTGACCCTATATTGTGAATGAGTAGCTGAGCATGAGGTCCAGAGTGTGGAGAACACTACTCAGGAAAGTCACTCACCCAGTGAGTGCTGGTGTGGATTCGGAAAAGCCCAGGGGTGCCATGAGGTGTCCCAGAAGAGAGATGCTCATAGCTGATTTTTTTCTGAGGCATTAGGATAGCTTCTGCACCACTTTTTGCAGCTAATTGTCCCAGTTACCTCTAAGCCTCTGTGGCTAGGATATACAGACTGGCCTCATGCCTTCCACAAGATTATGTTTTAGTTTGGGAAAGAAGATTTATAAATAATGAATTAGCCAAGACTGTATATTAGGTGTGAGATGACGATACAGGAAAGTATAGTTTGTGTATTTTGGTGGTGATTGACTGTCATTGGTGTGATTAGGGAAGGTTTTATGAAGACATGGGATTTGACTGGACTCCCAGAAAGACTAAAGGACTGGGATTGGAGAAGGCATTTCAGGCAGGGAGAGTTAAATTAGTCTAAATTGAAGCTCAGCAGCTGGAGATTACAGGATGTGAAAGATCTTTGGCTGGATATGGGGGTTCAGTGGGAGACTTACTAGTTGGAGCCACTGCTTAAGTTAAATTCCAATATGACAGATTTTAGGAAGATATTTTAGGATTGTGCTAAGATATTTTAGTATTCATTGTGATAGCTTTACTGCAGTAGTCTTTGGCCTCTTGCAGTAAAATAGGGTTTGTTTCAGTTTCACCTATTTGTACTACCTCTCTTTTTCGACTAGTTTTCCAATTTCTCTCTGTATTCTCTTAATTTCTCTCTGTGTTTTTCTCACTTCTGTCAGGTGCTTTTCCCTTAACTTCTCCCCATCTATCAGACACTCAGAGCTACTACAGAATTTGGGAGGAGGATTTGGAACATAAACTGTGACCTACAAGTGAATTTCCCCAGGTGGATGATAAACTCCACTGCAGGCCACAGAGGGGCCTCCTCATTCCAGCAATCTGGCCAGGCTGACAGACTCATAGCCTATGGGAGCAGGGGAGGGTGTAGGGGCCAGTATTTCTCGGGCTAGTGACGAACTGCCTGATTCTTTGCAGCCTAGACAGAGGAGGCAGGAGCCCCAGGGGCGGGCTAATCGCCTGGGCTGGGGATGCCTGGGCAGATGCAGAGGAAGCTGGAAAGGTGGCAGTGCACCTGGGTCGCTGGAGCTGCCGCCGTTCCTAGGAGACCAAGGAGCAGCAAGCCTGCGGGGGAGGGGGAGCAAGTGGGTTGCTGCTTTTAGCAGCTGAAAGGGCTGCAGGGAGCTCTGGGTAAGACATTTTCTGTTGCTGCTGCTTTTGCGGTAGAAGCTGCTGCGAGTAAGTCAGAGGAAGGAGGATTGAGAAGGGAGGAGGCTTCACTTGCAGCCATGCTGAATCACTGTTGCTGATCAGATTTCCCACTGGTCTGCTGGGAGAATCAAGAACAGAACTAGGATCCCCGAGTGCATACACAGTTCAGCAGCTACCACCCTGGCTGGGCCTCACACAATGGAGGGTGAAAGGTATGTATGTATAAGTGTGTGCTGTGTTGTGTGTGTATGTAAGTGTATGTGTGCTTGCGGTGCAGCCACCAGCTTTTGTGTTTGCATTGGCTAGGCAGAGTTGGAAGACCTGGCCACTGATGGATCTTAAAGGGCGCCAGAACAAGAGCAGGAAAGCCGCTTTCCAAATCACCCGTTCCAGGGCTTGAATCTCCAGAGATCTGGCTTCCGCAAAGGCAGGTCTGGGTTTGCTAGGCAGCGGAGCACCCTGAAAGAAGGGACTTCCTGGCTGGTGTTCGGGAATAGTTTCAGCACAGGCTGAATCAGATTGCCTTTCTCAGGCTGTTTCAAGGAGGCGTTTCCCTTTCCTGGCTCCTTTCCCGGGGTGTTTTTTCTTTGGTGGGGGGTTTTTGATGTCATAGTGGGGCTGACCTGACATAGTGTACTTGCATTTTCACGCAGGAGTGCTTGAATCTTCAGCAAGCATGCCATGCTGATGGCTGTGTGTGTGCGCGCGTGCACGCCGTGTATGCCTGTATACACACACATTCAGGGATGAAGGAGAGAAACCCAGTCAGATGATACTTGCTCTGAACTGAGTTTCATATTTGTATTGAAAAGTTTATGAGTGATACTGGAAGGTCTGTGCTTCCTCCATCAGGGATTTCTTTTGAAATAGGAACCAGCAGAAAAGATTTTAAGTACTTTTGTTGAGCTGGATCTAACTAGCGAGGCAGTTAGATCCTGGCAGGCACACACATCTAAATTTTTAAATTGTTATCTGAAGATCTGAATCTTTCATTGTGAAGGTGCTCAGCGCAGTGCAGAGGTGACATTCCTCTGTCTATGAAGTAAAATATCTCTTGAGTGCCAACCTCTTCATTCTTTGGTCTGCAGTTGGTAGAGTACGAGGCTTGCCATTTTATCTGAGGAGAGAAGACTGCAGGGAGGGGTCCGGCCATGGCAGTGCACCACTGAGGGGAAGCCTGCTGCTCCAGATTGCCAGTTTGATGCAGACAGTAACCATCTGGTTAACAATAATAGGCTCAACTAAGTCAACACTAGAGAGTATCTCAATGAACACTTTCCTTTTCATGAGTTGTTGTGACTTCTGTGTCTCACGGGGCACAGTGATGCCATTAAACATCTCTAGACCCTATTAGAACTAGCATGATGATTGGGTGTCATTCTTTTGTCTGTAGAGGCCCTGGGAACTGTGTTTCTTGATGACTCCCACAGGAAGAGCCTGGGACTGACTGTGCTGCTGGTGCATTCTCTTTCTGGGTGCTCTTTGCAACAGGAGTTTAGTGTTGAACTCTGTGAGGCCTGCTGAGCAGCAGAATATGAAGGCCTATTTCCTAAGTGTGGGGCAGAGGTGAGCAGTGTCTTTGGTCCCCAAAACAGTGTCCCATTGATCTGGTAGGTGGCAGAGAATGGGGTTGATGCGATGAAGGTTTAGAGATTCTGGGCCATGCCTATTTGCTTGACCTGTGGTGTAACTGGGGTTGAGAGGTCAGTGTGAGACTACCAGCAGCGGATCAAACAGTTTTGGGCACTGTGTTCCCAGTTCTGTGTTCAGAAATATAGTGAGTCCTTGCCCCTGTCCTGGGGCCTCTCAGCTGGGATGGCTGATGTCTATGGCTTTAGAACACCAGGTTGCACATGTTCTTGTACTTTTCCTCTGCTGAAGGCAGATGGTAGACAAGAAATCCAAACCGAGCAGCTTCCAATGTTCACCAGGTCACCCAGGTCATACCTTTTGTTCCTGCTCCAAGTCCAGCTTACCATGCCACGCGTTCAAGTCTTCTGAACTCTAACTCCTGTTCCCATTTCCACTGCTCACTCATATACCTACTGAGAATTCTGTTGATCTCTTTCATGATCACCCATCCTATACATTACTCCATCTAGCCTCATATCCTTAGCTCCCAGAGTTTCTTTTGCTGGATGTCTTTCCCTTCCAATTTTGCAAAAGTTATCTATCTATCAAGGTTATTCTAAAATTCTACTTTATCTTGGAAACTCAGCTTTTCTAGTCCTGGCTGATGTTCTTCGGAATTCTAATACCTCTGGTTTGTATCTCATAGTTGGACACTGAATAATAGGCCCACCAGATCTTTCAGTGCTTTTATTTCATATATCTTAGCAGTCCCCAGACTTGGAGACAGGTCCTCAAGGGCAAGGCTGGTGCCTTGTACTTCTAAATACCCCCATTGACTACTGCATGGGTACACAAATAGCAGGTGCTGAATAGTTATTAGCTGATTAGCTAATAACTTTTGTGTGAGGCTCTGATAACTAAAAAGAAAGTTGGTGAAAGAAGAGACTGAAGCCTTTGGCCAATAGCCTCATCTTTGGATATCAGCCTTATTATCTTAGCACGGGTAACTGACTTCAAGGAATGCTTTGAGGTAGGGGGAGAACAGAGGGAAGTAGCCTTGTTTTACAAGTTCCCTGGGAAATTGAGGTCCAGAGAAGCTGAGTGACTCGCCTAGGATCACATGTCCAACCTCCAGAGACTGGAGGGATCCTCAATCTGGTGCTCATTCCACACTTAACCTGCTGAATCTTAATCGGGGCTGTTTTTAAGCATTACAAAATTTCAACCAAGGGATTGCTAATGAACAATTTTTTTTTTCTTTGCCATGAGGGTATGAAAATACTTTCTACCTTGAAAGGCTATTAATTAAAAGCATGGACTTTGGAGTAACATAGACCTAGCGGTGAATCTGCTTTACAAACAGTGTGACCTTGAGTGTGTCACATTTTTTTCAGAACTAATTTTTCTCTTCTGTGTAAAGGGAATAATAACAGTACTTACACTTCATAGAGCTGTTGTGAAGATTAAATGGTACAATATGTGTAAGGTACCTAGTAAAGTTTTTTAGGCACAGAGTGAGTACTCAGTAGATGGTAGTTGCTATTATCATTGGTATCCACCTATTGCTATGTTGTACCCTATACTTTGCTGCTGGGTTACTAACCAAGGCATATTTTAGGACCTCTCTTTTTTTATCATCCAAAGCAGATTATGTAGAACCATTTCCATGAGGAAATGAGGGAGCTTATCAGGCCGTCATCTTGCTTCTTATCTAAAACTATCTCCTTATAGTAAGTTACCCCATAGGGCTTGGCATTTCTTCTTTTAGGTTTCACCAAGATCTACCTTAATCTTTCTTTTTATAGACAACCTGTGGCATCTAGTTGCCTCAGTGGTTGGAACCATGGGCTGGATGCATGTTTGTTCAGGCCAAAATCTCTTAAGAAGAACTTGTGAATTTGCACTAGCCTTTGCTGTATCTTTCTAGATTTCCAGGTCTCTCCTGGACCTTATGATGCTAAGTCTTCCCCAGTTCCCTCCATGGGAGAATCACTGTGGCTTGAACAGTCAGAGGAAGGTGATTTTGTCTTCTGTTTTGCAAAGGGAAAGGGTCTCTGGCTGTTAGCTATTACAATGATAAATTGTTTCTGTGTGAGTGTGAATGTAGAGAAGATAGATATCAGAAATGGCAGTTGCCCTTGCAATTGGGATTTTATTTCAGTTCTGGAAATCAGCCTTGTGGATAGCTTAAAATAAAATTTCAAAATAAATGGTTAGTCAGATTCATAGAGACAGAAAGTAAAATGGTTACCAGGAGCTGGAGGGAGGGAGGAGTGGGGAAGTTATTGTTTAATGGATAGAGAGTTTCAGTTTGGGAAGATGAAATAATTCTGGAGATGGGTGGTGGTGATGGTTGTACAACAGTATGACTGTACTTAAAAACGGTTAAAATTATACATTTTATGTTACATCTATTTTACCACAATAAAAAACATTCAGGCCCAGACTGTGGCAGATCTGCAAGAGTTACAGAGCACCACAACTTTGGAAGAAGCATCATAAAAAGGGGAAGTTAATTGTCTATTTTTCTTAAAATTGTGATTATTTTCTTCATCAGAAGCACAGAGATGCCCCTGCTTGAGAGGGGCACCATGTACCGGGCACTATGCTGTGATTTTGTGTGAGGTGTCCTCAGAGGATGGTTCTTAATGGCTGGTTTTTATGAAGGAGAGTCTGTTTTTGGACCTCAGGGAACTTCTGAGCAAAAGGAGCTCATCTATTTACCCTTGATCCAGGAACGACAGATAGAGAATATTTTCTGAGGAGACAAGACTTAGAAAGCCAGTACACTTTAAATGTTGAGTTTTGTAATGTCAGGTTGAATGCTGGCAAGACCCAGGGAAGAGCAAGTGTTGAGCAACCTAGCCTTTTTTCTGTTCCCAGCGGCAAGTCACTTAGTCCTCCCCCAACCTTAGAAGTCAGGGATAGAAAATTCTGTAAAAAGTTTTGGGCATCACTGCTGCCTGAAGCAGATGTGCACGCATTTCAACCATGATAATTGAAACCAAATTTTTCCATTTTGGAAATACTTTTTGACAAAGTAAGGTTTTCAACTGCAAAAACAAAGTCAGGGAAAGAAACCTCTTGATATCCCTGCACCCAGATTTGGATTTTTAGGATTTTGCTTGCTAAGTTTTGAACTGGTAAAACAGATCTGGACAAGATAATTTTTGTGTAAGTTTTCCTAAAGCAAGTGCTTTATTTGATGAAATTTGCCATCATCAAACTGACCTATTTTTTTTTTTCAATTTCTGGATGAATGTTCAAACTAGGTTAAACGGAATAGAGCACTAATAAACCATGTAAAAAATAGCTTGAACATGTGTTGGTAGATTTTTTTTTCTGTTAAATAAGTTCAATGCCTCTCAGGTCAGAGATCTAACTTTTTATCATTTATGAGGATTTTCAGAGTCTTAGCACAACTTTCCTGGACTTTTCATTTTCACTTATGAAAGTATATCATAGCCACTATCAAAACCACACACATACAAGGGCTCAGCTCTCCTATTCAAACCAAACATAAGCTTGGCTTCCAAAATGCCACATAATGAGGAGCATGTTTTCTTTTAGTCTTTCTCTCTTCTTGTCTAATTCTATCTGTCTGTGTAAAATGTTTTACATTTTTACACAGCCCACTTAAGAGTTTTCCCCTTGAGTTTTAAAGAAAGCAGTTTGTGACTTGGGGTTTTAGGAATGTGATTAGTAACATACCTGTTCTTGAGCTTGTTTATGAAGGAGCATGTTACAAGAATGACAGCATCTGCTGGTCATCTTTGGTGAATCATGATTGGCTTGTGTGAAGGCCCCAGTGTGGAAACTCCAAGTTCAATACAATTAATAACACTGACTCCAGTACACACTGCAATTTCCCATAATCAGAAGTGAAGTAGTGCTATATCACAGGTCCTAGGAGATTTGGTCTTTTTTCATTTGGCCTGGTTTGGTTGCACAAGGAAGAACGTCAGAGAGTGGGACATGAAGGGTTGTGCCTCACTTGGCCTGATGGGCTATGGACATTATCCCGAGTCAGTGGACATTGTTATTAAAAGCCCAGGCCTTGGAGTCAGATAGACCTGGGTTTCAGTGCCAGTTCTGCACTTACTAGTTATGTGGGACTTTTGGGAAGACTTTATGTCTGTACCTTAAGAGATAATGCTACCTACTTCCTAGGGTTGTTCTGAAGATAAAATGGAGGTAAGGTGCTTTAACATACCCTCAACTTTCAGGAAATGTTAACTCGATCTGTACCTTACTAATGCATGTGTTCTACGTGTCCATGTGGGCTATTATAGCGATTCAGCCTAATTCTATGAACTGAGGTGGCACTGCTGAAAGAGGATGAAGAGTATGGGGCTCTCTGGTAACCTGTGTGTAAATGGTACTTTGTGATAGCAGGACTGCACCACCAAGTCCTGAATCCTGCTGGCTGGACATCTTCAAGAGTCAGGTTCTTCATTAATCCAGAAGTAGAAATCTAAGTTTGATCATTTTGGTCTTGAACTTTAGGATTGGGATACTTACTAGATCTGCAGTTTGACCAGAGTGCCAGGGGCTCAGAAATCCTATCTATATAGGGTCCCATTGCTGTCCAGAGTTGGAGAAGCAGAGTCATGCCAATGACCTCATGAGAACCTAAAATACAATAGTCAACATGTCATCAGTTTATTGATTTGCAGTAAAATATTACTGGCAAGATATTCCTGAGGGCCTGCAACCACATTCTACCTCTCTGAAGGACAACCACGGGGGAGGCCAAACTGGTCAAAAGGCTGCAGAGTAAACTAGGGACTGAGTTATGGCATTGGAGTATTTACAGACTTCAAACTCCACCATGAGGATCTGACCTGAGGCTGAACCAGCTGACGATATCTGATGATTAAATCACTTTCCTAGACAGAGTGTGATGGGTTGGACCGAGGGCTTTCTTCTCTGTCTGATTCTTAGTTTTTGGTTATTCCTTTCTAAATGACACTTTCTTTGTTGAGAGTTTTTAATGCATTCAGCACAGCTTTGCCCTGGCTCACAGTTGTTTTGCCTTCATTGAGTGGTTTTGCCTCTTTATTCCATCTCATCTCTAGCTTGAACATAATGTGCTTGGGCCTCTTGTATGTGGCCAGTATCAGCTCATGACTTCTGAATTTTATTTGCATCTCTTGGAGACCTTTAGAGGTGAAACAGATCATAACCTTTAACAGCATTTCTCAGACTCCACTTTCCTTCCCTCTACATTCTCGCACACCCAAGATGTTCTGGAACTCCTCATTTGTTTTTTCTTTTCTTTTTTTTTTTTTTAACTTTTATTTTAGGTTCAGGGGTACACGTGCTGGTTTGTTATATAGGTAAACTTGTGTCACAGAGGTTTGTTGTACAGATTAGTACCTGTCATCACCCAGGTAGCCAATAGTTATTTTTTCTGCTCCTCTTCCTCCACCCACCCTCCATCCTCAAGTAGGCCCTAGTGTCTGTTGTTCCCTTCTTTGTGTCCGTGAGTTCTCATCACTTGGAGCTCCTCATTTGTTGGATTCCCCCAAACATTGCTGCACAATCAGCCTGCTTGGAGACTCTTCTATCCCCTGCCTTTCTAGCATGTTTTTTAGTATCCTTTCCTTTCCATTCACTGCCTCCATTTTCCTCAGCAATAGAAAGAGTCTAAGAACTGACACAGTAAGCAGTAACCTATCTCACTTTCTTCCCTCTTCTCTAGTTGTTGCTGGCTTTCTCTCACTCCCATCCTCCTGATTCTGTGTCATCAATGCAGGGGACTGGGCTGCCTAAGAAAGTACTCCTCTCTGAACGTGAGGTGGAGGGGTCATGGAGAGAAAGTTGAGGGGGACAAAGCCATCAGTATTTTAATGAAGGGGAGTGAGGAAAGCTACAGTGGTCAGTAGTTAAACCTAATTTACTTATCTACCTATTAATTTACTCAGTAATCATTCATTGAGCACCTGTCATGTGACAGAAGCTAAGAATTCAGAGGCAACTAAGATAACTGTCTTGGTTCTCATGGAGAGCTCACAATCTAGAGGGGGCAGCAGTGTGCTGGAGTCAGCACTCACCCACTTGGAAAAGCTGTTTGTTAAATTTTCAGGAATTTTCGGAGCCAGTTATTAAATATAGCCATTATTAACAAATTATGTAACTTATAAATTATATTAAAAATGAATGTAATAAATACCCCAAACTCATCACTTTCTAATTATTTTTTACTGTAATCTTCTAGGGCTTTGAGGTTATGTCTATTGTGTCTTGGTGTAGAAATACTATACAGTGATATGATGGTGTGCTGTTGCACATCTCTTCCCAAATCTCATGTTCGGTGGCATCATGTTGGTAGCTTAAAATCTGCCATGGTGGGAGTATTTACAGTCTGGAAATTGGCAAATGTTACAAATCAGGGCTCCTTTCCTCCCAATCAACTGTTAAACATTTACCAGCACACACTGTGTGGGGCAGACAGATAAGTAAGAGGTAATTAGAATACAATACAGAAGGAAGCACAGTACTGTGGGAATACAGAACTGGGGAAACTAACCTAGTTTCCCACTAGATTTTAACTAATCTAGTGAGTAGTGGAGAATGAGAGGGAAGGCTTCAGGGAAGAGGCTTGAAGGCTGGTAGGAACTAGCTAGACACGGGAGAATGAGTGGGGAATAAGATAGAACAGTTTTCTAGTGAGACAAAACTTCACAAGGCAGAGAGCCTAGTGTATTTTGGCTATTGCAAGTATTTTAGTATTACGGTAATAAGAAGTCTTCAGGGCAACGATGGGATTAAGGGCCAGGCTAGGTCCCTGAGATTTATTCTGAATGCAGTGAGGAATCAGTGAGGCTTCATGTAGAACATGCCTGGAACACATTGACATTTTGGAAAAGTCCCTCTGGAGTCTGGGAGGAGGTTATTATAATAATCCTGGCAAGAGACAATGATGACCTGGAATGGGGTTGTAATGGTAGCGAAAGTGAGAAGGAAATGGGGTGCAGGGATATTAATGGACATAGGATTGATTCGATTTATGGCTGTATGTGAGGAGTGAGAGAGAGAGAGAGGGAGGAAGATATCAAGGATAACACCCCAGTTTTTGGCTTGGATAGGTGATTGGGTGGTTGGTTATGCCTCTGAGATAGAGAATACAGAAAGAGTAGCAGGCTTAAGGGAGGGTGGGGAACATAAATTTTGAATAAGTATGAATTACCTGTGTAAAATCTAATTAGGGGAGTCAAATAAGACATTGGATATGTGGATCTGTAATTTAGAGGATAGAGGAGGGCAAGAAAGAAGGCTTTGGAAGGTGCTGTGCTAAAAGAGGGCCTAATTTTTAGAGCTTATATATTTTTATTTATAACTTTTATAATTACTATTTTATGTATATTTTATTTATAATTTAACTCTGAAGGCCAACTCTGCTTTCATTAAAAAATAAAAGTGTTGGTCAGACTATCCCCTTCTACTCTACCATCTAACGCTTGTAAAGACAAGTGAAGGGTCTTCAGGTAGAGTTCAGATGACAAATATGTCATGAGGACCTACTGTGGGCATGACCTCATGCTGGGCAGGCTAAGCTATACAGAGTCCTCAGACACATGTTCCTTGCCCTCTGGGTATGTTGAATCTAGTGTGAGGCAGGTAGGTGGTTGGATTTGTACCCTGAAAAAGTAATCAGGCACAAGGCAGAATTCTATGTGCCAGTTGAGTTACAGGCCAGAAATACTACAGGAATTCAGAGAAGGAAGAGCTCACTTAGAACTGATGTATCCCGAGGGTTTCATGGAGGAGGTAAAGTTTAATTGGTCCTCAAAGAACAGGTATTTAGATTATGATACAGGGAAAGAGAAGGGAAATATAGGTGTCTGCAGTGAACGGTTCATCTGCTTGGCACATAATAGGTACTTAGTAAATATTTGAGTAAGTGAGAGAGGTAAGGCTGGCATTTAGGTTCAGTCCAGGTCAAGGAGGTCCTTGAATACTAGTCAAGAATCATGACTTTATCCTGTAGACTGATGATTTTTCAGCTTTTTAGCTATAGAGTCCTTTGAAAGGAAATTTTATGTGGACCCTCAACATATAGAACAAATGGAGGCAGAGGGCTGTGACTGAAGCTTCAGCTCATAAACCTCACAGCCCCGAAGAGACCTGTGTGCAGTGAGGATCTGAAAGTCATGGTCAGATGACATTTTAGAAGGATCAGTTTGGCGATGGTGTGCAGGAAATACTTGGAGGGAGAGTATCTAGAGTGGGGAACAGCAGGTGGGAGGCCACTGTAATAGTCTAAGTCAGGGGAAAAGAGAAGCTGAAAGCCCAGAAAAGAAGGGCCAACTATGTCTATCCTTATGGCTATGAAGCTTGACTGTCTCACATGTATGTCTTCCTGAATGGGGTCAGTGGGTATCTGTGAGTGTGAGATAAGTCAGAACCAATTTGCAACACCCTTTCTGTGGGCTGTTGAACCATCCACTGCAGTGGGTTCATCATGGCACCAGTAGTGGTTCATATAAGCAAGTTTACTAGTAACAGGCCAGTGTGGAAATTAATTAAAGTATTGAGCCAGATATCTGGTGCTTTGACAAAGTTGACTAGATTCATGTGTTCTGATTCTGCTAGAGTTTATTTAGAAAATGGCTTAGATGATCATTTCTGTATATTTCTATAGCAAAGAGCAGAGATTCTGCCTGGCCCATACTTTCTCACTACATCTACAATTGTTGACCCATTTGAATCTTAAATATGGCTGCTCAACTTGAATGTTGCTGGAACCCTGGACACTGGGATACAGATGAAGGTTCCTTTGTGTAGTAGCTTGAGCTGCAGGTCTGGTGGGAGGGGCACATATGAATTAACACTGACTATAGTTTTTAGTAGAATCTGGGGCCAGTTTTTGCTCTTGGAGAAATCAACCATTTTATGCTTAGAGTAAGGGCATTTACTGTGAAATGCTTTTCAACAGAAAACATCTCATGGCTGAGTCTGCCTGGAAAATTTGTGTGCGTGCACGTGTGTGTGTGTGTGATTTTGGCTGGGTCTGGGTAGGGTGAAAAGTATGGTGTTAGACTTGAACAAGATAGTGGGAATATACCTTAGTGTGGTCTGTTTCACAGGCGAGGAGAGGGGATCCACTAGCCTTATTTGGAAATAAGAACTGAGAATGCTTGGGATTGGGACTTGATAGGGTGGGGATGGGGCAATCTATTGAGGTTTAAGTAGTTAAGATCTGGAATGAATGGAGGGAAAAAGGTTTAGGGGATGAAATGGTAAGATCTAGCAACTCTGTGCCTGGGCATGTGACCTTAGGTTGAGACATATGTATATGTGTGTGCATTTATGTACATGCATGCACTATATTGCTGGAGGGTATAGGTTGTGAGCTTCAAGTACAGGATACCTAAACTCAGATCCCATCTCTACCACTTATTATTTGTACAGTCTTGTGAAGAATTTTTGAACTTCTCTGGGCCCTCAGATGTTCTTTTCTTAATTTCTTGTTCTCTGGAAGGTTAGAGTTGCCAAGAAGCGTGTACCTTCCAGAGACCAGGGACTCAGAGTCTCCTCCAAACTTCCTGTGTCTTTTCATGGAGGAGCAGGGGAAGAAAGGAACCTTGGCTTCCTTCAGATGTCAAGCCTTGCCTGTGCATCAAGAGTGGAAAGGGCTCTGGATGGATTTGGGGAAACTGATGTCTTTCCCTAGCCAGCCCTATGGTCATCAGCAAGTCACTTGCTCTTTTACGGAGGCTCTAGTGTGAATTATATTTTGTTGAACATTGATCCTCTGATAATAGGCAATCTGTGTTTGAGACCTTTTGGTAAACACAACATTGGTAAACACAACAGGGGATACATCATTATTGGACCATTCTGGAAAGTGCAAAGAGCAACACACCAGAAGAGTGAGCTTTCCTGTTCACTAGCCACACTGGAGATTGTGTCAGTGCTTCTAAAATGGCTCTTTTTAGTTTATATATCTTTGAAGTGAAGCTAATAATATCTGTTCACTAGGCTTTTCCGTGCTTTAATCTTACTAGTTCCCTGTCAAGAACCTTCAGTGGTTTCCTGATCTATACCAAATTATGCTTTCTCATTCTGGCTTTTAAGTCTCTCCACAGTTTGAAGACAATATTTATAATGAATACTTGTAGAGTATTTTACAGTTTATAGATTTATCCGAAGGATGCAAGTATGGTTTAGTATTAGAAAATATATGTGTCATTCATCACATTACAAGATTAAAGGAAAGACATCGCTTTCCCCAAATCCATCCAGAGCCCTTTCCACCCTTGATGCACAGGCAAGATTAAAGGAAAAAACCCATATGAACATCTCATTAGATACACAAAGACATTTGATAAAATTTAGCATTACTTTATGACTTAAAAACTCTTAATAAAAATAGAAGGGAATTTTCTTAATCTGACAAAAATCATTTACAAAAATCCTGTAACAAACATACATAATGGGGGAACATTAGAAACATCTTTGAAAGCAGGAATATGACAATACTATTCATTAGCATCCTTTCTGTTTGACATTGTGTGGCCATCCTAGCCAGTGCAAACTTTTTTCAAAAAAGAAATTAGAGGCCTAAGAATTTGATAGAAGAAAAATCTCTGGCATTATATGCAGATAATATGACTGTCTACATAGGACACCTAATTTATGTTCAAATAGTTAGGAATAATAGGAACATTGGCAATGGCTGGATATATGGTGAATTTGCAAAAACTACATTTTATAAACTATAACAATCAGAAAACATAATTTAAAAATACATCATTTCTATTACAAAAGAGCAATAAAAACCATAAAGTACTTAGGAATAAATCTAATCAAACGTGTAAGGTCTTCATACAGAAAAATCTAAAAGTCTGAGTGATATTAAAGAGGACTTAAATGGAGAGATATCCTATGTTCATGGATAGGAGGGCATAGTATCAGAAAAATGATGGTTCTATCCAAATTGATCTATAAATTCAATGCAGTTTTTTAATCAAAATCCCATTCGAGTTCTTTATGGAATTTGACAAGCTAGTGAAGACACTTCTCAAAAATAATAATAGGACTGGGGACTTTCCCTGTCAGATATCAGACCTTATTATAAAGCTACAGAAATCATGTGGTACTGTTACAGAGACAGACAAACTGACCAGTGGAATAAGTTAGTAAGTCAAGAAAGAAATCTCTTTGTATCTGGAACTTTAATATGTGACCTAAGATGGCATGACAGATGCATGAGAAAAATAAAAAGTTTTAAATACATCAAACTTATGGAGAAAATTAGATCCCTATTTCATATCCTGACATAAATATCAGTATCAGGGCCTGGCACAGTGGCTCACGCCAGTAATCGCAGCACTTTGGGAGGCCGGAGTGAGCAGATCACTTGAGGCCAGGAGTTCGAGAACAGCCTGACCAACATGGTGAAACTCCCCATTTCTACTAAAAATACAAAAATTAGCCGGTTGTGGTGGTGCACGCCTGTAATCCCAGCTACTTGAGAGGCTAAGGCACGAGAATCACTTGAACCCAGGAGGCGGAGGTTGAGCCAAGATCTGCACTCCAGCCTGGATGACAGAGTGAAACTATCTCAAAAAAAGAGAAAAAATAAGTATCAGATGAAATAAGGGCTTAAATACCAAAAGCAAAAATGTTAAACCTTTAGTAGAACATAGAAGTTAACATTTTTCTAGCTTTATAGTAAAGAAAGACACCATAAAATAAATTATGCTTATGGAATAGCTCATCTTTTGAAGAAAATTTTCATCTTTGCTGGTTGCTTCCCCTCTCTGATTCAAGTCTCAAGCCACATTTTCTGGCTTGAGACTTTCTTTACCTGCTTTAAACACACAACTCTAAGCATCTTCCTTTGTGCATATCTTCCTCTGCTCAGCTAACTTCCTTGTGCACAGAATCCAAACAGCCCCAAAGTTCAGTTATTTGTGGCTTACGTTTGCATGATGAACTGATGGTGGGGAAGGGAGCCAAAAGAGGAGTCTGTTACGGTCAGACAAGCTGTGGGTCTGCCACGCTGGTCGTATTTGAATGTTCCAATAGTTACGAATTCCAGTGTGAGATCTATAGTGATTCTCAGGCCTCTGAAATATACTCTAAAGCATAGAAGCCTCTTTCTCTAGCCAGTTTGCAAAGTTAAGTGGTAGCATGGATAGAGGCTCACTAGGGAAAATCAAAGGAGAGTACCCTCATTGTCCTAGAGTTGGAGTGAACTATGGGTCCTCAAATCTATACAAGTGGAGAAGGTTCTGTTTTCCTAGTAGCAAAGCAAAGCTTAGCCTAGATCAAACCGGTAACTCCAAGGTCTCACACTACTCCTGGGAGCTGAATAGTTTCACCAATTTGGGGAGAAACACCTTTCCTTGCTCATTCTTTTGATTCCTTATTTCCACCTTCCATAAAGTTGAAAGATGTTGCTCAGGAGTTGTTGGGTAACTAGCTGGCACCCCACAGGGATTTGAGTATTTTGTCTTTCTCTTTCACTTTTTCAAGAGACAGAGTTTTGCTCTGTTGCCCAGGCTGGGGTGCAATGGCATGAAACCCCTGGGCACAAGCAGTCCTCCTGCTTCAACCTCCTGAGTAGCTGGGACTACAGGCATGAGCCACCATACCCTTGTCTCTTGATTTCAGTACAGAAGGCATTGAGATTATGGTTGACTCTTGCTAGTTTCTACTTACTCAGTTAGTCTACATAGATAGCCTTTCTTTCCATAATACTTATAATCCTTTGTCTTTCTATGGGATTACAGTTTCCCAAAAGCTTTCGCTGTTGTTCGACTGCTTCCTGGAGTGTAGCCAATGTGATTTTTCTAAAACACAGATTTGTTTACCTGCTTTCTGTCCTACTTTGTTTAAAACCCTTTGATGGCTTCTCATTATTTCAGAAAGAAATCCAAACTTCTTAGCTTTGCTTACATGACACTTAAAAGGCTGCTTGGTCTTCTAGTTTTTTCTCTTGATATTCCCTCTTGTGCTCTCCTCTAGTTTTACTGAACTGCCAGTACTTTGAACACACTTTGTGCTTTTTCTCCTCCAGGTCTTTGTGCATACTGTTTCCTCTGCCTGGAATACTCTTCTTTCTCTTTACCTGACTCGTTTCTGCTCTTACTTCAAGTCTCAGATTCTAGGAAGCTTTCCATCAACCTGCTATCACTGGGACGAGTTGGCCATCCCCTGTGCTTCTGTAGCTCCTATGAAATCATAATAGTTGAAATGTGATGTTTAAATGTTTACTTGGCATTCTCCTCTACTGAACTCTAAGCTTTGTGAGGGTAGTGATGGTGGCTTTGCCTATTGTTTTGTTTCCCTTAAATCTAAACGCAGTGCCTGGCACATAGTAGCCTCCAGTAAATGCTTGTTTAATGAACAAACAAACCTGTGAAGTGAGTGATAGAGTGCTTAGTCCCCTTCAGTTTTCAGGATGGAGAGATGGAGAATAAGGACCTCACACAAAATCACACAGTACTTGGTGGAAGAAGCTGAGCTATGACCTGCCTTCCTTCAGAGGAATGCACTTTGCTTTGGAAGATATGAAGAAATTCCCAGTACATTGTCTTTCCTATTGGGTCTGTGTGAGAACAGGCTGATAGATGCCTCTGGTAGGTGGGTAAATGCATGGGCTTTTGGCAGTTGGATGAATGGGTTTACCAATGAGTGATTCTCTTTCCCTCCCTCTTCCTTCCTGTTCACAGTGTCAAGCTGAGCTCCCAGACTCTGATACAGGCTGGGGATGATGAGAAGAACCAGAGGACGATCACTGTCAACCCTGCCCACATGGGGAAAGCATTCAAGGTTATGAATGAACTGCGGAGGTACTTTTTCTATCTTGTCCGTGCCCTTGCAGAAGGAACTTGTCCATGAGCTTCATCAAGGACTGAGAACAGAAGTCAGAACATGACCACCTAGGGAATTCTGACTCTTTCCATCCATTCTTAGTCACTTGAGTTCCCCTTTCTTTCTCTCTTTTTTTTTTTTTGAGACGGAATCTTGCTCTGTCATCCAGGCTGGAATGCAGGTGGCATGATCTTGGCTCACTGCAACCTCCACCTCCCGGGTTCAAGTGATTCCCCTGCCTCAGCCTCCCGAGTAGCTGGGATTACAGGCGCATGCCACCACGCCCAGCTAATTTTTGTATTTTTAGTAGAGACGGGGTTTCACCATGTTGGTCAGGCTGGTCTTGAACTCCTGACCTTGTGATCTGCCTGCCTCAGCCTCCCAAAGTGCTGGGATTACAGGCGTGAGCCACCGCGCCCGGCAGGTTTCCCCTTTCGAACTCTGCTTGAGACAGAATGACTTTGCCAGAAAACTGTCTTTCCTTTGTATGTATTTAACACCTATCATTTTAATGATTAATCACAGGGGAAAAATCCTTTATGGTTACAGCAAGTCTATTCATAAACTTGATTTCCAACAGAACGAGCTGCTTGAAAACCAATAATAGAATGATTGCAACACCCACACACAATTGCAGATTAAAGACTGGATGTCATGTATTTTCTTCTGGTTTTTCACTCTCTCTTTCACTGGTCTGAACTTAGGTTGGCAAGACAGCCACATCGGTGGAAGAATACCTGGCTCCTTAAATGTAAAGAGAGAAATGAAATGTGAATATACTCATCCTCTCTGAGCTAATAGTGAGGGGTACACAGGCTATTTGTAAGGCCAATGTGCATGTTTGACAAGCTTGTTGCAAGGCAGGTTCGGGGCTCTGAACATGTGTTTCTGTACATGTTTTTTTGTACAAAGCCTGTGGACACGATCTCTTCTTTACCAGAGAGCTCAGAAGCTTCCTTTGCCCATGCAGTTATTTACTGCCTACTTCATCCTGTTGTGAGGTGTAATTGTTTATTTCATCTTTTTTCTGTAGCTCATGAACTCTCTGAAGGCAGAGGCAACTTTTGAGTAATTTTTATCTCTAGCACCTGGCACTTCATAGGAGCTTCTATTGATTCACCAAAGATGCCCAGAGGCACTGGCTAGGCCCTGGAATGGGTCATTGGGGTACAAAGTAAAAAATATAAATAGATCAATGAAAATAATCTTTCTATAGTACAAATAGGTATTATGATGGAGGAATGCATCCAGTGCCTGACAGGTGGTAGGTACGCAATAATTATTTGTTTCTTAAAGAGGGCTACAGAAGCAAGTATGACAGGTGGGAACTTTGGAGAAGAGGGTTGATGCTTGAGCTGAATTTTGAAGGACAAATAAGAGTTAGAGAAATGAAGGGTAGTGGGGATAGGGAGAAGCCTTCCAGGCAGAGAAAATGGCACATAGCCAAAGAAGTGTGTGTTGAGTGGGGAGTTGAACTACTTTTCAACAAAAGTTCTACCTGATTCTATGTTTGTTTTCTTATGTCTCCTTTCTACAGGGCCTAGTCTTTGGCATTAATAACCAAGTTAAATTAAATTTGTCTTATGCTCCACTGCTCAATTTTTATCAGGCCTCCTGCCAGATTTCCTGGAAGCTCTGCCCATAGCTGTCTTAGGCATCAGGCTGTGCTGATGTCCATGCTTATGGGCATGGTTCTCTTGTTAACTGAAGAATTTGTCTTGTCTTTCCTAGACACTATTGAAATTCCTCATTTAGTTCTTTTGGGTATGGCTTGTGCCCTTTGTCTGATTTAGGAGTCTTTCACCAGGCCTTATTTTGCCTGGTATTATAGTCAACTCCAGTGATGCCTGAAAGGGAGAACTTAGGAATAGATATGTACACAAGATTCCCTGCACCCTTACTTTCTATTACTAACCTCTTTTCTTTGTTTGTTTATTTTTTTAAAGAGACAGAGTCTTGGTCTGTCACTTAGGCTGGAGTGCAATGTCCCAGTCACAGCTCACTGTGACCTTGAACACCTGAGTTCAAGCAGTCCTCCCACCGTGGCCTCCCAAAATGTTGGGATTATGGCCATGAGCCACCATGCCCAGCCCCCTTTTCTTTAAATAATTTTTTAAAAAGACATCCTGAGTTCTCATTACTTCTGTTACAAGTTACTAGGTTTTTCTCTTTCCCCAAAAGCATTGACTTAGATTTAGCCATCTCTAACAGTCCTGCTTCTTCTTCTCTTTTGTATAATTCAGCATTTGTCAAACTCTGTTCTGAGAAATGCTAGTTCCCTTAAGATGCTCTGTGAGAAAAAAGAGCTCTGTGCCCCAATGAGTTTGAAGAATGCTATATACTGTACCCCTCTCTGAGGTTCATAATGCATACTGGCATATTAAACGCTGTGAGAAGTCCTGCACTAAACTTGTCTGACCAAAGGTTTTCCACACATATTTGACTATAGAGCCGCCTTTGGTGGTTGTTGCATATAGACCAAGTGTTTTGTGAAATTTGTTTTGGGAAACACTTTTCTAATACCAGACATAGTCCTTTGCTGAAATTTAAGTGAATAATCTTATTCTCCCTCTTTTTGTTTTTTTTCAAATGGACCACAATCTATATATATTTGACTGGCTAGGAAAATTTTAATTCAGGTTTAGGCATAGATTTTCCTATCATTTTTCTTTTAATTTTTCTTTTGTAAAAGGAATATATTTATTATAGAACATTTAGAATATACAAATGAGCAACAAGTCATCTATAATTTTATTACATAGTGGTAACCATTGTAATACTTTGGACAGTATACCTCTCTTCTTTAGAATATATGTCTCATTGCAAAAGACATTGTGGCACAATAAAAGTCTCTACATTCCTTAGCTTAAATCATTTTAGCAAAATATTTATTTATTTATTTTTATTTTTTTGAGGCAGAGTTTCACTCGTGTGGCCCAGGCCGGAATGCAGTGGTGTGATCTCGGCTCATTGCAACCTCCACCTCCCGGGTTCAAGCAATTCTCCTCCCTCAGCCTCCCAAGTAGTTGGGATTATAGGCACCTGCCACCATGCCCAGCCAAATGTTTATGTTTTTTATAGCTAATGGCGACAAGTCTGTAGCTAAGACCAAGATTACAGTAGCTCAATGTATAGAACTTACAGATTTTGTAACTTTGCATTTTGGCTTTGGTTTTTGTCTATGTTGCTTAAAAGGTTTTGTGGGTTTTGATGGGTGCTGGCCCACCTCCATTCCCATCTGACTGGGAATGTTTAAATTGGCTGTAAGTCTTTTGGCTCTAAGTCCTTGGCCATAGGGGTCTCACCAAGGGACAAGATGGACCTGGGGCAGGCAGGCACACTGCCCTGGCAGAGATAGGACAAAATGAAAGTTTGGCCATCAGTGCTGCCCCTGGCAGATCTTGTCTAAAAGGGTGAGAACGTAAATTAAAAATAAAATTCTAAGCCCCGCAGGGACTGAACAGACCATCTTTTGGCCAAGGGGACCCTTGATTAACTTTGAAAATGGAGTTCTCAGCCATGATGGGAAGGGGGGTTGGTTAGACCCCCTCTCTTGGTAACCGTGACTAAGCTTTCCTCCCTAAGGTTCTAACAAAAGCCAGCCCTTTCAAAAGACCCCACCACTGATATCAACAAATTTTCTGACACTGCCCTTACTTTTTTGCCTAATAAGAGACCACTGACCACAGGAGTGGTTCTGGCTAGTCTTTTTTGAGATTGCGCAGTAAGGGGTTTCATGGCCTCTGCTTCACTTTTTAATGGCAGAGGACTGAAAACTCCGCCCTCTGATCACCTCAGTTTTTGAACTTGGAGAGCAAGAACCTCAATTGCACATGTGCATGTTTCTCCTTTCATAAATATTCATGGCTCCTTCTATAGCTTATTGAATATGTGTATTTGGCCGCCTTGCTCAGCATAAATTCCTGTTTCCTTTGCCCCTCTCTCAAAGTATCTTGTTTCTGGCTTCTGGCTGGAGGCTGTGCTTCCCAGCCTGTCAGAATAGCCACCCTGCAGGCTGTAACCTTTATAAGAAATAAAGTTTCCTCTTGTTTTAAACAAACAAATGAACAAACAAACAAACAAACAAACAAACAAACATATGCCTTAGTTGGGCATTGGAGTTTGTGACTGTAATCCCAGCTTTGCAGGAGGATCACTTGAGCCCAGAAATCTGAGGCCAGCCTGGGCAACATAGTGAGACCCATCTCATTAAAAAAAAAAAAAGAAATTTACGTCTCAACCTAACTTAACACTATATTGAACACATTTTTCTATGTCATTAACTGTTCTACAATATTAAGTGGATCAATGATATTCTATTTTTGAGTTATTTTTTAAAGACAGTTCCCTGTTGTTGGATGTCTAGGTTTTCCCAGTTCCTCATATAAATAACCCCTGCTATGGTTATCTTTGTAGCCATATAACATAGTGATTACAAACATAGACTCTGACTTCAAATCTTGGCTCTAGTACTTATTGTGTGACCCTAGACAAGTTAATTAATCTCTCTGATCTCACTTTTGTCAACCATAAAATGAGGCTAATAAGAGTACCAGTCTTGCTGGCTTGTTAAGAAGATTAATGAATGAAGTGCTTAAAACAGTGACAACACATATATTACTGTTGTTGAATACTTGTACACATTCATGATTATTTGTATAGAAGAGAAGTAGAATTGCTGATTTGAACAGCCTGTAGAATAATAATAATAACTATGCCTTAGATATTGTTGTGAGATCCTGGCACATAATGAATATTCTGTAAGCATTAGCTATGATGATGATGATGATGATGATGTGCTAAGCACTGTGCTAGGTTCAGGAACATGGCAGGAGATAAGAGGACTAAAATCTTGCCCTTAGTGAAGCTTGTATTCGCATGTTATTGAAAGGCTACATCAAATTCCAAGGTATTTAAATGGCTAACTTATGAAAAATAGAGTGGAAAGGGGAGGCAGGGAGGAAGGGGGTCTGCATTGATACTTTATTGATCTGAGTGAGTTTAATGGGAACTAGAGAGAGGCTGGGTATACTTATGGAGGCCTGGGCTAAAGCATCTTGCCATCCAGGGGTTAAGCTAATGAAATGTTACATGATATTCCAGGGATTTGGGATTATTTCTTGCATTGCTTTCACATTCCCTTCCCTTAATTTTAAGCTATTTTAGTTCAAGCACACATGTTCTTTGCAATTTATGAATCACACAATTCATGAGTTTCCTATTCTTTTTACCTCCATGGTAGAGAATGGCTGTTGGCATAGTCACTGCCAAGCCTTCTTCCTCCTTTTGCACTTTGTTGCTCTGCTGTGGCCAGACCACAGCTGCTGCTTCTGGATGGCAGAGCTCTAGTGACTCTTACTCCTGACTTACCATCCAGCAAGCAAATGGGGCTGTGGGCCTTCTTAGAATAGCACATCCTAACCAGGCCTGAAAAGAAGGGGCAGAGAGAATGGAACAACCAATGAGTAGAATCCACATGCAGTCTTTCTTTTCTCATTTTGACAATTTTAATCTCCCATTTCACCATTGCAAACAGTTCTCTGCTCTCATCTTTTTTTTTGATGGTCTGTCACTATGCTTTTATTATTGTTATGAACCATCTTAGCATATTGCTTTCTGTTTTTCTTTTGGTAACAGTTTTATCAAGACATAATTCAGATGCCATACAATTTACCCGTTTAAAGTTACAATTTAATGGCTTTTAGTTTATTCACAGAGTTGTGCAACCACAATCTTAGAATATTTTCATCACCCTAAATAGAAACGCTGTATTCTTTAGCAGTCATCCCCTCCATAGTTTACCCCATCCTTACCACCACTCCCCATCAGCCCTAGGCAACCACTAGTCTACTTTATGTCTCTATAGATTTGCCTGTTTTAAAATCATACAATAGGTAGCCTTTTGTATCTGGCTTCTTTCATTTAGCATAATGCATTTAAGGTTCATTCATGTTGTAGCATGTCTCAGTACACCATTCCTTTTTATTGCAGAATAATATTTCATTGTATAGATATACCACATTTGACTTCTGGCTATTATAAATAATGTTGCTATGAACATTCATGTACAAGTTTTTGTGTGGATGTATGTTTTTATTTCTCTTAGGTATATGTCTGGGAGTGGGATTATTGGGTCATATGGCAACTTTAATCTTTGGAGGAACTGCCAAACTGTTTTCAGAGCAGCTGCCACCATTTTACATTTCCATCAACAGCAAAGCTTCTACTTTCTCCACATCTTCTCTAACACTTCTTATTGTTTGTGCTTTTGATTATAGCCATTCTAGTGAGTGTAAGGTGGTATCTTGTTGTGGTTTTGATTTGCATTTCTCTGATTGTTAATGATGTCGAGCATCTTTTCATGAGCTCTTTGGCTATTTCTATATCTTGTTTGGAGAAATATGTGGGGTTGGGGGAGGGGGGAGGGATAGCATTAGGAGATATACCTAATGCTAAATGACGAGTTAATGGGTGCAGCACACCAACATGGCACATGTGTACATATGTAACAAACCTGCACGTTGTGCACATGTACCCTAAAACTTAATGTATAATAATAAAAAAAATCTCTTGTTCATTTTTAATTAGGTTATTTTTCTGTTTATTATTGAGTTGTAACAGTTTGAGTTCTTCACATATTCTAGATACAAGCTCATTATCAGGTAGATGATTTGCAAAAAATTATTTCTCATTCTATGGATTGTCTTTTCATTATCCTGATGGCATCCTTTGAAGCACAAATGTTTTAAATTTTGATAACTAATTTATCATTGTTTCTTTTATTGTTTGTGCTTTTGGTGTCATATCTAAGAAACCATTGCCTTATTTGGAGTCATGAAGATTTACCCCTATGTTTTCTTCTAAGAGTTTTTATAGTTTTAGCTCTTGCTTTTAGATCTTTGAGCCATTTTAAGTAAATTTTTGTATATGGTGTGAGGTAGGGATCCAACTTCATTATTTTGCATATGGATATCCAGTTGTCCCAGCACCATTTGTTGAAAAGACTGTTTTTTTCCCAGTTGAATGATCTTGCTACCTTGTCAAAAATCAATTGAACATACAAAGGTTTATTTCTGGACTCTCAATTTTATTTTATTGATCTATATAGCTATCCTTATACTAGTACCACACTGTCATATTTTTTGAGATAGGGTTTCATTATGTTGTCCAGGCTGGTCGTGAACTCCTGGGCTCAAGCAATCCTCCTGCTGCAGCCTCCTGAGCATCTAGGATTATAGGCATGTACTGCTGCACCCAGCTACACACTTTTTTTTTTTTTTTTTTTTTTTGCTGGTTATTCCTCCCCTCAACCTCTTAACCATCTCCCATGTCTGAATTCCAGGACCATGTAACCACTTGCCTGCTTGGTAACCTTACTTATGTGTCCAGTGGGCAGCTCAAACTTAACATGTTCAAAACTTAACCTCTAATCTTAAATGAAATATTATTTGGAAAAAAGAAGATATGGAGGAAAAGTGAAGCAGACAATTGAAAAAAAACCATTTTTTTAAAATTTTTTTTCAAAATATGAAAAGTTAACATTTGCTAAATATTTACTATTAGCACTATGCATTATCTGATTTACAGCACATGTCAATTCTGTGACACTCTGGGGACGTTGTGTACTTGTCTACACTAGAGAGTGGTGGGACAGAGGTTTGAGAGGCTTGAACTCAGGTGAGTTTGATTTGAGAGCCTGAGCTCCTTCCTAACAGCTACATTGTACTTTTCCACAAATGGCAAAGTGTCTAGTCCTACTTTTCTCCCCTCAAGATGGAGTAGTGTGATAGCTCGGAAAAAAGGATCCCATAGGATCCCAGGTAAATTGAATAGGAGTGCTTGTGAGCCATGCAGTGCTTTAGAGCTACTACTTCCCTCTTCCATGTAGCATGGATACATAAAGATGTCTCCAGTGTGCAGACAGGCTTCCCCACCCCCAGGGAAAGCCCATCTTAACTATTTGGCAAGTTTCTTTTGGCCAATTTCCCAGGTTAGTGTTTCTCTGGCCTTAAGATACACTTTCCACCCATCAGAACTGCTGTCATTTATTTGCTTAACTGGATTCTCCATCTTTATTCTTCATTCCCTTGTGTTTCTTTCCCATTTGTTCAAAAATTGTCAGGCTCCCTGGGTTTGTGCAAGATAACACACCCTGACATTTGTTTGTTCAGCTCCTAGCACTGAACATTTGTTCAGCATTTCTGACTCTTCTCTGCCAACAATTTTCTTATTAGTTACCAAAAAATATAACCGGTTACTCTTTTTTTTTTTTTTTTTTTTTTTTTTGACAGAATCTTGCTCTGTCACCCAGGCTGGAGTGTAGTGGCATGATCTTGGCCCACAGCAACCTCTGCCTCCTGGGTTTCAAGCGATTCTCATGCCTCAGCCTCCCTAGTAGCTGGGATTACAGGCATCTGCCACCACACCGGGCTTTTTTTTTTTTGTATTTTTAGTAGAGAAGGGGTCTCACCATGTTGGCAAGGCTGGTCTCAAACTCCTGGCCTGAAGTGATCTGCCTTCCTCAGCCTCCCAAAGTGTGGTTATTCTTAAATAGCAGTGATAACTCAATTTTCTTCCTAAATGTAAGTAAAAATGTCCAAGATGAGTCTATTCATGTTGGAAATACAATTTTAGAATAAAATTTAATGAGACTAAAGGCCATTTTCAGATGGCACCTGTAATCCCATTTGGCCCCCATGATATATGTCCCAAAGGCAGCTAAAACAGGTGAGAAAAATGGGGTGAGCTTATTTGCCCATGGTCTCATAGCCAGTTAGGGGAAGAGCCAGTTCTGTTCCTGGTTGCACTGGTTTATCCTGATACAGTTGGTGATTAAGGTCTGCTGTCCACTGCAGGGTAAGGTCTCAATCCCCCGGTTTTGCCTCTTGCTGTCCAAAGGTCTCACCCTTCCAGGAAGCCTCCTTAACGATACTTTATTCTACTTCCTGTCCACTTCTCCCTGTTGGGGCTAACCTGTCTTCTGTCTTTTCTCATTCTGAATGTCAGCCAATCATGAGGCATTGTGATACCATGGAAAAGTCACTGTGTCTGGAGTAAGGAGAACTGGATTCAAGACTTAGACTTCTGTGGCTTTGGGCATCTTTTCACCTCTCTGAGTTTCATAGACCAGATGATCTCTAGTAGCATTTGCAGCTCCAGCCTTTTCAGGCCTTATGATTCTATTTCTCTGATATGTGAACCTAAACAAATATCTTAGTAGTTGACAGTGACTTAGTGTGCTACACCAGAGATAGCAAATATGTAGCTTTTCTTCCATCCGTCAACCATGGCAGACTCATTAATTGGCCTCAACATTCTCACACAGAATCTAGTCATGACCTCAGCCTTCTCAAACCAGGGTAGTGTGCCAAGTAACCACTACCATTGGCTCACAGTTGAAGTGTGTTTGTCCTCCTTGTCTTTCCTACTCTCTCTAGTGCTTTAATCTCAAGGAGGGATGAGTGGTGATCAGGATACCAATGAAGAGCATGGGTTCTGGGCTTCAGCTGCCTTCATTTAAATCCTGTTTCCACTGTTCCTTTTCTGTGTGACCTTGGGAAAATTACTTCTCTGGACCTCAGTTTCTTCATTTTCAATATAGGCATAACAATTAGCCCTATCTCATGGGGTGGTAGAGAGGATGAAGTAATATGTGTAAAAAAGTGCTTAGAACAGTGCCTGGCACATATAACTCAATAAATATTAACTATTATATTGATAACAGGCATGATAAGAGCTTAGAAGAATGATGAAGGAAAAATTCTTGGGTTGATGGGAGCTTGTGGCACCCTATCAATCTCTAAAGTAGTCAGATCCCTATTCTGTCTATGAATGTGGATTGATCACATTTCATTCATTAATTTATTTATTCAGTAAAAATTTAGGGTCTACTATGTGCTAGGTATGCAGCCAGGTGTCTAGGATACAACATTAAATAAGACAAGTCCCTTTCTGAGTTGGGGTGACAAACAGAAAGGTAATTACAGTATTTTTAATAATTACAGTGATTGGAGTTTGCACAGGGTCTTTAGGGAGCACTGTGTTTGCAGGCAGAGTCTTCTTGTTGAAAGCGTTAAATCTGGGTCGAAAGAGAAATACCTAAGGCCGGCTTGCCTCTTACTGGTGTTGCATATACAGTGGGTCCCTTGGGGGAATTGTTAGTACTTGGTCTTGCTGGTGACACACTTCACTGGTATGCTCATGTTCCTCAGCATTCATTCAGTCACTCGAATGACAGCCCCAAGCTTTTGCCACTGTTCCCTGAGCCGCAAAACCCCTACTTCTCAATCTGAACTGATAGAATTGGGGAACAGAGAGGTGAAGACAAATGAAGCAGCCTGGAATTTACAGCCACAGAGTAGTTGGATCTCTCCATGGACCTTAGGAAAGCATGAATGTCAGGTTTATCAGGGACTTGGAAAAGTCAATGAATCCACCCCCCTCCCTAACTCAAGATAGAGCAAGTCCCTGTGACAGCTTTGTATAGTGATAGTGTGAAATCTGGGTGGGAGAAAAAAATACCCTTGTAAGATGAGGGTAGGTGTCCTTGCTGCAACCCATCCTGTCCTCTCACTGGTGTCTTACAGTAAACAGCTGTTGTGTGACGTGATGATTGTGGCAGAAGATGTCGAGATAGAAGCCCACCGTGTGGTCCTGGCAGCCTGCAGCCCCTACTTCTGTGCGATGTTCACAGGTATGGTGAGTGGCCACCATTAACCCATGGTTATGGGGCTGCAGCCCCACTGGGAGAATGTTGGGGGTGGTGACATGAGGGGAGGGAGGAAAGAGAAAGCCATTAGCCCACTATGAGGGGCTTCTCTACGCCAGATAGTGTGCTTTGTGCCATGGAGGACTTGATGGAACCAGGTCCAGGCCAGTTGGGCATGTAGCCCTTGTCCACCATGAGGAAAAAAGGTAGACTCACATAGCCCATTAGTTCTCAAAACTCACCCTGCACCATAATCATGTGGGGGAGCTTGTTAACAATGTAGACTCCTGGGCACATGGCCAGGTCTTCTGATCTCTCACTTTGCAGATGGAGGACACTGAGGCTGAGACAAGGGAAGAGACCTGCCCAAGGTCACAGTGAATGAGTGGGACTTGGCTTCCTGGCACCTGGCCCAGTGCTTTACTAGCTGGCCTACCTATTGTCCTTCCCTAGACCTTCATTCCAGACAGGGGCCCTGGACCTCCGCTAGTCTTTACAGGAGTGGAGGAGATTTGGAAAAATGATGGTGGGTTTTGAGGGGGATGAGAAATAGGTATAATCAATATCTGGCATTCAGTTTCAGCACCTTTGCCAACTTTCCAGGGTCCCTGTTTACTGGGCATGCCCAATAGTCTTGTCCAAATATTTCCCATCTGTTAGTTCTGAGATTGAATTACCTGAAACCCACAGGCTGAGCTTCCTGTCTGTAGTTTCTCTCAGCACTTCCCCTGAACCAGGTACTTTCAGTGCTCTATAAATCACTGCCGACAGAAGGAGGCCATCTGGGCTTGGTGAGACCTCCAGACTGGGTCAGGTGTCCCTTCTACATGCTTTCCAAGTGCTTGTGCCTGCTCTGAGTATGGCGACTGTCACCCTGCATTCTTGTCTGTTTCCTGGAATCTATAATGCCCATGCCCTGTATCTCATGTAACTGACTGCTTTTTATCCTGCAAATGTCTCCTCAGGCAGGCCCCCTCTCACCACTCTGGCCATAGTTCCACACCAGGCCTCTCTCTATCCTATAACTTGACTTCATCTTTTCATAACATTTATCACCATCTGAAAATCGTCTTGGTTTGTTGTTATGTGTTTTTTACCTGTCTCTCCTCACTAGAATATAAGCCCCATGAGGACAGGGACCTTGGTGGGCTTGTTTGTTACCATATACTGAGCACCTGGTACATGGTAGGACACAAATATTTTTTAAATGAGTGAGTGAAGTATCTCCTGCACCTGACTGTGAGCTTTGGGCACTTGGGGAACATGTCTTGTTGCTGTGGAATCCTCCATGCCCACCACAGGAGGCGGTGAATAAGTGAATGTCTGAAGAATGAACACAAGCTTGCTAAGGAGGGGTGAGTGCAGGCACATTTTTGCTGAATGGGCTGTGACCCTTTTCCTAATATGGTACACAGCTGGGCAAGACTGGTTTTGTTGGGAGAGACTTGGCACTTGTGCACTGAGAGTTTGTCACATGTGTGTCCCCCTTGGCTTGTCATGTGAAGGAACTGGTCTCAACTTGGAGTGGTGCCTCTGCTAAGTGGACCAGGCTACTCTTACCTTACTTTCAGCCTTGGGCCAGGAATTTCACACTGTAGCCCAGAAAACTAGCTAAGTTCAGTATCTGGAAATTTTGAGCTGCATTCCCTTTTGAGTTGTCCTAAACCCTAGCTGCAAGGCCTTTATTTCCTTTTTTCCCCCTTTCCTTCATCAATCTCTATTTTAAAATAGTTCATCTTGTCTGTAATAGTTATTTAGCTGTAACTTCAATAAATAGCTCTGCCAGTTATTCTTTGTGTGTGGAGTTTGGAAAGTTCAGTGTTGAGAGAGGAATCTGTTTGGAATTGCAATGAATTGTCATGCTGGCTCCACTTTTTGTTAACGAACTTGCCTCTGAAGTAGCGGAAGTGTCATAGCAAAACCAAAGTGATTTTACAAATTGGAAGAAAAAGTGCTTCTGGGGCATTCTTAGATTCTAGGAATGGAAGGGACGGGAGAATCAAGAGAAGAAAGCAGTGTAATGCAATGCCCAGCCCAAGCCTTCCATTAAACCTGGTTACCATCCATCCTTCCACCCATCCATTCACCCGTCCATCCAAATACTGTTCACATGTGTTTATTACAGGTAAAAACCAGAAACTGTGGGCAAGCAAAAAGTAAAAAATTACGTGTACTACAACATCTAGGTAAGAGTATGGTTTATATCTTTTTAGATTTTATATTTATAAATGTATACATATACAAAATATATATTTTAACATAAGTTCATTTAATGTGTACAGTTGAATAGTCTTTTTTTTTTGAGACAGAGTCTCGCCCTTTTGCTCAGGCTGGAGTATAGTGGTGCAGCCTCAACTCACTGCCACCTTCGCCTCCTGGGTTCAAGTGATTCTTGTGCCTCAGCCTCCTGAGTAGCTGGGACTACAGGTGTGTGCCACCATGCCTGGCTAATTTTTGTATTTTTAGTAGAGAGTGGGTTTTGCCATGTTGGCAAGGCAATCTTGAACTCCTGGCCTCAAGTGATCCACCTGCTTCGGCTCCCAAAGTGTTGGGATTACAGGCATGAGCCACTGCTCCCAGCCTAAATAGCCTTTTTTGATGTATGTATTTTTTTTTAAATTGCTATTCATCTTCCTGGAATGTTCTCTCCTCCATCTTTTGGCCTGTCTGACTCCCGTTCATCCTTCATTACTGCTTAAGCATCACTTCCTCAGGAAGGCCTTTTATGACCTCTTTGGCTTAGGTTAAATTCCTTTGCTACTTACTCCCATGGTACTTTATACTTCTCTTTAGTATTACTACTCATCTTATTACTTCCTCAATGTTTGATTTCCCTGGCCAATCATACTCTTTATAAGGGTAAGAACTATACCTTTAAAATTCACCACCATGTCCCTGCTGCCTAGCATGGTCTTCCATATAGCAGGTGATCAATAAAAATTTGTTTAATTGAGCTTAGCAATATATAATGAATATCTTTCCATGTCAATGAAATTGCAGTTACAACCTAATTTTAATGCCTTCATAAGATTCCATTATATATACTCTAATTGAAAATTCATTTCCTTCGTTGGAAATTATAGTTTTATGTAATATTTTGTTATTATAAATAATGATATAATGGGCATCCTTGCATCTTAATCTTTATGTACATTCCTGATTATTTTACTAGAATAGATTCCTAGAATAAGAAGTACTCGATTAAAAGGTATGCACACTTTGAAGACTTTTGAGACATGTGCCGCATTGATCTAAAGAACAGTTGTACCAGCTTATGCTCCCATCAGCAAGATATCTAAGATTTATATATTTTTAAGGCCCATTGGCTTTGCCTAAACCTTGGTAAACAGATACTAAAAATCTCCAGTAACATTGCAAAATTTTGTTCTAATTATCAGGTTCAGCTTCAAAACGTGTAAAATGCATTGTGTACTGAGAGTAAGAGGCTGACTCTCGTTAGATCCATTTCTATCAGTGTGTTTAAAGCCAAAAGGAAAGTAAAATACACATGGCTTTCTTCTGACTTGAGTTGTGTGATTATGGTCTTTTACTCAAGCTTAAATGTTTTTATTTTTTTGTCTTCCGAGTTCATGTTGCCCAAATGTCCTGAGGTGGTTCCAAATACCAATCCCACACTTCTTGACCATTGTCCTGTGGACAATAACTTGGAATAAATGTGAAACTGAAGTCTGAGTGCCCATCAGAGAGTGTCCCAATCCAACCAGTCTATAAGAAGATCTGGGGTGAGCAGTCAACCTATTTGCCCTTTACTGCTTTCAGCATAACTTGAGTGGGGAGGCCAGTAGTGCTGTGTTCTGCCCATCTTTTTCCTATAAAGATGAAATGTCTAGGACTCATTCCCCATCCTCCCCATCCAGCACCTCCATCCCAAGGGAAGCAATTTTCCCAAAATCTCCTCATCAGTGTTTCTCTCTTTATCATGCCCTTTACCATGGCTTCTGTATACTGTAGTATTTGTACTCCATATGGGTCCCTGCCTACATGTCATCCAGATACAGCCCCTATTTTATGGTGTTAAAGGAACTGAGGTCTACAGAATATATGGGCTCAGGGTCTTATGCCCATAATCATGGCTAAAAGACACTTGGGCTTCCATCCCAAATGAAGCCCTGGGAGTGATCTGTCCCACTCATCTGGTCATATTGTACTGTATGTAGTGGCTGATTTAGATTGGTTTTTGTTTTTTAAAGAGGAGTTACTGTCCAGTTTTTATTAGATTTAGGCTGATGTTTGGTATCTTTGAATATATGGTAAGTAGAAATAGAGAGGAGAGTTCAGGAATGTGCTGGGGGTGAGAGACAAGGGGCTTAGACTTGGAGTAGGCAGGAATCATCCACAAGGCAGAACCATGAGGGCCTGGCTGTCTTATTCACTTCCCAGGCATGAAGTTCCTTCCACAGAACTGTTGTTTCACCCTTGCTGCAAGCCAGACTCTACCAGGCCCTGGCCTGTGGCTGTGTCTGTGTTCTAGTGTTTGTGTGGTATATTGATGCCTTTGAAGAGCTCTGCATAACATGCAGCTCAGCAAAACTGAATACAAGGCAATGGACAATGAGAGAAGGAGAACTAGGGAATAGAATTCTTTTCTTAGACAAAGTGGGCCTTCAGGGAGGTTGCAGAGTAATAGTGGTAGTAGATAGGGTCTGGTTTCTGAGAGTTTTGCCCCTGAGGAGTCAGGGATTAGGTAGAATAGTTCAGAGAAAAAGGGATGGCGGTGTCAGAGGCTGCCTGGGATGAAGGAGCAATGGCTTCACCTTCCACGTGGCTATCTTCTAGAGTTAGTCACTTTTGGGCTAAGTGACAGTGACATAGGGCTTCTTCTTCCTGTCCCTATCATACCACAATAAAGTCAGGCATCTTTTTCTGGCTCAAGAGACCCAGATACCCAGATTTGAAGGTGAGGGAGCCAGTAGTCCTGTCTAATAATGTTACCCTTGATGCAGAAATGGCAAGTTTCTTGAGCAGGAATTTGGCTTGTGGTTCAACAGAGGACTGTGTGGTGCTCAGGAATAGAGACTGCTATTCACTTCCAGTGGTTTCTCCATTAAGGTGCAACTGGTTTGACCAAGATGGTCTGAGGTAGACTTGTTTGGGTTTAGAGTAGCTCAGCCTTAAAATTGAGACCACCATTGGAGATAAACTATTGGTAAGGAATATTTTATGAATGTTCATAGAAGAGGTTTGGAGTTGGTGATGTGGGGGCCTCTTTACTAAGGATTAAACACAAGTGTGGTAATGCCGCCTTGCACTGGGAGATGGTGTGGTATCTTGGAAAGGGCTTTGGAGTAATAATGACCTGTATTCCAATCTTTTTTTTTTTTTGAGACGGAGTCTTGCTCTGTCGCCCAGGCCGGACTGCGGACTGCAGTGGCGCAATCTCGGCTCACTGCAAGCTCCGCTTCCCGGGTTCACACCATTCTCCTGCCTCAGCCTCCCCAGTAGCTGGGACTACAGGCGCCCGCCACCGCGCCCGGCTAATTTTTTGTATTTTTAGTAGAGACGGGGTTTCACCTTGTTAGCCAGGATGGTCTCGATCTCCTGACCTCATGATCCACCCGCCTCGGCCTCCCAAAGTGCTGGGATTACAGGCTGTATTCCAATCTTAACTGCATAGGTGCGTGGAGAATTCACTTTCCTCTCTGATCCTCAGCTTTCTTATTGAAGGGACTGGAATAATAACAATAAGTAGGGAACAAATATAGGTAACGGGTATAAGGCACTCAGCACTGTGTAGATAGTTAATAAAGTCTACTTTTATTATTGTAGAGCACGTCATAGTTTTTAAAATTCTTGTGGATGTCGGGGGTGGAGGTGATTAGGGTTGATTTTTTTTTTTTTTGTAGTCACTATGTAATGACACAGAGGCATTTTTTTCCTGACTTTGTGCTTCTCGTGCTTCTAGTTGAGCAGAAAGATATTTCCAGGTGGAGGAGGGATGAGATTCCAGGGAGGGCGGGTGATGAGGCGGTGTCTATCACTGTGGTTCTGCTGGATCCTGCTGTCCCACCTTTCACAATCTCATTGTCTCCTTTGATTCTCACACAACCTTGGGATAAAGGCAGAACAGAGAATGTCCTTATTTCACAGGTGATATAGGGTGACCTGTGCTTCAACAGAGGACTGTGTGGCACTTAGGAATACAGACTGCTGTTCACTCCCAATGTGACATAAGGACCTGTGAACTAAGGACATTCCCTGATCTGCAGTCAAATGGCCCAGACCACTCACCTGCAACAGGGTTGGTCAGGATTCAAGGAGATGGCAGAGTATTTCTTTTTCTCCTGTGAGGTTAATGTCTTTGGCCTTAGTGCTCAGCTCTAGCCAAATGAGTTGGCAGCCCAGATTTTAGGACTTAGATGAGGGTTGGGGGGAAGAAAGTTCCATAACCATCTTAGTGCCCATGAAGAATCATTGCGCAAAGGGTAAGGATTTTCCTTTGTTCTCTCTACCCAGAACATGAGACTAAATTACAGTACTAATTCAAGTTAGGAGCAAGAAGGTATTCTGTGACATAAGGACTCTTGAACACTCCCTTTTCTTGTCTTTAAGGACATATAACTATGTAGGGGTGGTCGGTGGTTTAGCTGTGGTGTTCGTCAGAGAGACCTGCCAACCAATCTATTCCATTTTCATTCTCAAGGCTTTATTTACTTAATAACCTGGAAGATGAGCTAGTGATTTTTCTGGACATCTTGAGTCTTCTGTGATAATGAAAGATTTTCCTTTCCCTCCTCCAGTCCATCCTTCTCCCTCTTGCTCTTCTTTGGCAGTCTTCCACCTAAAAAGGTCTCAGCTGTGCACATAGTGTGCTTGTTAGGATCTAGAATGAAGACTTGGATGCTTTTACCTAATAGGCTTCTGGGATTGCTTGCTCTTCTGGGCCCTCCGTGGTTCTCAGAGGCTGCTAAGTGCAAGGCCCTAATGGTCTACGTATTTAAAGAAGTTCAAGACACAGTCAGGCCAACATCATCTTTTACCTGATATTCTGCAGCAGTCTTCTCATTGGTCAATCTGCCACCTGTTTTGTTTTCCCATTCCCCACCCATTCTCCACACTGTGGCTACAGTGATTTTCCCAATATAAAAATCTGATGTATCCCTTACCTGCTTAAAATCTATCAGGGGCTCCCTGTTGCCCTTAGGATGAAGTCTAAACTCCTTAGCGTGGCCTGTAAGTCCCTCAAATGGTCCAGCTCCTGCTTTCATCTACAGCCTTGTCTCATCATTCTTCCCTAATGTGCTCCAGCCAGACTGAACTTGTTATGGTTCCCAGACAGGTCACACCCTTTGTTACCTCCAGACCTTTGTATATACTATTCTGTCTGTCTGGGATACTCTTCCCTCATTCTCACTTCTCTTCTGAATAACTATGACTCCTCCAGATCAGTGACTCTTAACCATTATGCATCAATCTGATGAAAACAATGGACTCTATCTCTGGAAGAGCAAACCTGGTGCTCTTGTGTGCTCATCATTTTGCATGCAGCTTTAGGGTGCAGGAATCCCTGGCTTAAGAACCTTTAAAGCTACATCCCCTTTTCTAACATTTGACATCTTTTGCAGTTGTTGGTTTTCTTGTCTCTCTCTCCACCAGACTGAGCTCCATGAGGGCAGGGCTGTGACTTGTTAACCACTGTATTCTCTGGGCCTAGCACAGTGCTTGACACATGAGGACACATCTGATATGTGTTTGGTGAATTGAATAAATGAGCAAATATCTGCCCTAGAGAGAATCATGTTCTCTTTGGAGAAACAGGACATGCATGTTAGCAGATGTAAGTGGAAGATGGAAAGGGCTAACAAGATATGCAGTTGACAGACATTCTCTGAAAGTTCAGAGTCTGAGGTGGCTGTCTGGGCCTCTTGGGAAGAGCTAGCAGAAGAGAGCACTTGGGTTGACCACAAACATGGAAGGGCTTACAGGGCTCATCTTCTGTTTTCTGGAAATATTTTCTCAAACTATTAGAGATGAGTGAAGGAGCAAGAGTGACCAAGTCCTTGATGGTTTTCCTCCTCCAGAATTACTGAAGCCCATGGAATTATGAGATGTCAAGAGAACCTCCCTTCTTTTTTTTAAATTTTCTACTCCAATAAATACTTTTTCAATGCTTGTTTTATGCCAAGCACTTTGTTACGTGTTGAGGATAAGCCGCTTGGTTCTTTGCTAGGTATTAAGTACTAACTTGTCCTCAGAATTTGGACCAATGCCTTGAGTTTGGGAATACTTTTATTAAGGTTATTAGTTAGGGTGAGATTTTATTGAGGGATGTATTAGAAATGACACAGGGTCTAGAGTTAGGCCAAAGTTCAAATCTCAGTCCTGCCTCTTAGTATCTATGTGTAAATCCCTCTTGAAATGCCAATTTTGGCCGGGCACGGTGGCTCATGCCTGTAATCCCAGCACTTTGGGAGGCCAAGGAGGACAGATCGTCTGAGGTCGGGAGTTCAAGACCAGCCTGACCAACATGGAGAAACCCCATCTCTACTTAAAAAACAAAACAAAACAAAAAACAAATTAGCCAGGCATGCTGGCGCATGCCTGTAATCTCAGCTACTCGGGAGGCTGAGGTAGGAGAATCACTTGAACACGGGAGGCAGAGGTTGCGGTGAGCTGAGATCATGCCATTGCACTCCAGCCTGGGCAACAAGAGCAAAACTCCATCTCGAAAAAAAAAAAGAAATGCCAGTTTTATAATTTGTAAAATGGAAATAATACTGTCTACCTCCTGGACTTGTTTCAAGGGTTAAATGAAATAATGTGGGTCAGATACACATTAGTGTACCTTAGCAGAAGGTCAGGTATACAGTAGTGACTATTAGTATGACTATTTTTAGGGCCCATTTAAACTAAAGTCTTAGTTTGGTGTAGTCATTTTTGCTGGTTCATAAGAGATAATAAGATTGGATTCTACAAGCTTTCTCAGAAAATAAGTGGTGTCTTTGAGCCCTTAGTTTTTCTTTCACATCATTTTTTTCTTGCTTGTTTAAGTTTTAAGTACTTAATATAGAAAATTAGAAATTTGAGGGTCATGTAAAGGAGCAAGGAGAAGTCTCCTAAAGACCTACTGTCTAGAAAACTGTGTCTTAACCTTTTCTGAATCATAGACGCCTGTAAGAATCTGATAAAAATGACCTGTCATCCCCCTAGAAAAAGTGAACTTTTGCACATATATAAAAATATTTTCTTACAATTCCAGGCGTTTCCATTTATTTACCCCAAAGTTACAAAACCCTAACCTGACTTTCAACCACAAATTCCACAGGCAGAAAACAGTCAGCCCAGGCTCTGATTTACACTGCTGTGAGGGCTTCTGAATCTCTTGGTTCTTACAGTCCGGCTGCTCTATTTTTTAAGTCTTATTTTTTGAGGGCTAACTCCTTAAACAAAGAATTGGCTATCTTTGATTATCTTTTGCAGTGTAATTACCAACTGGACCCTCATCAATGAACTTTTTAATAGCTTAACTTCTGATTTCCTTGTGTATGCATGTTTTTGTTTGTGTGTCTCAATAAACTCAAGAGAGAGATTGTGGATCCTGTCTTATGGGTGGAGGAGTAATATACTGTTTTTCCCTTGTTTCTTTACCTGTTCATTCTGCCCCAGGGCACTGTGCTGAGGCCTTTCACAGGCTTTCACTGGCAGTCAGAGAAGAGAGAACAGGGTGGAGGGTCTCAGGTCCACCTGATCTGGCAGTTAAGGGAGCAGGCGGGGTTTGGAATGTCTCCCCCGCTACTTTTCTCTCCGTTCCAGTCATTCAGCTCTAGAACTGTGTCAGGATGGGACTTTGGATTGGTGGAGGAATCATGTGCAGTCCGTGCAGCTTGGAGGTGGGTGTCTGCAGCCCACATGCTGTACTGTACTTTATTTTCTTGGCTCTGGTGTATGAATTCCACAGAGAGAAAACAACTGCCCAGGCTCTGTTTTCACACTCACATTGAGGCTTCTGGATCTCTTGTTTCTTGCAGTTAGGTTGCCCTTTATTTCAGTCTACAAAGACATGTGTTGCCTGTCTTTCCTGAAATCAGCAGCCCTTGTTGAATGGGCCTGGCTTTCGATAAACCCGTGTGTTGTATATAGAGTGCAGGCTGAAGGCAAGGGGCCTCAGGACCGTGGAAATGTGGTGCTGCTATTGCCGTTATTTACAGCCCTGCCTTCTCTCTTTTTTGGATTATTATCAGGGCCTCCAGCTGTTCTCCCTGCATGTGATCTAGCTTCCACCCTGCATCCAAAATTTCGTTCAAAAATGCCCATCTGTTGATGTCATTTCCCTGTTGAAAACCTCTCAATGGTGCTACACCTGGGATAAAGTCCCAGCTTGACTTACAGGGCTTGTCAAGCCCTGGCCCCATCTACCTCTCCAGCTTCCTTCTTCTCACTGTTACTCCATGTACCAGCCACACCAACCTCTCGCCATTTCACCAAAATTTATTCTTTTGGTACTTTCTTCTCTTTGCACGAATGGATCCCAGATTCAGCTCATCCTTCCTCACCTTTGCTGCCTGTAGAACTCGTCCTCATCCTCTAATACCTCTCTCAAATGTGACCTCTTAATAGGATGCCTGACTGGAGTTCCCAGGAGAGATTTGTTGCTCCCTCCTCTGTGTTCTTGGGATTTAGTATAGCGTAGTGGTTACAAATATGGACTCTAGAGTCAGACTCCCTGGGTTTCAACCCAACTTGGCCTTTCCTAGGTGTGTGACTGTGGGCAAAATGAATTACCTACCCTCCTGTGCTCAGTTTCTTCATCTGTAAAATGGCAATAATATTAATAAACCTCAAGGTTGTTGTGAGGATTAAAAGACTTTAAAGTGCTTAAGTGTGTGGCCATAGTTAGCTCTCAAGAAATGTTACTTATTATTGTTGTTATCACAATACTTTGTGTATAACTGTCTACTAAGCTCTTATCACCTCTGTTTATAAACACTTTTGTATATCTGCCTTACTAGACTTGTGTTCCTTAAGGACAGGTGCATATCTTGTTCACTTTTTCTGGCCTTGTATATGGAAGTTTACAGTAAATGTTGGTTAAATGAGTGATTGCACACAGATTTGCCTTCACAATGGAAGTGGGCAATAGATAGAGTAAGGAATGCTTAAGGCTGGGTTTGTAGGTGATCACAGACCCAAAGCTGATGTGACCTTGATGTTACCTGGTTTATCCTCTTCTGTGCCTGAATCCCTTCTGCTGCCTCCTGGAGCCCAGGAAGTGCTTTTATGTTTCCAAGACAGGGCAGGAGACCATCTGGAAGGTAAACATATCCCAGGTACCACATTTATGTCATTTTGTTTTTGTTGTAAACTCTAGGTGACATGTCTGAGAGTAAAGCCAAAAAGATAGAAATCAAGGACGTGGATGGGCAGACGCTGAGTAAGCTGATTGACTACATCTATACTGCTGAAATCGAGGTGACTGAAGAGAATGTCCAGGTAAACTCAGGCTCACTAATAGCTCAGTGTATTGCACACTCAGGACCCACCATTTTACAGCGTTATTTTATTTAACCCTCACAACAATTCAGTTGGTTACTGAAGAGGAAACTAAAGCTCCAGAGAGGTCAGGTGACCTGCCCTGGGCCACATGGCCAGGAGGTGGTCGAGCTGGTCCTCAAACTCATGCCTTCCTGGCTTGGGCACCCATGCTTTTAGCCACTAGGCCATGATATCCCTGAATGAGCCTGGGCCCCGGGAGTAGAAGATCTTTAACTCATGTCTTCAAAATCTTGTGAAGGAAAAGCTGGGAGCTTAGGTGACTCCTATTCTCCCCAGGTCATCGTCTCATCTCAGAATTCAAACAGGTGAATAACTTTTGGGTACTAACAGTAAGTGCAAAGTAATTTGGCATAAAATGAGTAGAGGGGAGGTAGTAGAAGTCTATAATTGGAACCAGCTCTCTTTGCTCTTTTCATCATGTATTTATTTAATAACTTTTTTTTCCTGTAAAATACAAAGTGTTTACAAACTTGGATAATTAGAAGATATTCTACTCTGGATCCTTATTGCCTGGTTAGGATTAAGAGGTACATAAAGCAAGGTACAGTTTATGTGGACATAATGTTCACTGTTTGGTGGTCCTGAGTCCAGAAGCTTCTGTCTTATGAGGTTGGGTTATGTCACCCTCCCAGCATGTGGATGCATTCACCAAACTGAAAATTCTCTGAACCTCATTGTTTGGGGACTTTTAATCTCTTCACTTTAAACTGTGGTTAGGTCAAGGGTGATGTTGGAGAAAAAACAAGAAAGATTGGCAAGGGGCTGGGCATGGTGGCTCACACCTATAATCCCAGCGCTTTTGGAAGCTGAGGCAGGCAGATCACCTGAGGTAAGGAGTTCGAAACCAGCCTGGCCAACACAGTGAAACCCTGTCTCTACTGAAAAGACAAAAATTAGCTGGGCGTGGTGGCAGGTGCCTTTAATTCCATCTACTTGGGAGGCCGAGGCAGGAGAATCACTTGAACCCAGGAGGCGGAGGTTGCTGTGAGCTGAGACTGCACCACTGCACTCCAATCTGGATGACAGAGCGAGACTCTGTCTCCAAAAAGAAAAAAAAAAAAAGATTGGGAAGAAGAGAGTTTGGATAAAAACATGGATTCTTCTTCATGCTGTTATGTATCTGCTGAGGCGGTTGCTCACAGGTTGTCTGTGAAGACAGGAGGTATTGAGGATTTGGTGCACCGAGGAGATGAGCATGGAGGCACTGGGGCTTTCCTGAAAGCCTTAGAAACAAGGGTCAGAGATCTGGGGCTTGGTTAAATGGCTGTGAGAGCTACACCTGGAGTCCCTTCCCAGGCACACGTACCTTGGAGGGACCCTGAGTTCCTGTTCCGTGGTGGAGGTACCAGCAGTCATACTTTTATAAGCAAGCATGTGCCCATCAATTCACATGCATTATTCCATTCAATTTTTATAATCACCCATTGGACCATACCAATATGATTCCTCCTTTACAGCTGAAGAAACTGGTGCTCAAAGGGGTTAAATAAACTGCCACGGTCACATAGAGAGTAAGTGGTAGAGTTGGAAGCTGAAGCCAGCCCCCTCTGACTCACTGTGCTCTGTGGCTATGATGAATTCTAGTTTCTCATGAAATGAATGATCAGAACCTTGACTTTGGCTCATAATTATTTACAATAATAAAAACTAACATCAACTGAGCACTTCCTATGTACCAAGCACTGTGCTAACTGCTTTAAATTTTTCTCATTTGATCCTCATAACAAACCTTATTGTCCTCATTTTATTTTTGAGGAGACAGAGGCATTGAGAGGTTAAGTAATTTGTCCTCAGTTGCATGGCTGGTAAGTGGAGGAGTCAAAATTCAAAATGACGCTTAATCACAGTGCTGTTCTGCCAGCTTTCCTGTTCATCTATATACCCCCCCACCTCTTTTCCTTTCTTTCTTTATGTGGCACTGATTCTGTGCCAGACCCACTGTGTGATTGGGGCAGAGACCCTGGGTGGCCCCAACACCTGCGCCCCCTGGCTGATGCCCTCCCTCTGTGCATGGCCCTGCCTCCCTGCAATTCCAGGAGAAGGTGCTTTCTGAGGCAGGGCATTTCCTTTTGTTTTTGCTAGAGGAAGCAAACTCTGTGGCAGGATATCCTCTGCTGTGTTTTCATGTTATCTGAGGAAGAAAAAAAAACAAAACGGGGCCTGCACATGAAAAATGGAGGGGAAGCCATTGCAAGCTGAAGGGTAACCTGTAGACTCTTGCTGGGGGCCATTTCAGGGCCTGTTTTCCAAGAACTGTAATGCTGAGGTGGCAGAAGGCAAGCTAGAAGATTTTTGACTTACGGTAATCTTCCATCCTGATGGGTGGATTTGGCCAACTACTCCTCTGATCTCAGCCTCCTCCCTCCAGGGACCAGGCAGTACTGCCTTAGTTATTCTATGAGGATGGTCTTGCTTCAGAGCTGAGGACCTGCACTTGGCCTTTTGTTCATAATCTTGTCACTGCTGCTGCTTTGAAGAAGTAGAGTTTCAGGCAAGATAAGAGAAGAGGAAGTCCTCTCAAAGCCCTGTTGATGTGGGGAGAGGGAACTGAAGACAGTCATTTCATGGATGTATTGCTCTTTTTTCTTTCAGGGCCTCTGGGAATGTATTTTGTACTTGTGTCTAGATCCCAGAACCCCATTGGATGGGGCCCTAATTTATCCCTGAGACCCAGAGTCTGAGCAGTGATACATCTTCCAGCCTCCAAGCCTTCCCTTCAGCATTCTGATTTCCTTGACTTTTTTTTCCCACACTTTTCTGTATGAAGCAAGTAGAAGGAAGAAAATGGCCTTTGACTCTAAGCTAGTCTCAGAGTCAAAGAGAGGGAAAGAGCAACTAGAGAAACCAGAAGGCCCATTCATTTTAGGAAGTCGGTTTGGGAAGGCTTTTGGGTAGGAGTGGACTCAAACAGGATAAGGGGTGTGGAGAGGTAGAAAGCCTTATAATTTTTGCCTACTAAGTGGGTATTGTGAACAGTAGGGAAGTTGAAAGCCATGTGGGTAGCTCTATCCAGGGAGGTTTTAAAAATGGAAAGTGTAACCTAAGGAGTATATTCAGGAAATATTTATTATTTCATTTCTCTGGCTGGTTGTCATGAGCTTGAGAATTTAAGCACCACACTGTGCTGCTGTCTCCTTGGAAGAGGGGAAGGGGGAAGGGACTGTGTGTCACTGGCATGATCTTGTATATGCGTATGGGGTTGGGGAGCTCGCTGGAATGCAGTCTGAGGGCAGATTGGACTCTCAGAAATCCTCTTGGATGGTGGGTGGTGGGGAGAGGGTTGCTGTTGAATTCCTGCCTCTTCTCACATCTGGCCCTTTTGGAGTTTACCACACCTCTGAGTAGGGTTTGTGCTGGCCAACATTTGATGGCTTCCTCTCCCTCAGGGCTTCTGAGGGTCACTGGTTAGAGGTTACTCCTCCCTAGGATGAACACCTATCCTATTTTGCCCAGAAGCGAGGGGCCTTCTGAGAGGGGGACTTTCAGTGGTAAAAATGGCAAAGTCCCAGGTAAATCAGCATGATTGGTCAACCTATGGCCTTGACACCAGTCTTAACTCTAGCTGATACTGGCCAGGGGGTGTCATGGAGGTCATTTGGAGACTGGGAGCAGAGCTTTTTATTCCTGGTGTGCATTCAGCAAGAATGGTTAATGGATCCCCATTTGACTAGCAGGCAGAGACTAATCTGGTCCTGGAATCTGTTCGGCCGGGCTGAGCAAGCTCACAGGTTAATTGAGTTTCCCAGTTTATGGCTGCTTAGAGGAGATGATGGCTGCTTAGTGGGGAGAGAGTTCAGGTGGTTAGATTTGGATCCTGGCTGTGTTCATTTATAGTCCAAAACTTTCAGAAGAGGGTGATTTTATCTTTTTCTTTCTCAGGAATGTATTAGTGGTTCAGAAAATATCACAGACATGGTGTTAATTTACTGTTTTCCTGCTGGGGATATAGGATAGTGGAAGAGAGGATGGAGGAAGGGAAAAGGAGCACGTTTTCTAGAACTCAGCTGTCGTGAGAGAGAAGTGTAAGCCTGTGGGTAGGAGCAGCTTTCCTTGTTGAGCGTAGGCATTTGGCTCAGGAGTTCGAGCACTGATAGTGGTGGCTCTTGGTGGTTATTGTCTGTGGGCAGGGATAATGAAGGGTGACCGACTGTCCCATTTTTAGCCCTGAAAGTCCTGGGAAACCCCCAGTCCTGGAAAAACTAGGACTGTTGGTAAACCCAGTGGAGGGACAAAGCCCCCAAATGGGCAGTGGGGCAGAGTTTTTGGCCTGAGTACATAAAAGTGATGAGAGTCAGAGCTGAGGACTCAGAGCTGTCTTGGGAGAAAGAGTCCAGAATTTAAAGCACTTAAAAAAAAAAAAAAGAAGTCTTTTTCAAGTGTCCTGAATCAAGAAAACAAATGCATCTGCAGCCCATATCTTCCTGGGCAAGCCCTTGTGGCTGGGAACAGCTAGAGTGTAGCTGGCTCAGTCACTCTCTCAGAGCCAGGGCAGCAGCTGAGAGCAAAGGCCTGGGGCAAGGGGATTATTTTGGGGTGAAGTGGATGCCAGGGTCCCCAAGATAAGCAGCCTTAAATCAAGCTATTCTGTAGTGTGATTTTTTTTCTAAATTTCTTTTTGGAAAATCATTCTCAGACTACCTGCTGCTTCCATAGGTGAAGGGCAGGGTAGCAGAGCTGGAGTGGGACAGGACTTTGGCCTTTTGTCCTGTATGTTTGATCTAGAGGCAGGCTTCAGCAGCTGAGGGAAAGTCCTAGGGAAAATTGATAGAGGTTGGCTGTCTGAGCACCCAGCGGGCCTGCTCAAGCCAGTCTTCCCTGACCCTTAGGAAAAACACATGCATATACACCTGAGCAAGAACTATTTCTGTCTTTCAGGATATAGTATAAATAGTCATGTGTCCTGTGACCTTTTAAATGGAAACTTAGCTCTCCTTTCTCTAAGAATGTACCTAAAGATGTTCTTTGCTTTGTATCTGTTTGATGGGAGAATAAAGTGTCGTTGCCTGAGTCCTGAGGGATTTGGAATGAATCTTGTTCCAGTAGACTCTAAGCTCCAGGAGAACAGGATCTGGTTTCTCTTGCTTACCCCTGAATCCCAGAGCCTAAACTAGTGCCTGGCACATAGATGTTCAGTAATTAATCATTCATTAAGTACCTTTCTGAATGAGGACAGTACACTGAAGGTTGTGGGACAGTGGCTCTCAAACGTGGCTGTACATTAGAAGCACCTGGGGAGCTTTAAAAAACATCTTAATGTCCAGGCCACACTCCATACCTATTGAGTTAGATTCTTTTAGGGCAAGACCTAGACATCAGTAGTTTTAAAACTCTTAAGGTAATACCAGTGTGCAGCCCAGTATGAGAACCATTGTGTGTGTGTGTGTGTGTGTGTGTGTGTGTGTGTAGAGTTTTGTTACTCAAAGTGTGGTTTGTGGACCAGCAACTGCAAGCATCACTTGAGTTCTTATTAGAAATGCAGGCTCTCAGATCCCATCCTAGACCTAATGAATTAGAATCTGCATTTTAATAAGATCCCCAGGGATTAAAGACTGGGAAGCATGGCTGTAGGGATACAGAGAATCTGCTGGTGTTTAGGGTCCGTGAAGGGCAGAGTAGTGGGAAATAAGGCTGGAAAGCAGGCTAGGAAGTTTGGACTTACTGGCGGGCAGTGGAGAGCCATGAAAAGATCTTGAGCATGGGAGTGATATGATAGGAAAAGGCAGATGAGTCTCTGCCAGTGGGATCCAATATCTGAGAATGTCACCTTCTCTTGCAGGTGCTGCTCCCGGCAGCCAGCTTGCTGCAGCTCATGGATGTTCGGCAGAACTGCTGTGACTTCCTGCAGTCTCAGTTGCATCCCACCAATTGCCTGGGCATCCGTGCATTTGCAGATGTACACACCTGCACTGACCTTCTGCAGCAGGCCAATGCCTACGCAGGTAAGGGGGAGCCGGACTGCTGCACCTCCTCCGAGTTTGTGGATCTAATCACCTGGTCTTCTGCAGACTCCTCAAAGATTATGAGAAGTGGTCTCTGCTGTGAAGCAGCTATGATTTAGTTAGGGATACAGGTGGAAAGATAATTAATGATAGGACAGTTTAGCTCATTGCCAAGTGGAAAATGATTAATTGCCAAGGGGATGGTACAGACAGTAATTTTCACTAGAGTAGAGGAAGGAGATCCAAGAAGATTTGGGGAGTGGGGAGAGCAAACTGAGCTAGGTCTTGAGCTACGTCTTGTTATTGTTAAGAAAAGCTTTGTTTTTATCTGAGCGTTCCATAAACATTCTTTTAAAAGTCACGTACTGGCTGGGCGCAGTGGCTCACGCCTGTAATCCCAGCACTTTGGGAGGCTGAGGCAGGCGGGTCATGAGGTCAGGAGATCGAGACTATCCTGGCTAACACGGTGAAACCCCCGTCTCTATTAAAAATACAAAAAAAAAAAAATTAGCGGGGCTTGGTGGCGGGCGCCTGTAGTCCCAGCTACTTGGGAGGCTGAGGCAGGAGAATGGTGTGAATCCGGGAGGCGGAGCTTGCAGTGAGCCGAGATTTCGCCACTGCACTCCAGCCTGGGTGACAGAGCGAGACTCCATCTAAAAAAAAAAAAAAAGTCACGTACTATTGCAGGGCTTATAACGATGAGGAGTGCCCTGCTCCACCTTTCCACACTGAGTCTTGTGCTCCAGAGCCACTCATTTTCAATCCTTAAGGAATTAAAATGCAGGTTCTGATCCAGCTAAAAGCTACTTCATCTGCTACTCACTTCCATTTATCAAAATAATATGTGCAACTGCTATTTTTTGATTAGTTTTAGATATTATTTGTTGACTTCTCCAGAAGAATAAGATTGAGCTTTTGCAGACTTTCCCTTTATACACATGCAGCCACCCCCCTCTTTATTGTCCAAATACCATTTCCACAACTGAACTAAGCCATCTATTATAATTATAGTGTTTTTTTAAATCAGAAAACTTTAATAAGAAGGGCAGTTAATAATTGTCTTTTTCTCTTGCATAGTGTATGGTTCTACCACTAATTCTTGTTAGAACAGTCCTCAATACATCAGATAATCTGTTGGTTCACTTATTTTTCTTGGAGACATTCTCTGCACTAGAGCTTGTCATTCTATTATTTTAATGGGGTTTTGGGAGGGAGTAGAAATGAACATTTATATTCAGTCCATTATGTTTATTTAGCTAGCTGGAAAGAAATCTTCATTGCCACTTGTTCCAGCCTGAAGAAAGATGGTGAATGACTAGGAAATAGGTCTGATCATTTAACTTGATAAATTCAGTCATGGCCACCTTCTTCCCTTGCAATAAAACACCTCCTTCTTACCCCTGCTCAAGCACTGTCATGGCTGCTATTCTGTTCCGTGTCTCCTGTTTGGCCAGTGTCTGGAAATTAGCTGAGGACCTACTGGCTGCCCACCTGCCAGCTAGCTACCTGTGCTGTGTTAGCCTCTTGGTCAACAAAGCAACAAGCATTTGCTCCATTTCTTGGCATGCTTTTTCTCTCTGATTAAGTCCCTGACCCCAGGAGCCTGCAGAGACTCTCATGTCTCCCTGCAGCCTGTTTCTGAAGGCACAAACAAGTCTTCTTTCTGAAGACTTGTAAAGATAGTCTTGATATGATGATTTTTGTGAAGGACATTACCCAGTAGCCTCAATTCTGAGTCCTGCTGATTCTTTCTGGCTCTGAACCTTGACCCTTCTGCTTCTCTGCCGTTCCTGTGCTCTCTTTTCCCTGCATATTCTCCACTGCCTTTCCACCTTCACTTAGGGAGCCCTTTCTCTTCCTGGGGAGGGCTCCCAGTGAAGCCTTTGAAGAGGTCACTTTCTAGATGGATGGGTGTGCTAAGGCAAGCATTTTCTCTGCAGATTTTTTTTTTTTTTTTTGAGATGGAGTCTCGCTCTGTCGCCTGGGCTGGAGTGCAGTGGTGCAATCTCGGCTCACTGCAAGCTCCGCCTCCTGGGTTCACGCCATTCTCCTGCCTCAGCCTCCCGAGTAGCTGGGACTACAGGCGCCTGCCACCACGCCAGGCTAATTTTTTGTATTTTTAGTAGAGATGGGGTTTCACCGTGTTAGCCAAGATGGTCTCGATCTACTGACCTTGTGATCCGCCTGCCTCAGCCTCCCAAAGTGCTGGGATTACAGGCGTAAGCCACTGTGCCTGGCCTGCAGATTCTTTTCACAAACGTTTGCTAGTGCAGTGGCAAAGGGAGAGTGCTTAGATGTCAGAAATTCTGTCTCCTTCTTCTGTGTCTCCTCTTACCAGCCCTCTCCTTCCACATAGTGTGTGATGCATGTGTGTGTACACCTAGCACATATCCCACCCTAATTGGCTGATACAGTTGTCTGAGGTTTGGGGAGTATACTGAATCCCCACCTTTTTTAAAATTTAAAATTACATTCTAGATTCAAGAGGTACATATGCAGGTTTGTTATGTTTGTATATTGTGTGATGCTGAGTTTTGGCTTCTGTTGATCCCATTACTCAGATGGTGAACATAGTACCCAATAGGAAATTTATCAGCCCTTGCCCCCACTCCCTTTGGAGTCCCCAGTGTCTGTTTTTCCCATCTTTATGTCCATAGGCACCCAGGGTTTAGCCCACTTACAAGTGAAAACACGTGATATTTGGTGTTCTGTTTCTGTGTTAATTAACTTAGGATAATGGCTTCCAGCTGTGTCCATGTTACTGCAAAGGACATGATTTTGTTCTTTTTTATGGCTGCGTAGTATTCCATGGTGTACCACATTTTCTTTATCCAATCCATTGTGGATGGGCACCTAGATTGATTGCATGTCTTTGCTATTGTGAATAGTGCTTAATGAACATATGTGTGCATGTGTCTTTTGGTAGAACAATTTATTCTCCTTTGGGTATATACCCAGTAATGGGGTTGCTGGGTCAAATGGTGGTTCTATTTTTAGTTCTTTGAGAAATCTCCAGACTGTTTTCCACAGTAGCTGAATTAATTTACATTCCCACCAGCAGTATATAAGCATTCCCTTTTCTCTGCAACCTTGCCAGCATCTGTTGTTTTTTGACTTTTTAATAATAGCCATCCTGACTGGTATGAGATGGTATCACTTGGTAGTTTTGATGTGCATTTCTCTAATGTGAATCCCCACCTTTATTAGGGCTCCCAGGCTCTTCTGGCCTGGCTTTTCCCAACTTTCAACGTCTGTGTTTTCTCCTTTGCCCCTTTCACTATCTGATGATGAGACTCATCTGTGGGAGAGTGCAGCAGATGCAGCTGGGAACACATCCATCTTTCTGGTGCTCCTTGGTCCTGTTGCTGTTATAGTGATTGAGTTCTGTCTGCATTATGGGTCTGTGTATGCAGACATCCTGATGAATTATTCTTAGCTAGTGTTTATTGAGCTCTCCCTTTGGGTCATACCCTATGCTAAGCATTTTATTGGCAACATCCCGTTTAATGCATATGATAGCTGAGGAAACCAGGGCACAGAGAGGTGAAGTAATTTGTTGAGGTCACATAGTGACAGAAGGGACAGAAGGCAGGATTCAAGCCCAGACGGTGCTGACTCCAGAGCCAGTGTTTATTACATTCTACAGCTTCTAGGCCCAGTTTGGACATAAGGATGCCCTGTGAATCAGTAACTGAGGAGTGCATGTGGCTAGAGTTGGCATTTTCCATTGAAAGCATGTTCCTGGAAGCCTGTGCAATGTAGTCACCAAATCCCAACAACCAGACAGTGTAGACAGACATCCAGCTGTCCGCTAGACACAGGGTATGTCATCATCTTGGGATAGAGGAAGCGCCATGTGGGTGTCTTCTTCTCTTCCCTGTCGGGTGACTTCCTCCCAGACACATGGAGCCTGTTCCCTCACTGAATGAGTGAGCAGGCCCTCCTACTTTTCCTGGCTGGGTCAGCATGATCTTCAGGCTGAGAGTCTCCTCCCTGTTATGCAGGCCTTCTGTGGTGCCTGTGATCCTCTCCTGGGTGGCTTTCTCAGCAGCCCACTATGCTCTGCACACTAGGGAGGTAATATTTTATTTTATTTTATTTTATTTTATTTTATTTTTTTTTATTGATCATTCTTGGGTGTTTCTCGCAGAGGGGGATTTGGCAGGGTCATAGGACAATAGTGGAGGGAAGGTCAGCAGATAAACAAGTGAACAAAGGTCTCTGGTTTTCCTAGGCAGAGGTCCCTGCGGCCTTCCGAAGTGTTTGTGTCCCTGGGTACTTAAGATTAGGGAGTGGTGATGACTCTTAACGAGCATGCTGCCTTCAAGCATCTGTTTAACAAAGCACATCTTGCACCGCCCTTAATCCATTTAACCCTGAGTGGACACAGCACATGTTTCAGAGAGCACAGGGTTGGGGATAAGGTCACAGATCAACAGGATCCCAAGGCAGAAGAATTTTTCTTAGTACAGAACAAAATGAAAAGTCTCCCATGTCTACTTCTATCCACACAGACCTGGCAACCATCCGATTTCTCAATTTTTCCCCCACCCTTCCCGCCTTTCTATTCCACAAAACCGCCATTGTCATCATGGCCCATCCCCAATGAGCCGCTGGGCACACCTCCCAGACGGGGTCGTGGCCGGGCAGAGGGGCTCCTCACTTCCCAGTAGGGGCGGCCGGGCAGAAGCGCCCCTCACCTCCCGGATGGGGCGGCTGGCCGGGCGGGGGGCTGACCCCCCCCCCACCCTCCCGGACGGGGCGGCTGGCCAGGCAGAGGGGCTCCTCACTTCCCAGTAGGGGCGGCCGGGCAGAGGCGCCCCTCACCTCCTGGATAGGGCGGCTGGCCGGGCGGGGGGCTGACCCCCCCACCACCCTCCCGGACGGGGCGGCTCGCCAGGCAGAGGGGCTCCTCACTTCCCAGTAGGGGCGGCTGGGCAGAGGCGCCCCTCACCTCCCGGACGGGGCAGCCAGCCGGGCGGGGGGCTGACCCCCCCACCTCCCTCCCGGACAGGGCGGCTGGCCGACCCCCCCCCGCGCCTCCCTCCCGGACGGGGCGGCTGGCCGGGCAGAGGGGCTCCTCACTTCCCAGTAGGGGCAGCCGGGCAGAGGCGCCCCTCACCTCCCGGACGGGGCGGCTGGCCAGGCGGGGGGCTGATCCCCCCACCTCCCTCCCGGACGGGGCGGCTGGCCGGGCGGGGGGCTGACCCCCCCCACCTCCCTCCCGGACGGGGCGGCTGGCCGGGCGGGGGGCTGACCCCCCCACCTCCCTCCCGGATGGGGCGGCTGGCCGGGCGGGGGGCTGACCCCCCCACCTCCCTCCCGGACGGGGCGGCTGGCCGGGCAGAGGGGCTCCTCACTTCCCAGTAGGGGCGGCCGGGCAGAGGCGCCCCTCAGGGAGGTAATATTTTTAAAGTAGTATAATGCAGAAGATAAGGCCATGATGCAAAGATGTTAGAAGAAGGGAATGAAGGTTAGATTGTGCAGTATTTAGAGGAGAAGTAGAAAATGATTATCCATGCTTACTCCCTTGAACCCACCCACTGACGTGGGCCTGCTTTTTTCCTTGTACCCCTGACTTTAGATGGAGCCTGGGGTTCTCTACCATTGCTGCCTCTTGAGACAGACCTGTGACCTCACTCTACTGTAAGTGCAGGGGTGCAGGCACCCACTAGGGTCACACACAAGGGAAAGCATTGGTCTCTGTGGTCACAGGTCTCCCTGGACCCAGGCCTTGAGTTAGAAGGTATTTCATGCCAACAAACTACAAGGAGACCTTCCAGATCAGAACTAGGAATCAGACCAGCTAACACTTTGGAGCTGAGTAATCCTGAGCCTATTTTCTTCTCTCTATCATGGGAGTAGCGCATCCTATCCTGTTTCCAGGATGATCTGGGGAACAGGGGGAATGGGGAGGAGAGCATTCTATGGAAGTAGACACCACAGGCGCTGTGCTGTGGAGCCTCCCTGCCAGCCTCATCATCTGCAGTGAGGGAGCTTCACAGTTGGGTCCAGGCAGGAGACACAGGAATCCTCAGGTCACTGCTGCTGCAGACCACATGCACTTTTGGGGAGGAAGGATTTCCAGGACTTCTGGTTTTGTTTTCTCTTTATCTAGATGTATAGTGCAGGCAGGTATGTCCTGTCCAGCCTCCCCTACTCTTCCCAGTTTCTGGCTAGCTTTGCTTTGCCTTCACTTGTCTGTAGATTCCAGTTTAGCTGCTGAATTCTGTTTCTTTTCCTTCTCTAAAAAGCTTTCTTTTTCTGTTGTTATTGTTGTTGTTGTTATTATTGCTATTTTAATAAAAACTCATCCCTGACTATTACAGAAAAAGCACATGGGTGGAAAGAATTATACCACAATCCTACCCAGAGAGAACTGCTGGCAGCACCTTGATGTATATCCTTCCAAATCTTTTTCATTGTATATGTATGCTTTCCAGCTTAAAAAACATTTTAGCCAGGTACAGTAGCAGGTGCCTATAGTCCCAGCTACTTGGGAGGTTGAGGTTGATAGCTCAAGCATTCATGTGTAGCTTGAGCCACGGAATTTGAATCCAGCCTGGGTAACATAACAAGACACCCCATCTCTTAAAAAAACATTCTTAGCAGTATATTCTGAATTTCTTTCCATGTTAGCAGATACATTTCTAGACCATTGTTTGAAACATTTAGGTAATATATTCAATAAAAGCAATTTATACTCATGACCAAAAAATGCAAGCAGTACATAGAGGTATAAAATGCAAAGCCAGTCTTCTCCCAGCCTGTCTCTCTGAAGTGGGGAGATCCTTGGTATCCTTACAGAATTTATATATTATGCTTTTTAACTTACACAACAGAAAGCACTCTGTACTCGTTGTACTTTTGTTTGACAATACAAATCTTGCAATTATTTCCACACCCTTGTGTATGGCTATATCTTATTCTTTTAGTCTGCTGCATCTCATGGATGGAGTATAATTTATTTAACCAGTCTTCTGTTGATGGACATTAATGTTTCCAGTTTTTTTATTTAAAATGCTTCCATGAGAATTCTTGTACATAATATTTTGGAGTACACTTGCTAGTATACCTGTAGGGTACAATCTTAGTAGCATAGTTGTTGGATCAAAGAGAATGTACATTAAAAAGTTGTTTGATAGATTTTGCCAACTTGCTGTCTAAACAAATGTGACTTTATTTTAAAGCCAGTCTTGCCTTCTGATAGGTCCTCGGCTTTTCCAGCGAGAGCACAACTTTGTGGGGGCTGAAGCATCATCTCTATGTCCAGCTGCCTATTTGGTTTCCTGTTTGGAAGGGCCCTGTCTCTTCCTGCTGTGGCAGTCCCTCCTGCTTCCTCTGGATTCAGTTTCCCCCTCAGGGAAGTTCCCCAGATCTTTGCTATGATATATGTTATTCTGGGGTAGGGAGGGTAGGTCCCGCATTTAGAAGCTGACTGCTCAGACTCTTGCCTTAGCTAGTGGCATCACAGTCTTCCTGGGCAACTAGTAGCTGGGAAATGGACCCCAGTGTCTTTCACAGCCTGTTTCTTATACCTCATTATTGTTGTTTCCAGGGACTGCTTAATCTTTAACCTCAGAGGCCAGGGCCTAGGGTTATGGGGACTTTGTTGTTTGGTAATTGGACAGCCATACACTGGGCCATCAGCAGAGCTGTTTGGGAGGGATGTTAATGGGACTTCATTAATGAAATAGCAATTAAAATTCTTTGGACATGTTGTTTACATCAGTCTGCCAAAGCTAAGCAAAAACCTCCAGCCATGGGATGGAAAAGCCATTGGATTTCACGTGCTTATGGAGAGAAATGGCCTTTTTTTGATTGATTGAGTCATTTGAGATCATGGAATGAAGTAATTAAGGCAGCAGAAAAATTTGGAAAATCATTAAAAAACATAAATCTCTGACTCAGTGAGAGTCCTCTTCTAAAATTGCTGCTCCTAACTTGTCACCATGAAATAATGATGATCATAATGATGGGCATTTCTATCATTTTTGAATACTTGCTAGGTGCCAGGAATGGTGCTACATGATTCATAGGCATGGCCTCATTTTGTTCATTTAAGTATAAGAGTTATTATTTTCTCAGCTTATAGGTGAAGAAACTGTAACCCCAGAGAAGTTTAGTAACTTGTCCAAGATCATATATTAACAGCTTATAAGTGGCAGTGCCAGAGTGAGGCCAGCTGACTGCAGAGGTCTGTGTCCTAAGCCCCGCTACTTATTTCCCACCCACCCAGACCAGCCTAGCCTATTTTCTATGATGGTTGCCTCACTCCTGCCTCTCTTGGATTTTCTGCATCTAATTTGAAGTTGGCAAATGAGGCAGTCGTGCAGACACAGATAGGTTTCGTTGCTTGCTCTTTGTTAGGATTTTAGGAAACTTCACTTGTTCCATTTTCTGGGTTATGGGGAACCTCACTGTTGAATCAATAGCACTATTATGGCCCTTGGCTGTGTGTATGTGTGTGTGTGTGTGTGCGCGTGCATGTGTGTGTGTGAGAGAGAGAGAGAGAGAGAAAGAGAGCTAGAGAGAGAGAGAGAGAGAAAGAGAGGGAGAGGACAACACATAATATTTCTGGAGTAAGGCAACATGGAAAGAGAGCTTATTTCCTGCCTTCCCAGGGAGTGTGGAGGTAGTAATATTTAGAGTCTGAGGGCTGGTGGTCATGACCCTTCTGAGAAGAGGTCAAGGTGGGTCTCTGTTACTTCCCTGTGGGAACTGAGCCTTTTCCCTAGAGCAGAGAAACTGTGAGCCTGGAAAGCTAAATATTGATTCAAGGAAGCTTGCCTCTGGCCTCTAAAAATAGAGTAATAAGGGGCAGAAGAGAGAGTTTTAAGGCAGTTCTGTGGTTTTGTTTTTTCACCCTGCCAAAATGTTTCCATTTTGTTTGTGTGTCCACCTGTGTCAGCCAGTGTCTCCTGAGGGTGTGACCTGTGGTTCAGTTCAGAGGCACTCACACCTGTTCCCTGGGGCTGCTGGCCCTGGGAATTATGGGGCTTATGGGGTTTATTTCATCTCTGATTGGTAAAACACAATGAGTATGTTCCCGTCCATGTGGATGGGAAATTATGGAGAAGAGGAAGAGGCACCATATAACTTTCAGTCTTTTCCCACCAAGCAACACAAACATATCTTCCCAATGTTAAAAGGATGATAAAATTTGGGTGATACATTCCCAGGCAAGGGCTTTCTCTGGGGGTACAGTTGGGTCTCAGAGAAAGTTGAGGCCATTTCCTAATACTAGCTAACACCATTCTAAGCATTTTACATATATTATGTCTCTCAATCCCCGCAAAGTCAAGGAAGTCACAGATGGGTCATCATTCCATTTGTTCTGAGCTTGTAGGTTAGATGAACCAGATCAAAGGTTTAGGTTTATTTCATTCCGTGAAGAGAGAAGAATAGTCCTGGGGCTAGCTTGAGAGGTTGCCTGAACCCTAGGCAGTCTTGAAGAACAGTCAGGAAAGTGCAGTAATAATTTTAGAGCTCGGTATATACAGATATTATGCTGGAGACTGAGGATTCAGCTTCAAATAACACAGACTTGATCCCTGACCTCATGGGGCTCCCAGTCCGAATAGAATAGAAAGATTCATGTAATAAAGCAGGGTGATTAGGGATATGATTGTTATATCTTGTTTGGGGGGCTTTGGGAACCCCAAAGACTATCACTTCCTCTAGCCTAGTGGATGGGGGGATTAGGGAAATATCTTAATTCTGGGGTTAGGTCTGAGATTTGAACCTAGAACTGACTCCAAAATGCCAAGAAGTTAGGAATTTAGGGACTAAGATTATTCTCTTTTTTCCCCAAAGAAAGGTTTTTAGATGCATATCCTCTGTCTATGCCTCTCTCTCTCTCTCTCTCTCTCTCTCTCTCTATGTCCAGCACCCCTGAGAGGGATTCTTAAGGTTTTCTGATGTCTGTGTTGAATTTTACCCCAGTGGACTGCTCAGGATAGGTGTTTATCTTGGTACCTAAGATACTCATCAGAATATTTGTTATTATAATTGGGCAGTCTTGGTTCAAAACCTGGCTCTACCAGGTTTACTATTCTGTAAACCTAAGCACCTGTCTTAGAGTTTCTGGGCTTCTGTTTCTCCATCTGTAAAATGGGGATGTTGATACTCACTTTAGTAGGGCTTTTGCGGGGATTGAGAGACATAATATATGTAAAATGCTTAGAATGGTGTTAGCTAGTATTAGGAAATGGCCTCAACTGTCTCCGAGACCCAACTGTACCCCCAGAGAAAGCCCTTGCCTGGGAATATATCACCCAAATTTTATTATCCTTTTAACATTGGGAAGATATGTTTGTGTTGCTTGATGGGGAAAAGACTGAAAGTTATATGGTGCCTCTTCCTCTTCTCCATAATTTCCCATCCATATGGACAGGAACATACTCATTGTGTTTTACCAATCAGGACATGGAACTTAAACAATATTTGTTACTTATAGTAAAACCTGGCTAATTAGGACTCTTAACCAGAACTCTTAATTAACTGACTTATTTTTCTCTGTGTCCACCCCTCTTAAAGAAAAAGAAGCGAAACGATAAGAAAAGTTAGTTATTATTGGAGAGTTACCCTTCAAGGGCTAACTCTCCAATAATAACTCTCTTTTAACCCATGGTTAAAAGGTACTATGCCCCCGGCACATGCATCCCTCCCCCAGGATCTAGCCTTGTCTGCCTCTCCATTGCATCTCCAAGAGCCTGCAGAGCTCCTCATACTTAGGGAGTGCTCAGCAAACCTTTGTTGGATGAATGAAGACATCACCTAGGTTCTAGCTAGACTTCACTATTACTGTTCTTTACATATGCTCTGAATTTTCCTGTTCCCTGCCTTTGTTTGTACTGAAAGTACCTCTCTCAGTCATGTGAGAGGTGGACTTTGGGATGGAGTTATTGATGCCTTGTCTTATCTTGCTTGTGAGGCAGTAGGGTCCTTGTAGACATCAGTTCTGGTTTCTTCATTTTTGAAGAAATGCTGCATTTGATACATCATACGTTAAGAGTTATCTAGCACCTGCAATGGACTCAGTAAATGTGAGTCACATCTATTTCTTTATTTAATGCCCATATCACCTTATGTACTATTATTATTTCCATTTAATATATGGGAAACCTGCAGCCTCAAGGAACTGAATAACCTATACCACTGGACAGTTTGTTGAATTCGATAGAATTAAATTTGTTCTCTAAGATCTTGCAGGTCCACAGCCTTGCCCATAGGATCTGCAGTCCCAAAGGATGTCTTAACATTTTTTTTTTTAAATAGAGAGGGGCCTCACTTTATTGACCAGGCTAGTCTTGAACCCCTGACCTCAAATGATCTTCCTGCGCAGCCTTCTAAACTGTTAGGATTATAGGTATGAGCCACTGTGCCTGGTCCCAAGGGATATCTTGATATAGAAAATCTTCTCTGTTAAAGAGTGGTGCTGCCGGCCGCAGTGGCTCACACCTGTAATCCCAGCATTTTGGGAGACTGAGGCGGGTGGATCATCTGAGGTCAGGAGTTCGAGACCAGCCTGACCAACATGGTGAAACCCCGTCTCTACTAAAAATACAAAAGATAAGCTGGGCGTGGTAGTGGACGCCTGTAATCTCAGCTACTTGGGAGACTGAGGCAGGAGAATCACTTGAACCCGGGAGGCAGAGGTTGCAGTGAGCTGAGATCGCGCCATTGCACTCCACCCTGGGCAAATAGCGAAACTCTGTCTCAAAAAAAAAAAAAAAGAAAAAGTGTTGCTGCTCACAGAACTGGACTTTGGAAAGTGGGAACACAGGCTGGTAATATTTATCCTTCATTTCTAAAGAGTTTCTTAAAGCTGTCAAAATGAATTAATATATATTATTATCTTTGGGCTGCAAAACAATCTTGAGACCTATGTCAGGTATTATGATTGCCTTTTATGGATGAGCATGCCATCCATAAAATGGATGGCGAAGCCTGGGAAGAAGTGACTATAAGACATGAACCCAGGTCTTCTGACCCTTAGCCAAGGCTCTTTACTACATTCTCCATTAATACATTAAAAGCAAAACAAAACAAAACAAAAAACCCCAAATAATTGTTCAAAATAGAAGATGATTCAGGAAGGTATCTTCTGGGAGCAAAGTGGGTTCTTTCCAGGAAGCAGCTGTGGAGAGGGCTGACTGGAATACAAAGTCTTCTGGGGAAATCCTATTTCCCAGGAAATGGAGTTAGCTGGAGCATCCTGTTCCTGTCTTTTCTATCCTGTTGTTTCTTGAGTGTTGGTAACAGAGAGGGGACCCTAGTTCAAAGACTTTGGGGGTTACCCCTGTCTCCTCAGACTAAATGGAAACGGGAAGGCATTTTCCTCTTTGATTGCTTTCTTTGTCTCTTTCTGCTTATGCCCTACAAACCTCACAGATCCCTGGGTGCCAGCCCTGGGTGAGAAGCTGCTGCCTGCTATTTCTCTTGTTGCCCCTTCCCCACCAGATACTGCTTCCTGGGAGGATTTCTGAATGGGATTTCAGTGGAAGGTTCCAGATGGGCAGAGAAGCAGCCCACTTCAGAAAGAAGGGGTTTAGATTCAAACCCTGCAGTAGGGGAGGGACAGAGAGATGGAGGTGGGGTGCTGACTACTTTTTGTCTTGATTTATCTCTAAGGATTTCTAATTTGTTCCCCACATCACCTAGAATGTATATTACTGCACTTCCTTTATCTTCCCTTTCAAAATCTAAGCCTATCTACAGTCTTACGAGCTCTAAGGAAATTTTTATTTCACAGCATAGAATTTTACTTTCTTACCTCCTCTTGTTCTTTTCCCTTCTCCGGCTGTCAGCTTTTTGGTCAGCCAACGATACATGTGGGAAGGCCAGATGTGGCTCTGGGCCAGAGATGTTGGTGCTGGTTTGCAGGACTCTCCTGAGAACCGTGTGGTCCTGCTGAGCTCAGCTGTGGCTGGTCCAGAGAGCCTCAATGTCCTGTGCTTGCTCATGGTGTGGTGGCTTGTGTGGTGACTGCTTTTTCTATCTGCTGTTTCTTGGGTGTTACCAATTGACAGGGGACTGTGGTCCAAAGACTTCTGGGATCAGAAAGGGAATGGAGGGAGAATCCAGTACTTTCCCAGCTTCCAGCCCAAGAATAAATTCTTACCATCCAAAGAAGATTGCTCTCTTGCTTTTATTTTAAGATCTTTAGCAATGAACACTTAAAAAATAGTACTATCTAGTCTTAAATATTTCCATAGTTAGGAAGGTTTTTTGAATGTTTAACTTAAAAACTAAAGGCTTTTTTTGTTTTGATATACAGAGAAGCAAAGACCAGCTTCTTACCATGTTGATGTTGACAGTTGGTTTCCTTCGTAAAAAAACTGACTTTCAGATTTGTCTTGTTATGTGTAAATATTCCTGAGTTTCAAGATGGACAACCTTTAGTTGTGACCATAGTAATATCAATAGGCTGGTGTAGAGCAAGTGGGGAGCCCTTTTTGTCCAGTGGAAGATGGAAAATATTGTTTATAACTCAATATTTGAGAGTAAACTGTTAACGTTTAGGGAATCTGGATGAAGGTAGAAATTTGTATGAGAATTATTTGGGTCTGAAATTATTTCAATATAAAAAGTTAAAAATGATTTTCACAAGAAATGATTTAAATCTTAAATTCTTTGTTTGATTTTTATGAAGTTGATGAAGTCAGGTGCAGTGGCTTGTGTCTATAGTCCCAGCTATTCAGGAGGCCGAGGCAGGAGGATCACTTGAGCCTAGGAGATCACGACCAGCCTGGGCAACATAGCAGTGATGCCATTGGCCCAAAAACATAATCATAAATGGCAAAGCCAGGATTTGAACCTAGGCTCCTTCTTTCTGAAGTAGATGACATTTCAGTGAATATAATTCTCTAATAGCAGGATGATGGCCTGGAAAAATGTCAGGGTAGGAATTGTCCCTGGTATTTCCCTTTTGTGGATCTTAGGCCTGTGGGTTTTATCTTATTCTAGTTGTCACCAAATTTCCCTCTGTCTTGAACAGTTCCATAGGCCTGGCTCTGTGGACTGTTCCTAGGGGTAGTAGGGTCACCTTGTTGCCACTATACCTGGATGAATGCTTAGTTGGGCCTCCTCATGAACCAGAGACTCACAATAGTAGGCTTGACTTTGGGCAAGAAAGGATGATCCCATCTACTGACCTTCTAATGTTGACTTCCTATAAGAACCCCCAGAGACCTCTCAGACACACAGCAGTTCTGACCCATTTTTGTTTGGCTGAGCTTCAGGGTGCACTGTCTGCAACTCTACCAGCTTGCACTCTGAGGGGAAATAAGCTCAATTATGGAGGCAGGTCCCAGTGAGGCTTTTCTGCAGTGCTATTATTAATCTCATGGAGCATGGAAAAAATACAAACTCAGATCTGTCTGCCCCATTTTCATCTGTGTTGATGTTCAGGACAGAGGATCATAGTGGGTGATGCCATCACTGCTGAATTAAAAGGCAAATTTCCCTCCAGCCATGATGTCTCTGTCTTTGTTTCACTCCCTTTCCCTCCATGGTCCCCCTGGCCTGCTCCAGGACTCTACTGTGAATCCCACAGATTGTCATGGAAGGGCAGAAGTGTGTTACAACTTTGTTTTCTTAACTTCTTTTTTTTTTTTTTGGAACAGAGCAGCACTTTCCAGAGGTGATGCTAGGAGAAGAATTTCTTAGCCTGAGTCTGGACCAGGTGTGCAGCTTGATATCCAGCGACAAGCTGACCGTTTCTTCAGAAGAGAAGGTATGACATGGCTCACTGGGGAAACGGGAACCTCACTCGTCAGGTGGTCATGGGAAGGACTTGTGGTTTGGTGAGATCTTTTCTTTTCTTTTTTTTTGAGATGGAGTCTTGCTCTGTCGGCCAGGCTGGAGTGCGATGGTGTGATCTCGGCTCACTGCAACCTCCGCCTCCCAGGTTCAAGTGATTCCCCTGCCTCAGCCTCCTGAGTAGCTGGGATTATAGGCACCCGCCACCATGCCCAGCTAATTTTTTGTATTTTCAGTAGAGACAGGGTTTCACCATGTTGACCAGACTGGTCTTGAACTCCTGACCTCAGGCAATCCGCCCGCCTCAGCCTCCCAAAATGCTGGGATGACAGGTGTGAGCCACCATGCTTGGCCAATCTTTTCTTTTCTTTCAGAGAAAAACAACAGCTTTTTTTTTTAATCCCTTTAAAAATAAAAATTATAAAAAGGCTTTCTGGCTCATGACTGCTACATTCTAGACTCTTTAGAGAAGAAATAACAGTGATGATCATGATGACAAAGCTGCCACTATTTACTGAACACTTACAGTTTGCCAAACACTATGCTAAGTGCTTTATGTTCTTGGGCTCATTCCACCTCTACCATACCCCTGTGAAGCAGACATTACTATTGTCCCTGCATTACAGAAGAGGAAGCAAATTCAGATTCCTCTTCTACCAGTAAAAATTTCTTTATGCCAGTAGATGTAGTCTACTATAGTGAAAATAGCATAAGCTTCAGTGTTGGCCAGCAGGTCCAAATCTCAGCTCCAGTATTTACAAATTAGTTATGTGACCTTGGGTGAGGTACTTTGCCTCTCCTGTGTTTCCTCATTTTGTAAAGTGAGGATAATAGTATTAGAACATATTCCATAGGGCAATTAATTGGGATAATATATGTAAAATGCATGGTATAGTCCTTGGTACCTAGTAGGTGTTCAATCAGTATTAGCCCAGTTTATTATTTACCCTGCACCTGGAATTAATCCCTTCCTTCTCTGTGTTTCAGGATAACACTCACCTTGTTCTCCTTTTCATTGTACATATTTAGTTCTGAGCTGATCCTCCTCCCACATTCAGCTGAGTTCCTTGATGTTAGGGACTACATCTTATTCCTTTCTGTATCTTCAGAGATGCTCAATAAATGTTTTTTGAATGTCTTAGTTCACTCTTTGCATCCAAGCTTGAGGCTCTTCCTTGAGGGAATACTTCAGGACAAACATTGAAAAGGATTTTATATCTGAGATGAAATTGTATTCACACGTCCAGAGAATGGGGTAAAATTCACAAACCCCTGCCTGCCATCCTGGAAAAGTTTGATCAAGAAGAAAAACATTTCTTAAAATAAAAAAGTCATTTGTTAAAACTGTGGGCTTCCCTGAAATTAGCAATGGATTCCCAGAAGGTGACTGGCACAATATACTGGACTCTCCCTTAGGCTCAGGGAGGCCTTGGCTTCCTTGAATGCGTGTGTGTGCATAGGACCCTTCCTGCCTTAAAGTCAGAAACTGAGAGGATGCCCTTCCTTCTTACCAAGCACGTTTACTGTCTGTTCTGGATTATGCTGTCAAATTGGCACAATTGGAAGGGATGAACCAGTCAGTTGATTGGCTATGTGAATGTTGAGACAGTTGGTCAATTTGGGGCCCCCCTGAGCATGTTCTAAGTGTAGAGTGAGAAAATGGAAGCACTCATATAAACAGCAGGATTTGAATAATCTTGGGATATGTGGGTTGAGAGTTGGGGGACTCTGTTACTTTGAATTCATGCTGGCCCATCTTGCTCTTGAGATCATAGAAAGTTTTCTGCATGTGAAGGCTAATCTGTGCTTGCTGTGTCTGGCGGGGAGTAGGGGTGGATTGTTAATAGGGAGAGGCATTATAGTGCCCTGGAAACCACTTGGGCTCTGGACGCAGGCAAACCTGGTTCTAGTCTCTGCTTTCTGGCTGTATGACCTTGAGAAGTCACTAGTCTCTTTGAACCTTAGTTTCCTTAAATTTAAAATGGGAATTCTGAGTCCCTCCTCTATAGAGTTGTCATGAGGCTTAGAGATAATGGATATAAAACGCCAAATATAGTGTTTGGCAGGCACTCAATAAATGGCAGTTGTCATTGTAATTGTCACAATCATCTGTTTTTAAGCACCATTAATAATGATAATGGCACCAATTTTGCCATTGATAATGGTAAAATATGCCATTGAGTTAATTATATCTTTCCAGAAACAAACATGACTTTTTTCACTTAATGTATACACTTAAAATGTATACACTTAAAAATTGTTTGCAGTGTTGCTCAATAATTCATATACTTACATATGAGTTGCTCTTTCTGTATAGCCAGAGTTTGGAGTATAGGTATTTTTCACATTAACGAAGTTCTATTTCATATTTGCTTCTTGGAACTTATATGTAACTTCAGAATTATGTGCTGCTTTTCATAAAGCAGATTACTCATGATCTTGATCCCTTTAGTACCTTTAAGGTTGGCAGTGTAATTTTGAGGTTTATTAAAGAATAGTGGGGCTTGGTCTACATTTTCTCTTTGGCTAACCTCATAGTTTTATTTCTCCATAATTGATCATGTCTTGCTGGAAGTTAAATAGCTGGAAGCTTCTGACAATTAGATGTTTTTCATTTTAATGCTAGTCCTTTAGGCTTTGAAAATTCTGTGTCTGCTCCAGGAGATTTAGTGATTTCTACGCCCTTTAATTACATTGTGTGTGATAAGCAATCTCTTGCATGCATAATAACCTTTCCTTTCAATACTGTTTTATAGTGGAATTTTAAAATGTATTTGAAGTAATATTAGGGATCTTAAGTTAAAATTCAACTGCATATAATGTTAACAGTTGCAGAAAACCCAACTGGGTTGGTAATCAAGTAACTGGTGTTCCACTAAATCCACACTTAACAGCATAACGGCAATTATGACTTACTCTGCATGCAGCCCACAGATTTCTTTGAACATATATTATAAAATGAAGCCAGATTTCAGACATTAACATGTAAAAAACACATACGCCTTAAAATAGAGGAAATGTAATATTTTACTATTAATGATGAGTGTAAGTAACAGGCAGCTTTCATCTTGTAAGTTTGCAAGTATAACTTCTACAGTCAGAGGGGCTCAGTTTGAATTTTGACTTCCCTACTTAAACAAGCTGAGAACCCTGGGCAAGTTATTTATCTCCCACAAGAATGTATGTACCGTATACAAGTAGATAGACAGGAATTTTGTCTGTCTGCTTGTCGCTGCTGGAGTGGTATCAGGTTCATGGTAGACACTAAAAAAATAGCTGTTGAAAGGACGAATAAAAGAACCTCCCTATGGCTCAGTTTTCTCATCTGTAAAAGGTGAGTAATGGTAGTATAGTATCTACCTTGTAAGGTTGCTATGAGGATTAAATGGGATGATATATGAAAAAAGCTTAGAATATAAGAAGTGTTCATTACTGTAAGATACTGTTGTTATTGCTGCTATTATTATGGTTATTACTACTAGTACTGCTCCTAGTAGTAGTCATAACTGTTGACTGGAGCCTTTCCTAAGGGGGAGTCTTCCCAGTGCCCATGTTGGTCTGGGTTGTTGGCATGACCTGGGGCCCCAGTGCCTAGCAGGGTCAGAGAGTGGTTGTGACCTCATGCTCCCCAGTGTCCCCAGCCCTGCCTGGGCCCCTCCCAGAGCTCAGAGACTGTTCTTCCAGCATCACTTGCTTTTGCCCATTCCTTATCTCCTCTACTGCCCTCAGATGCCTTGAGGGCTGTGAGGGTACCTTAGTCATCTTTGTATCACATGCAGTACCTGACTCAGTGCCCCAGGAGGTGCCACGGAAGGACTCAGCAGATGTCCCCCAAGGGATTGAGGTACACTGGGGCTGGAGTTTGCACTGAGCCAGCTGAGGTTATGGGAATAATTTTAACAGTTTTCTAGAGAGTAAGGACAGATAGGGGAATTAGAGGGTAGGGGAGGGCATGAATCCTTGCCATTTTTGCTCTTGTTTTTCCTTCATGTGGTTTTTATTTTAGAATTCTTGTTATTGAGAGAGGTCAAATGGATGTGATGGGAGTCACACAAAATCACTAGTTCATTGTGTAGGACCTTCCCCTTCCTCATGTCATGCCAGACCCCTATTAACTTCAATAGGGATGGCATCATGTTCAAGAGGTTGAAGAAGAGGCCCGGAGGCAGCGAACAAGACATAGGGTTTATTGAGGGCACTTACGTACAGGGCTGTCCAGTGGTGGCAGGCTGGACAGGAAATTGCAACTGCTTGTAAAATGCATGCAGTTTATATAGCATTTTCACTTAACACCCTCCTGCTGGTGACCTTCACCTGGCAACCTTCATTTAACACAAAACAAAGGGCCTCAATCCCCTATATGGCCTGCATTTCCCAGGATGGGCTGGGGTTCAGATGTTCCTCATAGATAAGGAATGAATCTCCAGGTTCTTGATTCCTTAGCGTGGAACACTGAACACACATTCTTCTTAGACCGTAGAGTCATTCTCAGGGTATGCTTAAGTTATTGCTGTCAGGTGCATCTATCATACACTCCACTACCCTGAGGATAGAGACAAGAAGATTAAAGCCAGGCATCTGATTCTTCCACATGGTGGGTGTTGAGGGGTTAGGGCTAAGCCTGTGAGCTGACGGCATGTTTATTGTATTTCCCCTTGAGACACAAAGTTCAGCTCTGGCCATGAACATCCTCAGTGACCCAGTGACCCAGGGGCAGAATAAACAACCTTCTGGGACAAACCCACTCTAAGGAAAGAGATATGACTCCTGAGTTCGAGTGCAGTTTTGCTGTTGAATTGCTGTGGGACCTAGCAAGTTACTGGACTTCTTTGAATTTTGGCTTTCCTAGCTGGTAAATATATGTCTCCATCTCAAGATCTCTTGCCTTCTTATGAAACACTATTGAGGCTTTTCAGAGACACCTCTGAGTGAGTCTTAACAGGGAAATGGCCTGCATTTTAGATACCGGTCAGGAAGAAATTTATTAAGTCTTTTTAAAAAATTAGTGTTAAGTATGTTCTGGAATAAGAACTATAGGTTACTTCTCTTTGCATTATCACATTTTAAAATGCGCTGTTGTCTCCTTAAACTGCATTTTAGAGACCAAATTTTGATATCTTATTTCTTGGGAGGGACTGGGCCCTTGTCTCCCAGGATCATTGGTGTTCCATGCCCTTCTGTCTGAATTCCTTGCCTTTCCAGCAAGGTGGTTGTGGGAGGCAGGCTGTGGGAGGCAGGCTGGAGAGCCTTGGCCGGTGGGCTGGGCTTGCATGATTGCTGCCGAGGCATTGCCAGGTGACTGAGCAGGTGTACCCTGCTGCCTAGGCCGAGCTGTTGGCAGCCCTGCCTTACTCTGAGGTTATCAGAGTTGCCAGCTTCTCAGCTTGCCAACAACAGTGATCTGTTAACGCCCTACCTTGGCGTTACTCTTTTTACTGTTCTCCTTTGGATGGTGGAATTCAATAACTACCCATGCACAGAATATGACAGCACCGTGCCCCCAAATCTACCATGACCAACCAGTGTTCTCCAGGTATGTTTCACTCATCATTTTTTTTTTAAACAGGAAGTTTGTATTGAAGTAAGTTCATGGAGAAGTAAACAAATCAAGTATACAACTAAACTTTTTACGAAGTAAAACACCCACATAACTAGCACCCAGGTCAAGAAACAAACCCCAGAACCCCCTTCCAGTTACTACTCCCTACCCTGGGAAGGGCACCTACCTTCTTGGCTTCTCACACCTTAGGTGAGTTTTACCCATTTTGGAAGCTTATATAAATTGAACAGTGGTGCGTGTGTGCTTTTGTGTCTGATTTTTTCCTGTCCAGCATGACATTCAGAGAACATCATTTCTAATCCTCACAACAAGTTGCAAGGCAGAGATTATTGTCTTCATTTTGCAGACGAAGAAACTAAGGTTCAGAGAGGTGACACAGCTCATTAACCGTAGATAGCTCCATGATGTGAAGCTGTGTGTGTCTGCCTCCCAAGCCCCACTCTTTATGAATGCACCCCCACCCTGATGAGGGGTACAGAGATGAGTGACAGGTAGTCATTTCTATTCAGGGGCTCATAGACTGGTGGGCAGACGGACTGAAAACATGTGTCCATAGTACGTGGCCAAGAGAAATAATTGCTTATAATTATAGTTCAAGGAAAGTACCTGGAATATTTTATTCCAGGTTGTTGTATAGGAAAGACATCATGGAAAAGAGAGTCTTTGAGTTAAACTTTGGTGAATGAGGGTAGAATTTTGGAAAGCCATTTAGGTTGGAGGAATAGTAGGACTATTCCTACTAAAGACTTGGAAGTTTGGAATAGCTCGTACCTGGGGAGAAAAGTAAACTCTGTGATAAGAATCAAGGACCGTGGAGAATGGTGGGAAATGAGGCTGGGAGTGGGGTAGGAGTCTGTGAAGAGATTTAAGGAGTGAGAGCTTTCTTCTTCAGGTCAGTATTTGCTTAACTGTATCCCATAAAGACACAGTATTACAAGATGTTTATAGGTGTTTGGGGCTTTTTTGTTGTTGTTTTTTTTTTTTTTTGAGGTGGAGTCTCGCTCTTTGCCCAGGCTGGAGTGCAGTGGCACGATCTCGGCTCACTGCAACCTCCGCTTCCCAGGTTCAAGCGTTTCTCCTGCCTCAGCCTCCTCAGTAGCTGGGATTACAGGTGCCCGCCACCACTTACGGCTATTTTTTTTTTTGTATTTTTAGTAGAGACGGGGTTTCATCATATTGGTCAGGCTAGTCTTGAACTCCTGACCTCATGATCCGCCTGCCTCAGCCTCGCAAAGTGCTGGGATTACAGGCGTGAGCCACAGCACTTGGCCAGGTTTTTTTGTTTGTTTGTTTGTTTTAAGCATTCTCAGGTCAGATACATTTAGGAGACACTGGCTGAACAAAGTAACCAGGTTTCTTTACTACAGGAGTTGTCAGAGCTTTTATATGGTAATGAGCTTTGTGAACCTTTAAGGGATATTTGAGGATACAGTATGATGTGTTTCTTAGGCTCATTTGGCCCCTGAGCCCCTTTACTACAGAATATCTCCTGCATCTAGTATCCTTAGGAACACATTATAGAGTAGAGTCTTTAAGCCACCTTTCATTGGTTGTCCCAGATATTCTACTATTTTTTGCATCTTTGATATGTCTTTTGGTAATTCATTTCCAAAATGAATTATAATTTTTGATTGTGACTTCATGTTCAGAGGATGTCATATCCTGGGAATCTAGGTTGCCCTGGGCTGTGGACCCTGTAGGGCAGGTTTACTGGTTTAGGAAACAGTTTTTGTATTAGATATTGTCTTAGATATTTCCCATACCACCTGGGTGATGTCAGTTCAAACTCTCAATTTTTATGTGGCATGAGTCTAGGGTTTGGGTTTCTTGAAGATGTAGATTTTACTCCCTGTCTTTCCCTTCTCCCTTGCCTCCCACGCCACTGCGTTCCTCAGCCCACAGGAGATGGCGAGCTTCCTTCCCCTTACTCATAGCACATGGGCAGAGTTCATCTAGTCTTAGTTTTACAGCTGGGGCAAATCTGTCCACAGGAGCCTGTGGCCTAGGCACCCTACCCAATGGGACACCAGTCCTCAATTAAAGCCCATATCTGAATTGTCTCTGTGAGCCATTTTGGCTTCAATTTCCACTCAGCTGCCCGGATTGAATTCCTTCTTATTTAAAACACTCAGGCATTTTCTTCTTGCTTTTGCGTATGGCTCAAATCTTTATTTTTTCTGTAATACATCATGCTCACGTGTTTGGAGCTACAGGGAAAGATTCCTTCCAGAGCAGCTCAGTCTACCATATTGACTGGCAGACATTCTCCATCCGTATGTCATCCTGCACTCATGGTTAGGATTAGTACCACTGACGTCTCTCAGCTTGTAGACGTTTCTATCAAACCATTGTGCTTCAGTCCTTTTCTTATTCTTTGTGGACTCATAGTGAAAGTCTTTTTTACTGGCTGTAGGTAGTAATAGAAAGCTGAAGAACAATTTCCAGGCCAAGTGATGTTACCGTTTTAATTTTTTCATCATTTTTGGTTATCTGAAGTCAGATATCTGGCAGTGTGCTGCTGTAGGAAGAGAACCATACATACATTCATTCATGCTTTTATTAATTTATTCATCCTATTAAGAAATATTTCTCTGTGTGGCAGGTAGCGTATTAGTCACAGGAGAGACATTGGCAAACAGATCAAAACAAGATACCTGCCTTTGCAGAACTTATATTCACATAGAGGAGAGATATTTTATCAAATATATGCACAAATATATAGCTATAAAATGAGAGATGTGGTATGAATGAAATGTGCAGTGTGCTGTGAAAGTGTGGATTGAAATCAGTGGTTCTAATTGCTGTCTTCTCACTAATTTGTTGGGTAATGTCAGGCAAATGACTTCGTCTCTCTCTGCCTTACTTTCTCCTTTTGCAAATGACTAGCAGTTTCACAGGGTCCTTGTGAATCTGAAATGAAGCAACTACAAGAAAGAGCTTTTAAGTGTTGTGTGAAATGGTGATGGTATGGTCAGAAAGAAGAATTCAACTGGGTAGGTTTCTAGGGAGACTTCAGACCAGGACATCGCTCAGCCAGTGGTGTGCTGGTAAATGTTTAACAACTGGCTCGCTAAAAAACATTCTAAAAGCCCTGATTCATCTGTTGATTCATTTGCTGATTTCCATGGTGTAAATATTTTCATCAAGGCTGACTTCAACTACCAGTGTAATGTCACTAAACGTGGAGTTAGGAAGAGACGTGCACAGTGAGCTCCAATTGCCGCACACCACTGCTCCCAGTTGTCCCTGGAGTTGTGTGTGGCAATGAGGTGAGAGTATGCTTAACACAAGTCTTGTTAAGCTTTCATTTAAGAAACAAAAACAGGAATCCAACAGAATCATTCTTTTGTCTAGAAGCACTATCTTCTTGATTTAAAAGCATGGCAGGAGATTTGGTAAATGGTATTGCCTCAATCCCTGGGAAAGGAATAGGAGACCTAGGGGAGGTGTCCCAGGAGGGCGTGGAGGATTGTAATTAGGATTATAGGTTTAGGAAGTTAGTTCCCCAACTCAACAGTCTGCCCAGGGTTTTTTTTGTTTGTTTGTTTTGAGACAGAGTCTCTCTCTGTCACCAGGCTGGAGTGCAGCGGTGCAATCTCGGCTCACTGCAACGTCCGCCTCCTGGGTTCAAGCGATTTTCCTGCCTCAGCCTTCTGAGTAGCTGGGGACCACAGGTGTGCGCCACCACGCCCAGCTAATTTTTGTGTTTTTAGTAGAGATGGAGTTTCGCTGTGTTGGCCAGGATGGTCTCAATCTCTTGACTTCGTGATCCGCCCACCTTGGCCTCCTCGGCCTCCCACAGTACTGGGATTACAGGTGTGAGCCACCTTGCCTGGCCTAGGTTTTTAAAATTAATTGTGTCTCTGAGATGCAAATTGCATAATGTTTGAGCATGGGTTTTTGGAGTTAGAGGTGAATTCACATCAGATCTATTCTTCCTGGCAGTGTGACCTTGTACAGCTTGCTAACCTCTCTCAGGCTGTTTCCTCATCTGTAAAATGTGAGCAGTGACACCTACTTCACAGAGATTGTTGGTGGATTAAATGAGATCATATGTGTAAAATGCCTAGCACTGTGCTTGTTGTTATTAATAAAGTTAGTCCTTCTCAGATTGAGTAACAATTCAGGTCCATGTATAGGAACCTAGTTTTTTTTCCCTGATATTGTCAAAATTAGCGTCTTTCTCTTCTTCCTATGTTTTGCTGAGAATTGCTCCCAATTGAACTTCTCCCCTTGCCAAGTCAGTGCCCTGCCTTTTTAACTGGAGTGCTTCTTGATCTTCAAAACACATTTTGAAAGCAGGGAAAGTACCCCAGGACTCCTCATTTTCCTTGGGGTGTGCAAGTCCAGCCTAGCTTGGCTGCCTGTCTGTCCAGAGTGTTGGAGTGGAAGGTCTGGATTCATCTGGTATTCTCTGGCCAAGACCTGTGCTTACATCTGAAGTGTGGTGAGCTGGGAGCTATGGAATCTGATTTTCTCCAACTCCTTTCCACTTGACAGTCTTGTAGCATGCAAGAAATTGGTTCTAGGACATTAATCAGTGAGGAAATGGGGCTATTTCTTTGTTTAAAAAGTGAAACCCTAAGTGTACCTATGAGCAGCTGATTATTTCATCACAAAAAGTAGTAGCTAAGTAGATATCACCCTATCCTATGATTGAATCTATAGTCTCTGCTTAGATTTTATAGACCAGGGGTTGACAAACTTTTTCTAGGAAGGGCCAGATAGTAAATATTTTAGGCTTTATGTTGTCGTGGCTTCTCAACTCTGCTACTGTAATGTGAAAGCAGCCATAGACAATATGTAAACGATGAGTGTGGCTGCCTTCCAACATAATTTTATTTACCAAAACAGGTGGCAGGCTGGATTTGGCCTGTGGGCAGCAGTTTGCAACCCCCCTGCTATTAGACCTATTAGACATTTGAGAGTCAGCTAAGAATAATGGATTTAGAGCATAAGCACTGAAGTTGGTTTTGTATGTAACCAAGCAGAGCTGGCTCTGCTTCTTTTTAGTTCTGGGACTTGGGCAAGTCATTTAATAAGGCTTAAGAGTATTTAATCATTGGGTTATCTTGAGAATTTGGGGAGGCGATGTTTATGGAGAGTCCCTTGGTGGGAAGGGTTATTGGGAACCATTTTGGGTACATTGAAAGCTAAAGCAAGTTGGAAGTTTATTTGCTTGTTTATTTTTCAAGCATGAAGTCTGAATGAAAAAAATATGTGGCCTTCTCTAGCTGCTGAGAAGGTCACTGTTGTTGCCGAATGCTGTGGCTTTCATAGCTGAGTAGATAAACAGTGTGACTAAGTGGAACTAGTTACACAAGTGAAGCCAAAAATAAAGATAAGGTTAAATATCGACTTTGGTAGATTCAGCTTGCTTTTTTGTTTTTATAACAAAAATTAAGCTGGTTGATGGGGAAGAATGTGATCAATAAATGCTACCCGCTTAAGGACTTGTAGTTCATTCTTCAGCTAAGCTTTGCCAATCAGTTACCTTGTGTTGTGCTAGGCAGCATTGGGAGATGGCGTGCAGAGACAGAGCTGGTACACTTCTCACTCTGCATAGGCTCACAGTCTATAAAGGGAAGTAGAAAGAGGTGTGGCTAACCAACCACATACAAGGCAGAATGGGGTTGTGGCTGCCCATCACCTAACCTGGCAAAGGCAGACTATCTGCCTTTGACTCTGCCTTACCCACTAAGATTCCAACCCCTTGTTCCCCAGCCCTGCTCTCTGCTCCAGCCTGGGCAGCTTCCACACATCTCCTTCCATGCTTATTCTGAACTCATTTTCCATTCATTCACTTAAAAAATATTTGAGTTTGTGTTATGTGCCAGCAAATAAGACAAGGTCTCTCATGGATCTTAAGGGCTAGTGGAAGAAACATAGTCGTTCAAACAATGCTGTGAGGATGAGGGACATAGCTCGATAAGAGTTCCTAATAAAAAATGAACTAGACAGGGATTTCTATGGTGTATGTGCTTATGTTTGTACACATATAGGTTATTTGATATAGAAATAGGAGCAAACTATACATACATACTACTCCTTTCCTTTTCTGCTCCCTTCCCTTCCTTTCCCTTTCCCTTCCCCTTTCCCCTTCCCTTTCCTTTCCTTGCCAAATTCAAGTTATGTCCAGCCTGACTTAAGTATATAATTAGAAAACAGGGCCAAGTGTTTTAGGGGAAAAGCACATTAACATATTTGCACAAAAAAAATGTACTTAGGTTAAGAAAAATTGGAGTCCTTTTTTCCTCCTGGCAGATAAAGCTTTCATTTCAACTTTCTGCCATCCTATAAATTTTGTTGTAGTTTTTTTCCTTAGAATTTCTTTTCTTCTCTCTTACACTGCTTATTCTGAAAAATTAAAAACCTACTGTAGGTTTGAAAGAATGAACATTCATGTAGTCTTTACCTAAACTCACCATTAACATTTTGCTTCATTTACTTTATCTCTCTAGACTTAATCTTTCATTTTGCTTAATCATTTGACAGTAAATTGCAGACATTATGACACTTCACCCCTAAATATTTTAGCATGTATCTCTTAAGAACGAGGAAATTCTCTTTTCTAGCCATAAAACCAATTATCATACCAATGAAATTTAATATTGATCTAGGAATATTATCTAACATATAGTGGATAGTCATATTTTCTTACTAGTCCCCCAAAAGTCATTTATGGCTATTTCTTTTAGAGCCATAATCTAATTATGGTTTATGCACGGCATTTAGTTGCCTTGTCTATAAATCTCTCTAATCTAGAACTGTCTCCCTACCTTTTTTTGTCTTCCATAATATTAACAATTTTGAAAATCCAGGCCAGCCGTCCTATAGAATGTTGCAAACATAGAGTTGTCTGATCGTTTCCTCACCGTAAGATTCAGGTTATATATTAATATTTTAGGAAGAATTGTACTTAGGAGATACTGTGTCTTTTCAATTAAATCACAATCAGGAATATAAGTTTGTCCTCTTATGGGTGGTGGTAAATTTGGTCCCTTGTTTAAGGTGTTGTCTATCAGATCTCTCTATTTGAGGATATTTTCCCTCCATGTAAATAGTATGTAATCTGTTGGGTGATTCTTTGAGAATTGTGACTCTTTCCCCATCCAACAACTTTATTATTATTATTTTTTTAAAGATAGGCTCTTGCTGTGTTGCCCGGGCTGGAGTGCAGTGGCATGGTTACAGCTCACTGCAGCTTCCACCTCCTGGGACCAAGTGATCCTCCTGCCTCAGCCTCTCAAGCAGCTGGGACTACAGACACGTGCCACCATGCCTGACTGATTTTTTTTTTTTGTAGTAGAGATGGGGTCTTGCTAAGTTTCTCAGGCTGGTCTCAAACTCCTGGGCTCCCACCTTGGCCTCCCAAAGGGCTGGGATTACCAGTGTAAGCCACTGCACCTGGCCTTTAACAACTTTCGATTTTAGCATCCATTGGTGATCTTTGTTCAATCAGTTATTACATTGGTGGTATTGCAGAAATGGTGTTTTTCTAATTCCGTCATTCCTTTTACAGGCATTTTTTTTTGGATATAAGAGACCTTCTTACACTTTTTTAGTATCCATATGGGCGCATGAATTATTTTTTTTAATTTTTTTTTTTGAGACAGGGTCTCACTTCGTCTCCCAGATTGGAGTACAGTGGTACACTCATGGCACACTGTAGGCTCGACCTCCCAGGCTCAAGCAGTTCTCCCACCTCAACCTCACTAGTAGCTGGGACTATAGGCATGCACCACCATGCCTGGCTGATTTTTGTATCTTGTAGAGATAGGGTTTTGCCATGTTGCCCAGGCTGGTCTTGAACTCCTGGGCTCAAGCAATCTGCCTGCCTTGGCCTCCCAAAATGTTGGGATTATAGGTGTGAGCCACCATACCTGGCCATATTATAATTTTTAAAAAAAAATTAAGAATATTTTATATTGAGGTATATGGATATTAAATACACAATTTGGTTAGTTTTGACACATGTATATGCCCATGTAATGCCCACCCTAAACCACAAAAGGTTTCCTTTGAACCTTTTTCAGCCATTCCCTGACCCTCCTTCCCCTCAAAGAGGCAGCACTGATGTGATTTCTTCATTATTCTCACTGATATTTAAATTGTCCCAAATATTGGCATTGAAAGCCCCATCCAGCTGGCTCTTTTTGACATGTCTTCTTTAATCACGTATAAGATGTTTGCTTTATTCTTTTTAATAGCGAAAATAGAGTTGGCACTCTGTATCCGTGAGTTCCATATCCAGGGATTCAACTAAGGAAATATTCAGAAGAAAAAAATTCCATAAAGTTGCGAAAAGCAAAATTTGAATTTGCTGCAACACCAAGTACTACATCATATCCACTTGCATGAAGTGATGTATGGGTATTATATTAGGTATTATAAGCAATCTTATATAATTATTTAAAGTATATTTATTATTAACATACTTTAAATATATATATTTAAAGTATTTAAAGTATATGGGAGGATGATTTAAAGTATATGGGAGGATGTGCGGAGGTTATGTGCAAATACTATGCCATTTTATATAAGGGACTTGAGCATTGGCAGATGTTGGTATCTGTGGGTGGTCATAGAACCAGTGCCCTGGGGCTGGGGCTGGTGGCTCACGCTTGTAATCCCAGCACTTTGGGAGGCTAAGGCAGGCGGATCACTTGAGGTCAGGAGTTTGAGACCAGCCTGGCCAATATGGTGAAACCCCGTCTCTACTAAAAATACAAAAATTAGCCGGGTGTAGTGGTGTACACCTGTAATCCCAGCTACTAGGGAGGCTGAGACGGGAGAATCACTTAACCCGGGAGGTGGAGGTTGCAGTGAGCCAAGATCGTGCCACTGCACTCCAGCCTATGCGACAGAGTAAGAACCAAAAAAAAAAAAAAAAAAAAAAAAAGAACGAGTGCTCAAGGATACTGAGGGATAACTGTATCTAATGGTATGGATACTCCTTTAATAATTTCTCTATTAGTGGACTTTAGGTTGTTTCATTTTTTTATCCCTTTACAACCATGCTGCAGCAAAGATATTGGAGCACATATTCTGTTCTCTTACACTGATGTGAGTATAAGCTAGAGCTCTAGAAGTGGTATTTTTAAAGTCAACGAGAATGCACATTTAAAATTTTGATCGATATTGCCAATACTTCCCTCCCCTCTTAAAAATCATTATTAATGAAATTTTTACAGACACTGCTGGTTTCCCCATTGCCCCTCCAACGTTGAATTTTATCTGCCTATGTGTATGTGGTGGCACAGGGTTTGAATTTGGACTTATCCTTGAGTAGAGTGAACATCCAAAGTATAGGTCTGCCTTTTTGGTTCTAAGCCCTCCAGTTTTGATTTGCATAGAAATGAAATCTCTCCTCAAGGAGAAATGTTTGCCATTCCTTGTCATTCAGTGTCACATTGACCATCACAGCCAGCTTTGGGCAGAGGGCATTCTTACTGTTTTTATTCTACATTAACTTTACACGGGACATAAGTGAGGAAACGGGGGCATGGGGAGATGACGACATTGCCCCCAGGGTCTGATCTTCCTGAGCAGCCTCTATAAATTTGGTTCACAGTTACTGCTCTGTATTTTTACCCTTAAAAAACTATTGGAACTGGTTTTTATTTTAGAATGAACCATGATGATTCTACATTTGGGATAGCAGGTTTGTCCTTGTGTGTGTGTGTGTGTGTGTGTGTGTGTGTGTGTGTGTGTGTGTAGAGTGTGTGTGTGATCACTCTCTGAGGCCAGCAAGTAAACAAACCCTTTCTGTTTTTATTTTAAATATGAGTCTCAGATTAATTAAACACCTTTGTGGATGACTCATAACTTTTTCTCTCTCTCTTTTTTTTTTTTTTTTACAGATTGAGGGTTGTTTGAAAGCTTTTGTCTCTTTACTGAAGTTGCCCATGTTGCTTTTCTTTATAGGTGTTTGAAGCTGTGATCTCATGGATCAATTATGAGAAAGAAACCCGTTTAGAGCACATGGCAAAGCTGATGGAACATGTCCGACTTCCTCTCTTACCTAGGGACTACCTAGTCCAAGTGAGTGTTGTATGAAGAGCCAAGCACTTCTGTGTTCACCCAGACCTGTAGGAATAGCAATGGGCAATCCTGGTTGGATGGAGTAGTTGAGGGTTTAGTGGGTCTTCTGTATGTGCTGAGGGAACCAGCCCACTGGGTTAAGTGTTAGGTGTTGTAAAGTTTAAGAGCATAGGCTTGAAAATAGGACACTTAGGTTTCAGTCTCTGCTCTGCTGCTTATTAGTTTTGGATTTTTATTTAACCTCTTCAAGCCTCAGTTTTTCTTCCATAGAACAGATATTATAGTAGAGCCCAGCAGGGTTGTTGTGAGGACTAAAGGAGTAGAGTATGCAAGTCAGCTGCTTCGTGTGGAGCCTGGGGTAACAAATGTTCCATGAAAGTTAGCTGTCTTTGTTGAAGAGGACTGAAGCAAGAAGGGTCATGTCCACAATGTTTCTATGTTCCCTTTATGTCTTAGTTTTAGGCAACTTGAAGCCAAATTCAAGACTGTAAAAACGGTGCCTAGAATACAGAGTACTTCCACTTCCTCTGAAAAGGAAAGAAAAATTAAGAATTATGGGGTTTCCTTATGGTGCCATATGTTTTCTCGTTTAATCCTTATAATAACCCAGAGGGGCAAAGATTGTAACTCCTTTTTTTACACATGTAGGCCTTGAGGCTTATGGAGGTTGGGATTTATCGGGGTCACTAGCCTTAGAGAGGCTCAGGATTCAAATCCATGTCATTCTGGCTCTGCAGTGCATAGTTCTTCCGCTAAGCTAGCTGCCACCATTGATACGCTCTTTTCTGCATACCCATTACGTGACTTATTTTATACAGTAAATGGCATTAGACACTTTTATAAGCAGAGAATAAACCTTAAAATATATGAACAAAACAAAACATCGAGACAGCAGGTTAGCCCTCAGCTGTCTCCAAGGAGTCTCTGGAAGGAAGGGAAGATATGATGCAAGGATAAAGAGGAGGTTTAGCAGCCTAGCAGCCCAGCAGCCCAGCTCTTGTTACTTTCCAGCCATATAATACTGGGTACATGCTTAACCTTTTTAAACCTCAGTTTTCTTACCGGGAAAAAATGGCACTTGCCTTTATAGGATTGTTTGGGGATAAACAATAAAATGAGATAATCCATGTAGGCCTATAATACAGTGTTCAGTGAATGTTACTGATCTTACTCTGTAGTCTTTGTGACCACTGCTGTGATTCTTAGTAGCAGGTGACACAGTATCCTCACGAGCACTTGTAAACTCGTCTGCTGGTAACACTTGTAGATTGCAGATATGAGGGGTCAGTGAAATGTTCCCTGAATCGCCGTACTTCAGCCTTCTCAGGTGCTGAGGGATATGCTTGCAAGCTCTTAAATGGGGCATGCATGCTACTTTGGGTGATACCACTGCCACCTGGTGGCAGCATATCTTTCCTGTAGAAAAGGTCCCCTAAGCGGAGGAAGTGAACTTGCCTGAGCATCCAGTGTCAGTCAAACCTCCCACTGTCCTGTGGGAAGCTGGCTGGAGGTGGAGGAGGCACCTGGACTCCAGTATAGTCTCGCTTCCACAGGGAGGGTTGGCAACCTGGGGACCTGGGTTCCAGAGAAAGCTAAAGTGGCCTTAGAGACCGTTGGTCACAAACTTCATCAGGCATCCACAACTGAAGCTTAACAAACGTCACCATTAGGAAATGGCTCCTGGGTTATTATGCCAAAGCAGAATTTAGATCTGGAAAAGAAGGGGGTCAGAGGCAATGGGCATGAGAACTGTTGTGTGGGACTCCTCCCTTTGCCCTTTTTGCAGAAAGGCCTTTTATCAGGCCTCTCAGAGTGAACACCTCTGGAATAGGATGTTTCATTACATTCATTTGACTTTGAAACTTCAAATGAGTATAATTGCTGGGATGGCTGATGGTGGTGGAGGAGGAGGAGGAGAAGGAAGGGAAAGCCCTGGGCAGACCTCCACCAACACTGCCTGACTTCTGGGGGAGGTTTTTTTTTCTTTCACAAAAGGTAGCATTTATTAGGCTTTTACTCAGCATTTAAAAATATTGTACTAAATGTATAATATGTTGTGATAAAATGTTTATTACATAAACTTTGTTATTTTAACCATTTTAAGTGTACAATTTAGAGGCATTCATTACATTCAAATTCAGTACAACCATTACTATAAAGATTTCCAAAACTTTGTCATCACCCCCAAAGTTGAAACTCTTGTACCCATGAAGCACTAACTTTCCAGGAGAACTTTTAATTCAAGCTGAGTAAGTTCTTCTGGAGAAATAGCTGCTCATGCATTTCTCCTTCCTTCCAAGCTTTTTCAGGCATCCTCTCCCACCCTTTTTATTTTGTAATTGACCCTAGAAGTTTATGATTTGTCTCAAGCTGGCTCAGTTCCTTACTGGGAGGGGAAAAAAAAACCTTCCAAGGAAAACAGTTCTTGGGGACTGTCTCTGGGGAGGGAGGTGGTCAGAGGTACACAGAGGCCTTCTCTTGCCAATCCTTTTTTCCCTGCCAGCTCCAATGCTGCCCAGCAGATGATGGCCCTGGCCATGCTTTCATTCCTAGTGACAGATGGGGACCCAGGAGAGGCTCAGTCATGCCTTGTGCATCACTGACTTGAGGGCTGAGATAATTGAGGTGGGAGGCCCTTCTCATTCTCTGACTGGACTTGAATTCTTCAGGGTCAGAAATTTTGTCTTGTTCATCATTTTCTTCCTGGGGACCAGCACAGGGCTGCCCAACCAGGAGACATTCAATCAGTGTTAGCTGTTGAATGGAATTGATCTTTCCTAACACAAAGCAGCCCCAGAAGACCACATTACCCATTCCAGATATGCCACACAGTGATCTGACCTGGGCCAAAAGGTGGGGATTGGAGAGTTAGAGCACCAGAATGGCTTCATGCTTGGTCTTGCTCATGAAACCTTTAGGCTTACATGTGCTGAGCACCTGCTTAGGTCCTAAGCTCTGGAATAAGAGATAAAGAAGCCAGAGCCCCAGCTTAGATGGAGTCCTAGGTGAGGTCAATAGGTGGGACTTTGTGCAGGGTAATTTTTCTGCTCTGATGTTGTTACTCTGTTAGAAGGAGCCTCACTGGCCGATTTTCTGCCCTGAGACCTTCACTATAAGACAACGAATATGAATCTTTCTCCTTGACAAGCTTATTTTACTCAATGCCTCCAAAGGTTGGCTGATGGCTCCCACACCCTTTCCTCTTTCCCCTCACTCCTCCTCTCAGATGTCTGTTTGCCCTAAGCATTATAATGCATTCAAATCAGGAGAAATGTGGTTAGAGGCTTTCAGGATGGCTACTTGTCTTTTGTTTTGCATAAACTCATTTAAGCCTCAAAACAAACAAAACTAGTGAGGTTGTAGATACCTTTAATATGCCCATTTTACAGATGAGGAAACTGAGGATCAGAGACGTTAAGTAGTGGATCTGGTCTAATGCCAGAGCTTGATCCCTTATCCCACTGTGCTCTTAAAATGCAGGAGGTGAGCAGTAAGTTGTAACTCTTTGGGTCTGAGATGATGTGGTGAAGGAATGAATGAGTGTGGGAGTGCAGGAATGACTGAGCCCAGGGTGAAAGCTTGGGAAATGTGGCTGAGCTGTGCTCCAGGATCATCTGTGGATTATTACCTCTAGACGGTTGAAGAAGAAGCTTTGATAAAGAATAACAACACCTGTAAAGACTTCCTCATTGAGGCCATGAAATACCATCTCCTCCCTCTGGATCAGAGACTATTGATTAAGAACCCAAGGACCAAGCCCAGGACTCCAGTCAGCCTTCCCAAGGTAAGCCCCAGCCCAATCACCACCAAGAGTCAGGACTGTGCCCTGGGAAAGTGGCCTTCCACTCCTGCCTCCAAGTCTTTCCTCACCCATGGCTGCCCTGCATCTTGGTTGCATTTACAACCTAGGAGATGGAGTCTGCTGGTTCCTCTTGAATCTGCTGGTACCTCTCTCTTCTGGGGTCTTCCTTTCCTAAGAGTTTCAAGGTAACCTCCAATGTCATCAGGGAGGTTTGAGAATAACTCAGAGCTCCCTCTCACCCCCACCCTGACTTCTCATTTCACACCATGGCTTGTGCTCTATTTCTGTTGGAAGCAGAGGAATGGCTATGTTGGTTTCACTTAGTGATGGCCATAGTAGTCCTCTTTCTAGGCCATTCTTTGAGTCAGAATAGTCCTAGTCTGTTTCTTTTCCCCACTCAGGGAAGGACATAAAGGACAATTAGGGCTGCCCCAGAGAAGAAAAGGGGTTCTAAGAAAAGGGACCCTGTCAAATTGAGGAGTTTGACAGGTCACGAAGCAGAGGAAGGAAATGGGAGAAATGAGAATTTGTGAGGGAGCAGCCAGGGAAAGGGAAGGAAGACACAGGAGGGGACCCCATGATCTAGAGACCTAGAGTTTATGGTGTGTGCTGGCTGCTTTGGTTCCCTGCGAGTCTTCTTTCCTCTCTGACCCTCAGGCTCCTTATCTATAGAATGAGGGATGCTCCACTCGATCCCTAAAGTCCTGTCTGGTGTGGCACCAAAGTAGTCGTTTTAGGAGTCTAACATGCTGATGTCTGGGGGAAGGAATCAGTCAACCCAGGAGGAAAGGTGGGAGGAGAGGAGTGGGTCGTGTTGTCTCATTGATGACACAGTAGGCAGCACCAGGAAATTATTTAGGCCCTTGCTTTGTCCTCCTCCTCCTCTTTCCAGCTGGCTGCCATCCTCCCTGCCTGCTTCTTCCAGGAAGGTTTCACAGTGGCTAGAGGCATGTTGTTTTCCAAGACCAGGTGTTGGAATTCTCTGAGGTTTGCAGGACCTTCTTTCCCCTCTGCTCCTTGACCTTGGATCATGGGGAATATATTGGTTGCAATGTGAACAAATGTCTCAGTGTCCCAGATAATAATACAAGCAGCTAACCTTTATTGAGTGCTGAGGTTATCACTTGAATATCTTACTTAATCTTTTCAACAACACTACAAGGTAGAGATAGTTATCCTAGTTTTATAAAGGAGGAAACTGAGTTTCAGAGAAGTTAATTTACTTGCCCAAGGTCAACACAGCTAATGTGGTAGAACCAGCATTTGAACTGAGTCTTTATCACTCTCCAAACCTGTTCTCTGAACTCATACCATCCTGCACCTGGCTTCACCTTTGTAAACCTGAGAGTGCATACTTGCCTGTTGGCCTCACGTTGCCTAGTGCAGGTTAGAAGAAGGCACAGCCGCAAGGCAAGGCCTTGGTCTGGCTGGACATTGGTCTTACTGCAGGTTGATGCCTTTTGTTTTGTTTGGTTGAAATATTGCATTGAAACTTCTTCATATTTTTCAAAGTGAAAATAACTTAGCTTTCTTTAATTATAGACATATGTGCTTATTGTGGATTATTAAAAGGATACTACAATTTTGAAATTAAATAAAAGTCACTTGAAATGTCTCCTAGGATAAAAAATCTGCTATTATTTGGAAAATTTTCTTTCAGACATGTCTCTCTGCACTTTTTCACAGATAGATACAAATGTACAGTGTATTGCTATACAGATTGAACTATTTTTCCCCCCATGCAGCCATGTGGTACAGACTGCTTTTAATATTATCAGTATAGGTGAAATCAGCATTTAAATTGTAATGGTACATGGTGTTTAATTGTATTTATGCACTATTATGTGCATATTATGGACAGTCCTCTACTGATGGGCTTTGCAGTAATTTCCTTTTTTTTTTGTAATGTAAACATTTCTGTGTCAAGTATCCTTTAAAAGGTGGCATATTGTTTGAGTTCGTATTTCTTTCATTGGGAGTGAGATTAATCTTGATTTCATATGATTATCGGCATTTGTATTTCTATTTTGGAGAATTCTCTGTTCATGTCCCTGGCTCATTTTTCTATTAGACTGTATTTTTTAATTAATATTTTTTATTCCTTTTTTTTTTTTTTTTTCTTGAGGCAGAGTCTTGTTCTTCTACCCAGGCCGGAGTGCAGTGGAGTGATCTCAGCTCACTTCAGCTTCCATCTTCCAAGCTCAAGTGATCCTCCCACCTCAGCCTCCCAAGTAGCTGGGACTGCAGGTGTGTGCCAACACACCCAGCTAATTTTTTTTCTTTTAATTTTTTTGTAGAGACAGGTTTTTGCCTATTGCCTAGGCTGGTCTCGAACTCCTGAGCTCAAGCAGTCCACCCACCTTGGCCTCCCAAAATGCTGGGATTGTAGGTGTGAGCCACTGTGCCTGGCCTTATTTGTAGTTTCTAAAGGCTCTTTGTACATGAAAGAGGTTAGGCCTTTGAATGTATGTATTTCAAATATGTTTTTTCTTAGTTTGCAATTTGCCTCTTGTTTATAGTAATTTTTTGGTCCAAAAAAGCCCCAGTTTTTAAGGAGTCAAATTGATCTATCTTTTGCTTTATAGCTTGGGTTTTGTGTCATGTTTAGAAATATTTTCTTTACTCTGAAATTATTTAAATAATGTCCCCATGTTTTCTTCAAGTACCTTTATAATTTTTGTTTTACATTTGAATCTTTGATGCACTTAGAATTATTTTTTGTGTGTAAGGAGTGAGGGCAGGGATTCAGTTTTATTGGTATTGCAAATGATGAGCCAATTGTCTCAAGGTTATTTTATTCATTAATTCCCCTCTTCCCCCATTGGTTTGAATACTATCTTTATTATGATCTAAATTTCCACAAGCTGCATGTCTTGAGAATGTTGATTCTAAGTGTGCTGCTTTTTATTTAGCCTTTTTACTTCCCTGGGTTTTCAGCTGGTCTTCTGTCTGTGACATTTCCCTTTGGAAATTGGTTCTCATCCTCTATGATATCAGAAGAATGACATCTTTGCCTGAGGAGTGTAGCTTGGAGCTAAGGGAATGGTTCAGCACTGGCCCAGCTTTTTTGTGTAGAAACCATACCTAGTGACCTCTCCTTTTTTGGACTCCATGTTAGCTCTTACCTCATATACCCATAAAAAGATAGTTTTAAAATTAAAGCCCAGTTTGTGCCTGAGCCTGGACTAAGCATGCTGAGAGCTGCTCCACCATCACCCCTGTTCCATCCCAGGGATTTAATCTATAGTTGAGAAAGAAGAGTCTACCCCTTGTTTCAGGAGGTCAAAGCCATCCTTCTGTCATCCCTACTCCTTAAGAAACATTTATTTTCTGAATGAAAACATTTAGATTCCTGGGCCTTCTGCAGGCAACTGGAACCATGACTTCCTTAGAATCTGTTAAAGAAAGAAAGAAAGAAGACATCACTACTCTTTGTCTCATTGTTCTCCTGTATTTAATCCTTGAATGATTTAAGGTTATGTTGTCTAACGTGCTTCTTAAACTATACTCTCATCACCATTGTTTAAGCACTTAAATTAGTGAGGGGATCCCCACTGAAGGCTTGAAGAATGAATAGGGTATGCTGAGGGAAATGATCACTTAGGGATTATCAGATCGTGTACTGTCTTAATAAATCATCACAGCAATAGGTCTGTCCTATTCATATCCCTACTTAGATTACTCAGAGAGGTTAAGAAATTTGCCCAGTTAAGTACTGGCTAAGTGCAGAGCTGGGGTTCGGTCTGTCTCACTCCAAAGTCCATGCTTTTCCTTTTACACCGAACTGCTTCCTGAGAAACAGCTTTCAGGTTTTGTTAGCGGTTTAAAGAGATTATTTTCTTTTAGATTAGTAGAGGTATAATAATTTATATGCAGTAAAATTCACACTTTTTAGAGATACAATGTGATAAGTTTTTACAAGTGCACAGTCATGTAACCACCATCCCAATCAAAACATAGAATATTTTAATCACTACAAAAAGTTTCCATGTGCTGCTTTGTAGTCAATCCTCTTCTTCTACCCCCAGCCTCTGACAACTACTGATCTGATTTCTGTCCCTATGGTTTTGCCTTTTCTAGAGTGTCATATAAATGGAATCATGCTGTATGTAGTCCTTTGAGCTTGGCTTGTTTTTCTTACCATAATGCATTTGAGATTCATCCCCGTTGTTGCATGTATCAGGAGCTCATTCCTTTTTATCACTAAGTAACATTCCATTGTATGGATGGACCATAGTTTATTCATTCACGAGTTGGTGGACATTTGGGTATCCAGTTTTTGGCTGTTACAAATAAAGCTGCTGTGATTTCACTTACAGATCTTTGTGTGGACATATGTTTTAATTTCTCTTGGGTAAATACCTAGGAGTAGGATTGCTGGGTTGTATGGTAAGTATATGTTTAACTTTATAAGAAATTGCTAAACTGTTTTTTAAAATGGCTATACTATTATGCATTTCCACCAGCAATATATGAGTTTCAGTTATTCTGCAGTCCTGCTACTACTTGACATTATCTATTTTTAAAAATTGTAGCCATTCTAGTAGGTCTGTGGTAGTATCTCACTATGGTTTTAATATGCATCTCTCTAATCACTGTGCTGTTGAGATTTTCTCATGTGCCTATTTGCCACCCATATTTCTTCTTTGGTGAAGTGTCTATTAAAATATTTTGCCCATTTGAAAAATTGGGTTATTGTTTTCTTATTGAGTTGTAAACATTCTTTATGTATTCTGGATACAAGTCTTTAATAAGATATATATTGTGCAAATATTTTCTCCCAACCTGTGCCTTATATTTTCATTTTTTTAGCAGTATCTTTGGAAGATAGTTTTTTAACTAATTAATTATTATTTTTTTTTTGAGACGGAGTCTTACTCTGTTGCCCAGGCCGGAGTGCAGTGGCACAATCACGGCTCACTGCAAGTTCTGCCTCCCGGGTTCATGCCATTCTCCTGCCTCAGCCTCCCGAGTAGCTGGGACTACAGGTGCCTGCCACCACGCCCGGCTAATTTTTTTTTTTTTTGTATTTTTAGTAGAGACGGGGTTTTACCGTGTTAGCCAGGATGGTCTCAATCTCCTGACCTCGTGATCCGCCTGCCTCAGCCTCCCAAAGTGCTGGGATTACAGACGTGAGCCACCGCGCCCGGCCACTAATTAATTTTTTAATTGACAAAAGTTATATGCATTTATCATGTACAACATGAGGTTTTGAAATATAGATACATTGTGGAATGGCTAAATTTAGCTAATTAACATATGTATTACATCATATACTTATTTTTTTGTGGTAAGAACACTTAAAATCCATTCTCTTAACTATTTTCAAGAATATAATACATTGTTATTAACTATAGTCACCACGTTGTACTATAAATCTCTTGAAGGTATTTCTCCCATCTCACTGAAATTTCATATCCTTTGGTCAACATCTTCCCAGCCAACCCCTTCCCCTATCCCTTGGTAACCACCATTCTATTCTCTACTTCTATGAGTTTAACTTTTTTAGATTCCGCGTATGAGTGAGATTGTATGTTATTTGTCCTTTTGTGCCCTGCTTATTTCACTTAACGTAATGTCCTCCAGGTTCATCCATATTGTCACAGATGACAGGATTTCCTTCTTTTTTAAGGCTAAATAGTATTCTACTAAATATGTATACCACAGTTTCTTTATGCATTCATCTGTTGATGGACATGTAGCTTGATTCCACATCTTGGCTCTTGCAACTAATGCTGCAGTGAACACAAGAGTAGATATCTCTCTGACATACTGATTTCATTTCCTTTGGATATATACCCAATAGTGGGATTGCTGGATTATATGGTAGTTCTATTTTTATTTTTTTGAGCAAGTTCCACACTGTTTTCCATGGTGGCTGTACTGTATTTGGAAGTGCATAAGTTTTTAATTTTTCAATTTTTTTCTGTTATGGTTTATTTTGTGCTCTATATAAAAAATCTTTGCCTAATTTGAAGTCACAGATTTTCTCCTATACTTTCTTCTAGAAGTTTTAGGTTTTACACTTAGGCCTATGGATCCATTTTGAGAAGTTTTTTTTTGTTGTTGTTCTTAATATGGTGCATGAGGTGAGAGTCTAAGGCTCATTTGTTTTGCATATGAATGTCCAGTTGTTCCACACTATTTATTGGGAAGATTCTCTGTTCTCCATTGAATTACCCTGTCACTTTTGTTATAAATAATTGACTGTATATGTGTTCGTCTATTTCTGGACTCTCTTCTGTTCCATTTTATCTGTCTACCTTTACACCAATACTATGTTGCCTCGATTACTAGCTTTCTAGTAAGTCTTAAAATTAGGCAATATGAGTCCTCCAGTTTTGTTCTTCAAAGTTGTTTTTGTGAGTCTAGGTCCTTTGCATTTCCATTAAATTTCAGAATCAACTTGTCTATCTACAAAAAAGCTTGTAGGGGTTCTGCTTGGAATGGTATTGAATCTCTAGATCAAATGGGGGAACTGCCATCTTAATAATATTAAATCTTTAGATCCATGAACACAGCATAACTCCATTTATGCAGGTCTTCTTTAATTTCTCTCATCAGTGTTTTATAGTTTTCAGTTTATGGGTCTTACATGTCTTTTGTTAGATCTATCCCTGGGTATTTTATTGTTTTAGATGCTATTGTAAATGTTTTCTTTTGAAATTCCAATTTCTAATTGTTTATTGCTGATAGGTAGAAATGTGATTGATGAGAAAGGTTATTTAATGGGGGAGAGGTCAGGTTGGTGATGGCTTCATTGCTTTTTGAACAACAAGGACAGTAGTTTCAGAAGATTACTGAGTAGCCCAGGCTGATGCCTCAGGCAGGCATTTAGGGCTCTCTTCTAGAGTGTTAGCTCCTCTACGCAACTGTAGGTTCCATGGCAGCAGGCATTACTCATCTGTGTCCTTGGCACACGGCCTCAATTAAAGAAATACATTTTTAAAGAAGAAATAACCTCATAGAGACTTAATACTGACCATTTATATCACCCCTCATTTTTTCCTGATGGGCTTATCAGCATTCATACCTGCGTTTTCACATGGCTTTAGTGAGGATTTATATCCTACTTTATATCCTCCTTTGACCACTAATGTAGGTTGACCCTAGAATGTTTGATTCAAGCCTACAAGTCCAAATTTGAATGAATCCAGTTGTCGTTCCTGGGGGTTAGAAGGGTTGTAAGGTTCTTTGTTTCTTTTCTTTCTTTCTTTCTTTTTTTTAAATCTGAAATCCAGCTATCAACAATCATGTATGCATTAATTCATTACTTTTTTTTTTTTTTTTTAGATGGAGTTTTGCTCCTGTTGCCCAGGCTGGAGTGCAATGGCACGATCTTGGCTCACTGCAACCTCTGATTCCTGGGTTCAAGCGATTCTCCTGCCTCAGCCACCCAAGTAGCTGGGATTACAGGCGCCTGCCACCATGCCCGGCTACGTTTTTTGTATTTTTAGTAGAGATGGGGTTTCACCATGTTGGTCAGGCTGGTCTCGAACTCCTGACCTCTGGTGATCCACCTTCCTCAGCCTCCCAAAGTGCTGGGATTACAGGCATGAGCCACCGTGCCTTGCCAATTCATTACTTTTTAATTCACTCATCCAACATACTTCCATAGAGAAACCACTAATTGCCAGGCACTGGGGTAAGTACTGGATTCACGAAGGCTGATATGAACTGGTCTCTTCCCCAGGGGACTCCCAGACCAGGAGGAGGGGAAACAGTTGTGAAAGGACAATTGCAATGGAGTGAGTAAATGCCCTCATAGGGGTACAGGAAAAACACTCTGGGAGCACAGAGAGGGGTAAGGAGTTAAGGAAAGCTTTCTGCAGGAGCTGACAGGAGCTGTGTCTCCAAGGTAAAACGCAAATTGTCTGTGAGAGTGAACATCCAGAAACTGGTTCAGGTGACTGCAGGAGAAAACTGGTTTACACCCTCTGGTGACCACTTAGAATAATTTGTACTTTGCATCTTCTTCCCTGGGTCATTGTCCTGGTCATCATCACCAAAGGTATTGATGATGATACAAGTAGTATTGTTTAAATACTAATTACTGAGCAGCTTCTTTGCATTATTAGCCTAAGTATGTAATGCCCATTATCTTATTTTGTCTTTATTACAACTCTGGAGGCTTTAATGTTGGAGACAACTGAGAATCGGTGAGATTGAGTAAGACTGAGTGATTTGCCCAGGGTTTTACAGCGCTTAAGTGGCAGTGTGAGGACTTGAATCCAAGTCTGGCTGACTCAAAGCCTGGGCTTTTAATCACTACATGATACTAGTACCCACAATAATGATAACAGCAGATATCAATTACTGAGCACTTATCATGTGCCAGCCACTGGGCTAAGTGACTTATATTTGTTATCTCATAGGATTTTCATAACTGTAATTATCCCCATTTTGCAGATGAGGAAGTTGGACCTTGGGTTATGTCACCCACTTATTATGCATTAGTTATCTATTTCTGCATTACAAATTACCCTACGATGGCTTAACACAATAAACATCTATCATCTCACAGTTTCTGTGGGCAGGAATCCTGGAGTGGCTTAGCTGGGTCCTTTTGACCCAGGGTCTCTCATACAGTCAAGCTGTTGGTCGGGGTGCAGTTATTTCAGGCTTGTTTGGGGAGGATCTGATTCTAAGCTCACTCATGTGGTTGCTGGCAGGCCTGTTTCTTGCCATGTGGGCCTCTCCATAAGCTGCTTGAGTGTCCTCATGACATGCTGGCTTTCTTCCAGAGAGGGTGATTCTAGAGCAAGAAAATGAGAGCACACATCTAACACAGAAGCTGTAGTGTTTTTATAACCTAATGTCAAAATCCATGTCCCATCACTTCTGTCTTTTATTTGCTAGATACAAGTCACTAAGTCTAGCCCACACTTAAGGGGAGAGGTATTAAGTTCCACGTCTGAGTGTAGTAGTATCACAGAATTTGTGACCCATCTTTAAAGCACAATTAGTAAATGGCTGAGTTGAGGTTTAAGCCTAGGATGACTGGCCCGAGGCCCTGTGCTCTGAACTGTTTTATTATATTGCTTCCAAATGTCACAAAAGCATTATAGCCGAATGCTGTGTTGAAAGAAACCTGATTCCTGCCCTTTGGGGACTTTTAATTTTAAGAAGTCTCTCTGAGAAAGTAAGATAGACATATATGAACAACCAAATAAGTAGAGAAAGAAGAAAAATCAGGAGATAATTGGACTAGTTGGAGAAGCAGGCATAGGAATTCCAAGGGCAGGCTGGTTTGTGCTTTCATAAATTCAGTCCAGATAGGCTTTCTGGCAGAGCAAACTTTGAAAAACAACATGGTGGAGAGAGACCTGCACTATATTCAGTAATTCTCAGCAGTAACTCTGTTTGCCAGCCAAGTCCTTTCCCTGAGAGGAACAGGACTCTGCCTTGAGATAGCTGCAGAGGCTAATAAAGGTGTTTTTCCTGAGCCATATATGCACAGAGCATACTGACACATCCCAGCCGGAACAGCTAACAGCATCATCTTGGCTCCCACACATTCACCGCCCAGCACTTTTCCTGAGGCTGGGTTGCCATGGACAACCCGAGGCTGTCTCCCAGCCACTCAGAAGTCTCCTACGTTACCCTGTTCCACAGATGGCAGCAAGGAAATGAGGTTTCAGGAAGATGCAAATGAACCTTTTGGAAATGTACTGAACCTGGCACTTTTCACTGTCATTCCAGTTCAGTTGGCATCTCTATTCAGCTCTTTAAAAATGCTACTGAAACGCCATTTGGGCTGGAAGTGGGTGGCTTGCTCCTGAGTTGGGCTGTCCTGCTTTCAGTAGATGGTATTTGAAGAAGCTGTTGACAGGGTGGATGGGATGACCTCTCATTTGGCCCAGGCCCCTGGATGGGCACTGCCCCCTTCCACCTTGGTCCACACCCTGACAAGCACCCTGGGGTCCTGAAAAAGCCCCATAATCACCCCTAGAATTAGTGGTACTTACCCTCCCTCACAGGTTCATAGTATCCTTTTCTACCTTTCATTGGGAATCTGTTTTTTAGCACCTGCCTTAGAAGCTAATAATGACACTAGTGTTAATCAGATAACATTTAGTGTTTACTATTTATCAAGCATTGTGCTAAGTGCTTCATATCATTTAAGCCTCCTGACACCCATATGGGAAGCATCCTATTATCCTGATATTACAAGTTATGAAAATGAGGCTTAGCAAGGTTCAATGTCTTGCTCATAGCCACACAGCTATATAGTGACTGGGCTGATACTATATTTGGGCCCAGATGTGTCTGATTCCAAAGCCCATTTTTTCCACTCCTCTTCTCTCCCCCCGGGCCTTGCCCTCATATTACCTGGTTCTCAGACCCCCATTTTCTCTGCACCTTGCTATCAGTACTTGCCTAGAGCAACTGTTGCTCAGGAACCTGCTTGGACAAGTCTTCTGGCTCGACCTCGACATGCTCCATCGGATGAATTGTTGGTGTTAGCCCTGCGGCCCCACGCACCAGGGTAAGAGAGACTCTCGCTTCCTGCCCTGGCCCGAGGGACCGACTGGCTGGGCCTGCCTTCTGCCCAGCTCACCGGTCACAGAAGAGAGTTTGGACATGCATTCTACTCTTGCCCGATGAAAAAAGTGTGTAGAGCCCAGATTGTTCCTCTCACCTGAGTAGAAATTTGAATGACCTATGTAGTCCTGAGGCCAGGGCTAGGGTCTTGATCTACACGTAGGCTGGAAATCTCTATTCTCTTCATGGATTGTCCCTTTCCCTGGCTAGTCCCTGGCACCTAATGGCTCTCAGACACAGGGTGGTTGTGATTTCGGTGAGGAGGGACCAACATGCCTTCAATCCCACAGTCACGCTGGTAGAATCAGAATCATCTATGTAAACAAGAGAGCATTATATATTTATTTTTAAAAATGTTATGCTGGGAGTAAAATTTCCTTCCTAAGGAATCAGGTAGTCTTTTGCTTGGGCTCACTAATCTTCCTAAAATAAATGGCTATTTGACTTTTCAAAATGACAGTGTTTTCCTTGGGAGGTATCTAATAACCATCTCTGCTACAGTGGAGTTCAGCTCACTCATATTCTGTCAACCAGAGAACCTCCATTCACCAGAACTTCTGCAGCCTTCAACACAGTGACAGTTGAGACTTGGGATCAGAACTTTGAGGCACCCTGCCAAACTCCTAAGTATGCTGCAGTTCACGAGAGTGATTAAATTATGTTCAGTCTAGCATAATTGTTCACCTAGAGCCAGTTCTTTAGTTTGTGATTCCTACGTGACTGATAGTTCTTACTCAGGGTTACCTTGAAAGATAAATGTTAAAAATAGTGATCATTAAATAAGCTGATTTGATTGAGTAATTTCTAATAAAGGCATATTAATCTTAAGTATATTGGGGTTTAGGAGTGTTGGGGAAAGAAAGAAACATGCTTGTTGAACTCCCTGGGCCTGGGTGTTTCTGGAATATAAAATGAGGGCATATAGGAGAGAATGGTTCAAGTCTCTTCCTCTAACATCTTGTGGTCTTCTTAAGTAGCTAGAAGTTTGTGATTTCAGAGATGTGATACATGTAGACTGTGGGAAATACTCGTATTTGCCTAACTGCTTGCTAACATCAGGTATCCATGGAAACAACTATCCATTAGCACTCATGATAGGAAATTTATTCTTTTTACTCTGCATGATCAACACAGTAGTGGGTGTAGTGCTCCATGTATGAGTGCTTCTTGCAACACCTACCATAAAAATTGGATTTCTTTTGACCATACTGGGCTGTACTAATTTACTTTCCCACCAGCAGGGTATAAGAGTTCCTCTTTCTCCACATCCTTGCCAGCAGTTATCTTTTGTCTTTTCTGCAGTAGACCTTCTAATTGGGGTGAGGTGATATCTCGTTGTGATTTTCATTTGCATTTCCCAGATAAATAGTGATGTTGAGCATTTTTTTTCATATACTTGTTGGTCATTCATATATCTTTTTTAGAGAAATACCTGTTTAGATCTTTTTGCCCATTTTTGAATCAGATTATCTGTTTTTCTGTTATTTAGTTGTTTGAGTTCCTTATATATTCTGGGTATTAACACCTTGTCAAATGTGTGCTTTTGGCATGTTTGTCGAAAATCAGTTGGCTGTAAATGTGTGGATTTATTTCTAGGTTCTCTAATTTTAGATTCCATTGGTCTATGTGTCTGTTTTTATGCCAGTACCATGCTGTTTTAGTTACTCTAGCTTTGCTGTATATTTTGAAGTCAGGTAGCATGATGCCCCCAGCTTTGTTCCTTTTGCTCTAGATTGTTTGGCTATTCCCATATGAGTTTTAGATTTTTTTTTTTCTTATTTTTGTGAAGAATGTCATTGGTAGTTTGATAAGGATTACATTGAATCTTTAGATTGCTTTAGGTAGTATGAGCATTTTAACATTATTAATTCTTTCCATGATCATGGAATATCTTTCCATTTATTTGTGTCCTCTTCAATTTCTTTCGTCAATGTTTTATAGTTTTCATTGTAGAGATCTTTTACCTCTGTGGTTAAATTTATTCCTAGTTATTTTATTTTTTTTTGTAGCTATTGTTAATGAGTTTTTTTCTTTATTTCTTTTTCAGATAGTTCACTATTAGTGTATAGGAACACCACTAAGTTTTGTATGTTGATTTTGTATCCTGCCACTTTGCCAATTCATTTATTCATTCTAATAGTTTTTTGGTGGCGTCTTTAGGCTTTTTAATATATAAGATCATATTCTCTGCAAGCAGTTTGACTTTCTCCTTTCAATTTGAATGTACTTCATTTCTTTCTCTTGCCTGATTGCTCTGGCTAGGACTTCCAGTACTATGTTGGATAGAAGTGGAGAAAGTGGGCATCCTTGTCTTGTTCCAATTCTTAGAGGAAAAGCTTTCAACTTTCCCCTTTCTAGTATGATGTTAGCTGCGGGTTTGTCATATATGGCCTCTATTATGTTGAGTTACATTCCTTCTATTTCTAATTTGTTGAGAGTTTTTATTATGAAGGGATGTTGAGTTTTATCAAATGCTTTTTCTGCATCTATTGAAATGATTATGTGGTTTTTGTCTTTGATTCTGTTAATGTGACGTATCGTTTTTATTGATTTGTGTTATATTGAACCATCCTTGCATCCCTAGGATGAATCTATTTGATCACGGTAAATGATCTTTTCAATGTGCTGTTGAATTTCATTTGCTAGTATTTTGTTATGGATTTTTGTATCTGTGTTCATCATGGATATTGGTCTATAGTTTTCTTTTTTGTCATGCCCTTGTCTAGTTTGGTATTAGAGTAGTCCTGGCTTCAAAGAATAAATCTGGAAGTATTCCCTCCCTTTCAATATTTTAGAATAGTTTGAGAATAACTGGTATTAGTTCTGCTTTAAATGTTTGTTAGAATTCAGCAGTGAAACTATCAGGTTCTGGGCTTTTCTTTGATAGCAGACTTTTTATTAGTGATTCAATCTTGTTGCTTGTTATTGGTCTGTTTGGGTTTTCTGTTTCTTCATGATTCTATATTGGTTGGTTGTATGTGTCCAGGAAAAATTAAAAGTAGAACTACCATATGACCCTGCAATCCCATACTGGGTATGCATCCAAAGGAAATTAAATCAGCATGTTGAAGAGATATCTGTACTCTCATGTTTATTTCAGCAGTATTCACAATAGCCAAAAAACAGCATCAACCTAAGTGCCCATCAACAGATGAATGGATTTTAAAATGAGGTATATATACTATTCAACTATAAAAAGGCCGGGCACAGTGGCTCATGCTTGTAATCCCAGCACTTTGGGAGGCCGAGGCGAGTGGATCACCTTAGGTCAGGAGTTCAAGACCAGACTGACCAACATGGTGAAACCCCATCTTTATTAAAAATACAAAAAATTAGCCGGGTGTGGTGGTGGGCACCTGTAATCTCAGCTACATGGGAGGCTGAGGCAGGAGAATTGCTTGAACCCGGGGGGTGGAGGTTGCAGTGAACCAAGATTGTGCCATTGCACTTCAGCCTTGGTGACAGAGCGAGACTCTGTCTAAAAAATTAAATAAATAAAAAGGTGAAATCCTGTCATTTGTGACAACGTGGATGAACCTGGAGAACATTATGTTAAATGAAATAACCCAGGCATAGAAAGACAAACACCACATGATTTCACTTATATATGAAATCTAAAACAGACAAACTCGTAGAAGTAGAGAGCTGAATAGTGGTTATCAGAGGCTGGGGAAGGGAGGAGGGAGGGGAGATGGGGGTGATCAATGGATACTGTGTTACAGTTAGAGAGGAGGAATACCTTCTGGAGTTCTATTACACAGTAGGGTGACTATAGTTAACAATAATGTATTGTATATTTCAAAATAGCTAGAAGAGAGGATTTTGAATGTTCTCACCACAAAGAAATAATAAGTGTTTGAGATGGTGGGTATGCTGATTACCCTGATTTGATCATCACCCAATGTATGCATGTATCCAAACATCACACTGTACCCCATAAATATGTGTACCTATTATGTGCCAACTAAAAATAAAACAAAAAAATTGAGTTTCCTATGCCTATGAGAGAAGCAGATGTATACCTGCTCTTCCTGCTGCCTTGAGCTACCTCTGAAACTGATGGTCCTATCCCACAAAACCTCATAATTCATTTTCCCAGATAGTTGTACAAGTTTTGTTTGTTTAAAGTTATCTCTTACCAGTGGTTTTATGAGCTCAAAGCCAAGTTTGTTTTGAAAACCTTATCTTGTATTCTATTTTTTTTTTTTTTTTTGAGACAGGGTCTCACTCTGTTGCCCAGACTGGAGTGCAGTGGTGCTGCAATCACAACTCACTGCAGCCTCAAATTCCTGGGCTCAGGTGATTCTGCCACCTCAGCCTTCCAAGTAGCTGGGACTACAGGCATTCACCACCACACCCAGCTAGTTTTTTGTATTTTTTGTAGAGACGGGGTTTCACCATGTTGCCCAGGCTGGTCTTGAGCTCCTGGACTCAAGAGATCCACCCGCCTCTGCCACCTAAAGTACTGGGATTACAGGCATGAGCCACTGCACCTAGCTGTCGTGTATCATTTTTGTATTTCTACTCAGGCTTTACTTTAACATTAAAAAATTTGCATTTCTGTAATACTGTTTCTGTGAAAATTCTCAGAGATGAGTGGTAGATTTTCTCCAATATGCATGTACCCTCTACTTCCCTGGTGGGAGATAGTTTCTGGGGCATGGTGAGGGTTCCTGAAAACTTTGCCTTTTTTTTTTTTTAATTTACAAAAGAAGCTGGATAGCTTATGCCAAGTATAAGCAAACTTTCTTTTGGTGGTTGAGTCAAAAGATGGGAAAAGCTCTCACTTTCTCTTTTTATTTTGCTTGCTTTTTCCTCACTGTCTCCAGAATTTTAACCTGGTGTTCCAACATATTTTAACTAAAGAAAATGACGTTCTAGTTTAGTTTCTTTTTTCATTTTTAAAAACTCTGTATTGTTTGTTTAACTCCTTGCATGTGCTATTTACTTTTTATTCATGTATTCTTTATTCCAAATAAACACTTGAGCCCTCACTTTTACCTGGCAACATAAGTATATGGAGTTATCTTGGTGACTGAGGCAGATACGTTTTCTGCCTGGGCAGGGCTCACTGTCTAGAGGTGCAAAAGACAAGACACTGATGGTCCAGCACAATGCAGAACACACAGGGCAGGTGAAATCTCAGAGGACGGATATGTAGTTCTGACCTGGAGGCCAGGGAAGTCCATTTGTAGGAAATAACATTTAAACTGAGACCTGAAAGATAAGCAGGTGTTAAGGCAGAGTGCTCAGAGATGGGAAGGTTTCGAGTCAGGGAACAGCATGTGGGAGGGTGTGGGGTGCCTGAAGTCCTTGCAGAAAGAAAACTTAAAACTGCTTTTATTCTCACTCAGCTTCAGAAATCAGATTTCAAAGAAAATCCTTGCAGTATTTTCCTTCAGTTTAGCTTTACCAACTCAAAACCGGAAAGACAATGCAAGTTCTGGGCATATTTACGAACATGTCATTCTGCCCTTGAAGAGTAGGTTAGGCATTATCTGGTGTTTGCCAAGGGGCTGTGTTCATTAACATCCCCCTTGAACTGTTCATGGATGCCTGTCTAAGCAAAGAATTACAAATGGGAAGTAATGTAGAATTCATGTTTACTCTGAAAAAGGCTACTCTTGACACAGAGCAGTGGACCCTCTGAGCTGAGGCACCCAGGAAAGTCAAGTTTCTGTCTGGAAGCAGCAGCAGCAGCAGCTCGAGGCTGGGTTTTGTGTCCTGGGTTCCTTTGGAATGCTTTAGAAGTCAGAACTGATTTCTGAATTTTTGAACACTGGTTACCCACTTTTGGTGACAGACAGCTATGGACTAAGTCTGATGACCAGTGACCACCCACATGGCAGTGGGTGAGCCTGTTCTGGAATATTGGGGAATAAATGGTTGATCTGTAGTAATGGTGGTGAGCTCTGGTTTTGCCTCCCGTATGGTGGGAAGTGTTCACTTGAGGGATGTGCCTTTGCGAGTTCACACAGATTTTGATGGGCACTTCTCTCCCCAAAAATACATCATGGGGAAGTAAAAAGCACTATGATAATTCATAATGGCAAAAGTTGTTCATGGCATATCATCAGGAAATCCATACAGAGCATGGATTAAAAAGGTGGTTCTCAAAGTATGAACCCTAGAGTGGCAGCAGCAGCAGCACCTGGGAACTTGTTAGAAAGGCAGCCTCTGGGCTCCACTCCAGATCCACTGAATCACACTCTGGGGATAGGGCCCAGCAGCTTGTGTTTTCACAAGTCCTCTAGGTGATTCTGATGTATGCTCAAGTTTGAGAACCACTGGGTAAATAAGACAAGCTACAGGTAATGATCAAATGAATTTGCTGGTTGTGACTTCCACCCTTTCTCTCCACTCAAGAAAGCATATTGGAATGCCGTTGAGTGAGAGTGACATCATTGTGGGGACAGCTATGAATTTGTACATGTTTATTAAAATATGTAAACTATAGGTAACTGGTACTTTAATTTTTTATTTATTAATAACATGTGACCAAAGACACAGCAGTGATACCATAATTAAGTACTGCAGTTCTATTAACCTAACCAGAGCAGTAGTTTTCATTGTGTTTGACCATGCCCTTGCAATACAAAATGCATTTAAATTGCTATCCAGAAGACACATGTAAGTGTGTATAGCCAAAACCAATATTTCATGAAATAATATTCTTATCATATTTTCTGTGCTTTTAAAAATATATGTGCTGGTCATAATCCATTAAATTGATTTCATGACCTACTAATGGAAAGCGACCTGTGTTTTGACAAACATAGATGCAGCAAGCTGTGTTTGCTTGGATCCTGTCTCTAGAGCAGGAGTTGGGGGGGGTGGCTGGCCTCACCCTCTGTCAGGTAGACTTGGGTTTCAGTCTCTGCCTACACTCTTAGCTGTGTGACCTTGGGCCACTTACATGTGTTCTCTGAGCTTTACTTTGCTATCTGTCAATGTGGATGATGATATCTACCTCACAGTTGTGGTGACAAGTAAATGACAACACATTTCACATGGTACCTAGCAGTGGTAGCTACTACCTTACTTGTGGAAATAGGACTGCTAGCACTAGTTTCCAGAACATCATCAGTTTAATAACTTTTGTAATAAACATCTCACAGGAGTTTTTCAATTTTTTTCTATACTGCAGTGCATAAGTGCACCCTACATTCTAGGCATTCAGAAATGCTTTTGAGTAATACTTTAAAACATACGTCCAAATTCTGAACTCTTTTTCAAAGTATATTCAAGTTTGTTTTGATATAAGATTTAGCACCCCCCATTCCCAATCTGAGGGCACTGAGATTACAGATGATGCCCTGTGCGGCTTCACATACCCACAAGATAGCCCCGAGTGGGGCATTTGGGAAACAGAACTTATGACTGTGTTTCTGTGGGAAGATGCTTGTTAGACTTTTCTTGAATACTCATACCTGTTGGTGACCAGGAGCAGCATCCCCATGTATGTAGCTCTGTAAACTGGCATCTCAGATCATCCACACACCCTGGGCGATAAGCCATGTGGAAGTACCAGGGATACCATAAATCCAGATTTTGGGGTGACCCCGCTAACGTCCACTTGTCTCTCCGGAGGTCATGATTGTGGTTGGCGGCCAGGCACCCAAGGCAATCCGCAGTGTGGAGTGCTATGATTTCGAGGAGGACCGGTGGGATCAGATTGCTGAGCTTCCTTCCAGAAGATGCAGAGCAGGTGAGCAGCCTCCCAGTTCTGCAAGCTGTTTTTCCCCTGCTGGTCCCCACTCCGTGCCAGAAGTCGTGAGCTACTCCTTGTTTCCTCAAGCATCTGTGCATTTCAGGCTCCCATTCGTTTCCCTCCTGCACACTTTTTTTTTTTTTTTGGTTGTTGTCGTTGTTTTAAGACAGAGTCTTTCTCTGTCACCCAGGTTGGAGTGCAGTGTCATGATCTCGGCTCACTGCAACGTCTGCCTCCTGGGTTCAAGTGATTCTCTCACCTCAGCCTTCCAAGTAGCTGGGATTACAGGCGTGCACCACCATGCCCAGCTAATTTTTGCATTTTTAGTAGAGACGGGTTTCACCATTTTGGCCAAGCTGGTCTTGAACTCCTGACCTCAGGTGATCCACCTGCCTTGGCTTCCCAAGGTACTGGAATTACAGGCGTGAGCTACCATGCCCGGCCACTTGCACAGTTTTTGGCTCTTTTGGGGTCAGTTCTTATGAGCTTGGGGAGTTAAAGCTGATTCAAATATTTACTTGAATCAGACAAAATTAGAAAAGCAAGTAGGAAAGAAATCCAGTGAATCCCATAATGACTGCCAAATACCTAAAGTATCTTCGGTGGCGACTTTTCCTGTGTCTGTCTTGCTCCTCCATTGCCATCCATCAACATGAGCAGTCATGCGCCTGACCTGACCTTGATGTCTTGGTTTCCTGTGCCTCAGGTGTGGTGTTCATGGCTGGCCACGTGTATGCCGTGGGAGGGTTTAATGGCTCACTGCGGGTGCGGACAGTGGATGTGTATGACGGCGTGAAGGACCAGTGGACGTCCATTGCCAGCATGCAGGAGCGCCGGAGCACACTGGGCGCAGCGGTGCTCAATGACTTGCTCTACGCAGTGGGAGGCTTTGATGGCAGTACTGGTAGGTTTAGGGTGTGTTCCCAACCCCTCCTAGCCTGGGACACATCCTCCATGCAACCCTGTTTTATTCAGCCAGTTCTGGACCAACTTTCTGTCCATTTGTAGCTACTGCCCCAGGGACATATCCACTCTTCTTCCTCATCCAGCTTTTGGGTGAAGAGCCAGGCCTTCTTCCAGACAGAATATGTAACTACCCATGTACTAGGCTTTCTAGGACTCAGAAGAGTCCCTTTCCTACTTTCCAGTGTCTGGGAACCTATTTACTCAGAAGATGAGACTTAGAAGGAGAGCATGCTTAGCTAGGGGGTGCCTCAGGTCTCCAGTTTGAACCCTTTGCTAGACAGATGAGGGAGCTGAGTCCAGCACTTGGAAGAGACCTGGCTCAGGTCATGCAGTGGGCCAGGCTGCCCATTTTTTCTGTTGCCCTTTCTACTACCCTACTGAAGCTTTGCCAGGCTTTTTCACCATAGGTGAGCCTCCTTGCCTCTGGACTCTATCTAGCTTCAAAATTTCAACCCAAAACTGTTAGTTGACATAAACTCAGAGAGGTGATCTCATCTCTGCTTATACTGCCAGGTAGATGTCTCTGCAGACAGTAGCTCTATTAAACTAATATGATATTCTTTGGCCCCCAGGGAGGTAAAAAGCAGTATTTTTTACTTCGCTGAATTTTTATTTGTGTCTTCACAATCTGGGGACCTTTCTCAGCCTTCTCTTTGCCTCACTCATATAATTCCAGGGTCTTTAGCCCCTCTGGAGGCTGCCTTTAGTGAGTGGAACAAAGAGAAGGAAAGGGTAGTGGTGCATTGTTTCTTTTGGGAATTACTTTTGGCTATAAGTAGAGAACCTGATTATACTCTGCCTTAAAACACGAGGGATTTTGCTTTACTCATGAAACAAGAAGCCTAGAGGTTAGCAGTTGCTGAGTTGGTCCAGTAACTCATGGACATTGAGGCCACATTCTTTAAGATTCTCTTGGCCTTTTTCTCATGATCGTGAGATGGCTGTTATACCTCCAGCCAACACATTTGTGTTCCAGGTAGCAAGAATCAAAAAGGGGAATGGTATCTATATTAGAAAAGCAAAGGCTGTTTCTGAAATCCCCGTAGACTTCTGCTTAGGTCTCATTGACTTGGTCACGCCTAGCTGCAAGGGAGTCTTGGGAAGCAAGTGTTTAGCTTTCCACTGCTAAGATAGAGGAAGCTGGGGGAAAGGGGATTGGAATAGGTGTTCAGTGAGGCTACCTCAGGTGACTACTTGGAATCAAAGTATCCCACTCTGCGGTTTTTATGATCTACATTTGCCATGCATTTCAGACACACCCCTTGTCCTTTCACAGCCCACTCTCTGAGTCAAGTCTTAATAGTCCCTGCAGGCAGACACTGCAGATGTGTTTCAGGGAGTTGCCACAGGCCGCATGGTGATGCAGAGGTGGTACTGAGCCATACATTTAGGTTTCCAGCCCATGCATTTGGACTCCTCCCCCATCCTCACTGCTTCTCACACAGCAGGGTGAGGCCTGGTGCCACGGAAGTCTCATGAGTCTCTTGTCTCCCAGGCCTAGCATCGGTGGAAGCCTACAGCTACAAGACCAACGAGTGGTTCTTTGTGGCCCCGATGAACACGCGGCGGAGCAGTGTGGGTGTGGGCGTTGTGGAGGGTAAGGAGGCGGCAGTGGCCAGTGGCCAGGCCTACCTGGCCCACGGGCCTTGTCCTGGGTCCAGCATCATGCTTGGTGCTTCCTCTACCGTGTTTTTTTTCCTGAGATCACTCCTCTGGGTTAGGTACTATTATCCTGATTTAGCGGATGAGGAAAGTTGAGACTCAGAGAGGTGGTGGAGCTCCTGGCCCAAGGCTGCTAAATGTTGGAGCTGGGCTGGGGGAGTAGAAGGAGCCTAGAGGGGAAATGCCGGCCTGTGGTTTGGCCCTGTGTCAATAGCTCTGCTAGAAGTTGGGGAAGGGAAGGGAGTAGGGAATCCATATTCAGCATATAACCCAGGAGGATAATGTAGTAGAGTGAGAGTTAAATGTGCTTAATTAATTTTGTCCTCATATTCATATGTTGAACATTAACAGAACTGTGAGTGAGGTAGGCACCTCTTCTTAGGTCTGATGACTCTCTGCAGGGCAGGCTGGTGATTGAGTCCAGTTCTAGTCAGGAAAGCTGTGTAGGGTAAGGTAGGAGGGAGTGGTGAGGTCTAGGGCCTGGTCAGATGGTACACTTTTGTTTGTAAAAAAACCTCTCATTTCTAGTCTCTTGTTTTGTTTGCAAAACCCTTGTGAAGGAGATAGGCAGGCCTCAGATTCTCTCCATCCTCCAGATGTCCCACATTCCAATGACAGTAAATAACACAGCCTGTCCTTGAACCCAGGTCTTCTGACTCCTAAGCCGGTGTTCTTTCCACTGTGCTATGCTCCTTCAAAATGCTGACAAATGCCAGTAGGTAGGAGTTCTGTAAATATGTGTGAATTCAATGTACCAAAGCATAGAATATTACTTGAACTAAAATGTTGTCATTTGCAGGACAACACTGATTCATCAACTTGTAGTAATGTGGGAATTTAGATGGAATATCTGTTCATTCAGACGTGTATGCAGACATTCCATCTCTCATGTACACACTCAGAAATACACATGCAAACACAAATGTGCCCTGGGGTGAGTGTAACATCCAGCGAGTTAGACATTAATAGAAAGATTCTTTTCTCACACTGTATTTCTCAGTCTGCACTGGTATTGTGTAATTTAAGTTTTCATTTAAAGGTGTACTATTCTAACATACTAAATAAGTCATCTATGTGAGGGCAAGGATTTTGTCCTCCTACCAAGGTAAATTGTATCTTGCAATCTCATTCTCTTGGTGGAAGAGAAATTGATTTGTCTGCCAAGTGTAAGTGCTTTGTCTAGCCACCTTCTCATTTCTTCTCTTGTTCCTTAGCCAGGAATATCAAACAATAGAGTAGGGGTTAAAAATAGCAAATCCCTGTTAATAGACTCAAGGAGGAACCTTGAGTGCATATTTTTTCAGCTGATGCAGATGGAATGGTTGATGGGGGTTAGAGGAGGTGCCATAATGGTGGTAATTTAAAATACTCCCCTTGACAAAGGCTTTTGTGAGCATGTTCTGTATGTGGAAGAAGTGCTGTCTTGTAGCATGCCCTGTTGACGTGGAAGACAGGCTGGGAATTTGTTTCTTCTGCCCTTCCTGAATCTGAAGCTCTTTCAGCTGTGGGCACCCTGGGGCAGCAGAGTTCAATTTACAGCTGTGGTGAGAATGTTGAGGGAGGGACTTAAGTGGACTCTGTCTTCTTCACTGTGGCCTTGAAGAGACAGCTCTCCACACTGTCTGGCTTCCTCTCCTCCCTCTCATCATCTCATTACCATGGCTATACAGTTTGAATGACACTGAACAAAAAAATGGAGGAAATCACAATAATTTGCTACTGGCTGCCTCGAAGAATACCTATTTAGGAAAAGACTCTGTGGATTGGAGTGTAGGCAGAAGCTCCTAAGAGAGCAGAGAGTGTGCTATGGATATTTCGCATCTGAACCAGCACATACCATGCAAGTAGCCTGGACCCTAGAAGAGCTGCTTAGTCAGGTTTTTAAAAAATTTTGACTTTGGTGAGTGCAGAACTGAGGACGATGTGTTTCTTTCTTTTAGATGGGTCAATTGAGAGGACCCTGGGGCAGAAAACAAAGCCAGGCTCGATGATGATAGAAGAAAAACATTTTTATATTTGATAATACAGCAGTAGTTCTGGTAGCAGAGTATAGGTTTGAGCCTGAGAATCTTTCTAACTTAAAATAATTGCAGATTTTCAAATACTAGTAGTATTCTTGGTGTCTGTCCATCAAGAAAGCACATGTGACCAAAAAATCTACTGAGTAAGTAATCCTGTTAAATAGATTTGCATTTGGTGATATTTATTTAGTCTACAGCTAGTGTGACTCCTCCCCCTGTTCCCACAGAAGAGACCATCCCATTGCATTTTAAGACTAAATTTTAAACCCAAAATGTTTGAATTTCTGCTTTGGGATAGCTCAAATGCCAAATTTTTCCTCCTGTGTCCAACCTCACTCTCAGCCCTCAGCCCCCAGCCCCAGGCAGAAATGATGCTCTTGGGTAGCAGCTTAATGGTATTTTAATTTAAAAGTAAATGACGGCACCTCAGGGCTCTTGTGCATGGCTCAGAGATCACAGGGTAGTCTGCAGAAAAATTCCAGCCACCCTGGCCCACAATGTACAAAGAACACTCCATTCACACACTCTACCTGCCAAGGTTGTGGAAGGGGTAGAGACAATGGCTAAGACAGGTTTTGGGTTCTCATTGAATAATAATTTTCCATATTTACTTCATCTGCTATGTCAAGCCTTTAGCCAGAAAGATGGTCTGCCTGCCTATAGCTGGGGGCCTTCTAGCTTTCCATCTATCTGGTGCTGGTGTCTTGTTCTAGAGAAAATTTAACCTAATTCATCAGCAAGATTATGTTGAGCCCCAGTGGTGCCAGGCCATAGCTTTGTGCTGGGTATTTGCGGGTACTTATTTAGAAAGACGTTAAGTGTTTGCTTCTAAGGAGCTCATGGCTTAAGAGCAAGTAGAATATGTGAAGAAATGTGAAGGATGCTTTGCTTGGTTGAGGAGTAAGTTGGTGGTCCCCTGGAGAAAGAGGGAACAGAATTCTGAGGTAAGGGTGCCCCAGTTGGTTGCAGATAGGGTTTCAGCTGAGCTCTGGTTTCATGCCAGTATCCCTGGCACCACACTCAGCCACTTTGTCTATTGCAGGGAAGCTATATGCTGTTGGGGGTTATGATGGAGCTTCCCGCCAGTGTCTGAGCACTGTGGAGCAGTACAACCCAGCGACCAATGAATGGATATACGTGGCGGACATGAGCACCCGCCGCAGTGGCGCAGGTATGGGAGAACCTCGGGGTGCTGGCTGTGTCTGATTTGCTCACAAGTGGGTCCTTAAATTTTTTTGTTTTATTTTAGATTTAGAGGGTACATGTGCAGGTTTGTTACATGGATATATTGCATAATGGTCGAGTTTGGGCTTCTAGTGTACCCATCACGCAAATAGTGACCATTGAACCCAATGGGTAATTTTTCAACTTTCACCCTCCTCCCAGACTTATCCCTTTTGGAATCCCCAGTGTCTATTGTTCTCATCTTTATGTCCATGTATACCCATTATTTAGCCTGTACATATAAGTGAGAACATGCAGTATTTGATTTTTTGTTTCTGGGTTATCTCACATAGGATTATGGCCTCCAGCTCCATCCATGTTGCTGCAAAGGACATGATTTCACTCTTTTTTTGGTTGCATAAGATTCCATGGTGTATACATACTATATTTTCTTTAATCAGCCATTGATGGATACTTAGATTGATTATATGACTTTGTGGTAGTCAGTAGTGCTGCTTTAAACATAATAACTGTACATGTCTTTTTAATATAATGATTTCTTTTCCTTTGCATAGATACCCAGTAGTGGGATTGCTGGGTCAAATGGTAGTTATATTTTGAGTTCTTTGAGAAATCCCCATACTGTTTTTCCATAGAGGTTGTATTAATTTATATTTCCACAACAGTGTATAAGCATACCCTTTTCTCTGCAACCATGCTAAAGTCTTTTTTTTTTTAAACTTTTTTTTTTTTTTTTTTTTTTTTGAGATGAAGTCTCACTCTGTTGCCCAGGCTAGAGTGCAGTGGCGCTATCTCGGCTCACTGCAAGCTCCGCCTCCCGGGTTCCGCCATTCTCCTGCCTCAGCCTCCCGAGTAGCTGGGACTACAGGCACCCACCACCATGCCCGGCAAATTTTTTGTATTTGTAGTAGAGTTGGGGTTTCACCCTGTTAGCCAGGATGGTCTCAATCTCCTGACCTCATGATCCACCTGCCTCGGCCTCTCAAAGTGCTGGGATTGCAGGCATGAGCCACTGCACCCGGCCTTTTTTGACTTTTTAGTAATAGCCATCTGTAAGATGATATCTCACTGTGGTTTTAATCTTCATTTTTCTGATGATTACGATGTTAAGCATTTTTTCATATGATTATTGGCCACACTGGCATGCCTTATTTTGAGAAATGTCTGTATGTATATCCTTTGCCTGCTTTTTAATGGGGTTGTTTTTTCCTTGTTGAGTTGTTGGAGTTCCTTGTATATTCTGAACATTAATCCTTTGTTGGGGGGCATAATTTGCAAATATTTTCTCCCATTCTGTAGGTTGACTGTTTGTTGATTATTTCTTATGTTGTGGAGAAGCTTTTTTTGTTTGTTTAATTAAGTCCCATTTGTCTATTTTTGTTTTTGTTGCACTTTCCGTTTGGCATCTTAGTCATAAATTGTTTGCCTAGGCCAATGCCCAGAAGAGTTTTTTCTAGGTTTTCTTCTAGGACTTTTATAGTTTCAGGTCTTATATTTAAGTCTTTAATCCATCTTCAGTTAATTTTTGTATATGGTAAGAGATAGAGGTCTAGTTTCATTTTTCTGTATGTGGCTAGCCACATACAACACCATTTATTGAATAGAGAGTCTTTTCCCCATTGTTTTATTTTTGTCGACTTTTTTGAAGATCAGCTTGTTATAGGTATGTGGCTTTGTTTCTGGGTTCTCTATTCTGTTCCATTGTTCTCTGTGTCTATTTTTGGTACCAGCACCATGCTGTTTTAGTTACTATAGCCTTGTAATATAATTTGAAGTCAGGTAATGTGATACTTCTGACTTTGTTCTTTTTGGTTAAGATTGGCTTTGGCTATTCGGGCTCTTTTTTGGTTCTGTATAAACTTTAGGATTGTTTTTTCTAATTCTATGAGGAATGATGTTGATAGTTTGATAGGAATTGTGTTGAATCTGTAGATTCCTTCAGGGAATATGGTCATTTTAATGATATTGATTCTTCCAATCCATGAATATGGGATGTTTTTCCAGTTTGTGTAATCTGTGATTTCTTTAATCAGTCATGAGTGGGTATTGGTTCAACAACTTAACATTTTATTTTACCTCCTCCTCCTCCTTTCATTTTGCTGTATATAATCCTACTAGCACCTTTGCAGCTAGACACAGTACTTTATAAGTTAACCTTTCCTGGGGGATCACTAGAGAATGGATGAGATAATACGCTCCTCCTCATCATACCTTATGTTTCTATGAAGGTGTTTATATCTTTTGAAAGTTAAGGCTTACTATGTGCCAGGCACTGTCCTAACAAGTACTTTTTATGCCTCAATCCATTTAATCCTCACTGCAGCCCTACGAGGTGGATACAATATGAATTGCACTTATCAGATTTAGAAAGGAGGTCTGCCAGTGGTTGAGTAATTTGCCCAAGGTCATATAATTAGTAATGCTGACTCCAGAGTTAGCTTTTTAAATCCCTAAATTATCAGTCTTATTCCTCTGAAGTAGTAGGACAAGTCTTCAGTTGACAAAGCTGAGCTTGCCTGTCTGGAATTGAAAGCCAAGCTATTAGTGTTCATGTCTGGAGATAACTTATGTCCCCCACTCCCACTTTTCCTCACTTCAACCTATTCCCCAACATGTGAAGAAAATGACTTTTCAAAAGGTTTTCCACTTCTACTTTTTGTCAGAAAACCAGAAGCTCTATGATCCTTTGGGATTTTTCAGGAAGCAGAGCAACAGCCCCTTCTCCCCTGCTTTGTCTTCCCATCCATTGTCTTAGAGGCCCAAAGGGAAGGGTCTGAGGGCAGACAGAGGCATCAGTCCACTGGCTCTTTACTGCTGGTTCCTGTGGTCAGTGGTGACTGATTACCAATCTGATCCTGGCGGGAAGACTGTGTGACTTCTGAGAAGGGAAGCCACATTCCCGCAATGTTATTCCTTTCTCTCTCTCTCTCTCTTTTTTTTTTTTTTTTTTTTTGTATTTTTGGAGATTGAGTTGTGATCTCGTTTTATAGTACCAAACATATGACCACTTCCTCATCATTCTTTAAAAAGTATGCTATTTTAATATTTTTAAAGAGCCTTTGTGTGCTCACTGGTTTCAAAAATAAAATCTGCATGATTCCATTTAAGAAGTGTTTGTGTTTGGAGTGCTATTTTTAGAGAATTTTTGTCTCTGCTGATTCTGACAGGTTGGCCCTTCCTGAACGTGGGGCCATTGCCTGGAAGTCAGGAGGCCCGGGACTTGGTGCTGGGTCTGCTGTCATTTGCCATATGACCTTCCTTGGGCAAATCCCTTCCCTTATTCTGGCCTCTAATTCCTTATATGTGAAATGAGTGGGTTGTAGGGTTGTAGTAGGTGTTCCCTAAGAACCAAGTCGATCCACAAATCCCATGATTCTTTTCCCGTCATAAACCTCTTTCAGACATTTTGGTTTCTAAAGTTTTGGTAGAGTCTTCGTACTCCCTAGAAATCCTCTGTTGTGACGTAAGGGTGAGAGCTCAGCATGCCTGGGGCAGCACACCCTGAGATGTGTGACTGCTCCTAGGGCCGAAAGCCTGGGGAGGCAGCCAGGCACGAAGTTGGAGGGCAGACCTGCCTTAGGAAGCTCAGGCTTGTCTCTGTGGAGGGAGCCGCCTTTGGAGACTACAGCTGCTTTGTCTCTGCCACGCTGCTGAAATGGTTATTGCTGGGTGGACATCACCTGGCCCTAGTCCTGTCTCTTACCTACACTGGAGGACCTGGAGGGTGACACCTCTATTGCCTGGGAGTCCAGTGTCCCTGGGAGGCACACTGACCTTGATTTAGGAAATCAAAACCAAGCCTTTTTCCTGAGGTTACTGTCAGAGCCCTGGCCTCAGGCTCCCAGGTCAGCCTTTCTTCAGTGCTTCACTTTCGTAAGATTTGGGCAAGTCTCACCTCTGGAGTTGGGAACCCACATGCATGTCGAGGTGGGTGTTTTTGGCTGAAGACCCAGAGACCAAAGGCCCTGGCCTTTGGCTGCCTGAGGCCCTTTGAGGTGCCAGGAGCCCCTGTGGCTCTAGGTCCAGGAAACGGCTGCATGAATGTTTATGGATGAGGCTGCACTAGGGCAGAGGCAGAGTTGCCTGAGTGCCTGGAACGCAGCTCGCTTCCTCAGCAGGGTGTGGGCAATGCCACCAGATGGTTAGGGGAAAAAAGAGGCCATCTCTCAGGGAATGCGTGTTCCTGCTGAGCATGGAGGAAAGGAAGGTGAGGCAGCTTTGGAACTCAACAAATTTTATTAAACCTGTCAGTTAGAGAGAGCCATTGTTGGTACAACAGCACCATCTGCTGTTAGTTTAGAGCAACTGCTAGGAGCTACTAGCATACCTGCATAATTGCTGGGAGGGATTTTATTAATTTATATTTTTGTTATTCAAGCAATATCTCTTGAGAACCTACTGCTGTGGAGCACAGGGAAGCAGACGAGGACAAGGTAAAAACAGTCCTCATCCATATGGAGTTATAGTCTACAAGTCTGGTTCTTGGGTCTGAAACCTGACTGCACATCCCAGTCACCTGAGGAACTTTCTGCACATCCCAGTCACCTGAGGAACTTTTTCTGACTCCTGACCAGTGTGGAATCTGTCTTTCAAAAAGCTTCCCAGTCGATTGAGATGCAGCCTGCCCATGGAGTGGAGAAGTCTGTGGTCCATGTGAACTACTGATCTAGTACAACTCTTTCCCTTTACAAATAGGGAAACTGAGGCCCAGAAAGGGGAAGGGTCACCCAGTGAGCAAGTCAGAGAGACAGGTCCAGAACACAGGTGTCCTAGCTACCAGGTCAGTTGCACTTTCTAGATACTGTGCTGTCTTCCTTCTTTATGGCTTTCATCTTCTTGTTGTATAAAAGGATTTTAAAAGATTATACTAAAACTTGTAAACGAAGCAATTCTAGCACTCAGCTCAGGCTGATCAACACGGTGAGTGATCTGATAATGCCCTCTGCAGTACAGGAGGAGAGAAGTGGGCAGAAAGGTCAGCTTCTGCTTACACGACCAGCAGGGAGGCCTCCCTGATGATAATTTCAGCACTTTTGCTGTGTGGCTAGTTTCAATTTTTAACTCTTTTTACTCAACTAATATAAGGATGAGTAAGTAATACAGCATTGTAGGAAAACTAGGCAATATAGATAGGCAAAAAAGGAAAATGAATGTAATTTACCACTCAGAAATAATTATTCTTAATATTTTAATGGATTTATTTCAGTATTTTTTGTCTTTTTTTCTTTGCTTATGAACATCCTCTCCCGTATGTATGTATGTATGTATGTATGTATGTATGTATGTATGTCTGTCTGTCTGTGTGTGTGTATATATATATATATATTTTTTAATGTTTTTTAAAAACAGAATTTGGGTCACATTTGCATTATATTTCAAAGTTTTGAGGTTGCTAGTCTTATGAGGAGGCAGGTAGGGTGTCATTATATTTGTTTTACAGATGAGGACACTGAGGTCCAGGGAGACAAAATGGCACTCCCCAAGTCCCCTCACTGGTCAGGGCTGTCCAGGACTGGATGCCAGGCCTCCTGATTTCTGGTTACTGTAGTCAGCATGAGGCTGGGATGCTGTGCTCTGCCTTTCAGGGGTTGGAGTGCTTAGCGGACAGCTGTACGCCACAGGTGGGCATGATGGGCCTTTGGTGAGGAAGAGCGTTGAGGTTTACGATCCTGGAACAAATACCTGGAAGCAAGTGGCAGACATGAACATGTGCCGGCGCAACGCAGGTAATGACTGCTCTCTCCATCTCCCCTTTGGGGGTTGTGTGCCTTTTCTCCCTGAAGACACTGGCTCTAAACAGCAGGGAGATTTCCCAGGGTCTGGAGCTGAGCGTATATCCTGAACAGGGAGTGTGCATTTGCCAGGTGGGCTCTTGATTAGAGGAGGGGAGAAATTGAGACCCCAAAAGCTAGCTGCAGATCCTGCAACCTAGATGCAGAGGATCCCCTTTCCCCGCAGTGAAGGGTGATGACTTTTACCGCACACAGATGAGCACAGACCTGGGAAAGTCCTCTGGTTGCCATCAGTGCCCGCTGCCCAACAGCTTTAGTAGGTAGCTAAGGACAGGGCTCTGTGGACAAGGGCCAGACAATGGCACTTGGTTCTATCTTTTCTTTGCCAGTGCCTGGCTAGGAGAACTTCTCACTTCCTACTTGAAAGCAGTCTCCTTCCTTGCAGGGACAGTTGGACCCTTGATGAGTTCTCCTTTCCTTATTGCTTTCTTTGTATTCCTGTCTTTGCTTTCCTTCTTGTCTCCTATGCCTTCCTGTAGGAAAGATTTACTGTAGTGTATTTAGGTTTATATTTCTTGGAGCATGAGGCCCCTTTTAAGCTATTTCCTTTTTGAGCTTTGCCTTGTGGGTCGTGTACTGTGTCAGTATATCCTTTATGCCTCTTTGCTTTAGGAAAGTGTTGGCTTAGCCCAACTTCCCAGGCTGGAAGGACACACAGGTGACTTTCAGGCAGATCCATTTTCATTATTCTCATATTACCTGTTTGCTAAGCCCATTCGTGGCTGACTTGGAAGTGTAAACCGGGGGGGGGGGTGGTGATATTTACTAATTTACTCATTGCCTAAGCCTGCTGCCAAGTTCTCATTTGGCTTTAAGCCACATGAGCAAAGAATTACAGGACCCTTAAGGCAGCTAGTCTATCTAGAACCTGGGAATTCAGTTTAGATGTAAATGTGTGTTTGTATAAAATTCATACATAGATATTTCTATTTTTTAATAACAAAAATGGAATTACACTATAACACTATTTTATAACCTGTTTTTTAAAAAAACTCACTTTACAATCTCTCATGAACGTCTTATTACAACACTAAACTTATTTATATGATATTATTTTAAATGACTATATCATAATTTAAACAACCAATCTACTATTGGACACAGGTTATTTCCATCTTTTCTATCCTATAAGTAATACTTGAGTGATTATAAATGGTCTTTATAGCTAAATTAGTACACACATTTAAAATTATTTCTTTAGAATAAAAGGCCAGAAATGGATTTTTTTTTTTTTGAGACAGGATCTCGCTCTCTCAGGCTAGATTGTAGTGGCATAATCTTGGCTCTGCAACTCTGCCTCCTGGGCTCAAGAGATCCTCCCACCTCAGCCTCCTGAGTAGGTGGGACCACAGTTATGCGCCATCACGCCTGGCTAATTTCTGTATTTTTTGTAGAGACAGGGTTTCACCATGTTGCCCAGGTTGGTCTTGAACTCCTGGGCTCAAGTGATCCATCTGCCTTGGCCTCCCAAAGTGCTGGGATTACAGGTGTGAGCCACTGTGCCTGGCCAGAAGTAGAATTTTTTAATCAGAGGAAGCACATGTATTTTAGACGCCATCCAGGAGGGTGTCCATTTTTTCGTCTCACCAGTATTTGAGAGTACCTTCAGCAACACTGATAATTACTACTTTTTAGAGTATCACCAATCCCTTAATCTAATTTTGAAAAAATACACAACATATTGGACTGTGGCCTTTGAAAGTCTTAATGAGCAATAATTCATTACATTTTCCTATGCCTTAGACCCTGCTGTATGAGACCTTGCCCAAAATCCATCTCCCTTTGAGATCAGAGTAGGAGCTGTTCTGCATCCCTGGGAGTTGTGTGTGAATGTAGACCCAGTCTTGTAAAGGGATTAGAGACATAACCATCAGCATCACACAGTGTGAATATAACATAGGGCTTATCAGGGAAAAACTTAGCAGCAGAGAAGGAGTAGCATGCATGAAGTCCCCTGAATTGTCTTATTCCCTAGCTCAGGCCTGGCACAGGAGGTCTGTATACACCTTTCCATTAAAGAGGGGTCTGTGCCCATATGCTCTACATACTTATAGTATAGGTATGTGTGTGGCGGGGGGCATACACGTTATAAGTAATCAAAACTCCCTGGTCAGAGAAATGATCCTGTTAGGAAGAAGGATCCTTGGAGCCCAGTGGCTGTTGTCAATATTTTCTTTCACTTAGCAAACTCAAACCTGTGGAGCCAAATCTCTGTTGTATTGCCATGAAGGGAGGAAAAGAGCCTCCCAGGCTATCCAGATTTGTCTCTTGATCAATTCTGATCTCTTAGTGCACCTGCTGTGATGTCTCCCATGGCTTTTGTTTGACTCACAGGGGTCTGTGCAGTAAATGGGCTCCTGTATGTGGTTGGAGGGGATGATGGATCCTGCAACTTGGCTTCGGTGGAGTACTACAATCCTGTCACTGACAAATGGACGCTGCTTCCAACGAACATGAGCACGGGGCGGAGCTATGCAGGTCAGTGTGTGCCATCTCCATGCCCATCCGAGAGGCCTCCAACACACTGGGGGAATGAGGGTTGGGTGGGCCAGTGGGATGAGGGGATGTGAGCTTGCTTAACTTGGGCCTGAGTGCCTCCTCCAGGGATGACAGGTAATTGTTACATGGCCACCACTCCTTCATTCTGCACTCATGACAGATATTGATAATTAGCACTTATTAACCCCTGCCCCTGCCCGAACCCTGTGAACCTGAAGATAGCCTCAGAATTTATAACATTCATTCCATCGAACCACTTCCAACTGAACTGAGTTGTCACAAGTGATTTTAGAATTTCATTGCCATTCCTGGTTTACTTTGTGCCAGGCTCCTAGATGGCATAAGATGCGATTGTTGTTGTCCAGGGTCGAATTGGACAACTGGGAAGACAAGATGATGCATATACAAGTTCTAAATGACATACGCTAGACAGGTTTTAGCACATGAAAGACTGGTGAGAACTGGCAAAGCCAGGGAACCCTTCCTGGAGGAGATAGGCTCAATTAAACTTTGAGGGTGGATCACAATCACACAAATAGCTGTCCTTTACTGCGTGGCTGGCCCCGTGCCATGGGGCAGTGTGTTAGGAACAGAGTGTGCATTTGTTCTCATCTTTTCAACAACCCTTGGGCTGAATGGGACTCTATCCGTCTATTTTATGGATGATATAACAGGTTTGGAGAGTTTAAGTAACTTGCTGAAGGCCACACAGCTAATAAATGGCAAAGTCAGAGTTCAAACCCAGAGTTCTAAGTCCATGCCCTTTGTGCTACCCCAGCTCAGGGTAAGCCTTAGAGTAAGGCACCAGGCGGGTGTGGAAGCTTCTTGGGGAGTGTGTGTGAGGGGTTTGGTGAGTAGCAGGGGCAGGGGTGGCATCAGAGTTGGTACTACTAAGGTTGGGTCCATGGGGAGATGAGCAAATATATATCCATGGTGTAGTTCAGTTCCTTGTATCTGGTTTTCCAGAACCTGGAATAGAGATAACATTATTGATCCAGCATGCACAGAACATACCAGGCATTATCCAAAGTATTTTATAGTCATTATCTCTTTTAATCCATACCACGACTCCAGGAATATTCTTCCGATTCCCATTTTGCATTATAAAGGTCAGTCATTCCATCTTGTTTGACTGCAGAGGAAGATTGTGCTGTGCAAATTTGAAGGAGTTTGCAGCACATTCTTTCAACATAAGACTTCTGTTGTAATGAACTTTAACTTTTTTCTTCCTTTAGAGTTTTTTTCACCTTGTAATACTTTTCTTGGCTAAGTATAAAACATTTTAGAAGAAGTTTGGTCCTGGAGTAATTCTGTTCTGGGATGAGTGAGACAAGTGAGGAATCTTCCCTTGACTCCATGTGTGCCTTAATGAGAGGGGAAGAGTTAAGTGTGGGTGGTTAGAATTTCATATATATGCTGAATATTTCATGTCCCTTTCTTCATTGTCTGCCCTCTCCAGAAGTAGGTAGGAAGGAGACAAGCAAACCTGCAATTTTATGTTCAAACCCACTTACTGAGTCTATTATCTTAAAGTCTAAGGAAATGCTCCAAAATACAAAGATTTATGGACAAATTTATTGGGGCCTTACTTGTAATAGCAAAAAACTGAGAATTACTTAATGTCTGACATGAGGGAAATAGCTAATAATCTATGGGATATTTATATAGTTTATGGATTTTTAATGTTATGAGAAAACATTTGTAATAGCCTGTTAGGTTAAAAAAGGATGCAAAGTTGTATGAACCTTGTGAACTCACGCATATAGTCCTGTATTGGTGGTAGTGGGAGTGGGGGTTGAATAGCTGCTGCTTCTTCTACAGATGGATATTGGAGTCAGATATGAATTTGAATCCCAGCTCTGCCACTAGCCCTGGGTCTCCGGGCCAGGTATTCTATCATACTGAACCCCTGTTGTCTTATTTGTAAAATGGGAATAAAATTAGACTAAGCCTTTTAGGGTGCTGTGAGAATGAAATGCAGTAATACTTGTGAAGAGCTAAGCACAATGCCTGCCTGGCATTAGACACCATGCAGTAAATGATTGTGATTATTGTTAGATGCTAGAAAGTATTCCAAAAAGACAGTGGTGGTTTTCTTTGTGTGAAGGGATTAAAGATTTTTTCTTTGTGTTCTGCATTTTCCAGATTTCCCATAATGAGAATATATTACTTTTATTATTAAGATAAAGGTTATATGAAAAAGCAACACAGGAGCCTGCTTTCAAGAAAAAAAAGCTACCTTCTGAAAGAGATGTCTGAGATTCAAGTAAGATGCTGTCAAGACCAGGCACCTGGACTCAGGTTCTGCCTGCCTTGAAGCTTCTGTGTCTGCACCTTTAGCCAGGAATAAACAGGAAATAGATGTCTTAGCAGAATATCTCCAGTGGGGTATCCTGGCTTGATTTTAGCCATGTTCTCTCAATCTCATCTTCAATCAGAACATTTCATAGTTGTGGGACTATGTTAAAATAAGGCTGCAGTAATATCCTGCCTGTAAACACCTGTAAGTTAGGATTTCATTTAGCAACAGGCACCAGAAACCCTGACAGATACTTTCCTAAATAAGGAAGTGAGTGTATTTGTCTCAAGTAGAAAGAAATCCAAGGTTGGCCTGGGGGCTCAGACTGACAGAACCAGGTTTCTCTTCTCTTTTCTATTCTGCCAGCTTTATCAAGGGCTGCTGCCTCCCCTTGGCCTTGCGTGAGCATTCCAGTCACAACAAGAACAAAGCCAGCGTTGCAACACTGGCACACTTGCCTTTACAGTCTTAGTGGCCAGCACTGGGTCACGTGGCACATCTAGCTGCCAGGCAGTCTGGGAACCTGAGCTTGCAACTTGCTGGTGGCTGTAGTCGAGGATAGCAAGTAGGAAGGATGTTGACGGAATCAACCTGTAATATCTGCCATGTAGCCTCAGTCCCTTACAGTGAGATTTTGGGTCATGCGTGGATTTATAGTTAGGTGCTGAGCATGGTTCACTCGGACTAAAACAGTAACATAGCATACATGTCTGGAGCATTTATCAAAGTCGAGATTGTCACACTGGCAGGGTCTCTTAGATGACATTTGTGTGGGAACTGAGCCTAAAGAGGTCAAAGAACTTGCCAAAGGCCATAGTGCAGGTTGACTGGTGGCAGAGCTAGGAATGGAATTCAGTCTTTCTTGCTCCCATGAAGGCAGCCTGCTGTACTTTCCGCTTCATTCCAGTGTCTTCTAAAAGTAGAGATGAATCACCCATTGCTTCTCTTACAGTGATTCAAATTTAGAACTGCATAGCTGCCCCTGGGCGCTGAGCATTGTTGGGCTGGGTGCTAGGGCTGGGGATGGGAGTCACCACAGTGAGTCCATGTGATGACACAGGGTGAGGCCACTAGTCAGTGGTGTTTGAGGGACTGTGCTCGTAGGTTCAAGTGTCTTGCCAGGACTTGGCTGTTGGAGTGGGGAACAGCCAGCTGCTAGCAGCCTGAGTCCACTTCAATATTAGGATAAAAATTGCACACATTTCCCTTGGCTGTGACTCAGGATATCTTGGATTCATGAACTCACTGGGACTCTGAGTAATTTTGGAGAAGCTAAGATGATAACTTTCTCCCCCTTTCTTATTAGGTGTTGCCGTGATTCACAAGTCCTTGTGACCCAAACTCCTACTGCCAGGAGGTGGAGGAAGGAGCAGGTGCTGCCTGTGACTCTGAACAGCAGGACCTTGGTGACTGGATTCAACTTGCTTGGGAGGGTCTGTGCTGCTGTGAGAACCGCTCTCCTCTGACTTGGCAGACTGGTGTTGTTCATCGCAGTGTGGACACCATTACCCACCCCCGTTCCCCTGAGGTGCTCTGGCCTATGCCCTGAGCAAGGGGGGTCTTGACATCCCCAGGCAGCACCTTTGGGCTTTGTTTTGGTGTTTCTACAGGGACAATACAGACCCTGGAGTGTGTGTGTGTGTGTGTGTGTGTGTAGACCATGGTGTTTCTCTATGTTTCTCTAAGTTGGGGGGTGAGCGTGTGTGACAGTCTACTGGATTTCTTTACTACTGATCCTTTCGCTGTGTTAAAAATCAAGTCACAGAGACCTCTCTTCTGGATTTGTCCCATGGGGACCCTGAGACTACTAAAGCTGCTTTCTTCTGAAGGTCCAGTTGGACAGTCTGGGAATGTCCAGAAATAACCAGTGAGAGGGGCAGTTCTCTGGCCACACCCACTTATGTACTTTAACTACTGTGACTTTGTCTGCAGAAGAGCTGGAAAATTCTCGAAGCTGCACCGTGTCCTCTGTGTGCTAGAATAAGGGACAAATGGGTTCCCTGTGCTTCTCAGCTCACTGTTTTTCCTTGAGTTCTCCTACAGGAAGCAGATGAGAACTGCCCAGTCTTCAGGTTTAGGCCATTGGTCTTTGATGTCATAGATTCCAGGCCTGGGAGGTGTTATGTCTCTTCAGCTGGGAAAACTAGCTCTTCAGAGAAGCCTCGGGTAACACTGAAAAACAAAACAAAACAAAACAAAAACAGGAAAAAAACAAAAAACCAAAGTGGTAAGGATTCAGTTCCTGCCTATAATGGTCTCAGAGAGGGTCCTACTTTTAGGTTTTCCCAGGACAGGACAGTCCCCATTTATACTTATTATCCCAGTTTAATTATTCACAGCACCCCATTTTACTCAGAAGTGTTCTGGTCTGGAGGATAAATAAGAGGTCACCCTCCTCCAGACCCAAAGATAGATTTGTGCCTGTGTTGGATGGGGTCGTGTGTGATTCAGATGGACATTGGATGGCTTCAAAGGAATATACCACTAGAGCTGGCCCTTGGCACTTTGTGACAGTGGTCAAGTCTGTCTAATGTCCTTGTCTTCTTTTTCTTGTGCTTTCCCCCTATTCCAGGGTGTGCACCCTCTCCCCAACCCCCAAGAACCCCACTACTGCTTTCCCTGTGAGGTAGGAGATATCAGTGGGCCTTGGATTTGAGGCTTCCTAAGATGTGCTTGCATTTTAAAAAGGGAGCTTGGTGAGAGCTTTGCTAATTCACAGGTAAAAATTATTAACAATAGAACTTCAAGCATCTTGAGGAGCGGGCATTTGAGGGGGCATGGAGTAATTTGTATTTAAAAAACCTTAAAGTTGTGCTGTTCCTAAACTAGCAAATTGCTCATGCTGAAATTTCTGGCATAAGCAGGGGAAGTCTTGTGTCTGGAGAATAGTCTCATACCTTGCAGTCTGGGACACCCTCCCTACTTTGAGAATCCACCTACAGGAAGCCAAGGAACTTTATAAATCCTGATGTTGGACTTCTGATACGACTGGGCTACTTCCAAGCAGGTGCTGCAGGAGATTGGCATCCCCCAGCCCCTGCAGTTAGAAACCCCGAAGTCTTCCCAGCCAGTGAGCCACTTTGTGTATTTACTGTATATTTATTGTGCCCTAAATGTGCAACTCTCCTAAAGACAAAACTTCTCTTTCTGATGTTAAGCACATGTTACTTCAACAAGATGCTTGGAGAACAACAAGGTACCCAGAATTTTTAGAAGCCTTCAGAAGAGGCTAAAATATCCAGCTTTGGGGGACCTGGAAGAAATGTCTCCAAAGGAAGCAAGGCATGTTTTAGTTGAGTGCTCTGGTCTCACTATGAAGTGGGGATGACTGTGGCTTCATAACTCTACCTGGCTGTGGGTTGGAAGCTGATGGAATGAGAAATGTCCTTTCTCCTTCTCTGAGGAAATTTTGAGACTTGTTTCGGTGTGTCTGTGTGATGGGGATGAGGCTGGGGTTGGGATCTGATGTATGCCATTCACAGAAGCTCTCAATTTCAGATGATAGGTGAATTCCCTGCCCCTCCCCCACCACTGAGAAGCTAGACTTTCATGCGGGAGAGGCTACTTTTATGTGTCGTCTTCCGGGGAAGGGTCCCTCCACTGAAAGCTAGCCAGTCATGTTTTCTGTTTTTGGATTTTTGCAATTGGTTTCACCTCATGTCTCCCTCCCTACAAAGCACTGCCTCTACTGGGCGTGCTGCCAAGGCCATGTGCACTCCATCCTCATGTATCCTTTTTCACGGGGACCAGAACACTGGTACGTCATCACCAAAGCCAATCTGCTCTAGCTGCCCACAGATGCCACCAAAACCTGCTATCTCTTCATCACCAGGTACGATTCTCTTTCCACAGTGGACACAGCAGGCTATTTTCTAGTTTGTGCTGGTCACGTGGTAGATGAAGCCTCTTACTGCCCCACTTAGGGTGGCCACGGCTGCTTGTGAATGCAGCTTTGCCAGTGGCATATCTGTCATCTGATTGCGGTGGTGAAATGGAATTGAGGCCCAAGGTTAGAAGCAGCCGAGACGCCACTTGGATACTGATTTGAACAATGTAGAAGTCAGATTCTGAATTCCAAAGTTATTTCTCATAAGTACCCAATGGCATCTCTCCATCTACAAAGTTGCAGTATTATGCAAATAAAACTGACCTCATTTTCTGCTATGCAATAAGAATACTTAATTCTAGTTCCCGACAAGCCAGTTGCAATATCCCCTAAGATGCTTTTTGAGCTGTCTTACTTTGATATCTGTTGTGTAATGTTTGTATATTTCTGAGCCAGATCCTTTCAAAGATTGCCTTTTTATAAAATTGAAGCTATAGCTTTTAGGCTAAAATTTTAACGTAGATATTTTTATAAGATATTTTTTTCAAGAGTTTGAATCGCTTTTTATTGTCCATGATAATGAAATGTTGTGTTCTTTGCATCATTCACTCTCAAACGTAGTTCATGCCTGTAGCTCTCTTCCTTTTGTTTCTCACCCTTCAGAAACATATTTTTCAGTAGCTCCAGGTAGATGAGCCTTTTTTTTTTTTTTAAAAATACCATATTCAAGGGAGTCTGCTGAATTTTAAAACGCAGTCACTGGTGTTTCTTGAATTGCTAGGGACTGATGTTATGTTCGACTCAGCACTTGCCCGTCTGTATTGATTGTGTCTTTTTTTTTTTTTTTGGAGTCTGCTTTCTGTGGGGGTGAGGCCGGGCTGTCTCGTGGTGGCTCCCACTGACGGGCACTGAGCCTGGTACCCTGTGGCATGGAGAAGCCTCAGGGAAAGGCCTGCCCCCCCAGCACATACTCCCATAGTGTCCTAGGTCCAGCCGACCATTCCTTATTCTCTTCTATCTCCTTGTTGATCTGAAGCTTCCAATAGCTTGAGGCCTTTGCTGCTGGATGATGCCCTTTTTGGGAGCATCTTGTCTCTAACCTTTAAAAGAGGGGTCAATCCTCATGATCCCTGTGTGTTAAGCATATGCTTTGCAGGTGCTCACACTACACTTACAACTTGCTTCTTGAGCTATGTCTCTACTCCAGGCTCTGTTTTGTGTATTTATCTGCCATTTGCATCATGGTTTTTAAAATTTATTATTATTATTATTATTGTTGGGACAGGTGCCATTTAAATTGCCTCCATGCTCCCCATTTGCACCTAGCTGGATCAAGTTGGGAGGCTGAGCAAACTCATATTCCAGTTAGTTGGAGTTTTTAAAGGCTCTGTTTGCCTGGAGAAGCAAGGAGGTTAGAATGTAATTTTTTTAAGCGTTTGCACTATTTAGAGTCCTAAGCCCCTCATGTTCAGCTGTGCTGTGTTTCTACTGACCAAGCAGGAGAGCCAGCAGCACTTCCAGCATTTGGGAATGGAAGAGATTTCTTCTGTAGTGGATAATTACAGCCTCATAGCCCCTGTGCAGCCTTCGTCATGGGACTCAGTGACTCATGGATATAGCATCAGCCATGGCAGGAATGCACAGGACTGTGGCATTTGCAGCATCAAATCACCCTAGTGCCATGTTTGGTTATGAGATTGTAAATTATTCGCTCCCCCATCCTCCCCTCCCCTCATTTTCAGTGGCAATAGAGGACCCTTGTTGTACTTCTTGTTTAATTTGCATATTATGTGTAAAATGCTTTCGTTGAAAGAAAACTGAAGACACTGAATGTGTATGTCTGTGTGGGTGCTCTGTCCCTGTGGTTGTCATAGCCAGTCAGACTTGATCACTGACACCCCGTACAACATATTGCATAGGTAAGATCCTCGATCTGGTGTTCTCTGCGTGGCTGTTAGGGACTGTATATCTTGTAAAAGAACACTTGTCACATGCTTGATCAGTTACAGCAATAGCTGAAGAAACATTTCCTCAAATGTATTATTTTAACAGGAATCATGTTCTAATTTCCCATCCTTTAATTTTAATAAAAGCTGAACTGTGTGAACTTTTCTCAGTATTTCATTTCTATAGTCCAGTCTCTCTGCTATGTCTCAAACATGAAAAGGACAGACTTATTCCTGTATGTCTTTGGATTAAAAAAAATTTTAAGATCTACTGGACAATATCTGGGTTCCTTGGTTTCCATCACTCACCCTAGCAGAGTGCCAGACCCACAAAGACCTTCAATGAGGCCAAGAGAGGACAGTCCCTCCAGGGGGTATTAAGTGGTGTGCACAACTGCCAGATAATCACTGGGAACCACTGAGAGTCAGGGTTGGTGGGGAAGATGGCTAGCTCAGCTGGGCATCACCATTTGGGAGGGAAGCCTTGTATGAAGTGGGAGGGGGTGGATGCCTGGCTCAGCTGTAACTTCTCAAAGCCTCCTGCTCAGAGACCTTAGCTCCCTCTCTAGTTAACAAACCAGTCCCAGGCCCTTTTGGGATGTCAGTAGCTCTGGCCTGTACCAGGTGACAGATGGACAGCACAGAGGTGTTGGACTTATCTTCAAGCTGGAGAAACTCAAGGGACCAGTGGGAACCCTTAGCCAGATTCCTCCCCATATTTGGGAAAGTAAATTTTGAGCTCCAAGAGGGCACAGCCTGCTTGACTTACTGTGCACTCCTGGTGCCTGGCACTCAGGAACAATTGATGGGAGAGCAAAGAAAGGCATGTGAGTAGGGCTCGGGTGGCAGTATCTTTCCTTCCTCCAACTCCTCTCCCCTCTCCTGGGCTGGCCTCCGCTGGAGCCTCTGTTCTCCCATCTCTCACCACTCATCCTCTGCTCCTGTTGAGCAGTTAGACTGTTCAGAAGAATGAGGTCAGGCCTCTTTGAGCCCCACAAACCCCGAGCAGGTGGGCAGGAATTTGTGCCCCTGGACAGAGGAGGCCCACAAAGGTGAATTCATTTATCTGAGGGTGTGTTGTGAGCAGGCGGAGCACACCTGGATGAAACCTACTAACTCTTTTCACCCATAATTGAATTTGAGCATCAGCCTGAGAAGAGGGTTCAGGCTGCGGTTGTTTCAATAATCATAGCAGCCAGCATTTATTTTGCATTTGATGTGTGCCAGGCCCTGTGCTGAATGCTTTAATTCCAGTTAATCTCCATAACACCTCATGGAGGCAAATGACCACATGGCGCTCTGCCTAATTCACAGGATTACTGGAGTTAATTAACAGACCCTTGAGAAGAGGTGCAGGCCCCCTCCTCCTGCTGAAGCTGCTTGCTGAGTTGTGTCATCTTCAAATCCCAGAGACCATACCCTGTGACTGCATTCTGCAGCTAGGAGGTCACCAACGTCTGGCCCTCAAGGGTGGGCAGGGAAGCAGATCCCAGAGCTAGGCTGGAGACCCCCCTGGGGCCAATATGCTCTGGGCCTCGCCCGGCCTTGGAGAGGCCCGGTGAGGGGCTGATGGCTAGTGAGGGCTTGATGGCTAGTGAGGACTTTGTCTCAGGGCGCACATATTTCCCCCACTATGCTGTTGGCCTGGTTTCTCCTTACAGGAGAAGTTTCAGAGTAATTTAATATTTGGTGGTTTTACTACCAACTTATGTTTCTATAGTTTACAAATAGTGTCTTTTGACCCTAATAAGCTATTTTACTTTAATAAAAATATATTCTGTTCTGTTTGCATTTTCACATAGGAGTCTGCATTCCCCATTGTCTATCCCTTTCTGCTCAGACAGCTTCTCCTACTGCTCCAGGGTCAGTGCCCATGGGAAGGGGCCCCTGACTGGGATTTTAGACATTGTCAGGTGCAGCCCATGTATTTGCACGTTGGGAGACTGGGGCTTGGAGCTGTAGAGAGGCACCTGGCTCTTGTCCTTAGGTAGTTTTGATGTGGCTTTCTCTCTAGACTACTTGCAGCTCCAAAGCTGCCCACTAGTGCCTGAGGCCGAGCCAGGTTTCCCATCAGTCCAGTGGAGGCTCCAGGGCCTATGCCTGCCTACCTGCCTCTGGGGAGGGGGGGCGGGGGGCTCTGGGGCTGAGGAAAGGCAGCGACTGCAGGCCTGAGGGCCATGACCCTCGGGGTGGAACAGAGAGGAGGGGTGGCCCCCATCATGGCAGGGCTGGTCTCTCTGAGATTCCCACCCTGTGGCCACTCCAGCTTCAAAGGTTGCTCCAGGCTCCCAGGGTTGCTGGAGGCTGCAACTCTCCTTAGCAGGTGTCAGGGCATCTATTGGCCTAGGGTGGAAGGAGGCCTTGTTCTTGGCTGTGTGACCTGCAGCACATCCTTTTCCCTCTCTGGTTCCTTGTCTGTCAAATAAAGGAATGTGTGTCCTTATGAGCATTTACTGCACTCACCAGGCCCTGTTCTTGCTCCTATGTGACTGGCGAGGAGATGGGGCTCAGAGAGGCTGAGAGATGAGGGGAATAAGGATTTGAACCCATATCTTCCGTGGTAGTAGTTTTTGACTGCTATGCTGCACGTGTTGTTAATCTATTAGACCCCTGGACCCTGCCAGTGAACATGATGAAAATGTTTTGATGAATCTCCTAATTGTAAGCTAAAGGCTGGAAAGTTTGGCTTTAGACCTGTTTCCTTTCCTCGGTTTTTCTTTCCTTCCCATTCCTAGTTCCCAGCTGCCTCTGGGAAAGACCCCAGTGTCCTTCCCAGTGTTGGGAGTCTTTCATTCTCCCTTTTCAGTGTGTTCAACAGTTACTCCTTCAACAAGAATATATCCATCATCTATGTTGTGTGTTGCTGGGAACTTGAGATGCAACTGCTAACAGAACAGGTGGTCCCTGTGGACATGGAAGTTTGAGTTTCTAAAGAACATGATCAGGTAAAGACACAGGTACAGTCTGGTCTGCTGCGGGCGCAGGGGTGGGTGAGGAGGGGAAACACATGCCCCCAAGCGAGAGTCACTGGGAGCAACAGGAAAGACAGAGACACACAGAGACCGGTGGAAACGGGGGGAGACTCACACAGAGCAAGAGACGTAATGTGAGAGATGGACACACACAGAAACACAGGGAGGCAGAAGCATAAAAAAGACACACACATGGCCAGGGAAGAAGAGATATCATCCATATAGAAACAGAGGCAGAGACCCAGAGAGAGAGAATGAGAGGGCGAGAGCGTAAGACAGAGAGAGCAAGAGTCATTTCTGGCAGAGGACGGGTCAGCATGGCGGTTCAGATGGGAAGTTTTAGAGTCAGGAGACTTCAAGCCTGAGCTCAGGCAGGGTGATCAGGTGGGTTTGAGGAGTCTCCTCCCCTCTCAGAGCCAGGGCCCTGATCTATAAAATATGGATGATGCACCACGTCTGTGAGCTTGTGGAGATGAACATGAAAAGGCCCTAAAACATAGAAGGCAGCCACTTCAGGCCCCAGGAGTCAGGCACAGCCTGGCAGAAGTGGCCTCCAGCATGAGGCACTCTGAGTCTCTGGTGGTGGGTGCTGGTGCTGGAGATGTGCTGATTGCGTGCATGCTCGAGGGGCTGGAGTGTGTGTGGACGGAAGGTGCACCAACAAAGGACGAGCTCTCTGTCCCAGGGTCTTGTCTGGGCCAGGAGATACACCTAGGACCTCTTTTCTTTTTCAAAAAACATTAGATCTTTGATAAGCAGAATCTTATTTCGGAAGGTTGCCCCAAGTGGAGCCATCTGGCAGGGCCTGGTTTCACCTGTGGCCACTTGGCTGCTCTCTATTTGGCACAGTGTGATGAAATCCCTTTTTCTTTCCTTCTTCCTCTGAGGGGGTGGAAGGCATGAGTTGCAGGAGCTTACTTCCTGCTTTTAGAGTAGGGCCTCTTCTTGGTTTCAACTCTGTGCACACCAGAGAACGTGGGCTTTGGTAGGCATGTGTGTAAGTGTGGACATGACTAAGGAATCTCCCATGTGGTCTCATCTGATTCAGAAGTCCTGTGGGGTAGCCTTGGCAGGTATTATTGTGTGCACTGTCTCTGCCTGTTGTCACTTTCTCAATTCATGGGTGGCACAGGCTAAACACTCTGCATGGTGACTGTGCATAGTGGGTAGTTTACTGGGGGGAACGAATATTATCATCTTATTCCCTTTATATAGATAAGGAAGCTGAAGCTCAAGAGAGGTTAAGGAGGTCAATGAAATTCTCCAGGCTTGGATTCTATCACCCAGGATTGTATTTGGTTCCAGGTGACAGCAAAATGACTGCAGTGGCTTAACCAAAGAGTGGGCTACTTCGCTCACATAACCACAGGTCCAGAGGCTGGCTTTCCAGGGCTGGCACAGCAGCTCCCCAGTGCCCAAGTCCTGCTGTCTTCTTGTTCTTCCATCCTTAGCATGTTGTGAGATAGGTGCTCCATAGGTATTCTGACATTTGCACAACAGGATGAAAAAGAAGGGGAGGGGAAGGTGGAAGAGAGTGCCTGTGACAGGAAAGCAAAACCTTTTCAGAAATCCCTAATACAGCACCCTTTACATTCTCATAGTGCCCCAGCTGCAAGTGAGTTGGGGCAGATGAATACTTTTACTTGGGCATGCTGCTGCTCCAAACAAACTCAGAGTTTGCCTTGGGAGAAAGAAGGACATTAGCTGGTCAACTACCAATGAGGCCATAGTGGAGAGTCCCTGTAGCCTTATGTCTCCAAATGCCATGTGGCCTCCTCTCCACCACTCAGCTTGGACTTTGCTTTCTTGGATCCAAAAGTCCAGGTCTTTTTGGTCCATCCTCTAGCATCTGCCCTGCAGGTTATTTTGGCTGGGTACTGACTGTATGCAGGGCTTCTTGTCAGTGAGTGCTAAGGATGCTCCCTGTGCACTTGGCATCTACTGAGGGGATGCAGAGTGGGGTCCCAGAATAGGGCTGGGCAGGGAAGGCTTCCTCTCACAACTGCACTCCAGCCTTCTTCCTTGCTCTATTTGGCATCAACAGTGGATGTCCCTATTACAGGATAAATGAGAAATCCTAAGCCATGGAGACATTTAGGAGCCCATTGCTGAGGCTTTAGTGACGGCTCATTTATCAGCTGTGGAAGTTTTCCTGAAGCACTGATTGAAAAGACCTGTCAGCTGCAAGATCTATGAACTTTATCTCAAGAATGACCCATCTGTGCAGCACCATAAATCTTTCTGAGCCACAAACTGGGAGGTGGAGGTGGGTGAGATTTGGTGTTGGCCTCTTGGAGGCAATTTTTCCAACAACCTTGTCCTCTTGCCCGCCAGCATGTCCTCAGATTTAATGACAGCCCATCCAGTGGTGTCCTCAGCTGAGCTGAGCTGAAGGAGGTCACAGAACTGATGTGAACAGTCTTGCTGCCAAGGGGCTGTCCCAGGTCTGTGCCCCCCAGGTGTGGGCCTGACTCTAGCCTTGGCATGGAGTAGGGAGGGAGGAATATCTGGGCTGGAGGGGGTTGGGCCTTGCCCTCCATCTCATAAGGAGGATGTGAAGCAGCATGGAAAGGGTAGAGTGAGAACAGGAAGATCTAGTCTCAAAACATCATTTGACAATAGAGCATAATGGTTAAGGGCACGGGCTCTGCATCGGACAGCGTGGATTTGAATCTCTGCCTGTGAATTACTAGTAGTGTGACACTGGTGATAAAAGGCCCTCCCAGGACAAACAGGTCCGCACAGGCAGCGCACTCCAAGGGTGAGGAAGCCCGCACTCTAGGGGAGCTAACAGCCCCCTGCGGGCCTTTCCCTCGTTCTGGGCCTCACCTCCACCTGCAAGCAGCAGCCTGGATCTGAGGTGAGAGTGTGCAGGGGAAGGCTGAGGCTTCATAGGGCATTCCAAATGTATTTTCCAGCTACAGATCCCATCATTTTAATGTAACTCAGACCTCCTATTTGAATGATTAACTAAGGAACTGTCTGTCCTGATGCCGGCAACTGCTGCAGAGTCCAGATAAGGACGCCCAAAAAACCATCTCTAGGCAGCCAGATGAGGCTTTATGCATGTCCTAGAAAGGGTAGTTTGATTTCTAGCAGCTTCTAGCAGAAATTTTCTATCTGGATCTGGGAAACTGCTAGGCACCAGGAGCCTGTGAATGCAGGCAGGCCAGCCCCAGGTGGACTCCGGGAGGCCCAGGTGGAGATGGGTGGGGTGAATGAGAGAATTAGGCTTTGCTGTAATGCCGGCTATACATCACGGGGGTGCCAAAGGGAGCTCCAGAACTCTGGGGTGGTGTCATGGAGCCCTCCCACTGCCAGCCTGGGGGACTCCTGTCCACTGTGAAGCCCTGGGCAGGGGCTACCCCCTTCACGAAGCAGCCCCTAGCTAGTTGCCACCTTCTCTGAGCTGCTTCTGTACTTTGCATGTGTCATGCATTCACTGCATATTTTTGAGTGCTTCATGAGTGTCAGGCTCTGTGCCAGCTCTAGAGATAGGATGTAAATGAGAGGATCCCTGTCCTCCTGGGGTTCATGTCAAATTGTGGAGACAAAGTCATAAACAAGGAATTATAATATGGTATGGTAAGCATAAGGGTTGGGGAGTGAAGGGGCCTGTGGAAGCACTGAGAGAGTCAGGGCAAGTGTCCTGGTGGAAATGATGACAAACTGAGTCATAATTTTGGATGGACGTTGGGTGTCAACCAGGTGAGGGGATAGATGTAGGTGTTAGGGAGGAAGGAGGAAGGAATTCCAAGTGCAGAGGCCTGGTGGCTAGAGAGATGGCCTTTATGGGAAAGCACAAACAGTTCAGTGTGGCTGAATCATAGTGAATGAGGAGAACGTGTGGAGAGAGATGCGGCCAGAGAGTGGGCAGGGGCCATGTCACAAAAGGACTTGAAACCATGGTGAGGAGGTGACCCTCTGTCTTGAGGTCCGTGAGGGAACATCAAAAGTGTCTAAGGTTGGGTACCCCAAGAAACAGACTGAGATGCTGAGATTTTCATGCAGAATATTACTGGTTAGTGCTTTTGGCAATAACACCCATGAAGGGATGAGGGAAGCAGGAGAGGGCAGAGGGTGAAGAAGCTGCAGCGGAGGCCTCAGAAAATTCCATGGGGAGCTCTGGAATTGGATGGCCTTTCAGTGTTGTTCTGAGTTGACACAAGGGAGACAACCCTTTGTATCTTTGCAAAATTAGTGATTGACACCAAAAGTCCAGGCAGCTAAAGAAAAAATAGGTAAATTAGACTTCATCAAAATTAAAAAATTCAGTGCTTCAAATGATACCATCAATAAAGTAGAAAGAAAACCCACAGAATGGGAGAAAATATTTGCAAATCATATATCTGATAAGGGTGTAGTATCCATAAATATAAATAATTCTTACAATGCAACAGTTAAAAGATAAATAACCCAATTAAAATAGGCAAAGGATTTAATTTCCAAGGAAGATATACAAGTGGCCAATAAGCACATGAAAAGATGCTCAACATCATTAGACATCAGGGAAATGCAAATAAAAACTACAGTGAGATAGCACTTCATACCCCCTAGGATGGCTGTAATAAAAAAGACAATAACAAATATTGGCAAGGATATGGAGAAATTGTAATCCTCATACATTGCTAGTGGGAAAATAATATGGTGTACCTTCTTTGGAACATGGACTGGCAGTTCTGCAAAAAGTTAAATGTAGAGTTACCATACAACCCAGCAATTCCACTGCTAAGTATATACCCAAGAAAATTGAAAACATGACCACACAGAAACTTGTATATGACTTTTCATAGCAGCATTATCCATCATAGCCCCAAAGTGAAAAAACACCCCTACATATTCATCAGCTGATGAATGGATGAATGAAATGTCATGTATTTACAGAGTGGAATATTATTTAGCGTGAAAAGGAATGAAGTTGTGATACATGCTGCCATATGGGGGAACCTTGAAAACATGCTCAGTAAAAGAAGTCATACACAGAAGGCCACATGGTTCATGCATCCATTTATATGAAAATCCAGAATAGGTAAATCCATAGAGATAGCAAGTAGATTAGAGGTTGCCAGGGGCTGAGGGCGAGGGGATAGGGGATGGCTGCTAATGGGCTTGGGGTATCTGGGATATCTTTTTGGGGTGATGAAAATGTTCTGGAGATAGTGATGACAGTTGTTGCACAACTTTGTGAATATACCCAAACTCACTGAATTGTAATTTTAAAGGGTGCTTTTTTATGGCATGGAAATGATGACTCAAGTAAAAAACAGTCACTGAATGTGCATCCCCCCACCCTGAAACCCCACAGGTCATATAACTGGGTGAGGCAGCTCCCTTTGGCAGAGGGCAGTTTCTGGAGAGGAGCTCAGCTGTGAGTATTAGCAGATGACACTCTAAGCAGGCCAGAGGAGTGAGTGCCTTTGGGGATGTGGGTTACACACCACCACAATCCACAGTCAGATTGTCGCTTTAGCATGTGATCCCCATGACAATCCTAAGAGGCAGGCATTATTATCCCCCGCTTTAAATGAGTGAACCAAAGCTCCAAGAGGTTAAACAGCTTGCACAGGGGCTCGGCAACTAGCTACGATTTGGACAGGAATGTGAACTCGTGTCTATCTCAGGTTGAAGGCCACGTTCCTTATGATTCTGAGCTATTTCATGTTCTCTCATTCACAGATTTGTTTCCCCTGAAAGATTAATTGGCATCTACTACAGATGCTGTTCCACTGTGAACATTCGGCGCTAGTATTCTCCCAAGCCACAGGAAAAAATTAACGGAAGAAACAGCATTTCCTCATTTTTAATCTTTTTTTGATGCAAATTTTTGGTTATCCTTTGACAACTTGTTTCTACTAAAATCTAGTATCAGAAGGCATCTTATTTGTCAAAAATATTATAAACTTATCTTCATCAATATTTCAGTTTCCTGTCAGATGTTCCCATACCTAAACACATTCTGTTGATGATCTGGGGAGAGTTATGGATTTCAATCATTGAAGTCAGGGCTGATGGAGATACAATTTCACTGCCACGGAGGATGTTGATGCTAGTGAAATGAAAACACCCCTGCTGCCCAAGTTACAGTCACAGTGGTTATTCCCATCTCAGTGTGAATGCCCAAGCACATTTCCACAGTGGGGGAAGCAAAGGGCTCTGAGGACTTGAGTGGTGGTCAAGAGAGCAGGGAGGGGAAAATCGGGGGCGAAAGAGCAAAGTGGTGAAGAGGGCTCTGGGGGTGCACTGTCTAGTTATGAGCCTGGCTCTGAGCGTAACCCTGGACACAGTCTCTCTGAGTTTGCTACCTCATCTTTCAAATGGAGGTAACAATAGTTCTTAACTTGTTGGGTTGTTGGAAGGATTAAATGAGATAATATGTATTTGGCAGGCATACATGAAAATATAGTCATATGAGCAGAGAAAAATGCAGTCTCTAATAAAGTTCTAATTTGTCTCACAAGTTTCCCACTTATTGGCTTGTGGGAAGAGAAACTTTTCAATTTTAGTCTAATCTGGTAAATGTAGACTTGGTTCTTGCCTAGTCAGGGTTCAGTTGCAGAAAGAGGGACATATAGCAGAATATTTAATGGCTTATGAATTTGTTGGGGAGGCAAAGAAACACACTCTAGGCTGCCATGGCTCTCAAAGCTATACTGCCAAGTTAGGGTGCCAGCGGTGTGCTGCCTCTGCCCCAGGCAGGGACCTGCAGAACTGGAAACAGCTCCTGTCCCCACCTTTGCCACAGTCTACACCAGGAACACGGGCACTCCACAAATCCTCAGTGCCCACTCTGTTTCGCTTCAATGCATCTGAGTAGCAGAAGCTAAAGTGCAGTCAGAAACCCTCGCTGCAAATGTGTCTGGAAATGTGGTTTTTAGCTTTCTAGCTTCTTGGTAATAGAAGCGGGGTAGAATGCTTGTGGAACTATCCGTCCTCGTTGTTTGCCACATTCCTCCCATGTGGCTGCTCAACTTCCGTACACACCCTTCTTCCCATGCGCCTAAACAACCATGGCAAGAACTGGCTCCTTTCTAACCTGTTACAGCTATCCTCTGTGAAAATTAAAACGTGCTTACCCTTCTTCCACGATGGGAAAGCTTCAAATGTCATCAGTCACTGCATCTCTAGGTGGCATTATCCCTCCTCTAGTTTAGAGACAATTCTTCCTTAATATCATATAACCTGAAGCCTAAATGTGAAATTAACAACCACAGTGTATACTATGCATAACCACAGTATACAACCACAGTATATACTATGCAAAGTAGAAAAAAGGAGAGAAAGGGGAATTGAGGTCTGTGTGTATGTGTATTGTATAACATGCATATATACTCACATATCTGTTAGTTTTTGTGGTATAACAAAGTGCTCCAAAACTTACTGGCTTGAAGCAATCACTATTGATTATTTCTCACTATTCTGAGGATTGACTGGGCAGTTCTCTTGGTCTGATGTGGCTCGGTTGATCTCTGCTGGGCTTGCTCATGCATCTGTATTCAGCCAGCAGGTCAGCTAACGGCTGGATGATGTAGGATCACTCAAATATCTGGTGGTGGGCCGGTTATTGGAGAGGGTATCATCTCATCTTCCAGCAGGTTCGCTCAGGCTTTTTCACATGGCAGTCTTGGGGTCAAGTCCCAATGTGCAAACACTTTTAGAGCCTTTGTTTATGTTGCATTTGCTACTGTCCCATTGGCTGAAGCAAGCCACATGGCCAGCCCAGACTCAAGGTATGGAGAAAAAGACTCCATCTTTCATTGGGAGGTAAAGAATTAATGGCCATCTTAACCATCTACCACAATATATGTGTACAACAAGACAGACCATATTTGGGGCCATCAAATAAGTCTCAATAAATTTAAAAAAGCTGAAGTCATGCTGAATGCTTTCTCTGACCACAGTGGAATTAAACTGGAAATCAATAGCAACAGTATATCTGGAAAAAAAAACACAAATATTTGGAAATTAAACCAAAGTCCTCATGAAGGTTTGGGGAGGGTGACAGGGACCTGTCTTCACTTTTCCTTATCCCCATCTGGTCTTAATTTTTTCACAAGGATGGCAAAGAGTTAGGAAATTTGTCAGATAATGGTTCTTTATTCTCTCAGGCAAAACCCGTTGCCACATTTGCTGATTAAAAACATTTTTTTCGCTTGAACAGGGGAGGCAGATGTTGTGGTGAGCTGAGATTGCACCACTGCACTCCATCCTGGGCAACAGAGTAAGACTCTGTCTCAAAAAAAAAAAAAAGTTTTTTCTTCTAAGGACTGCCTTGATCAAAGTGGCTATTTGTTAAGATGACTTTCATCATATTCCAATTGTCCAAACTCTGTTTTCCATCTCCTCCTGATTGGCTCTAAGCATTGGGCCATCCTCCTCCTGACTGCAGTGTTTCTCCTCAGGCCACCCTCTTTGCTGTCACAACTGTTAAGCAGAATGTGGTCATTATTACTGGTTTTCCTAAGTGTCTGGAGAACTGGCATAGACTCTACTGATATAAAAAAATGTATCAAGAAGCCTCTGGTACCCTATTCCGAGCCTAAGGCACACATCACTCACTAATCAGCGATGGCACTGGCTTACTGACCCCTGCAAGACAAGGCACCAGGCTGCCCCTGCCAGTCAGTTGGAGTTGGCACCAGGGATGAAACTTATTTGCCCTTTCAGTTTTAAGCACTTGCCCTTGGGTTTTTCTGTCTAGTGCAAATACGATATATTGTACTGATGTTCCAGATGTCGGAGGCTGAGGTTTGAAGTTTTATATACTAGGAATATGCTGCAACTGTTAAAAGTGTAGAAATTGACTACATGCAACAGAAACAAGTTATGGCTCTTTCCTCCAACCCCCATCCCTGTAACAGTGTAAAATTTGCAATTTTTTTCAAGTTGGAAATTAAAAAAGAAATACCCCGTGTAGTGTTATGTGAGCAGACTTAACATTAAGCCATCTGTGCCCCTCGAGCTGTCTTCCTCCTTTATTTCCAGATCTTAGGGACATACTAGAAGCTTTTTTGCCTTCCTGTGAAGAGGATCTCAAAGATTTTCACAGTCAGTTCTGCCCTGTAGCACAGGAAAATACCTTACTTGCACACCAGAGGCCCCTGTTTGATTTAGAAGTACAAATAGCTTAACAGCTACCAGCTCTCGAATTTCTTCCGTGTGCCAGGCACTCCCCTGAATAATTTATCTGCACCAGCTCACTTACTCTTCATAACAGTCCTGAGCACCTGGCATTAGCATCCCCATAGTGCTCATGATGAAATGGCTCAGAATGGTCAAGTAACTTGCCCAAAATTGCATGCTAGTAAAAAACGGAGGTAGGATTGGAATCCAGGTCTGTGTGGCATCAAAACCTTGATTAATCCTCTCCTTGGTCTCTCCCTCAGGGGATGTGATGCTCTTTGTTTTGGGGCTTATAGGCTCCTCTGCCTTTTTCCTGCTTTCTCCCTATGTTTTACTTGCACTAAATCAAATGCTTTTCCATCTCAATCCCAATCTCTCTTCAGCACCCTCCACGCCCCCCACCTGCTGCCCGCCTCTGCTAGTCTGCAAAGGCTAGGCATGTCTTAGGTAGGAACAACATATTTCATCCCAGGCACGCAGCTTAAAACGCAGGAGTCGTGGAGCAGATAAATTTGCCTGAGAAGTAAGCAAATGTCCCTTCTGGAGAGCAGAATTTGAAAGAGGCAGGGAGCTCAGCAGAGCAGGGGAGGAATGGGCATGGGAGAGCTGGGATCTGCAAAGTCACTAACCTCACCAGCTTCAGGCCTTAGACTGAGAGATTTATTCATTGTTTACCCACCGGGCTCTGGGTATCCCTTGACGACTAAGACCTGCCTCTAGGAGTCACATGCAGAGTGGGGAGAAAGTCAGGTACACACGGAAGCCTGCAGCTGCTGGAGAGTGCGGAGCTGGCATGTGAGGAAAGAGACTTCTCTTTGGGGCTGCATCCTTTTGGTGCCGGGTCATACTGAAGCTTCAGGTCATACTCTGCATCTTTTCTCACTGCTCTCTGTTTGGCTAGTTGCAAAGACCAACACCCCCTTCCCCTATCCCTTTTGAGGCTCAGATAAATTATTAAATATCAGGTAGTAAGTGCTACTCACTGCCTGGTTAGAAGCTGCCCATCACAACCCAAATCCTGCAAGCCAGGGAGTCTGTGTTCCTGATTTTTGGTTTAGAACCCACACTGAGCACTCCTGTTTGTTTTCTGTGTCTGCAGTGTCTTACTATTCATGGAAACATTTTACCTGAGGGTCTGGCCCTTGGGTGCCAATAGCTGTACTTTGGTTTCAACTGCTTTGGACGAAGAGGCATCACCTCATGTTGCTCCCAAAATCACTGTGATATGTCCCTGTGTTTTAGGTCGGACTATCTCAAATATATCCTTAAATATAAAGAAAAAATATCTCCAGCCTTTTCGCATGTTGTGCTGGGACAGAAATGTAATTTTCTTTGGAGGAACCTTGGTGATGATTTGCCCAAATCCCTGGCCTGGCAGAATTTGGTTCTGGAGGCATCCTGTCAGCTGTCTCTCTCCTTCCCCTGCAAGTTCCACCTCCTGCCTTTCTCTGCCTTCAGCCCTCTGGGATCCAACACACATAGATTTGCCTCTGGGTCTATTCCATGTGCAGACACCAAACCAAATGGGAAAGCTTCACCCCACCTAACTGGACCCTACTGGGGAAGAGAAATAAGTGCTGTTGTTTCTCATGATCCTGGTGATCTGATTCCCTTGAGGCCCCTGAGAGAGGTTGGTTTTGACTTCTTAGGTGTTGACCAGGCTCTTTCTGTTAATGTTAGACCTTGGGACTTAATATTAGCACATAATATTAGACCTAGGCCCTGGAGCAAATTGCTGTTTTTTTCTTGCTGGCTTGATTAGCATGTAATATTAGACCTGGGCCCATGTGTTCCATCCCGTTGGAGCACACTGTCTATGGGACTGGCAGCGGGGGCATCTGCCTTACTATCTGCCTCTCGTACAAACCCTGTGCTGACAATTCCAGCACTGTTTTTGTAGAAGCGCTGCCTCGAAATGGTAGGAGAGAGACAGAGTGCTCCCAAAGTCTCAGCATAATTTGGTTTTATTACAAGAGTTTTCATTTTGATGGCAACATTATTCTTTTCACAGAAGAAATTATCTTCAAATTATTTAATCTCACTCTTTTTTCTCTGGAGACACTTTGGGGTATATTGCTGCAGTCTTCGCAGATTGCTGGAAAGTAGCTAGCCTGTCTATCGTTTTAATCATTATCACAGGCCCACATTTGAAGGGGAAGAAAGTCTCTTGTTACCACAGAGACATTTGGTCCCTGAAATAATCCTGAAATATCTGTGCTTTCCAGAGTAGAAGCATTTAGGATCTTTTATTTCTCCAAAGGAAAATATTAACAGCCTAGGAAGAGCTGAAGATTTCCGTCAAGGAAGGTTAGGAAGGAGATTGACTCCACCATCTTTCTGGGGTAATGTGTTACTGTGAGATGCAGATCCTGGGCAGAATATTCATTTTAATTTTGCTGTGGCCTGGAATCTAGGAAGCATTACAAAATCATCATAGTAGTTGTTGATAATAGTGAAGTAGCCAGATAAGCTGGCATCTGGAGAAGAAGGCCCCTTAGGGGTAAGTGGTAGGGCTCAATCTGATATCACCAGGACAGGTGGCACCATGGTCCCCAGCTCCCAGCCCAGAAGCAGCCCTGGAGGGGAATACAAGGTGAGGGAGGGTTCCAAATGAGGCTGAGGCCAAGGCTGCTTGAGCCTCATTGGCTTCTAGAGCCAGTATCAGGAGCCGAGCAATCCGAGACCTTTGTGGCCTCTTGGAGGGTAGGCACTTTGTGGAAACTTGTGCCTCCTGGTCAGGTGAGTATTAGGTGGCCTGAGGAAAGAGCTGGGGACTGCTGCTGTGGATTAATTAGGGGGAATCCTAGAAGAGTAGACCAGGGCACCCCACAGACCCATAGAGACAGGAACATAAGACATAGGTGGTCACTCCAGTTGTAGACCTCAAATTCCTGGGTTTGGAATGCCCTTCCCAGACACATTTGTTTACGTGGCTCAGGCAGCCCCTCTTCCAGGCAGCCTCTGCTTTTGACCCTCCTTCCCTAGCAGGGCTGATTGCTACCTCCCTTGTGTCCCTAAGGGACCTTGTGCAGGCCCTTGGTGAGGTACCTCTACCCTCAAATGCAATCATCTGTTCATTATGGCATGCTTATCTATCCCTAGAAGACTGTGAGATCTTTGAGGACAGAGCCTAGTATAGTTTCTGGCCCAAGATATGGACTTCATAACTGAATGACAAAGTACTCATTGGCATGCTCCATATAGAAAGACACAAACAGAGGGTGTGAAACAATGGCATATGTGCTGGATCAGGGCTTGATTCCCGGAGCAGTCCTCACTGACTGTGTAGCCTTGGGTAAGCCACTTCACCTTTCTGAGACTCTATTTCCACATCTGTTGCATAGAGAGGGTGATCCTGAAGGCCTGAGGCTCCTGTGCTGGTCAGGTGGAGGGATGGTGCTTAGCCCCATCTTGCATGTGGACTTGGGTACAGCTGCCCCCAGAAAGGTCTCTTGGCAGGGCTGACATTGTCAACTTCGTTTTCCCAGATGGATGGACCATCTTCCAGGGTGGAAGGTGTGAGGCCGGCTGACACAGGCTGCCGGGTGCCAGGTTTTACATGCATTATCTCCTACATAAACCTCATGCAGTGATTCCCACGTCGCAGATGGGAAAACTCAGACTCAGGGGAAGTGCTTTTCTTAAGGTTCTTAAGGCTGTAATCCTGGTGGTCTGACTCCAGGACCTTGCTCTTAACCATGGTGCTCCACTGCCTTTCTGTGCCTTAGAGGAACCTAGGGGTCAGTGAGACCATGCCAGGGTAGCCCTTCCCTCCAAAGGCTTGAAGTGGAGGGTAATGAAGTCAGCCCTAGAGATAGGTGGAGAGGGGAAGGGAGAGCCGTCAGCCTTAGTCCTGGATTTGGGGTTCCCACGGTCTTCCCCTTCTGAGAGCTGCACTCCAATGGCCTCAGGGGGCCCAGGACCTGAACCCTTGGCCTTTAGCTCTGCAGTTGTTTCTCTCTGTTTTTCAGCCCAGCAGGCAACAGAAGGCTTGCTGTCTGCGAGGGGATAGAAGTAAGGACCATCATTCTCATTCTCATTGCTGAAGAGGGAACTGTCGGCCCTTCCTTCATCCCTCCACTCCCTTCAGCTGATGTAGCCAACAGTACCTGAGAGATGGCCCAGGGGGCCCAGTAGAAGGCTTAGCCAAGTGGCTAGGGTGTGGCTCAGAAGTCAGACAGACCTGGGGTTCGAGTCCTAACTAAGTCACTCATGAGTTGCTTCACCTTTCTGAGTCTTAGATCCTTCATCTGGTGTACAAGGCTTATTTGAAATGTTGGTCTGGCTTTCAATAGCTGCTCAATAAATTATAGTTGTTATCATCATTAGTAGCCCTGGGGTGGATGTGGGGGTGAGATAACAGGGGGCTGCTCTGTGAAGCATGAGCGGAGGTGCGCTTATGGAGGGCTGGGGGCTGCCATGAGGGCTCATCCTTAGCTGTTGGCTCCACTGGGCATTACACCTCCCATAGGTAGAGTTATTGCTCCCTCTTCTTTTCTGAATTCAAGCATTTGATAAGGGTAAATGTGCTTGTGGATGCTCCCAGAAAAGTCGGTTTGAGATGAGATAAACGATGGCACTTAGAAATGACTGGATATATATTTCTGACAATATCAGGATTTTTATTTAATTAGAAAGCATTTATTTCCCACTTATAAGTGAGAACATATGGTATTTGGTTTTTTGTTTGTGCGTTAGTTCACTTAGGATAATGGTTTCCAGCTGTGTCCATGTTGCTGCAAAGGACGTGATTTCATTCTTTCTTATGGCCACATAGTATTCCATGGTGTATATATAATATATTTTCTTTATCCAATCCACCACTGATGGAAACCTGGATTGATTTCATGCCTCCCTAAAGATGGGAACAATAGACACTGGGGAATACAAGAGAGGGGGTGGGGGGCAAGGGTGGAAAAACTACCCACTGGGTTCTATGCTCACTGTCTGGGTGACGGGTTCATTCATACTCCAAATCTCATACTCCAAACCTCAGCATCATGCATTTGTAACAAACCTGCAATGCACCCCCTGATTCTAAAGTATAAGTTAAAGAACAACAAGAAAAAAAAAAAAAGAAAAAAAGAGAAAGAAAGTATTTGTTTGGGATTTGGGCTGGGTTTGGGCTGGATTTCCCTGTCTCTTGATATCTTGTTTCTCCCTTTTGTGAAGCACTTTGACAACATATATCTTTTCCCCTCTACCAAGGGAGGGAGGTTTATTTTCACCTGTTTTCCTCTCAGGGGTGCCACCTCCTTCCCCCTGCCCCAGGGAGCTCTGGTTGAGGACAGCCACTTAGCTGTCAGTGGGGAAGGAGCCCACATCGGGGAGAAAGCTGGGGAAGCAGGCACCCAGAGCTGCCCTTGGCTTTTTCCAAGTATAGGGGAGTGGTGTTTGGAGGGGCTGAGATCTCAGGAACATCATTCCTAGAACTCAATGTTGGGTCATTGCCCCTGGAGCTATGCAGGGTCTAGATGAGAAGGTGTTGGGCTCCAGCTCTTCTCTATCCTATTTGCTACTCCCCCTTCCCAATTCCCACCAAAAATGTCACCAGACTTAGTGCATAGCTCACCACCACCTCAATCTACCATCCTCTCCAGGCCACCCTCCACTCCCACCTGGATGAAAGCATTAGCCTCATAACTCGTCTCTCTGCATCCAGCTTCCCACAGCCCTCATCCATCCCCTGCACAACAGCCAGTGTGGTCTTTCCAAAATGGAAAACTGCTCCTGTCTCTCGCCAGCTTAGTGACTTGCCGCGGTGCCTGACACATAATAAAACACCCTAAACACAGCCCCCAGAGCTGTGTGTGCTCAGGTCCTGTGTCTCTCAGGCCTATCTCCTCCTACCCACCTTGCAACAACCTTCCATCTGCCACCCCAGCCTTCCTCCGGCACTCAGATTTCAGGGCTTTGCCCATGCTCTTCCTCCGCCCTGTGATGCTTTCTCACTCCCACTCTCCCTTGGCTCCATGAACTCCTACTCACCTTTCATGTTTCTGCTTAAATGTCTTCAGTTAGGTCTGGCATGACCCCATCAAATTTCTTCATCAAATACGCTCACAATTTGCTTTTCCTTCATGGAATCCATCACAGTCATTAAAGACATATATATTTTGAAGTTGCCCTATGCAGGGTCTCACCCCAACAGACTGTGTGCTCCAGGAGAATGTCCTGCATAGAGACTGGTGTACAGTAGGTGCTCAAGATTGTTTGCTGAGTGAATGAATGGAAGTTTCTCTTTTTTCTATACATTGAGCCTACCTTCTAGGACTTTCTCTGGAGATGATTCCCTTGTATGTTTTGAACCTTGTAAATTTTGACTGTATAGTAAATTGACACTCAGGAAAGAAGATGCTCAGTGGACTGCTACCCACCCCACATCCCTATTCATTTCTGATCCTCAGCAAGGGTCGTGCTACATTTCCCAGTGTTGTGTGCAGGCCTCCCTGCTTTTCTTGCAGCATGGTCGCAGGCACGTGTGAGTGTCCTCCCGGAGCTCAGTGTGATCCACCACTCTTCCATTGAAGAGTTCCATGTCCTCCTGCCATGTGGACATACTGGCTTTTCGTCACGCCCTTGGTGAGCACCAGGCACAGTGCCAGGCCCTGGGGGGAGTCGTTATGAGCGTAAGCTGTCAGGTCAGAAAAACCTGGATGCGACTTCTGAATCCATCACTTACTAGCGGCGTGAGATTAGGCCAGTTATTTAACCTCTTATCCTCAGTTTTCTCATCTGTAAAACAGGGATAATAATAGTGCACAGAGCATGGCGTTGTGGAGAGGACTGAAAGAGGCATGCCATAGAAGGCACTCAGGACGGTGCTTGGCACGTGGTAAGGTGCACAGATGGTAGCTGCTGCTGCTGTTATTAGTGTCAGGAAAGGGAAATTAACATTGGTCAGGCCGACACTTCCATAAATCCTCTCTGCAGTGTGGGTACTGTGGGTTCCTGCTGGGAGGAATGGAGGGCTGAGGCAGGTGGGCTGTGGAGAGGCACACAGAAATCTGGTGGCCCTGTGGGGCTCTCAGGAAGTTTGTTCTGGTTGTGTGTATGGGGGCCTCCCACTCAGCATATGGGGCCGCTTGGCTGGGAGCCACATTTCCATGGGAATCCACGGGCTAGTGGGTCTGAGCTGTGTGCTCAGATCTGTGGCATATTTTATTTGGAGAGAGACAAAAGAAACTTCCATTAGGTTTCTTGCTTCTCAGAAGACACCTCTCCTTGGTCTGGGAGGGCTTCAGACACGGGGGTTGGCTCCGCACAACAGCAAGCGAGCTGGTGGGAGTGGCGTAAAGGTGAACATGGGTCTCCTCCACTGCGTGGTGGAGGCAGCTTCTTTGCATTTCTTGAAATCACAGACTCCTAGAGGTAAATGGGATGTGAGGGATCATCAAGTTCAATCCTGCAATTTCATACATGAGGAAACTGAAACCCAAGCAAGCCATTCTGCTTTGCTGTGACTCAGTTTCCTGATCTGTAAACTAGGGACATGAACACCTCCTTTGCAGGCTGGTGTGAGGATTTGGTGTATGCAGTGCTTGGCTTGTAGCAGGTGCTCAGGCAATTTCATTCCCTTTCTCTGTGCATGCCACTCCCACATTCTGCTAGGTTTCTCTTACTGAATTGAGGTGACAGGGAGATTTCTGCAGGGATTTCCAATATAATTTATTTTTATTATTATTTTATTTTATTTTATTTTTTGAGATGGAGTCTCGCTCTATCACCCAGGCTGGAGTGCAGTGGGGCGATCTTGGCTCATTGTAGGCTTTGCTTCCCGGGTTCAAGCGATTCTCTTGCCTCAGCCTCCTGGGTAGCTGGGACCACAGGCACACACCACCATGCCTGGCTAATTTTTATATCAATATCATTTTTGTATGTGCATAATGAACAACTTTATCCCTGGAACCACAAAACCTAAATTTGAATCCTTGCCTTGGTACTATTGGGGAAAAATATCCTCAAATTGGACAGATCGCAGGACTTCTTGGGAACTCGGCTTCCACATCTAACTGGAGAACATTGGCTCCCTTCCCTCACAGGGCTGGTACAGAGCTTGGGTAAAATCATGTACACTAAATGGCCTGCAATGTCTAAAATGCCCAGAAAGTGGAAGGCACCATCCTTTCTGCTTATCTATGTTGTCTCTTCCATGCCGTAACATGGATTTTTCTGCTAGAGGAACGAGGTCTTCAGGATTGAGCTGTGCATGGGAGTATGAGTTGGAGTTTGATCTGGTTCTTTGAGTGAGTCTGCAAGTATGTAAAGGCCATGAGCCGGTCTAATTGATTCCCACCTGCAAGTTATCTTCCCCTTTCTTTTCCCTTTTTCCTGATTTGTGTGAGAGCTGGGACTTCTTTCCTATGTGTTGCTTCTGGTGATGATCTATATAACCAAGAGTGAGCAGCTGCTGAACTGGCTGGAAATAATCCCAGACTTACTGGATGAGAGCATTACAATCCGATCCTGATTCACAAGACTCAGGGTTGAATTCCATTACAGAGTCAAATCTCTGGTTTATTTACAGGAAAAAAGGGGCAATTTGATCTGATGCATGTGATGAGATTTTTTTTTTGAAAACAGCAATGGTAATTGTGTCTTTCTCATGTACAGTTAATCGCATCTTTTAATATTTTCCCTCTAATGACATTTATTCTTTTATCTCCCAGGCATCCTTAGTAAATTCATTTCTTTTTTCTCCTTAATATGTTTATTAATCCTCAAACATTTGTTGTGCTTCATCAGTAAGGTCAGAGGATGAACAGAAATTTGGATTTTGAGCAATTAAAGCCACAGCCAGGTCAGATTACAAAATATAGGATTTCAGTCTGCTGATGGCTTCATTGCCCAGCATTGGTTCTGGGGATCAAGAACCTGGGAGTGAAGAACAATTCAAGGTCAGTTTTCTTCCTGACTGTTGGGGCATTTTCAGCTCACTACCTGGGGCATTGGGGGTGTCTGAGGTACAATCTTGCTGGCTTCAATATATGTGTGTCCTAAGAAGCATGTTCCTGAGAGAACTAATCTCAGTATCTATAACAAGTCAGGGTTTAGAATTCAAAAGCAATTATTTTAGAATCTTGTTCTCTTGCCAAGTCTTCTTGAAGCTCTAATACCTAGTTTCTTCACAGGTAAGATGGAAATTAGTGACAACATTAGTAATAATAATGAGAATTCACATTTATTGAATACTATGAGCCAGACACTGCGCTAGGCACTTTGCATAAATTACCTCATTTGATCCTCATATGAACCCAAAAAGAGAGGTGCTAATTGTGTTCCTTTTTAATAGATGAGAGAATCTGGGCAAAGAGGAAGTAATCAATTAGCTTACTCAGGGACACATGGACAGTGAGAGGCAGGGCTGGAGTGATCATCGTGTAATGAATAAGCCTTGGATTGGGAGCAGAGACTTGGATTTCAGCCTCGATTATCTCCTTCTAATTCTGTGACTGTGGAAGTCACCCAACTTCTCTGTGTTTCAGGGTCTGTTTTTGGGTTGTTTTTGTTGTTGTTTGCTTGTAAATGGAAAACATGCTTGGAAAAAATGGACTTAAGTGCTATTTTAGCTCTGACATTCTGGAATACTGAGAAATTCTACTGAGAATAAAAAGGGCCACTAAAGCGAACTGAATAGAATTCTCTCCCATGCAGAACACTCCAGATGGCCTTGATTTCTAGCAGTGACACCTCTATGCCAGTGCCTGTGATTACTTTGCAGCAAAGTTCCTAGCAGGCTCCGAGCAGTTCTCAGCCATCTCACACTCCAAGCCCCTTGAACATTGCCCTCAGTTTTGCAGTTTCTCCTCATGTGCCCTGAAGCCCAGACTGCACGTAAACAACCAGTCCAAGAACAATAATTCTGCTTCTTGGGATTGAGGAGTGTATCAATTTTCTGTAATTCTTTGTAGCAGAGTGAGCATACATTATAGAGTTCAAGTGTTTTGAAAATAAGCTATGAAGAATTGTTATCTGCCAAAAGAACTGGCAATTTGTCAACGTTCAGCAGCTGCAGGACTGAGTGACTCTGGGCAGTGTATGCTGTCAGTGCTGACCCCAGGAAAGGATGAGCAGAGGAGGGGACAAGGAAGGGAGTGCTCCTCAGTCTCTCAAAGAGAAAAATAATTTAGCTGTTGGAGGTGTGAGAGGACTTTTACAAGAGCCTGAAAGAAGCTATGTCAATTGTGACACATAAGTCCTAATTTGCAGCAAGATATAAAAGAAAAATCATAAAAACACTGGTACAACTCAATCTTATCATCTTGACCTACCTGCTGTTCTCATCCAGCCCTAGGAACTCATTTGCTTGTATCAACACCAACAAATCTCAGTATCCTTGATAAACTTTTTACTTTCCTTCAGCAGTTTTGTAGTTCATATTTCAGTTGTGGTTGGTTGTGGCTTCTCAGTAACTATAGTTGTTTGAAAAATAAAACAGAAGCCTTCTTTTTCATTTTGCTAATTGATCTTTCAGTGGTCTCTGCTTTTGAAATAGCCTTTTTTTTCTCTCTCTCTCTTTCTCCTCCTCCACCTTTTCCTGCTTTCCTTCTCTCCTGCCACTGCCTTTCTCTTATATTTACAATTCTTGGAAGAGGTTGCTCAGTTGTCATTGATCTCTCAGGTTAGGAGTGGTTGGCAAGCAGGACCAGAACCATGGACAGTGCCACATACATGCTTGCTTCTCCAGATACACCGTTCTGTTTAATTAAAATGCATTTAATGGCATCACCTTAGGGCAAGATTGAAACCTGTAGAAAAAGTTTATATACTCATTTAGAAGCTACAGAGCTGAAAGTGGACTAATATGTCCCTCGTTGTTCTAGGAAAGAAAATGTTTTATTCCTAGGAGCCTAACAACTCCAGACAAAATTTGTGTCAGAAAGTTGCTAGCTGTTAGCAGGGAATGAGGATCTTGTGACAGCTGGTAAGATTAAAAAGGAAGAAAAAGCCAGAGTTGACTTTGATTGGAAGTTTTGGGGCCAGAGTTGGGGCTGTGTATTCCTCAGTGGAGACTAGTGAGTGGTTTGCCTAGGGGTCTTGGTCAGCCTGCCTGAGATGGAGACATCTGGGCATTTATAGGAGTTATGGATGAGAAACTGGGGTACATTTTGTTCTCACAGGAATAGAGTATCAAAGGACATGCAAATGACATGCAAATTGGCTGCCACTATTTTGCTGTCATTAGCTTATTTAGTTTACAGGATGTCACAGAGCTGGGAGAGTAATAATCTAAGTATCAGGAACATCACCTAGAAGTAAGGGATAATTCAATAGGGTAGAGCACATTTTCCCAAATAGCCACGATTAGGGGAGGCCCTCTGTTGAGGAGTGAAGGTTGAGATCCTTTGCTGCTCACAGGATCTGGTCCTGGAATTAATAGTAATGTAGAGAGGGACAGAGATCTTATGAGGTTCATGTAACATCAGAGATTCAAAAGTATTCAAATATGATTTTGTTTATTTTGTGGTATGTGGTACATGCAATTACATAATATAAAACTTAAAATGTGCAAAAGATGTTGTGATGTTTTTATTGTCATGCAGGAACATTTAATTTTGGCTATTTGAATTTGTTAAATTTGTTCTTTTATATCTTGGTTTTGTGTCATTTTAAAAAGGCTTTGACTTTAAGATTATAAAAGTCATAAAATTATAAAAATACGTATTGCCATATACTTTGTCTAGCACTTTTATGGTTTTATATTTTTAAATGTTATTATGAAAAATTTCACGTAGCTCTCTCTTTCCTGTTTGCAGCCATCTACTTCTCCTACCCAGAGGTAACTGTAGTTATAAATTTTTCGTGAATCCTAAAATGCGCTATGCACATAAAAGTATACAACTACCATATTTCTCCCTCTTTGTACACAAGTAATAGCCTACTGTATACACTATAATGCAACTTTTTTTTCAATTAACAAAATGTCTTAGAGATAATTTTATATCAGTACACATCAAGTTGCCCCATTCTTTACAGATTTCAAAGACTTTTAGGATATGTGATTCTATTCAAGCTCTGTACCAGCCCTGTTCTGTAAGTAGACAGACATTCCTGTGTTACGGATGAAGAAAACTGATTTACAAAGAAGTTCTGTGACTTGCCCAACTCTTATTTTCTCCAGTAGTAATGGGCAGGATGCAAACCCAGGTCCTGCGGTTCCAGTGCTAAAGCTCTTCTTTCACTACACACAAAAATTATAGTAACTATTCCTCTAAAAAGCTCCCTCTCAACTGATTCTACTAGAACTGAATTATCCAGTTTTCATTTGTCTTTATTTGTTCCGTATCTAGATTGGTAGAATTTTATTTCAGAATATTTTACATGTAATTCCACCATGCTCAGGCTTCCCTTGTTGCTAAGTCAGCTGTCTGTTGAACTCATTCCCCTTTGTCATATTTCTCTGAGTGCTTTTATGTTTTTTTTCCCTTTATCTTTGGTGTTCTGTGCTTTCACGATATCACATTTTAAGGCGATTTTTTAAAAATTGTATTCTTCTTGGGATTTGTTGGGCTTCCTGAATCTATGGATTGGTATCTTTTATATGTTCTGGAAAATCCTCTCCAAACTTTGCCTCTGACTCATTTTCTCTTCTCTCCTACTTTTGGAACTCTGGTTAAACATGTTGGATTTTTTTCACTCTACTCCCTTGTCTCCTTGTTTTTGTAATAGATTTTATTGGGGTATAATTCACATACCATACAATTTTTAAAGCATACAATTAGGTGGTTTCTTAGTATGTCCAGAGTTGTAAAACCTTCATGGCAATTAATTTTAGAGCTTTTAATCACCTAACAAAGAAACCTCATGCCCTTTAGCTATCATATCCCAATTTCTCACCTCACCTAACCCTAAACAACCACCAGTCTACTTTCCGTCTTTATATATTTCCTGTTCTGGACATTTAATATGAATAAAGTTATATAATATGTGCTGTTTTATGAGCAGCTTCTTTCACTTAGCATAATGTCTTTAAGATTCATCCATGTTTGGATGTATCAGTACTTCCTTCCTTTTAATGACTGAATACTATTCCATTTTAAGGATATACCACATTTTGTTTATCCATTCATCAGTTGATGGGCATATAGGTTTTTTTCCCCCTACTATTTGGCCATGCTGCTATAAATATTCATGTAAAAGTTTTTGTATGGACACACGTTTTCATTTCTATTGGGTGTATACCTAGGAGTAGAATTGCTGGATCGGTAACCATACATTTAACTTTTTGAAAATCTTCTAGATGGTTTTCCATAGTGGTTGCACCATCTTACATTCCCACCAGAAACTTATGAGGGTTTTTATTTCTTCACGTCCTCACCAACCTTGTTATTATCTGACTTTTTGATTATAGCTATTCAACTGGGTATAAAATTATATCCCATGGTGATTTCAGTTTGCATTTACCTGATGATTAACAATGCTGAGCCTCTTTTTAAATGTGCAACTGGCATCTTCTTTGGAGAAATGTCTATTCCGAATTTTTTGCCCATTTTGACTGAGTTACTTGGTTTCTTAAAAATTATTAAATGTGTTTTTATGTATTTTGGATATAAGTTTCCCATCAGATACAGTTTGCAAATATTTTCTCCTATTCCATGGGTTGTCTCTCACTTTCTTGATAGTGTCCTCTGAATTAAAAACGTGTTTGAAGAAGCCCAATGCCTATTTTTTTTTTTTTGAGGCAGGGTCTTGCTCTGTAGCTCAGGCTGGAGTGCAGTGGCACGATCATGGCTCACTGCAGCCTTGACCTCCTGGGCTCAAGCAGTCTTCCTGTCTCAGCCTCCCAAGTGGCTGGGACTACAGGCATGCACCACCATTCCCGGCTAAATTTTAAATTTTTTGTAGAGATGGCATCTCACCATGTTGCCTGGGCTGGTCTTGAACTCCTGGGTTTAAGTGATCCTCCCTCCTTGGCCTTCCAAAGTCCTGGGATCACAGGCATGAGCCACTGTGCTTAGCCTAACTTTTCTTCTTTTATTTCTTGCATGTTTGGTGTCATATCTAAGAATCCATTGCCTAATCCAATGTCATGAAGATTTACCCCTATGTTTTCTTATAAGAATTTTGTAGTCTTGGCTCTCACATTTAGATATTTGATCCATTTCGAGTTATTTTTTGCATATCATGTGATATAAGACTCCAAATTCATTCTTTTGCATTGGCCATTTGGTTGACCCAACACTATTTGTTGAAAATATTATTCTTTCCCCATTGAGTTGTCACAGATCCTTGTTGAAAACTAATTGATCATAAACATATGGATTTATTTTTAGACTCTCAATTCTATTCTATTGATCTATATATGTCTATCCTTATGCCAGCAATACATGATCACAATTACTGTAGCTTTGTAGTATGTTTTGAAATCAAGAAGTGTGAGTCCTCCAATTTCATTCCTTTTTTTCAAGAGGTTTTGACTATTCTGGGTCTCTTATATATGAATTTTAAGATCATGTTGTCAATTTCTAAAAAGAAGCCATCTGGAAGTTTGATAAAAATTGCACTGAAATTGTAGATCAATTTGTGAGAGTCTTGCCATCTTAACAACATAAAGTCTCCTGTTCTATGAACTGGGAATGTCTTTTCATTTATTTAGATCTTGATTTCTTCCAACAATGATTTATAGTTTTTGGAGTATAAGTTTTGTACTTCTTTTGTTAAATTTATTCCTAAATATTTTATTCTTTTTGATGGTATTTTAAATGGAATTTTGTTTGTAATTTCACTTTTGGATTGTTCATTGCTAATGTGTAGAAATACAATTAATTTTTTATATTGATTTTATATTCTGCAACCTTACAGAGCTCATTTATCATTTCTAGAATTTTTTTAGTGGATTCCTTAGGATTTTCTATATTTAAGATCATATCATCTGCGAATATAGTTTTAGTTCTTCCTTTACAATCTGGATGTCTTTTAATTCACTTTCTTTCCTTATTGCTCTGTCTAGGACATCTGATACAATGTTGAATAAAAGTGGCAAAACCGGATACCCTTTTGTTGTTTCTGGTCTTAGGGAGAAAGCATACAGTTCTTGTACCCTTAAGTAGGATGCTAGCTGTGGGTTTTTTGGAGGTGCCCTTTAGCATTTTGAGGATTTTCCCTTCCATTCATAATTTGTTGAACATTTTTATTTTAATCATGAAAGGCTGTTGGATGTTGCTAAATGCGTTTGCTGCATCTATTGAGATAATCATATAGTGTTTCTTTTTTAATTCTGTTGTTATGGTATAATACATTAATTATTTCCATATATTAAATATCCTTCTTGTCTTCTTTCCATATTTTCCGTCTTATTATTCCACTTATATTTTATTGTAGTGTGTGCCTCCCAACTAAAATATGAGCCTGATGAAGGTAGAGACTGCATCTTGCAATTGATTCTTGGTTTTCAGGTGGGAGATCTTTGTGGAACTTGAAATATGTGAATCCACTAAACAACCCCCTGGCAAAATACCACTAAGAATAAAGGAGAGAAAAACTAAGTTGGATTGAGGTGTGTATTTCTGGGTAGTCACTGGGGCTCAGTCACCAAGGAGGTCTCTTTTCCTTACGGACAAGTCTTCAAGCAAATAATTCAAATTTGTGACTCAGCAAAATGACAAACCATAGACTTCAGAGTCACTCTTGGATCGCATAAATTTCCAGTGCTACATTCTCTAGGGCCACAGGCCACTCATGTTCATCCCTATGGTACCTGGCATGTTAAGAGGATAACAATTATTTGTTCATTTTATTAGGACTGTGTTTCATGCACTAAGCAGCGGGTTAAGTTCCGAGGTGATAGAAATGCATGAAATATGGTTCTTGCTTCAAGGAGCTCAGAATCAGTGGAGGTAGAAGACACTTAAAATACGGGTGAAAGTGCTAGGGTGGTGGAAACACAGGGGAGGAGAGAGGATGAGGCTTCCTGTAGCAAGTGAGGTCTGAGTTTCCCCTTTCTCACCTCCCCTGCCGTCTCCTGGTCCAAGTCACCATCCTCTGTCTCCTGGAATAATAATAATGTAGGAGGCTTCTAACTGACCTCCCTGCTTTTTCCTGCTACCTGTGCAGTACATTTTCAGTAGAGCATCCAGAGTGGTCCTTGAAAAACTTAAGTCATGGCCCACACTGAGTGCCTATCTTTCCACAGTTAGAGCCCTACTTGCTGCCATGGTTCACAAGTTCCTACCTGATCTGGTCTTCTACTATGTCTCTGACCTTTTTTACACTTTCACTTTTGATAATACCACTGCACACTCTAATTTCCTTGCTGGTCTGCAACCGCATCTCCACCTGGCATCTTTCTTTTTTTGCCTTCCTCTTCCTGGAAACACTCTTCCCCAGATAACACTCCTTCATGCTCCCCCGGCCTCTGCGCAAAGCCCTTGTGAACAAGGCCTTCTCTGATGTCTCTACATAAACTGAAAGACTCTTTCTCTCACTCCCTCTCTGCCTGAATCTGCTTTATTTTTCTCTATACCACTCATTCATTTGCTGATGGTCTATCTTTCCAGACTAGAATGTAAGTTCCACAAGATCAGATATTTTTGCCCACTTGATTGATTATTGTTACTCCCATTGCCTGCCGTGTTTCCTTGCACATTAAATATTTGCTGACCAATTTAATGCACTGACATCCTGGAGGCTGAGTAGGAGGGACTTAGGATGAAGAACTGGTCTGGAATATGAGGTAGATCGGGTGTTTCATTGAACTGAATGATTTATTTTCCCCACATGTAAGGGTTGATTTTTGGACTGGATGGCTGCTGATGCCCATTTTCATCTACTCATCTCTGAAATACCACAACAAAATGGCAATTTTGGAACCTAAAGTGGACCAAGGGTCTATGTGAAGGACACTGACAGCTTTTAGCAATCTGAAGGTGAAGGCATGCCTGAAGACACCACAACACATTTCCAGGCAGTGAACATGGTTCCTGAAATTGCAGCTGGTCATGGAAGCTACCCAGTACCAGTTCGGAAAGCATCTGGTTCTCTCATCTCAAGAACAACCCTTGCACCAAACCCCAAAGCTCAAATGTAATAAGATGCTTCCTTAGCATAATGTATTAATAGCCATTGGCTATTGAGTGCTTCCCTTGTGCCATACTCAGTGCTGGGAGCTTAACACAGTTCTCTCTTTTAATCCTTTGAGTTATGTATTGATATCATCTTCATTTTATAGATGAAAAAACAGAAGCTCAAAAATGTTTATTATTTGCCTAGGGCCATGTGGCTGGCAAGTAGCTAAACTAGTAGTTTTAATTCCAGTCTGCTAGAGTCTAAAGCTCATGTTCTTGGTGACATTGTATATCCTCAGATCAGCAACCTGCAACAGATATATTACTTCTGAGGGTAAGAACACATCCCTGCAGTTTCTCTGCTTTTCTGCCTTTGGAAACATGGAGAGAAAGGTCTGGCTGGAGGGCCCATGAAACAGCAGGGAAGAAAGAGGGAGGTGGAGAGCCACGGAGACGACTGGAGAGAATGCTATTGTACAGGAGATGTTGGACTCTGTGTATGTATCACAAGCTAATTAGGAGAACAGATTAAGCTGCTTTGGTGTCAAAATAGCTGTGGGGAAAACACCCTTAATAGCAGGTTGCAGATGAAAGAAAATGAAATGAGAGAGAAATGACGAACATTTTAAAAGAAAACGATCAGGCTGGAGGGAATGGAGAGAGGAGAATAAAACAGTGCATTTAAAAATTAAAGAAATTGGCATGGAGTGGCTTATGCAGGTCTGATGAGTGACAGTGGAAGACAGTCTAGTCTCACAGTTTCCTTAGCCTCAGTGTTTGCCATGTTCAAAGCCCCACAGTTTCTAGGGTACAGGAGACAGAAGAAGGAAGGTAGTAAGCAATTTGGAGTGAATCACCCAAGAGCAACTTCAGGGACCAGAGTGTGCTCTTTCCCTGCTCATTCTCAGCCTGGCCACTCCCTATGGTTTTCTGCCCTGTTTCCCTCTTCTCATTCCTCCCAGTGAGATCCCTGGTCATTCTATCCTCTCATGGATCACCATCCCTTAGTGGATGGCTCTCAGACCCGGGTCTCCAGCCCAGATGGACCTCCTGAATTCCCTAGCTGTTGCCTACCCCATCCTGCACTATCTCACCTAACACATCAAAAAGAAACTCATCTCCCTCTCCATGTGCCCGTCTCAGCACATGGTACCACCATCCACCCAATTACCTGGGCCAGAAAACTGGGAATTTTCTTGACTTTCCTCTCTCATATACCCATCAGTCAGTCACTGCATTTTATTGCCTCTACTCTCTACATATATCTCTAATCAGGTCAACATTTCTCTTTGCTTTACTGCCACTGTCCTGGCCATCACTTATCTGCACAACTGCAGTAGCCCAAAGAGTTGTTCTGCTCCATTCTTCCCACTTCCCAATCCATTCCGCACACAGCAACCTAAGTAGTCCTTCCAGACTAAATCTAATCATGTCACCTTCCTTCCTAAAAACCTTCAATGTTCCTTTTCTTTTCTGGTTATCTATTGCTACATAAGAAAAGACCCTAAAACCCAGTGCCTTAAAACAACCATTTTATTATATTTTATAATTTGTGGGTTAGGAATTCAGGCAAGGCTCAGCTGGGTGATTATTCTGTTCCATGGGGCATCAACAGAGGTCAGTTAGTGGTATCCAGCTGGTAATGGGCTTCACTCACAAATATGGCACTTTGCGGGGAAGGTCAGAAGGCTAGCCTCAGCTGGGGCTGTCAGCTGGAGCTCATACATGTGGCCCCTGCAGCATGGTGGTCTTAGGGTGGTTGGTCTTTTTACATGGTGGCTCATGGCTCCACAGGTGTGAGCTCTAGGGAACAAAGTATAAGCTGCATGGTGTTTTATGGCCTAGCCTCAGAAGCCATGTAGCACCATTTCCATACTACTCTGTTGGTTGAAGCAGTTACAAGCCTGCTGAGTTTCAAGGAGGGGGATATAGGCACGACCTCTCAGTGGGAGAAATGTCAAGGAATTTCCAGCCATGTCTTCTGACCACCCTCAGCGTGAAGAATGGCCTCTGAAGCATGGTATGTGTGGCCCTTCATGGGCTGGCTCCTGCTGATCTCCTTCCTGCCCAACATTCACAAACTCATTGCATTTTATGCTCTAAGGCTCCAGCCATCCTTAGTAACTTACAACTCTTTAAGTAGTCTGAGCTCTCTTGAGCTGTTGGACTCTTTTCTCTGTTTAGAATGACCTTCTCACTCTGTATTCATTTGACAAAATTATATTCCCATTCAAGTCTCAGCTTAAGTGCTACTCCTTGTAGGGAGCTTTCTCTGAATCAGTCCAGGTTAGATTATTTCCCAGGTGGTCAAATAATACTGATTACACAGTATTGTAACTGCTTATTTAACAGCCTACATCGCTCATTAAACTGAAAGTTGTTAGAGGGTAAGACTATTATTATTCATCTCTTTCTCAGAATTTAACACAAGATCTGGCACATATCAATCGCTCAGTAGATGTTTATTGAATCCCTTACCCTCTCTGTGTCTCAGTTTCCTCATTTTTAAATTGAGCAGGTTGGTTAACAATTGGAATGGCAACTAGGGTTATTTTATGTGCAGTTGTCTCATTTAGTTACTTAGCATAGAATTGGAAAGAATTCTGAAGTTATGACTGGATTCGTCAAGAAAGAAGATGGTGATCCATTAGTGACGTCTACCATGGGCACAGCAGAGGGAAGAGGCAGCATGTATGCTGTGCATTTGATGCACCTAGATTAGATCATCTCCAGGGCTTCTCTAGCTGTAAATGTCTGTCCATAGTTCTGTCTATATCACATTTATCTAGAATCCCACACTGTAAGAGCTGGGAGTTTCCCATGGTATCACTCAGTCCAATGTCTTCATTGCATGGATGAGAAAACTAAGACTCAGAGGGAATTAATTCACCTGGATGTCAGAACCTGAGTACAGGGACAGATCTAAATTGAATTAATTTGCACTTATCTAAGCCAAGCAGAAATAGAGGGTTATTATATAATAGATGCTAATCTCAGCTCAATATTAATTCTTCCTTTACCTACTCTGAGGTATTAGACAACTTGGCAATAGAACAAACTGGGTTTTAATCCTGGGCACAATCACTCACTAGCTGTGTGTTCTTGAGGAAATTACTTGACTTTTCTAAATTTCAGTTTCCTTTTCGGTAAATTGTGGATAATATCTATTGTATAGGTGAGACAATTGTAGGGAGAGCATTTTCACATTTCTGGAACACAGTAAAGACTCAAATGTTAGCTATTACTAGTAGTAGTAGTGGTAGTAGTAGTATGGCCACCTCTGGTATTATCACTAAGCTTTTTACCTGGCTTACTCCCTAAAGCTAGCACAGAGACCCAAGCAGTGTGGGTTGCAAGGCTTGGGGCACTGGTTATCTGGACTCTCAGGAGTGACTTGGTACTTGTTAAGGAAAATTTGAAGAATCCTATTTTCCCCAACCAACAGGCTTTGAAACTTAATGCAGTGACAAATTGTGGCTTGCTCCTGGGAAATGTTTCTAGACCACTATCAGAGCAGCCACATTTTCAATCAGGATTTCTATAAAGGAGAAAGGGCAGCTCATCTAACAGGCCAGATGCCTGATCAGATCTAAATAGTTTTGTCTTTGGGAAAGAGAGGGAAGAAATGGTAAAAGTCAATAGAAAACAGTTGACTTCAGACATATATATGAGATATATATATATATGAGATATATATATATATATGAGATTATATATATGAGATATATATGAGATATATATGAGATATATATATATGAGATATATATATGAGATATATATATATGAGAGATATATGAGATATATATAAGAGATATATATATATATATGAGATATATATATCTCAACCAGAGGGGACAGGATCAGAGTCCCCCAACGTTTGAGGTTTTTCACCAAAAGCTGAATATGAATGAATTAAGGTGAGCTGACTATAAAGTTTAAAAAATAAATAGTTCGGGAAAAATCAATAGAAGGTGATTATTGTAGATGCCTGGCATAGCAGTGAGGACTTGGGGAGCAGCAGGGAATGGTTAGGTGTTAATCTCATTTGGGGAGGGCTAATGCATGAAGCTCTCTAGGCAGCAATGACAAATGCACTTCTAATCATCTCCATATTAAATTTAGTATCAAGGGGAGGGGCACTTCTCTCTCTTCAGTTTCACAGGAATGTGATTAACATGGATATGAAAAAAGTTAAAGGAAACAGAATTTGATTTGAACTTCATAGCCTATTTCAGTGTGAAAATTAAGATGTATTTGTAGGGTTTTAGTGGATAAGTTTACAGGGATTCTAAATTGTGACTGAACCAATTCTATCTTGTACTTTTCTTCCTTCCTTTCCTGTTTCCTGGAGGTGTAAGTCTGCTGAGAATCAAGCAAAAGGAAGAAAAGAGCCAGCCCAGCCGAGGGCGAGCCTTGCTGGGATGGGGAGGAAAACCACTTTGGGAACATAGCAGTGTGAAGGATCTCAGGCTGGTTGTTGACAGGGGAAACGGACTCCTTGGTTTACCCTGAACCCTGAATGGGCGCTCTGAATTTGGAATAAGAGAGCTGGACACAAGAAGGAGGTTCTCTACAGTAATTCTAAATCTGATGGTCAGCAGTTGGCTTTAGTGCTGACATGTAATAGGCTGCAATTCCATTGACAGTGGTCCGGGTGGCACAACTCTGAATTTTCTTCTTCCTGAAGTCACTCTCCCTCACCTTGTGAGTGAAAGGTTTAGGATTCAAAGGCTGAGAACGTAAATGGCTGCCTATGGGCATCTGCACCTTGGAAAGAACTCTTCCCACCGAACAGAAACACACCATCAGTGACAATCCCCAGAAGGTGGTGCAGGGTTTGCATGCTAAGATTCTCTCCCTTAATTTTCACCTTTTTGGGGCATAGTGAAGGAAAAAAGGGGCAGAAGAAATCTGGACCTCTTCCCGCTTTGACAGTGAAGGCACCAGCACCTTTCCTGCTTTGCATTTTGAACACAGGCTGTGCTTTGTGGCTGTCATGCTATGGTGTTTCAGACTTACTTTTTATAAGAGGTACCTTTTTGGAGTGTGCTTACAGATTTATCCCCTTTAGGGATGGGCCTTCTTTGAACATGCTCTACCTTTAGTAAGTAATTTAAGGAACACAGACCATTGGTCTGGCTACATGTTAGAAAACAGTGTAACTAAAGGGATGGGTTTAATTGGGAAATTGACCCAGAGCTCAATTTAGCATCGTCATCCAGGCCAGACGGGGTCAGGGTGACGTCAGTGGGAGTCTGGCTGCCTCAGGAGTTGGGGACAGAGCTTGCTTGATTAAGGTGTTTCCTGGGAAATGAAATTAAGCCTAATGATTTTCAATGAAAGGGACTGCTAATTGGGGAGGCAGTGCTGCTTAATTGGGATCATCTGCAGGTAATTAAAGGCTTCCTCCTGATGGCCTTCCCTGCTTATGACTCTGGGAGGTTAAGATAATGTGAGTGATACAGACGTTCTCAGCCCCCTGTGCAGAACCTCTCCCTTGGACAGAGGGCCAAGGCAACCCAACTAGGGTACCTTTCTAGTCCTTGGAAAATAGTGCTTAGAGTGATGTCTTCCATAGACCCTCAGAAGCCTGGGCGAGTTTAGGTCTCTGGAGCAAAGCTGCTGCCAGGGAGTCTGTGAGCCCCCTGGAAAGGGGAGAAAAAGGCAATGAGGTTACATGGCATGCCAAGGAGGTGTTCTGTGTTTTGGTGTTGACACCCTGACCTCAGAGACCTTTGTGTCATATAATTCTGGCTGAGTAGGACGAAAAGTTGACAATGTGATTTTCTGTAGAGATAGGTGTCCTGACCCATGTGGGAAGGAAGTCCTAGTATAAAACACTCTGAATTAGGAGTTGAGAAAACTCATTTCTAGTTCCAAATGTACTGCCAACTGGCATTGTGACTCTTTCTCTTTAAGCCCCAGTTTTCTCATCTATAAAATGGGAATGGTTATACCTAACTATGGACTATGTAAATATCCTTTCATTCTAGGTATCGGGTAAGGCCTGGGGAACGATGAAATTTTAATCTGTGTTTTACGGAACTCAGTCTAGTGGGGAAGACAGACCTGTAAATCAACAATTGCCATTTGGTGTTACAAGCCCTATTGGGCAATAGAGGAAGAGGTCAGTCATCAGAGAAGGCTTCCGAAAGAAGGGAACATGAAGTGAGTTTTTCAAGAGAAGTTTTATGACTGGATGATGCAGTTGGAGAAAGCATGCCAGGCAGAGAGAACAGGGTGTGCAAAGACACAGGCATGCAAACCCTAGGGCACATTCTGGGGATTGTCCCTGGTGGTGCATTTCTGCTGGGTGGGAAGGATGTGCATTTTGGGGAAGGAGAAGAGAGGGGAGGAAATGAAGCAGTGGCGGTTACAGGCGACGGATCACAAAAAGCCATGTATGCTACTTAGGGAGCTTGCTTGGACTCTCTCTAACAGGCAGTTGGTGGTCACCAAAGAGTGTTAAATGTAGGAGTGACAGGTCAGGACTGAGTTAGAGAAAAGCCACTGATAGAATTGTGCTCTCAGGCCGGGCACAGTGGCTCACACTTGTAATCCCAGCACTGTGGGAGGCTGAGGTGGGCTGATCATCTGAGGTCAGGAGTTCAAGGCCAGCTTGGCCAGGATGGCGAAACCCTGTCTCTACTAAAAATACAAAAATTAGTCAGGCATGTCGCATGCCTGTAGTCCCAGCTACTTGGGAGGCTGAACCAGGAAAATTGCTTGAACCTGGGAGGCAGAGGCTGCAGTGAGCTGATATCGCGCCACTGCACTCCAGCCTAGGCGACAGAGAAAGACTCCGTCTCAAAAAAAAAAAAAAAAAAAAAAAGAGGTGTGCTCTCAATCTGGGAGCTGGATTGAAGAGGCAAGAGGCAGGGACACTGCCAGGAAAGTTCAGAAGGCAGGAGGTGAGTCCCTAAATTCAGGCAAAGGCAGTGGGAACAGATGAGGAAACAATTTGAGTTTGTATCATGAGTTGCATTGTTTGCTCGTGTATATTTTTAAGCTTCTGAGAACTCTGGAATCACAAGCTTCATTATAGCCCCTTTGTTCACACTTCTTTACCTGCTCTAACCCCACACTCTGAAGAGAGAGGCTCCGGGATCTGACTTTCCAAAGGAAACTTTGGTGAGGCTTTGGACTCCCCACCCAGTTTCATCGGTAAGAGGAGTGAGATAGGACCAGAATTTGGGGCCTCTGGCCTCCCCAGGAGGCTTAGGAAAGAGAGGTCTGGCAACAGGCAGGAACCCAGCCCAGCTCTTGAGTTTCAGCGGCTTTTGAAAAACATGTGATGAAAAGCAGCCGAGACTGGAAGCACAAAGGTGAGCTGGAGCCGTGGGTAATTGCAGCTTTCACTGGGACTGCCATCTCATGTTCTCTCCTTTCATACCTGGCAGTTTGGGTAATAGGCAGAGCATTCATGTTGCAATGGATAAGGTAGGGTCCCATTTCCAATTTTTTTTGAAAAGCTGTTCCCAAGAGTTGGGTCACCTTAAAGACTCAGTATCAACTGTTGGTGCCAATGCAGACTCTTGGGACTAAAGCTATTACCTTCTAACCCCATCAAAAAGCATCTTCAGTGTTGAAGTTTTTTGAAGTGTTCAGCTATGATTCTCTATAAAGTGCCTCTTTGAATAGCTTCTGTGCAGAGTATGAGTTAATGGGGCTGAGATAAACTAGGTGGGGTATTTCTTGCCTTTCCATCTGAAATCTTAACTGATCCACACCTCCTCTTTTCTTTTTTTCCTTTTTTCTTTTTTTTTTTTTTTGAGATGGAGTCTTGCTCTGTCGCTCAGGTTGGAGTGCAGTGGTGCGATCTCGGCTCACTGCAACCTCTGCCTCCTGGGTTCAAGTGATTCTCCTGCCTCAGCTTCCCGAGTAGCTGGGATTACAGGGGCCCATCACTATGCCCAGCTAATTTTTGTATTTTTAGTAGAGACAGGGTTTCACCATGTTGGCCAGGCTGGCCTCGAACTCCTTACCTCAAGTGATCTGCCCACCTCGGCTTCCTAAAGTGCTGGGATTACAGGCGTGAGCCACCACGCCTGGCCCTCTTCTTAACTCTTACAGCACTGACTATCTGTATCACCCCTCAGCAAAGAATGCCCTAGGCCGAGATTGAAATGTATGTGTGTGTTCATGGGAAAAGGACTGCTTGGGTACATTTTCAGAATTCTCATTCCAAAGAGCAAGTTCAATTCCTTTCAATTTGTTTTGTTTCCATTTGAAGTCCTCGGTTAAAAGAACCGGATTAGAACAAAAGTGTGAAAGGGCCTTTTCCTCTGTGGAAACCACAGGTTGACCTGCCTTTTCCCTCCAGCCCCTAGAGGGCAGGAGCCTGTGTTTTCTCCACATTGCTGGGTGGAGTGAAGCACCCATTAGTTCTTTAGGACAAACTTTACACCATTGACCACGTAAAACTGATCCACCCAGGGTGTGTGAGTTTGTCTTATTACCTTTGTACACTCTTGCTGGATGAATGAATTAATGTACTTTATTCTAGGAAAGTGTTTCCCAAAAGGGAAACATAGGAGCTGTGCTATAAGATTTATGCCCACACATCTTCTCCAAGCTTTTGAAAGAGCTGTCCTACATAAGCACCTTCTCACTGAGCTTCAGATAAAGCCCAGCCTCTTCACCATGGCCCAGCCTCTGTGGACTCTGTGGCTTCATCTGGCTCTGCTGTCCCCGTTCTTGTTCTGTTTCAGCTACACAAACCACTTGTCATAATCCCACTCCAGCAACACAGCACAGATGGTTACTTTGACTGGGAGGTTCTTTTCCTCCACGTCCAGTTAATTCCTAGTCATCTTTTAGCTGGCCCTGGGGAGGCCTTCTCTGACCCCTAATCTACATTAGGTTCCCTATCTATTCTCTGTCATCAACCCCCATACTCTTATATCCATTATTAAAACGTGTCCTTCCATATTTATGTGTGAGATTATTGGCTTAGCCATTCTCCATGTCTAGACTCTAAACTCACATGGGCTGCACCTTCTTCTGTCTTAGTCGCCACTAAATTATAGTGCCCTGTACAGGGCCTGGCATATAGTGGGTGCTTAACATGTATCTTTGAGGAAGTGAATAAGATGTTGACTCTTAGTTCAGTGTAGCAGCCAAGGCGGCCAGAACTGGGAAGCATTAGCTACGGTGCAAACAAGCCTAGGTCGGGCCCATCCTAGGAGCAATGATGGCCACAATGCTTCTAGAACTTTCCTGCCTTTACCCAGTAGGGGCTATTGGAGCAGAGCAAAGAGGCTCGTGCCAGCATCTCAATGCTTCTGACTCAGTAGTAGTTCTGTATTTGCTTCTCTCATCCTTTGACTCCTGAAGTACCCTTGGTACTTTTTTCTGTCTTTGAATGGTTTGCTGGTCTGATGGGCTGGGAGCCAGTATGGGGAGGGAGGAGGGATGAGCTTGTTTGGCCAGATTGGAGGCTGGCAAAACAGTTTTCTTAGCAGGGTGTCTGTTGATGAAATACCTAGAGCCAGTTGTGAGAGGTTATTAATCTCAATTAAATCTGATTATGACATGATTGGATTTGGGAAGAGACTGTCCAAGTCAAGCCTGGCCCTCTTGACGTTTACTCAATGGCAGGATCATATCACACAGACTGGTGTCCACAACGGACAGAAGGAGAACCTCTGATACCTCCAGGAAAGAGGGTCTGGGTGTCATGGATATTCAGGTCCCCAGCCCCAGAAGGCTTCACAGATTGTAGGGGTCTAACTGCTGCTGGCTTTTTGTTGAGATATGACATTCATTTTGGGAAGTTTATTAATCACTACAATTATGGAATTATTACTTGAAAAATGCCACTTTCATTATCTTCACAGGAAGGAGGTATTGGTAGAGGACTTGGTCCTCAGCATTAAGCCAGAAGAGCAAGCTGGCACCAGTAACTTCCCAGGTCCTGCTGAAGGCCCGATGGATTCCTGAAGAGACAGGAGTATTGACCTGACCTGGTGGGCTGCTAAGGGCTCCAGCTGTTGAAAACCATGGCTCAGCCTGCTGTTATCATAGGAAACAATGAATGGGTCGTGAGCTTGTGGGCCAGACTGGCTGGGCCAACTGTGAAACTATTAGGTGCCAGCCTGGACTCAGAACTGCAGAGGGCTGGGGAGCCATTAGCTACTGAGTGCTAGAAAAATGTTAACAGATGAATCCTTGCCTTTGTACAGAACATGTGCCTGAAAGTACAGGTGAAAATCAAATAGGTCCAAGGTGAACAATAGACTTATGTGTTATAACGGAGTCTGTTTTCAGAGAACAGGAAAGATCACAAAAATTTAACATATTTAAGCATTTAAACATTATTGATAATAGTGTGGTAATGCGTTATGCGTCTGGCCTTGTAGAAATTTTTCATTCATTGTTATCTCCTTTCTCACTCTCTTTTCTTTTGGTTATTTATACTTAAAAATTATTTTACTTTCGGGCCGGGTGCGGTGGCTGACGTCTGTAATCCCAGCACTTTGGGAGTCCGAGGAGGGCGGATCATGAGGTCAGGAGATCGAGACCATCCTGGCTAACATGGTGAAACCCTGTCTTTACCAAAAATACAAAAAAATTAGCCGGGTGTTGTGGCGGGCACCTGTAGTCCCAGCTACTCGGGAGGCTGAGGCAGGAGAATGGCGTGAACCTGGGAGGCGGAGCTTGCAGTGAGCCGAGATTGCACTACCGCACTCCAGCCTGGGCGACAGAGCAAAACTCCGTCTCAAAAAAAAAAAAAAAATTATTTTACTATCATTTTAGTGGGATTTTCAGAGGGAGAAGAGACAAATGCTTGTGGTCAAATTTTTGAAAAATATTTTTGTTCTTTTTCAAAATTAAACATGTAGTTGACTGGCTTAGGTCCAGCAAGTACTATTCTGCTTTTGTATCATCAAGGAAACTTCATCTTTTTCTAAACTGTACAGTGCTTATATGCTGTTTTTCCTCTAGTAATAGGTCTTTGGTTTTATCCCCCTATAATCTAATATTAAAGAATTTGTAAAAATAAGGAACAACACACAAATATAGTAAAGCTAACAAAACTGAACTGCTGTTTGGGGAACAAGGCCACCCAGTAATAACTTGAAATCTTTGTCCATTAGTTAGGAAAGTCTACCTTTGGAGAACAAAGAACAGATTAGAAATGACAATGTATAAGATACAAAAGTTAGATGTGGACATTAAGGGCTGTTAGTAGACAAAACTAATGAGGTTTCCTATTGTGCTTCTCCCCACCTGCCTTCACTCCAGTGTGTCTGCAGGACTCCAGCAACCCACTAGCTCGAGCTCCTTTCATCCTTCAGCACCCAGCCCAGACAGTTCTGCCACTGAAAACCTTCTCTCTTTGATCCTGGCAAGGCAAATTGCTCTGCAGATACTTTGCTCTTGCTTTGTTTTTCAAATCCTTATGGTGGTTTCCAAATGTCCTTCTGTGAACTGGTGCTAAGCTGTGATAAAATTTCACTGGTCTTTAGAAAAATTAGAAAAATAAGGAAATGTAAACTGTGTATTTGTGTGTGTTGTGGGTACACACATGGTGTGAAATGCCAACTCTTTTTTTCTGGTGAGGAGTGGCCTTCATTATGAAACTGTCCTTTATTTTTATTCTTAGATAATAAGGAAATGTCTTTCACAAAATAGTGATGTTAGTATATTGTAGACAAACAAATGTTTGCTTGGCAAAATAACAGGTTGTAAACATCAGAAGCCAAGCTCAGAATTAGGGTACTAGAATGTCACATGGGAGCAGTCATTGCAATAAACCACCTGATACAGTTAGGCTGAGTCCCCACCCAAATCTCATCTTGAATTGTAGCTCCCATAATCCCCATGTGTCATGGGAGGGACCCAGTGGGAGGTGATTGAATCATGGGGGTGGGTCTTTCCCTTGCTGTTCTTGTGATAGTGAATAAGTCTCATGAGATCTGATGGTTTTATAAAGGGCAGTTCCCTCCACACACTGTCTTGCCTGCCACCATGTAAGACGTGCCTTTGCTCCTCCTTTACCTTCTGCCATGGTTGTGAGGCCTCCCCAGCCATGTTGAACTGTGAATCCATTAACCTTTTTTTCTTTATAAATTACTCAGTCTCAGGTGTGTTTTTATTAGCAGCATGAGAACAGACTATTACACCACCTATGGAATTAGCTACATCTTTTGCACTTAGTCTTTGCCTTTCTTACAGCAAATATCTCTGTCACGAATTCTCGTTCCTATGCTGAGTGTGTAGGGTCTTCAGAAGACACTCAGCACACCCCTGGAAATTAATGGATGAATGGATCACATTCCCTGGCTGCTGGGTTAAGCTTATGAGCTTGCTTTCAAGGGGTTGGAATTACTTGTATGGGACTCAGGTCTTGCTGTTAATATCATTGTTGTGTATTTGGTGCCAGGACACTTCCCTGCCTTTCCATTCCTCCTGCAGCTTTTATAGGGAGGCCAGCCCCAGCTTGGCAGCATCCCAGGGACCAAAATTCTTCTAGTACTTCCTCTTCCTTCCTCCTCAGCGTAACCCACATCCTTCCCTTGCCTCTCCCACTTAAGGGATTTCCCTAAGGGACCCTGTTTGATTCATCACCACATCTTTACTCTCTTCTGGCAACAAGCCCAATGCCTGGAACAGAGTAGGCACTCAGTCAATGTCTATAGAATGAATAGTAAAGAATCACGCCTAGAAATTTCACAGTACATATAATTTGCAGGTGCCTCCATGCTTTCATCATTTACTAGAAAAAACAATGAACATTGAGAACTTTGTAAATCACAAATCCTAAGAAATTCATGGATGACCTTGTGTAAGAATTTGTGAACCTCTTAAAATTATGTGAAAAATCTTATGTATGGTTGATGAATGTGCATTTTTCTGGGGAAAATAATTTTCATGACTACACCTTTAAAAGGTTAAGAGCCATCAAAAAAATGAGGCTTGGACCTATGCACAAATACACCTGAATATACATTCTAAGATGGGAAGTGCTGTATCGATACAAGAAATTGTTATTATTGTCTTCGGGAGTCTTGCTTTGGGATACCTGACCTTCTGCCCTGACCACATTTTTTTGTTGTTGCCATCCTTTCTTGGAAACTCTATAGCTTTGGGCTCTAGCATTTTACCACTGGAAATGAAGCCTGGAATTTTAGAGTCAGAGTCACCGAGCTTACTACATGAACCTAAAGCTCCAGGTGACTCAGAAAGATTTTTAGGTTAATAACTAACTGGATTGGATAGAGTGTTTTGTTTCACAAACATGATCATAATTTGCTCTTATTTACTTTTAAATTATAAATGATTATTCAGTAGTTTTTCCACCTTTTTAAATGGGCTCTTGAAAACATTGCTTTAATGAAATATAAAACTTAAAAGCAGCTGTGGTGTTGGTATGTAATGATTGAAGTGTAATTAAGAGTTGTAATTATTCCCAATTAGGCATTTGGAATGCCAAAGTAGGAGCCCTAATCAGCTCAATGTGCAAGGGAGGATCAGACTTGAAACAAGGACAGGGTATGGGGTGGGGAGGGGTTGACTTAGGGACCCCCAAGCATTGAATTGAAGAGGTCTGGTCATGGGATGGCCCATCTAGGGATGGATTCCTCATGTGTGGTGGGATGGTAGAGGGAAGGAAGGCCCCAGCCTTCTCAGGTTTAAGGAGGAAAGAAAGCCCTGCTCAAGGGAAGGTGCTTCTAATGAATGTTCCCCTGGACTTCTGAGCCTTAATTACTCCAGAATTACTCTGGAATAACTTCCTTCCCTTATGAAAATGTAAGTCACTTGAGGGCATAACAGGGACCAGAAACTCCATCCTCTATAGCCCACAGGGACACCATGACCTGGTGTCATCTCCAAGGATGCCAGCTTTCCCTACTCCCACAATTTTGTGCTGCCTTACCCTCACCTGCCTTCCCCAAGACTCCACTAGAAACCTTTCCCCACTTTCTTTTCACAGTTAATATGACAAGGGTTCTGTATTACCATGGCCCTTGGGCCTCCCATGGGCCCAAAGGAGTAGGAAACTCCATTACCTACCTGTCCTTCCTCTAGGAAACTTGGTGTAGATCAGAAAATGTGGTGGTGACTTCCCACTTCTGCTCTGGTTATGAGTCTTCCTGGGGACAAGGGAGGCCGCAGAATCTTTTCCTGCTGTTAGCTCATGAATGAACCCAACTTATGACTTGATGACATGGAATTAACATGGGCAGCAATGGCTTAATGCCTGTATCATTTGGCTTGTGAGGATGGTCCTGCTGATGTTGTTATTTCCCTTGAGCCCTTCTCCTGGATGACACTGGTGCCTGGACCAGGGTAGAGCAGGAGGCAAGTCTGAGAAATGGCATGCCTGACAGACCCATCAGCTGGGAGTGCAGGCACATGTCACAGAGCCATGGTGGGATATGGCTTGAAAGATCCCTTACAACCAGCTCACACTAGTGGACTTTGACACTTGGGTTTTATTTACCAATGTGGGTTAGTATGGGCTCACTGGAGGATTTTGAATAAAGGAGGGACCTGGCCAGAGTTGGGCTTTGGAAGATTTGTCAGGCATCCTGTTTAGGGGTGTCGATAGGTGCGGGGAGCCTGGAAGCAGGGAGATGTACTGGAGACCGCTGTTCAGTCCAGGGAGTGGTGGTGATGAACTGGGAGCAGGCTGGCCTGGGAATGGCATGGGAGGGCCGTGGGCTGAAAGGTCGATGGGTAGGGTGTGGGGAATAGCAATAGAGGAGCCCAGGTGCCTAGAAGGATGGCACAGGGGAGTAAGGAGGAGGGGGCCAGGCAGAAAAGTCAGGGTTGGGATATTTTGAACTTGGATAATTGGAAGGATTAAAAGAGAGAGAGAGAGAGATATGTGAGACTATTTGGGAATGAGAGCAGGAAGAGACTGAGTTTGGGATGAATCATATTGTTTGAGAGAATGTCCAACCAGCATGAGGAGTATGGGAGCTGGGTTGGAGCATCTGGGTTGGGAGAGAGCAGAGTGAAAATGCAAGAGGATGAGGACCAAGTCCTTTGCATGGGGGCGGGGCTGCCTGTGTGAACCCAGAGCCAGAAAAGAGCCAGGGGAAAAACAGTTCTGCTGGCCAAGCTGATGGCTTTCTTGGGACCTTCATCCTTAAGGACTGGAGCAGCTTGGGTTGGGTCTGTGGACTCACTGTGACTCTGGTCTGTTGAGGGTATTAAAGGAGGCTCCCGTGCTGGTTAGTAGGCTCTGACCCCAGAACTGGGCAGATCTGAGTTCTAATCCCATTGTACACTTCTAGCTGTACAGCATTGGCTAACTTACTTAACCTTCTGGATGTCAATTTTCTTGTTTGTAAAATAAGACCTGCCTCATAGGTCTTGCAGCTAATATTTACTGAGCACCTTTGGTGCCTTAAGCATGGTGGGTTTACAGAGATAAGATGTGACACATCTCTGCCTTCAAGCCATTCACCACTTAGAGGAGAGAGAGACAGAACACCAAACACAATAAAATGTGGTGGGTGCTACAGAGCCTGGACCAGGGAGGGTTAGGAACTTGTGGGAGGGTCATCAAAACTGGACTCGTGTGTGTGTGTGTGTGTGTGTGTATGCGCGTGTGCGCATGCACATTTGTGTGTCAGGGGTGGGAGAGTGCGTGTGTGTGTGCATGTGTGCGTGCACATGTGTGTATCAGGGGTGAGAGAGGAAGTTTTCTGGAGGGAATGTTGCAGATAAATTTTGAAGGTAAGGCCAAATGCTTCTCAACCTTGGCTGCCCACAAGGAACCACCTGGGAGTCAGGGCTCCACCTTGACCACCTTGACCAATTAAATCAGGATCTCGGAGTGGGGGTTGAGGGGTGGGTTGGATAGGGTCCGGTCATTGGTATGATTTTAAGGCATGCTTGTGATTCTCATGTGCAGCTAAGATGGAAAACAACTGAATTAGCCAAAGGGGGAATGGGGAAGAGAAAGTGAATCCCACCAGAAAGTGTTGTGTATGAAATCTCAGAGGGGCAAGAGGAAAAGATTCAGAGGGACTGCACAAATTCATTTAGTATGTGGTTTTAAAAACTGGAGTTCGTAGTTTGTTAGTGAGTCATGAAACTGATTTACCATGTCATGACCTGCTTTAAAAAACAAATAGAATGGATGGAATTGAAAATATCAGGGCACACAGTACATAGTAAAGATCACTGTTTCCAGAAACTTTTGTCTCACAAACACATGTGGTGTGTACCCTGGGCCCTGCAAATGTACCTCTTGCCCTGGGCACAGTCACAGGCTTCTGGGAATGCCAGCTCAGCTGGACTGAGTGCAGGAGTTGGGTGGTGATGGGGAGGTGATGAGGACTGGGCTGCGAAAGGCACTTGGGCTCTGTCCCTAGGAGAGGGTGGAGCCTTTGAAGGGTTTTTAACAGACAGCAACAAGGTCACCTCTGCATTTCAGAGCCATCCCTCACCTGCAGTGCAGTCTGCAGCGGGAAGAGAGGCTGTGGCTGCGCAATGGCCTCAAGGGAGGTGATCGGGTGTGACTGGCAGCAGCTCAGGGAAGGAGTGGAGGGGACACAACAGGAGGACACTGGGGCTGATGGATGGACCTTGACCTCTGCCCTCATCTTTCCATTATTATTATTATTATTATTATTATTATTATTATCATTATTATTATTATTATTATTTTTGAGACAGAGACTTGCTCTGTCACCCAGGCTGGAGTGTGGTGGTGTGATCTCGGCTTATTGCAACCTCCGCCTCCCAGGTTCAAGTGATTCTTCTGCCTCAGCCTCCTGAGTAGCTGGGATTACAGGAGACTGCCACCACACCCAGCTAATTTTTGTATTTTTTTAGTAGAGACGGGGTTTCACCATGTTGGTCAGGCTGGTCTCAAATTCCTGACCTCAAATGATCCGCCTGCCTTGGCCTCCCAAAGTGTTGGAATTACAGGCGTGAGCCACTGTGCCCAGCCTGTCTTTGCCTTATTGCTCTTTCTGTGTCTAGTCCCTCAGTCTCTAGCCAAGGCACAGACAGTACCTCCGGCCAATCACAAGGGCTTCATTCATGACCTTGGTAGCATTTTTCTCTCATCTCTCTACCCGCTTTCTGTCTCCATCTGGGGAGTTCAGCATCACTTCAATGACTCAAGCAGGAGGGGAAGAAACCTCCGGAATCTTTCTTTAAAGGAAGGCTTTTTTTTTGGGCTTCCTGCTCCCCTAGATGCAAAAATAGCAGAACAGATGTAACTAATGCTTTAAGAGAAAATTTCCTTTGAGCTGATATCAAACATGAATGTTGGGCCCTGATGGGGATGTTCAGAAAGTTCTAGGTTGGAAAACACTCCATTTTATCTCATTTAAGGATGGGTGCTCTGTGGGCTGTCTCTTATCAGCAGGATTTGTGGGGACTTTGTGGTGCTAGAGGCTCAGATGAGGGGTGGGAGCAGTCAAGCTACAACCTTCCTCTGCATATCCCTCCTGGGCTACGTTCTGGGGATAAAAGAAGAGTAACAGGCAGCACCTGCTGTGAGGACACTTGTGGTGAGTGAGTGGCACCACCAGCCACCGTGAGCCACCTCCTACAGCCCCTCCCCACCTGGGCCACCCTGGCCCCCTTGCTGTTCCTGCCATACCCACCACTGCCTTAGGGGTTTTATTTCTGCTCTTCCCTCTGCTTGGAATAGTCCTCCCCCAGATCTTCACAAATGTCTCTGCTCACATGCCACCCTTCCTGCAGGTGGTCTTTTCTGACCACCAAGATACATTTTTCTTCCAACTTTTTAAAATTTGAGCCAGGGTCTTGCTCTGTTGCCCAGGCTGGAGTGCAGTGGTGTGTCCCTGGTTCACTACAGCCTCAAACTCCCGGGCTCAAGCAATCTTCTCACTTCAGCCTCCTCAGTAGCTAAGACTAAGGGTACATGCCACCATGCCTGGTTAATTAAAAAATTTTTTTTTTTTGTAGAAATGAGATAACACTATGTTACCCAGGCTGGTCTGGAACTCCTCCTAGCTTCCCAAAGTGTTGGGATCACAGGTGTGAGCCACCATGCCCAGCCTCTTCCCAAACTTTTTCTCTCTCATCTTGCTTTAATTTTCTTTAATTGCCCTGGCCCCTACCTGAAATAATCCATTTGTTAGTTTTTGGTGGCCTTTTCCCTCAACTAGAGGGCGAGTTCCATGAAGGCAGGGACCATGTCTGTCCAGGTCTGCCTCGTTCACTGCTGTGTCCCTTGTGCTGGAACATGTGCACGTGCAGTGCATGTGGCATGAGGCAACTGGTGCTGAATAAATATTTCTTTAATGAATGGGTGGTAGATGTGGGTGTCACTGATGCATTGACACATTCATTCTGCATTCAACCATGTGTGAAACACCCTGCTTGCTGGTGAAGGAGGTTTAGGAAGCTTGGTTCACGTCCTGGAGCTTTTGTGGGAGACAGCCACTTGCGGTGTGACACCACATGGTTTTGTACCCAAGTATCTTCCCCTGGGGCTGTGATATGGTTTGGTTCTGGGTCCCCACCCAAATCTCATCTCAAATTGTAATCCCCGTAACCTCCATGTGTCAAGGGAGGGACCTGGTGGTAGGTGATTAGATCATGGGGGTGGTTTCCCCCATGCTGTTCTTGCGATAGTGAGTGAGTTCTCATGAGACCTGATGGTTTTATAAGTGTTTGACAGTTCCTCCATCACATGCTCTCTCTCACCTGCCACCATGTAAGACGTGCCTACTTTCCCTTCCGCCATGATTGTAAGTTTCCTGACGCCTCCCTAGACATGCGGAACTGTGAGTCAATTAAATCTCTTTTCTTTATAAATTACCCAGTCTCAGGCAGCTCTTTATAGCAGTGTGAAAATGAACTCATACAGGCTGAGACTTTGCTCAGAAGGCACCCTACTTCCCTTGGGGCTTCCAGATGGGTTTTAGTGGTTTGTCCTGGGGGACTGACAATAGGGGTCCAGGTCCATGCTGAAATCAATACGTAAGTTCTGTCCGAATAGGCACTGTGGTTTTGTAAGCACATGTACCACCAGGCTCAGATCTGGGACTCAGCTGTGCCCCACTCCTTGCTCCTGCAGCCTATGTCACAGCCTCCTTCCCGTGTGTTCTCAATGCCTCCCTCCTCTGCACTGAGGCTGAAATCTCCACTTCCTTTCTTTGTTTCCTCTGTCATCCTTTCAGCTGGATTTTAGGCTGATAGGAGTTTCAGGTCATAAACTCAGAGGTGTATTGTGTCTCATTTTCTGTAAATCTGAGTCCCTATCCTACCAGGCTGGCAGAAACTTGGGCTCAGTCATTCTTGAGTACTGCCTCTCCTCAGGCAGTGCCAAGGGCTTGGGAAGGCTCTGCCATTGGCCACTGAGCTGCCGTCTTTCCAGCCACATGGTCCCCTAGGTCCGAGTTCTGCTGTTTCTTCCCACACTAGGGCCTTGAGCCTCCTGTCCAGTCTGCCTACTGCGTAGGGATGGTTATTCCCACTGCACACTTACACCATGTGTGTTTACAAAGAGAAACAGGAGGCCTTGTCCCTGCCCTCAGAGATCAACCTGTGTAGCTGCAAGTCACAAAGCTCCACATGTAAAAAGGACAGGCAGTAGATCATGTGTTAAAAAGACCAAAGATGGCCAGGTGAGGTGGCTCATGCCTGTAATCCCAGCACTTTAGGAGGCCGAGGCAGGCAGATCACGAGGTCAGGAGATCAAGACCATCCTGGCCAACATGGTGAAACCCCGTCTCTACTAAAAATACAAAAATTAGCTGGGCATGGTGGCGCGTGTCTATAATCCCAGCTACTTGGAAGGCTGAGGCAGGAGAATCGCTTGAACCCAGGAGGTGGAGGTTCAGTGAGTTGAGTCGCGCCACTGCACTCCAGCCTGGTGACAGAGTGAGACTCCGTCTCAAAAAAAAAAAAAAAAAAAAAAAGACCAAAGACTCCAGCAGTTGGGAGGAAAGCAAGGGTGGGGAGGGTTGGAGAGATGCTGGACGGCTCCTTGCAGGGAGAAAATGGTAAACCTGCATTTGGAGAGTGGGCTGACTTGAGGGTTTTTGTGTGGGGGTTGGGGAGTTTTGTATGAGGGATGGAGAGAACTTAATCCCCATCCCCCATACAAAACCCAGCCATCCAGCTCCGCAGCCAATATGAGGTGAATTTGCTGAAAGAAAGAACCAACGTGACCTATTGAACTCTGAAGAACTTGAAAAGTGTGCTTGGCTATTTCTGCATCAGTATTCTCCCCCCTGCTGCCAGCCAGGCCTGACAAAGTTGGGTTTGAGATGCTGCATCTCTGGATGGCTTTGCCTCTCTTTAAAACAGTGTGTGGCTTTGAAATGTAATATAACAAGTTCGCCTGTCACAGGCCTGAGCAGTTCCTCAGCTGTCGCCCCCAGCTCTGCTTCTGCTGCAAAGGGGCCACATTAGAATCCAACCCCGGAGAAAATGAATCTGGAGTTTGTGGAAGACGGCAGGTGCTTTTTATAGCTTTCAATGGATTTTGAGTGGTGCACAGAACTGACAAACCACCTCTCGAGGCAACAGCTCCTCTGGACACAGTGTTTTGAAAAGGATTCATTTCCACTTAAATGATGGCATTTTAAGTATTTTTTTCCACATTCTGTACCCCCTGTCTTCCTTTTTCTTTTCTGTAGGAAGAGTGTAATGTGAATTAAAATTGCCTGGGAAAGTCTAGGCATAAATATTAAAATGTTTGGATGCTGGTTAAAGGAAATTTATGTTTACAATTTCCCTCTGTTGCAGAAGCTTGCTTTTATTTTTAGCGGAGGTTCTTATCCCTGACTTCAGAAGATGTTCTTCTTGGTGTTTCTCCCTCTTTCTCTATAATCCCTCTGTCCTGTTCTGCCACATCTCTGTGTCTGGTGGTCTTGGGAACAAGTGCCCATCATCTACAAAGCAGGGGAGCAACATTCTAATGGCCATAGGGCCTGTAAGTAAGCAAATATTGGAAAGGGAAGCTGCTGCACCTCCAGCTGACGGTCATCACAAGGACACAGAGCTGAGGGTAGGGGGAGGCCTCTGAGTTTTCATCCAGATTGTAAGGTGAAATTTCTTGAATTTTAAATGTAGGTAACTAAAAAACAACCCCACTATGTGGCTGAATAAAACACACTCATCAGATCCAGTCCTGAGGCTACCAGTTGGCAGCCTCTGCCATAGATGCATTAGGCCAGTTATGGCAACTTATCACACAGCGATAAGCCCAAATTACCCGCCAGCATAAGGAGTTCTCTCGGCGCTTGCAGACCTGCTTGGCCGGCAGCTGCCTCTTTAGGGACAGTTTTAGTTTGAAAGAGTAACCTTGTGGCATAGAAGAAAGAGCCTCAGCTCTCGTACTTTTGTTCAAGTTCTGCAACTTCCGGGGCCAAGTGACCTTGAGCAAATTTCTTGAACCTCATGGGTCTTATTCCTCTAATCTTTTAAATAAGAAAAATTATATCTGAATTACCTACTAGGTTTTGTTCGAGGCAAAAAGGATCACATCAGTAACCATGACTGGAAAAGTGCCGATACCAATTGCTGTTCTTGTTTTGTGTGGCCAGCATGTGGTGGGAAGGAACTGTGAACTTGAAAAGATGCCTACTCCATGCCTGTCCAAGTTCCCGCCTGGTTCTTAGTTCTGGCCTAACCCCTAGGGAAGTGAGGCTTTCTGTCTGTAGCAACATGATTTCCCAAAGCCATCCTGGCACAGACCACAGAAGGCAGAGCAGGGACGGGCAGGCAGGAAGCAGGAGCACCTCGGATCCTGCCCCACCTCACAAGGCTCTGTGGCTCAGAGTATCTTGAAGAACTGCGTCTTTACCAGTTTGTTTAAATAGAACATTTAAACACAGAAACATGATTTAGGATAGTGTTTCCCAAACTGCTGTTCTAAGGCATACTACTCTCTAGGAAGTTGAAGGAGAGGAGAACAGGATTTCATACTCAGCTAAGCTGGGAAACATCGCATTAAAATTAAACAGGTTTCTTTCTTGCAGGATGGTGAGTTCTTTTTTTTCTTACGCGAATGCATACTGTGAGGTAAGAGTTCACTGTATTTTCAAACTTTTACTTACAAGCTCTCATTGGCATTTCATTAAGAGGCAGTTTGTGTAATGTTGACCTAGGTTAGCTCATGCATTTCTTCTCTCCACAGAATTTTGTTGCATGCCACTTGAGTACTGGGGGATAAATGAGCCAAAGCAGACCTAGTCTTGGGTCTGCCCTCCTCACATTGACAGTCTAGTGGGGGAGGCAAGCAATAAACCAAGTAAGCACAAACTTAGTGTAGAGTCATGGCAGGAGAAAGCCTGTGTGGGAGAGGAGTGTGGCGCTCTGGGGGATCTGCCCCTCTGTGTGGGTGTCCTGGAGGGAGGGAACACTTTGAAGGATGCAGAGGCCTGAGCCAACCAGGAGAGGCCAGAGCCAGGAGGTGTGGGTGGACAGAAGCCTGTGTGGCCAGAGCCCTGGGAGTGAGGGCTGGGGATGTGCGTGGGAGGCTGGAGAGACAGCAGGGCTTGGCCACAGGAAGGATTTTGGCATTTATCCTGGGGGTAGTGGGATATCCAGAATCTCTCTTTGGAGGGAGAGGGGAGGCAGAGCAAGAGCACTGTTTTTGTTTGGATTTTGGGGTGGCTTGTCAGGGAACTGATGGAGATTATGGGGGAGGCACTAAAGCCTCCCTAAGCCATGACTTGGTGTGGCCATTGGCTGACATCTTTGGGCTGCTGGGGTGACTGGGGAATGTCTGCACAAGAGATGCCCCCTTTTTGCTGCCCCAGCTGCAGGATGCCTTTACAGATGGAGCACATAGATGACAAATAAGCACTGGCTGTCTAGAGCAGCACTGAATGTTTTGCTCTGTCTTATTACGTGACCTGTGGGTACAGTCAGCTTTCCACGCAGAGGTACTGTTTCCCGGGAAGGATGCTCCTGCCTGCTGGGAAACTAGCACTGGGGCAGCCAGGTCACAGTATGGTTTTTCTTGCCCCTGTTTGCTCTGGAATCAAGAATGTGTTGATTGTGTCTCCCTGAGGACTAATATCCCCCTGAATTTCATGTTACTCAGCCAGTGCAGCATGGAATGCCCTCCATGTGTTCAAACTTCATTCCAAAAATATTTATTGAATGTCTTGCCAAGCATGGGAGATAGGAGAATGAACAAGATGGGCAAGATCCCTGCTCTTACCCAGCTCTTCTGCTAGTGGGAGAGAGACCATGAAACAAGATTGTCAAAGTTGAAGGGTTTGGGCCCCTACCTAGTTCAGGGGGCTTCAGGGAAGGCTTCCAGAGGAAATGCTATCTAGGGTGAATAATGAGTATGCACTAGCCAGGTGAAATGAGGGGTGAGAGAAGAGTGCCCGGAGAAAAAGGAAGAACAGACAGTTCTAGAGGTGAGAGAATGGGGCTTGTGCAAGAGTGAGGGTAGGCTGGGTGCGGAGGCTCACGCCTGTAATCCCAGCACTTTGGGAGGCCAAGGCAGGTGGGTTATCTGAGGTCAGTAGTTTGAGACCAGCCTGACCAACATGGTGAAACCCTGTCTCTATTAAAAATACAAAAAAATTAGCCGGGCATGGTGGCGGGAGCCTGTAATCCCAGCTACTCGGGAGGCTGAGGCAGAAGAATTGCTTGAACCTGGGAGGCAGAGGTTGCAGTGAGCCAAGATTATGCCACTGCATTCCAACCTGGGTGGCAGAGCAAGACTGTCTCAAAAAAAAAAAATGTAAAGAGGGATTCAGTGTGGCTGCAGCATGGGTGCAGGGTGAGGTGAGGAAACTTTGTAAGATTTCCACTTTCCTTGCTCTCCTGGAGAATGTGTGGGGGCGTCCTGAGTAGTCTTGGTGGCAATTGTCCAGTGCAGTCATCCTGAGCACACTAAGTCCTATTCACAGCAAACTAAGATGTACTTCTCAGCCCACTGCACTCACAGGTCAAGTAACAAGACAGAGCAAAACATTCAGTACTGCTCTAAACAGCCATTGTTTGTCATTCTATGTGCTCCATCTGTAAAGGCCTCCTGCAACTGGGGCAGCAAAGAGGCGGCTCCCTTGTGCAGACGTTCCCCAGCCGCCCCAGCAGCCCAAAGATGTCAGGCAATATAACAATGTCAGGCAATACGGCCTATATGAGGGGGGTGTGACACTGCTGATGTCAGAAGTCACAGGAAGTAATTATTGCAAACTCTTAGAGCATACTTACTGCTAAGAAGCCTTTGTATGGATGTCCTGAGCCCTGCACCCATGAATTGACGTAACTGTAACGACAAGGGACGGCTTTTTGTCATTTAACGAAAGGAATGGGGGATAGCAGAGATATATCGGCTGCAGTGACCTTTCACGGTAAGCAGAGAAATGCCAGTGTTGAAACAATTATCTCAAGTGCCCGCGGGTACCAGCTTCCTGTTGATAACATGTGGTGCTAATTACATTGAAGAATTTAGGGCAGATATTGTGTCTAGAATTAATTGGCCTGCAGAAAGGCTGAGCCTGGCTCAGGACCAGAAGCAAAGATGTCAGCCTCTTTCAGCGCCAAATGTGTGGGGCAGCTTCGCCTTCTGGCTTCCTCCTCTCGTGACTTGGGATGAGGTTCCTCTCTCCTCCAGTCACTGTGCTTTATTGCACTCTCTTAACCTTTTCAGTGAACCAAAAATTTGACTGGTCAACCACTCACCCCTTCTTCTGTTTATAGTCTTCCAGACCTGCAGGGGAGGAATCAGTGGCCAGTTAATCAAAATACTCTGTGTGGAAAAGGTCAGCATGGTGGGGTCCCTGCAATATATTTCCCTAGAATGGGAGGTGTTAGCATTCTGCCTCTGCATGCCTTTCCGTATTACCCAAGTCGAACCCTGTAGTCAGGAAATTGCATCAGTCTTGTGGGTTCCTGATGGCTATGATTTTAATGAGAGAGGAACGGTGCCAAGTCTGATCAAGTTGTTCTTTCCTCCTACTGGACCACTGTTATTGGGAAAGGTGGGCAGTGGTGCTGGGAGATGCTCAATGATTTCCCTGCTGTGAGCACCCAGTCCCTCCTCTGGACTCTCTTCTTTCATAACAGCTAATTACAAGTGTAAGTGCTGATGACAATATTAATTAGCCTTCAGCTGGGCTGCTTTGCGCCAGGCCCTGTGCCAAGCATTTCACATGCATTGTCTCAGGGAATCTCTGTTACAGCCTTGTGAGTTTATTATGCTTCTTTGTGAGACAGGGAAACAGAAGCCCAGAAAGTGTAACTAACATGCTCAGGCCACCCAGCTAGTAAGCAGGAGCCAGGACTTGAACTCAGAGTTTGACTCCAGAGTCACTTTGTTTCAGTCGCCTATCCCCACCAGATCCTGAATTCCATAAGGACAGGGATGGCGGCATGCTGTTTTGTTCGCCCTGTGCCTTCGCTCCTAATATAAGCCAAATACAAAGGGTGGGGGTGCTCACAAGGCACTTGCTAAGTAAATAAATGAACTTAACACCCAAACCTTGTATGAGTGTGAGAGCAGGAGAAGCAGTCTGGAATCAGGTTCACACTCTTTCACCCGCTTTTGTGTGTTTTACAGATAGGGTCTGGAGGGATGGCGTGAGGGCCCAGGCATAGTGCTGGTGAGTGGTTTGCTGTTCTTAAAGAATCCAGTGGGCTGGGAGTGGTGGTTCACGCCTGTAATCCCAGCACTTTGGGAGGCCAAGGCGGGCGGATCATGAGGTCAGGGATTTGAGACCAGCCTGGCCAACATGGTGAAACCCTGTCTCTATTAAAAATACATAAATTAGCCGGGTGTGGTGGCACGCACCTGTAGTCCCAGCTACTTGGGAGGCTGACACAGGAGAATCGCTTGAACCCAGGAGGCAGAGGTTGCAGTGAGTCTAGACTGTGCCATTGCATGCTAGCCTGGGCCATAGAACAAGACTCCATCTCAAAAAAAAAAAAAGAAAAAAAAGAAAAATCCAGTGAAAGCTGCTGTGGTTGTCAAGGTAAACTCACTTCTGAGAAATAAAGACATTGTTGCCATTGAAGGTAATTGTGGGCCATTTGGTATCATTTTTTATTTTCCCAAATCTTTAGCATTGAAAACTCTAATCCGTAATAGTCAGCTAACTGAAAATAGAAGAAAACTCTAGACATCTTCATTTACCTTTCAGTCCTTTAGAGACTTAGAGAATTTTGTTCTCCAAGTGAGTGCTGGGATGGGGTGGGGGCAGGGTGCACCTGCAAGTGTCTGCATTACTGAACTTGGCACATTGATTTTCTGCAGTGAACGTCTCTTATTTTTATCATAGAAAGCTATTTCATTTAGAAAAATTTAAATTATATAAACAAAACAGAAAGACAAGAAGAGTATAGTAAATTAAAGTCCCTCAAAAACCCACAACCCAGAGCTAACCAGTAGATAATTTGGTGAACATCTTTCCAGCATTCATGTGTATATAAAATACAATTTTAAAGAGAGTAAAATACTGTAAATACTGTTTTGCAATCTGCTCCCCTCTTTCCTCATTTAATATACTGTGGAGATCTTTCCATATCAATGGAAATGTGATATGAATATGACACTATATTATTCTTTTTAATGGCTGTATAGGACACTATTGTGTGGCTGTTTCATGATTAATCCATCCCTTATAATGTACATTTATCCACATTCATGTGGCACTATAATTATCCATTTAATCATTTGTCTCTCCCTCTATGCTGTGAGCTCATTGAAAACAGGGACACAGCTAAACCCATGGGCATACAATAGGTGTCCTATAAATGTTTGCATGTATAGATGGATGGATGAGTGAGTGAGAAGGAGAGGAAGAGGCTTTGTTTTGTCATTGCTGTGGATGGTTTCTGACTCAACCTGTCTGAGTGACAGCCTATTAACCCAGGGCTGCAGGAGGCATTTTGGTGATTATATAGCTGGAGGGCCCTTGTTCTTTTGGTGCCATGAGTTTAAATCCTAGTGCCATGAGGAAGTATTTCTGACACCAATCAGATTAATTCCTGATCTTCCTGAAGGGAAGTCCTTGGTTTCTTGACCCTGTGGGTTACTTTCCATGCAGCTGTAGCCTCTCTTCTGCTCATCTCTTTCAAAGGCACATTGGCTGTGCAGGGGAAAATGCCTCTTACACATTTCAGGAAACTGGAATTGGCTTTTTGTGGGGAGTTGAGGGACAGTGTCAGGGATAATGGCTATTCCTCTCTCTCTCTCTCTCTCTCTCTCTCTCATGTTTTAGAATTCTGAGCTGGATGCTTGACCCCATTCCAGGGGTGCAGAATGTGCTGAAAAGTAAAAAGAAAAGAAAACCTCCAAGCTCACTAAGTGAAAATAAAATTAACATCCTAGAGGCCTGCTTCTGGGGACAGTGAAAGGTAGAGTCAAGCTGGGATTCTTAACCTGGGACACAGTAGTGGGAGGCACACAGATGGCCTTCACAGGGTCCATAGCTATTGCTAGATTCTCACAGTGTTTTGAGACTCCAAATATGTTTAGAGCCTCTGTTTATAAAGGAAAAGCAAAGTAAGTACCCGAACCTCATTTTCCTTATCTATAAAATGGAGCAATAGCTACTATCTTACAGAATTGGGTGAGGATTGATAAAATACGATATTTAGAGTGCATGATTCAGGGGCATGGGAAATGGCTGCTATTACTGATGCTTACGGGGTAATGCAGCATGACTTTCTTTGCTCCATGGGTGACTGTCTAGTCCAGCATCGCTGTGCGTGAGTGTGTGTGCGTGTAATGGGCTACAACCAGAGATGTGCTTTAGCAGTTGCTGTGGTCTAAATGTTTGTGGCCTCCCCCCGCCCCCCACCCCAGTTCATATGCTGAAACCTAATTCCCAGTGTAGTGTTATTAGGAACTGAGACCTTGGGGAGGTGATTAAGTCATGAGGGTGGAGCCCTCATGAATGGAATTACTGCCCTGATAAAAGAGGGCCGGGAGCTTGGTTGCCCTTTCTGCTGTGTGGGAACAGATGGAAGATACCATCAATGAAGAACCGTCACCAGGCACCGAATCTGCTGGCACCTTGATCTTGGACTTCCCCAGCCTCCGGAACTGTGAGCAATACATTTCTGTTGTTTACCTATTACTCAGTCTAGGGTATTTTGCTACAGCAGCCCAAATGGATTAAGACAGCAGCCTTGCTCTGACAGAGTGTTGGTCCCATGGACCAGAGAGAGACAGAGAGAAAGATTGGAGCCCAGGTAGAGGTTGTCTCATTGTCCCGATGTGAGCCTTGCAGTGCTGAGGATGGAAGAGGACAGAAGAAAAGAGGAAAAGCTCGTTGGGACTTGGTGAATAGAGGTGGAGTTGAGAGAGAGGATCAAGAGAAAAGGGGGTAGTGGTGGAGAGGTTTGCGGGAAGAATTCAGTTTACTCCTATTGGGTTTGAGGAGAGGTAGACTAGTGGAAATCTAGCAAAAATACAGGTCTCAGAAACATAATCACTTTGAACCCCTTTAGTTCTTTATTTGCATGAGTTTTAGTTTAAGGAGATTTCTGGTAGAGGGAGAACCTGGAGCAGAGGGAGAAGGAAGGGTGATGGAAGGAATGCCCTAGTGTCCCAGCCCAGTCCCTAAATGTGATGGTGAAAAGGCTTAAGGAGAGAAGCTGAAGTTGCCATTTTTGCAAAGGACCCCATAAGTTATGGAGTTGCTGAAGGATGCCCTGTCCCATACGACAGAGTGATGCAGAGTCAGGGAAAGGGGATTTTTCACTTGGGTATAGAAGGCAGAATGAATCTGTAAGCACTGGAGGTGTCAGGAGAGGCACATTTTTTTTTTTTTTTTTTTTTTTTGAGATAGAGTCTCACTCTGTTGCCCAGGCTAGAGTGCAGTGGCACAATCTCGGCTCACTGCAACCTCCACCTCCTGGGTTAAAGTGATTCTTCTGCCTCAGCCTCCTGAGTAGCTGGGATAACAGGCGTGAGCCAGCATGCCCAGCTAATTTTTGTATTTTTAGTAGAGATGGGGTTTCACCATGTTGGCCAGGCTGGCCTTGAACTCCTGACCTCAGATGATCCAACCACCTTGGCCTCCCAAAGTGCTGAGATTACTGGTGTGAGCCACCGTGCCCCACCAGGAGAGGCACTTTTGGAGTGGATGTTGGCATATGTTGATGTATTTGTGATGGGTACTGTCAGAAGCAACAGAAATGAGACTCTCTTGTTGAGTGTGGGGGAGAATGTAGATAAGGCAGAGGGAAGACATGGCTGATCCTGCATCGTGATCACAGATGATAGATGGACTTATGAGCCTGTAAGAGACACTCCTTGGGGAATGTTAGGAGATGGAGGATCTCCAAGGACCGGATAAGGCAAGAGTAGGGAATCTGTTTTTAAGGTCAACATGCCTTCATTTCCATCTACAGGCTGGAGAGACCAGGGAATTTTTGGATAATGAAAGTAGCTATCTGAATGTTGGATTCAAGGAAACTCAATTCAAGAGTCTGTGGACTCAACTGATAATTTTTTCCCCAGCTTTCAGTATCAGAGAGATCTTTGGGTCTCTCTCTCTGTCTCTGTCTCTCTCTCTCTCTCTCCCCTCCCTCCTTCTCTCCCTCCCTCCCTCCCTCCCCAACCCTCTCCAGCAAGAATCTGCATCTCAGAGCTGGGTCCTAGCAAAGAAAAGCCAGCAAATCAAAAGAACTAAAGTTCTTGATTAGAATTCCAGTTTTTTCAAGCCCACTACTGAAGACCCATCTCTTGGGACCTCATCACCTCGCAGTTTGCTCTGGTGTGAGTGTTCCTTTGTAAGGTGACTCTGTGCATAGAAATGTCTAGAAGCCCTCTGTTGAGAAGGGGCCGTTCATTTCCCAGCCTACCACATGATGCTTGAGCTCCAGAAGGCCTCCTGGGCAGAGCCGCCTGGTCAACTCTGAGATCCACTGAGTCTGTTTCAACAACTGTCACCAATTTCCAACAACTCAGGGGCTCAACTTTGAGCCTGCGGCTAGATTCTTGGGTCTCCTCTTTCATTCTCTCAGTGTATCCACCTTTTGCTCTCACCCACCCATGAGGCTAGTTCTCACTTTCCATTGTCTTCTGTGATTACTCCCCACCTTCCCCAAAAAGGAATAAGACGTGGTTCCAGGTGGGCAGATTTTTCAACTTTTAGGCCAGAGATGAGGCATGGGCTTGTCAGGTCCCAGTCTCTCTCTCTCTTTTCGTTTTCTTTTTTTTTAAACTTAAAAAAAATTATTTAATTTTTAAATTTTGCGGGTACATACTAGGTATATATATTTATGGGGTACATAAGATGTTTTGATACAAATATGCAATGCATAATAATCACATCATGGAGAATGGGCTATCCATCCCCTCAAGCATTCCTTTGTGTTACACACAATCCAATTATACTCTTTTGGTTATTTAAAAATGTGCAATTAAGTTATTATTGACTATAGTCACCCTGTTGTGCTATCAAATAGTAGGTCTTATTCATTCTTTCTATTTTTTTTTTTGAATCCATCAGCCATCTCCACCCCTATCTCTTTTTGGTCACACCATACCTGGTGCCCAGTGTCTGCTGGGACTCTCACACCTGTCTCCCAGTCCTCCTGGGCAGAACCCCCTGCTCTCACCCTCCTCACCTTTGAACTGATGCCCCATTGCCACAGGGCCCTGGGCTTTGCTGGGTGGCAGTGGATGCTCACATGACCATCTTCTGTTGTAACACCTAATAGATTCCACATCTTCCCTAAACCTCTTTATGGTGTCAAATGCCACCACTTAATGGTAATAGGTTCTACATGCACCTAATGCCGTCAAGGAATTTATTTATTTCACAGAAAAAACTTTTCTACTTTAACAACTTTTTTTGGATGGAGATATTTTAAGATTGTATTATAAACTTCCTTGCCTTTATGATCAGAGTATTGATTATATTAGTAGGAACAATTTTTATTAATCCTGTGGTAAGATATATGTATTTCCCTCCGTCTCAAAATTTGTGTTGCATGGAGCTGGGCTTTTCTAGTTCTGCACCTGCTCATTTTCACTCTCCTTCCACGCCAGTCTGCATTTGGCAGTCACGTCTCATGCCTTGCCCTCTCATTTTTACTTCTTTACTCTTTTAAAAAATGTTGGTGCAGGCTGGGCGTGGTGGCTCATGCCTGTAATCCCAGCACTTTGGGAGGCTGAGGCGGGCAGATCACGAGGTCAGGAGATCGAGACCATCCTAGCTAACACAGTGAAACCCCGTCTCTACCAAAAAAAAAAAAAAAAAAAAAAAAGAAAAAATTAGCCGGGCGTGGTGGCGGGTGCCTGTAGTCCCAGCTACTCGGGAGGCTGAGGCAGGAAAATGGCGTGAACCCAGGAGGCGGAGCTTGCAGTGAGCCAAGATTGCTCCACTGCACTCCAGCCTGGGTGACAGAGCAAGACTCCATCTCAAAAAAAAAAAAAAAAAAAAAAAAATGTTGGTGCAGTGCAGTGGCTCACACCTGTAATCCTAGCACTTTGAGAAGCCGAGGCAGGCAGATCACTTGAGGTCAGGAGTTTGAGACCAGCCTGGCCAACATGGTGAAACTTTGTCTCTACTAAAAATGCAAAAATTAGCCGGGTGTGATGGCGTACTCCTGCAGTCCCAGCTGCCTGGGGGACTGAGGCACGAGAATCTCTTGAACTCAGGAGGCCGAGGTTGCAGTGAGCTGAGATCGCACCACTGCGCTATAGCCTGGGTGACAGAGTGAGACTCTGTCTCAAAAAAAAAAAAAAAGTTTAAAATTTTCTGATTGTATCACGAGGTCAGGAGTTCAAGCCTGACCAAGATGGTGAAACCCCGTCTCTACTAAAAATACAAAAAATTAGCCGGGCGTGGTGGTGGGCACCTGTAATCCCAGCTACTCGGGAGGCTGAGGCAGATAATTGCTTGAACCTGGGAGGCGGAGGTTGCAGTGAGCTGAGATCGTGCCATTGCACTCCAGCCTGGGGAACAGAGAGAAACTCCATCTCAAAAAAAAAAAAAATTTTTTTTCTGATTGTAATAAACAAACTTACCTAGAAAATAGAAAGATACAAACAAATATGGAGAAGAAAATACAAACAAGTATGAAGAATAAGCATTTTTCCATCTAGTTCTCCCCTCCTCCCTTCCTCATTACACATATGTATGAAAATTCAATCATACTGAATATATATTAATATATATTTCATATTATTGAGCTATTTTACAAAATGATTGAATAGAGTTTTATCATAAGATGTACAATTTTAATTTACCTCATCTCTCATGATTTAACATTCAGGCAATTTGAATTTTTAAAACTAATTAAATTTATGATGAATATTTGTGGGTATTTTATCCTTATTTTTAATTTTTTTAAAAGATACATGCTCTGATGTGAGATTAATTGATCACATTCTAGAGTTTTGCTTGTTTTTTTTTAAGCCCAATTTCATCGACCATACCAATTGTTGCTGATAGCAGCATCCCTCCTCTTCTCATACATTGCTTGTGAGAGTTTAAAATGGTATAACCTCTTTAGAAAACAGTTTGGCAGTGTCTTCCAAAGTCGTCTTACCATATGACCCACTCCTAGGTACTAACACAAGAAGAGAGGAAATATATGTCCACAGAAAGACTTTTACATAAATGCTAATAGCAGCTTTACTGTAATAGACAAAAATTAGAAGAAACCCAAATTTCATCATTGGATAAATAAACTGCAATGTATTCATAGAATGGAATACTACTCAGCAATAAAGAGCAATCAACTATTTTTATGTGCAACAACATAGATGAATTCCAAAATCATTTTGCTGCATGAGAGAAACCAGACAAAAAAGGAGAATATACTGTGTGATTCCGTTTATATAAAGCTTGAAAAAATGCAAACTAATCTAGAGTGACAGAAAGCATAGCAATCGTTGTCTAGGGATGGAAGAGTGGGAAGAAGTGGTGGAGAGGGTTTACAACGGGGCTCAAGGAATATTTTGGGTGATGAATATGTTTCCTATCTGGATTGTGGTGATGGTTTCATAGGGGTACATATATATATCAGAATTTATCAAATAATACACTTATGTATAGTTTATTATATGCCAATTATATTTTGATAAAGCTAGTTCTTAAAAAGATATTGTTACACTTGGGCATTCGTTTTCTAGGAAAGTAGTAGTTAATATTCCAACCAGGAGTGTGTAAATCCCTTCTCACCAGATTGATGCTATTAAGTTTTATTATTTTTAAGCATCTGTGATCAATCAAATAGGTAAAAAACTGATATACATATTAAGGCTATTAACCCTTATGCTTATGTTTATTTCATATACCTTTCCTCCAGTTTATGGTTTTAATTTTTATGGAGAATTTGTGATACACAGAAATTGTAAAAAGTTATAAGGTTAAATCAATTGAGCATTTCTTTTATGTTTTTCTGCCTTCCTAATGTACAACTTTTAATTTTGGAAAAAGGATTAGTCAAGTATCTTAAAATTTCTTTTTAAACAAGAGTGAATGAGGCTGCAGTGTGGAACTGTGATTTTTTTTCCCACATAGTAGTATGTGTGAGTTTGGTGACAACTGTTTAAGCCCTTTCAAGATCATTGTTTTCTAAGCTTATTGTGTTGAGGTACCCATTTTAGTGTTAAAAAATTGTAGGGCTCCATATGATAGTGATTATACTTTTAGGGTCTGTTGATGGAGAATATATAATGACCCAAAACTCCTACACATTCAGTTGCTTTAAAAAATGAATTTGCCTAAGCCAATGTCTAGAAGGGTTTTTCTGATGTTATTCTAGTGGTTTTATGGTTTCAGGTCTTAGATTTAAGTCTTTGATCTATCTTGAGTTGATTTTTGTATAAGGTGAGATATGAGGATCCAGTTTCCTTCTTCTGTATGTGGCTTGCCGATGATCCCAGCACCATTTGTTGAATAGGATGTCCTTTCCCCACTTTACGTTTTTGTTTGCTTTGTCAAAGATCAGTTGGCTGTAAGTATTTGGCTTTATTTCTGGGCTCTCTATTTATTTCTGGGTACATATTGGTCTGTGTGCCTATTTTTATACCAGTACTATGCTGTTTTGGTGACTATGGCCTTATAGGATAGTTTGAAGTCGGGTAGTGTGATGACTCCAGATTTGTTCTTTTTGCTTAGTCTTTCTTTGGCTATACAGGCTCTTTTTTGGTTCCATATGAATTTTAGGATTGTTTTTTCTAGTTCTGTGAAGAATGATAATGGTATTTTGACGGGAATTGCATTGAATGTAGATTGCTTTTGGCAGTATGGTCATTTTCATAATATTAATTCTACCCATCCCTGAGCATGGGATGTGTTTCCATTTGTTTGTGTCACTTATGATTTCTTTCAGTGGTATTTCATAGTTTTCCTTTAGAAGTCTTTCACCTCTTTGGTTAGGTATATTCCTAAGTATTTTATTTTTTTGCAACTATTGTAAAAGCGGTTGGGTTCTTGATTTGATTCTCAGCTTGGTTGCTGTTGGTGTATAGGAGTGCTACTGATCTGTGTACATTGATTTTGTATCCTGAAACTTTACTGAATTCATTCATCAGATCTAGGAGCTTTCTGGAGGAGTCTTTAGGGCTTTCTAGGTATACAATCACATCATCAGCAAACAGCAACAGTTTGACTTCCTCTTTACTGATTTGGATGCTCTGTATTTCTTTCTCTTGTCTGATTGCTCTGTCTAGGACTTTCAGTACTATGTTGAATAGAAGTGGTGAAAATGGGCATCCTTGTCTTGTTCCCATTCTCAAGGAGAGTGCTTTCAAGTTTTCCTGGTTCAATGTAATGTTAGCTGTGAGTTTGTCATAGATGGCTTTTATTATCTTAAGGTATGTCCCTTCTATGCAGATTTTTGCTGAGGGTCTTAATCATAAAGGGATGCTGAATTTTGTCAACTGCTTCATGACCAAGAACCCAAAAGCAAATGCAACAAAAACAAAGATAAATAAGTGAGACTTAATTAAACTAAAAAGCTTCTGCACAGCAAAAGAAATAATCAGCAGAGTAAACAGACAACTCACAGAGTAGAAGAAAATCTTCACAAACTATGCATCTAACAAAGGAGTGATATCCAGAATCTACAAGGAACTCAAAGAAATCAGCAATAAACAAGCAAATAATGTAATCAAAAGTGGACTAAGGACATGAACAGATGATTCTCAAGATATACAGATGGCCAGCAAACATATGAAAAAATTCTCAACATCACTAATGATCAGGGAAATACAAATCAAAACCACAATGCAATGCCACCTCACTCCTGCAAGAATGGCCATAATTAAAAAAATAAAAAAAATACATGCTGGTGTGGATGTGGTAAAAAGGGAACACTTTTACACTGCTGGTGGGAATATAAACTAGTACAACCACTATGGAAAACAGTATGGAGATTTTTTAAGGAACTAAAAATAGATTTACCATTTTATCCAGCAATCCCACTACTGGTCATCTACCCAGAGAAAAAGAAGTCATTATATGAAAAAGACATTTGCACACTCATGTTTATAGCAGCACAATTCACAGTTGCAAAAATATGGAACCAGCCCAAATGCCCATCAATCAATGAGTGGATACAGGAAACGTGGTATATACATATCGTGGAATACTACTCAGCCATAAAAAGGAATAAAATAATTGTTGCTGCATTTGCAACAATCTGGATGGAGTTGGAGACCATTATTCTTTTCTTTCTTTTTTTTAAATTATACTTTAAGTTCTGGGATACATGTGCAGAACGTGCAGGTTTGTTAAATAGGTATACGCGTGCCATGGTGGTTTGCTGTACCCATCAACCTGTCACCTACATTAGGTATTTCTCCCAGTGCTATCTCTCCCCTAGCCCCCACCCCCTGACAGGCCCCAGTGTGTGATGTTCCCCTCCCTGTGTCCATGTGTTCTCATTGTTCAATCCCCACTTTTGAGTGAGAACATGCAGTATTTGGTTTTCTGTTCCTGTATTAGTTTGCTAAGAATGATGGTTTCCAGCTTCATCCATCTCCCTGCAAAGGACATTAACTCATCCTTTTTATGGCTGCATAGTATTCTGTGGTGTATAATGTATATGTGCCACATTTTCTTTATCCAGTCTATCATTGATGGCCATTTGGGTTAGTTCCAAGTCTTTGCTATTATGAATAGTGCTGCAATAAACGTAAGTGTGCATGTGTCTTTATAGTAGAATGATTTATAATCCTTTGGGTATATACCCAGTAATGGGGTTGCTGGGTCAAAAGGCATTTCTGGTTCTAGATCCTTAAGGAATCGCTACACTGTCTTCCACGATGGTTGAACTAATTTACAATCCCACCAACAGTGTAAAAGTGTTCCTATTTCTCCACGTCCTCTCCAGCATCTGTTGTTTCCTGACTTTTTTAATGATCGCCATTTTAACTGGCATGAGCTGGTACCTCATTGTGGTTTTGATTTGCATTTCTCTAATGACCAGTGATGATGAGCTTTGTTTTTCAGATGTTTGTTGACCACAAAAATGTCTTCCTTTGAGAAGTGTCTGTTCATATCCTTTGCCCACTTTTTGATGGGGTTGTTTTTTCCTTGTAAATTTGTTTAAGTTCCTTGTAGATTCTGGATATTAGCTCTTTGTCAGATGGGTAGATTGCAAAAATTTTCTCCCATTCTGTAGGTTGCCTGTTCACTCTGATGATAGTTTCTTTTGCTGTGCAGAAGCTCTTTAGTTTAATTAGATCCCATTGTCAATTTTGGCTTTTGTTGCCATTGCTTTTGGTGTTTTAGTCATGAAGTCTTTGCCTATGCCTATGTCCTGAATGGCATTGCCTAGGTTTTCTTCTAGGATTTTTATAGTTTTAGGTCTCATGTTTAAGTTTTTAATCCATCTTGAGTTAATTTTTGTATAAGGTGTAAGGAAGGGGTCCAGTTTCAGTTTTCTGCCTATGGCTAGCCAGTTTTCCCAACACCATTTATTAAATAGGGAATCCTTTCCTCATTGCTTGTTTTTGTCAGGTTTGCTAAAGGTCAGATAGTTGTAGATGTGTGGTGTTATATCTGAGGCTTCTGTTCTGTTCCATTGGTCTATGTATCTGTTTTGGTACCAGTACCATGCTGTTTTGGTTGCTGTAGCCTTGTAGTATAGTTTGAAGTCAGGTAGCATGATGCTTCCAGCTTTGTTCTTTTTGCTTAGAATTGTCTTGGCTATACGGGCTCTTTTTTTGTTCCATATGAAATTTAAAGTAGTTTTTTCCAATTCTGTGAAGAAAGTCAATGGTAGCTTGATGGGGATAGCATTGAATCCATAAATTACTTTGGGCAGTATGGCCATTTTCACAATATTGATTCTTCCTATCCATGAGCATGGAATGTTTTCCCATTTGTTTATGTCCTCTCTTATTTCCTTGAGCAGTGGTTTGTAGTGCTCCTTGAAGAGGTCCTTCATATCCCTTGTAAGTTGTATTCCTAGGTATTTTATTCACTTTGTAGCAATTGTGGATGGGCATTCACTCATGATTTAGCTCTCTGTTTGCCTATTATTGGTGTATAGGAATGACTGTGCTTTCTGCATATTAATTTTGTATCCTGAAACTTTGCTGAAGTTGCTTATCAGCTTAAGGAGATTTTGGGCTGAGACAATGGGGTTTTCTAAATATACAATCATGTCATCTGCAGACAGAGACAATTTGACTTCCTCTCTTCCTATGTGAATACCCTTTATTTCCTTCTCTTGCCTGATTGCCCTGGCCAGAACTTCCAACACTATGTTGAATAAGAATGGTGAGAGAGGGCATTCTTGTCTTGTGCTGGTTTTCAAAGGGAGTGGTTCCAGGTTTTGTCCATTCAGTATGATATTGGTTGTGGGTTTGTCATAAATAGCTCTTATTATTTTGAGATATGTCCCATTAATACCTGGTTTATTGAGTTTTTAGCATGAAGGGGTGTTGAATTTTATCGAAGGCCTTTTCTGCATCTATTGAGATAATCATGTAATCATGTAGTTTTTGTCATTGGTCCTGCTGGATTTGGTTTACCAGTATTTTCCTGAGGATTTTCACATTGATGTTCATCAGGGATATTGGCCTGAAATTTTCTTTTTTTTGTTGTGTCTCTGCCAGGTTTTGGTATCAGGATGATGCTGGCTTCATAAAATGAGTTAGGGAGGATTCCCTCTTTTTCTTTTCTTTTCTTTCTTTTTTTTTTTTGGTTATACTTTAAGTTCTAGGGTGCATGTGCACAATGTGCAGGTTTGTTACATATGTATACATGTTCCATGTTGGTGTGCTGCACCCATTAACTCATCATTTACATTACGTATATCTCCTAATGCTATCCCTCCTCCTTCCCCCACCCCACAACAGGCCCCCGTGTGTAGTGTTCCCCACCCTGTGTCCAAGTGTTCTCATTGTTCAATTCCTGCCTGTGAGTGAGAACATGCAGTATTTGGTTTTCTGTCCTTGCGATAGTTTGCTGAGAATGATGGTTTCCAGCTTCATCCATGTCCCTACAAAGGACATGAACTCATCCTTTTTTATGGCTGCATAGTATTCCATGGTGTATATGTGCCACATTTTCTTAATCCAGTCTATCATTGATGGACATTTGGGTTGGTTCCAAGTCTTTGCTATTGTGAATAGTGCTGCAATAAACATATGTGTGCATGTGTCTTTATAGCAGCATGCTTTATAATCCTTTGGGTATATACCCCAGTAATGGGATGGCTCGGTCAAATGGTATTTCTAGTTCTAGATCCCTGAGGAATCGTCACACTGTCTTCCACAATGGTTGAACTAGTTTACAGTCCCACCAACAGTGTAAAAGTGTTCCTATTTCTCCACATCCTCTCCAGCACCTGTTGTTTCCTGACTTTTTAATGATTGCCATTCTAACTGGTGTGAAATGGTATCTCATTGTGGTTTTGATTTGCATTTCTCTGATGGCCTGTGATGATGAGCATTTTTTCTTGTGTCTGTTGGCTGCATAAATGTCTTCTTTTGAGAAGTGTCTGTTCATATCCTTCGCCCACTTTTTGATGGGGTTGTTTGATTTTTTCTTGTAAATTTGTTTAAGTTCTTTGTAGATTCTGGATATTAGCCCTTTGTCAGATGAGTAGATTGCAAAAATTTTCTCCCATTCTGTAGGTTGCCTGTTCACTCTGATGGTAGTTTCTTCTACTGTGCAGAGCTCTTTAGTTTAATTAGATCCCATTTGTCAATTTTGGCTTTTGTTGCCATTGCTTTTGGTGTTGTAGACATGAAGTCCTTGCCCATGCCTATGTCCTGAATGGTATTGCCTAGGTTTTCTTCTAGCATTTTTGTGGTTTTAGGTCTGACATTTAAGTCTTTAATCCATCTTGAATTAATTTTTGTATAAGGTGTAAGGAAGGGATCCAGTTTCAGCTTTCTACATATGGCTAGCCAGTTTTCCAGCACCATTTATTAAATAGGATTCCCTCTTTTTCTATTGTTTGGAATAGTTTCAGAAGGAATGGTACCAGCTCCTCTTTGTACCTCTGGTAGAATTCGCCTGTGAATCCATCTGGTGCTGGGCTTTTTTTGGTTGGTAGGCTATTAATTACTGCCTCATTTTCAGAACTTGTTATTCGTCTATTCAGGGATTCGACTTCTTTCTGGTTTAGTCTTGGGAGGGTGTAGGTGTCCAGGAATTTATCCATTTCTTCTAGATTTTCTAGTTTATTTGCATAGATGTGTTTATAGTATTCTCTGATAGTAGTTTGTATTTCTGTGGGATCAGAGGTGATATCCCCTTTATCATTTTGTATTGTGTCTATTTGATTCTTCTCTCATTTCTTCTTTATTAATCTGGCTAGTGGTCTATCTATTTTGTTAATCTTTTCCAAAAACCATCTCCTGGATTCATTGATTTTTTGAAGGGTATTTCGTGTCTCCATCTCCTTCAGTTCTGCTCTGATTTTATTTATTTCTTGTCTTTTGCTAAGTTTTGAATTTGTTTGCTCTTGCTTCTCTAGTTCTTTTAATTGTGATGTTAGGGTGTCGATTTTATATCTTTCCCGCTTTCTCCTGTGGGCATTTAGTGCTATAAATTTCCCTCTAAACACTGCTTTAGCTGTGTCCCAGAGATTCTGGTATGTTGTGTTTCTTCTCATTGGTTTCAAAGAACTTATTTATTCCTGCCTTAATTTCATTATTTACTCAGTAGTCATTCAGGAGCAGGTTGTTCAGTTTCCATGTAGTTGTGCAGTTTTGAGTGAGTTCCTTAATCCTGAGTTCTAGTTTGATTGCACTGTGGTCTGAGAGACTGTTTGGTATGATTTCTATTATTTTGCATTTGCTGAGGAGTGTTTTACTTCCAATTATGTGGTCAATTTTAGAATAAGTGTGATGTGTTGCTGACAAGAATGTATATTCTGTTGATTTGGAGTGGAGAGTTCTGTAGATGTCTATTAGGTCTGCTTGGTCCAGAGCTGAGTTCAAGTCCTGAATATCCTTGTTAGTTTTCTGTCTCATTGATCTGTCTAATATTGACAGTGGGGTGTTAAAGTCTCCCACTATTATTGTGTGGCAGTCTAAGTCTTTTCTTAGGTTGGAGACCATTATTCTAAGTGAAGTAACTCAGGAATGGGAAACCAAATTTCCTATGTTTTCACTTATAAGTGGGAGCTAAGCTATGAGGATGCAAAGGCATAAGAAGGATACAGTGGACTTTGGGGTCTTATGGGGAAGGGCGGGAGTGGGATGAGGGATAAAAGAAGACACACTGAGTACAGTGTAGTGATAGGTGCATCAAAATCTCAGAAATCACCACTAAAGAACTTACCCGTTTCCCAAAAATCTATTGAAATAAAAAAATTTAAAAAATGAATTTGCATTGTAATAATCACCACAGCACTTATACACATTTTGGGAAATGGGGTACCTATGTGTGAAATACATATTCTGTCTACAAATTTGGTGTGCTTGAGGATGCTTGATCCCCTGTAATAATTTCAAGGCCTTTCAGGTTTGGGAACCCACAATGGGAACCACACCTTTCAAGGTAGAGCTGAGACTCAGATATTTTCCCTTTTCTGAAAGCTGTCCCTTCCTTTAGACTACTTTCAGCTGCGAATTGTGGGGATGTGGGTTTGGGGCTTCCAGGAAGCCTGAATATGGTGTAAGTCGGAGTATTAGCAGGCTTTAAAAAACTTTTGTCTCCAACCTACCTTTTTCAGTTATGAAGGAGCATCTTATTGAAGAGTCCTGAGAGTGGGTGAAAAAGATATTAATTATACTCTTCTCATTTTCTTTCCAAATGGGAATGTCTTTACCCGGAATAATCAGCATATGGCTTTTTCCTTGTTCCTTTGCCATTTTCTCTCAGGGGACTGGAAGCATGCCTGCTTAAATGAGATAACATGTGAACTGCCCAGCACAGGGCCTGGCTATAGTTCATGCTCAACAAATCTTTGTTCTTCTCTCCTTCCTTCTTCTATTTGATAGCAGGTTCCAAGCTCACATGCAAATTGAGCATTGATCTCACAGCAAATATGTTTTGGCTTAGTGATGAGTCCACTGAAAAGGAGAGAGAGAGTTATTTAAATTATTGAAACACCTTAATCCATAAGTTCACATAAATGTTGTTTTGAACTAATAGTTTTAGGCACTTAGGCTCCTGTGTTCCATCTTATAGGTGGTTAATGTCTCCTGGTGTTACATACCAGGCGAAATCTCTCTTGCTGTCACATACTTTAAAAATTCAGGCGTTTGAAATTTTCTTTTTGTTAAACTTGCAGTGGAGTATTGGATTCCTTGGTTCATTTAAAAAAAAAAGCCCTTTATCAAAATGTTAAGTTTGGTTAATTTGCATAAAATATTTCTTCTGCAATTTACTCTCTATTACTTTTGAAGCACAGATTGCCTCTGCTGCAGTGTGGAGTGCTTGTGATGGCACTCAAGCTATTAGGGTGTTCAATTCTAGGAATGAACAAGTCTCAGGTTTGAAGCTCAAGGAGACAAATTGGAATCATGTCTCACTTTCTTGGGTGATCTGAGCTGATTTGAAGGAGGAAAGAAAGAAAAGGAAGCCAGGCTTGCAAAGAGAGGGTTCAAAGGCCTAGGCTGAAAGTATACAAAGGTGTGGATAGAACCTGGGATCAGTTTTGTGCTCACATGTTCTCAGGGAGCAGAGGAAGAGGAAGAAAAGCCTTGGGGGTGTCTCCAGAAGAAGCTCAGTGACAAATCTAATGGGCATTTGTAGCCAGATTCCCCTGCTTTCCATTAGCCCAGAATCAACTCTACATTCAAACAGGGAATCAGAGTAGCTGGTGGATATCAATGCTGAAGGAAATAAACAAGCTTCAGCACAGCAAGCAGGCTGTTGGGAAACCAGAGGCCGAGAGACTTTCCTGGGGCCTGAGTGACAGGAGCCCTGATGGTTCTGCCTTTGCCCAGAGACACCCACCTCAAATCTGGGTTTGATGCTTTCTATGCAAGGCAGCAGAGGGGAGCCTTTCTGCACTTACTGACAACCCCTCCTTTAAGGCGAAGCTACTCAGCCTGAAAAACACTGACATTCACAAATAGCAGATGGGTGGGCCATAATTAGGCGGTCGCTGGCTCCTCTCACTCCACTTTTCTTAGAAAGGGGAAAACTCACAGAAAAGTGGGGGAGGGTTCCCTGCTGGGGAGAGGTCTTTCCTTTGCACACAAGAGTTTCTTCTTGACTCACCCTAGGCTTTTCTCTGAAAGTTCAGGAAAAGCTAACGTTAGTAGCAGCAAATTTGGTGAAAGGTGGGATTCATGTGCAAGGAGATGGGGTTATATTTAGACCTGTGTAATTAAAGATCCATTTATGTCTGAGCATCCTTAAACAGACAAATATAAAACTCATGAATACCAAATTCTATTTGGGTAACTGGCTGGAAGCACACACACACTTGCACATACGCACACTCTAAGCTTGTCTCTGTCTATTCACGTAGAAATAAAGGCCACCACCCGTCTTGGCTCAGGGCTAATGAATTTTAAACCTCACTTCTTAGGGCTACAATAAAGAATTCTTCAATTCTACATTCAAACAGGAAATCAGAGCAGGTAGAGGACATCAATGCTGAAGGAAATGCAGAGAATCAGGGTAGGTGGTGGATGCTGGAGGGAATAAACAAGCTTCAGGACACCAAGCAGGCTTTGGGGAAACTAGAGGTTGAGAGACTTTGGGGTTTTAGTGATAGAGGCCGTCATAGTCCTGCCTTTGCCCAGAAACACCTGACTGAAATCCAAGTGTCATGTTCTCCCTGATTTTGAAAGTCTGGTTCTCTTGCAGCCTGAAACCTGGGATTAATATTGACAAGGGAGAGACTAGCTTTTCTTCTGAATTGCTTTTCTCCTGGGACTTAAATATTCAAAACCTAAAAACAAAGAAGCCAATGATTGGCAGCTATTGAAAAAGTGTTTTTCACTTAAAAATACTTAAAAAATAAGAAAAAACACTAATTCCCAATCTCATAAAAGTCCAGCCAGTCTAGAAAATGGGGAAAACTTCCATTTTCAATGACTTAGTGGTAGTGAGAGAAAGGCCACTGTTATGACTTTCTCCACATCCGAGATATCACACATCTCCATAACACATCAGAGATAATCACGTGAAATTACTGCAATCATGTTGTTTTCCAAGCAAGTGGGTACAGGTAGATCTTTGGATTTCAAATGTGCTGGAGTTTAATGACCATATCTTTTGCCACAGAATCCAGTAGAGGCCCCTCTCCCTTTTTCCCTCTCTCCTCTGAATGCCACACACACAGGCACATGTTCTACACAATTCCATTCTATCCTGTCTGGTGTTTATACCCCTGTGATGCAGCATCTGAAGGAGAGAGAAAGCAGCCAGGGGAGCCATGGCTCTAGGTGTCACTGAATCACAGAGGGGATACACAGGAGAGTGGAAGTGCCAGGGACTATGGGAGAGAGTGGCCACGTCCTCCTAGAGTTTTCTCATCAAAGGCTTGAATGAAGATGGAGAGTGTCTTCTCAGCAACAGAGATGGGAGAGATGGCCAGTATGTTGAATGACAGGTTCAGGGATCAAAGAGATCTTGACTGGACAGAGCTGAAGCCTGGAATTCAACAAGGCAAAAGCTAAGGGGGAAAAGGTAAGGCCTAAACTAACAAGGGCACCAACATGGAGTGGGGGAGGAAGGACTTAGCCTGTGTGGATGTGATTTGGGGTTATAGCTGATTGTGAGTACATTCTGAGTCAACAGTGGGATGTGGGATGTGGGATGCAGGGAAGTAAAGTGATCTTTGGCTACTTCATTAGATGTCTGGCTGGAGTGGAAGAGCTGAGAGCCCCCTTCTATTGTGGCCTGGACATGCTGGAGCATCCTACTCAGGTCAGGAACCTCCAGTGAGAACTGCACAGAAAATTGGAGTGTGTTGGAGGAGGGTCCAGGCCCTTGGAGGAACTGGAGACCCTACCAATGAGAGGGGAAGGCATTGAGCTTATTTGACCCAGATAATTGAGGGCTATTGAGTTTATTGTAAAGTATCTGCAGGACTGACCTATGAAAGAGGGATTTGATTTGTTCTGGGTGGTCTAATGCAGGGGTCATCAAGCTATGGTCTGCTGCCTGCTTTTGTAAATAGGGTTTTATTGGAGCACAGCCATGCTATTTTATATATTGCTTGTGGCTACTTTCATGCTGCAATACTAGAGTTGCCAAAGAGAATATATGGTCCATAAAACCTAAAATATTTACTCTCTGATTCTTTCCAAAGAAAAGTGTGCTGACTCCAGGTCTAATGTATGGGAATAAGGTCTGATTTGGAGGAGTTGATGGTGAATACTTTAAGAAGGTATATTTTACTCAATAAAAGGAAGAAAAGTTAAATTTCAGGTATTAATTGAAGGTAAGAGTTGAGCTACCTTCTTGGTGGGATTGAGTTAGAGGCAATTCTAGCATTAGTGGGTGTTTGTCTTAGTGGCATTTGACTGTTCTCTAATTTTGGGCATTTCTGATTTATTGCCTTGTGGAGTTACTTAAGTTACTTTTGGTTTATTTTCTGATTAAGAAATATGATCACCTCTATTCTTCCCTACCCTCCTCTCCTTACACACACAGCTAACATCGTACTCTGATTTGTAACTCCTGCCATGGCTAAGGTAAGTCTGCCCTGCACTCTCTTCAAGTGTGTTTACAAGAGAATTCGAAGAGGGTCCCCTCTTAGTGTTTCACGTACAAAGATGCCCATAGGCAGGCATTTCAGGGGCAGTATTGTAACAACAATCTAGTGAGGTGGTATGGATTAGAAATAGTATAGGTCTTAGAGCCAGTCTTTTTATATATATACATTTTTTATTATAATTTAAGTTCTAGGGTACATGTGCACAACGTGCAGTTTTGTTACATATGTATACATGTGCCATGTTGGTGTGCTGCACCCATTAACTCATCATTTACATTAGGTATATCTCCTAATGCTATCCCTCCCCACTCCCCCCACCCTATGACAGGCCCCGGTGTGTGATGTTCCCCTTCCTGTGTCCAAGTGTTCTCATTGTTCAGTTCCCACCTATGAGTGAGAACATACGGTGTTTGGTTTGCTGTTCTTGTGATAGTTTGCTGAGAATGACAGTTTCCAGCTTCATCCATGTCCCTACAAAGGACATGAACTCATCCTTTTTTATGGCTGCATAGTATTCCATTGTGTACATGTGCCACATTTTCTTAATCCAGTCTATCATTGATGGACATTTGGGTTGGTTCCAAGTCTTTGCTATTGTGAGTAATGCCGCAATAAACATACGTGTGCATGTGTCTTTATAGCAGCATGATTTATAATCCTTTAGGTATATACCCAGTAATGGGATGGCTGGGTCAAATGGTATTTCTAGTTCTAGATCCCTGAGGAATCGCTACACTGTCTTCCACAATGGTTGAACTAGTTTACAGTCCCACTAACAGTGTAAAAGTGTTCCTATTTCTCCACATCCTCTCCAGCACCTGTTGTTTCCTGACTTTTTAATGATTGCCATTCTAACTGGTGTGAGTTGATATCTCATTGTGGTTTTGATTTGCATTTCTCTGATGGCCAGTGATGATGAGCATTTTTCCATGTGTCTGTTAGCTGCATAAATATCTTCTTTAGAGAAGTGTCTGTTCATATCCTTCACCCACTTTTTGATTTTTTTTTTGTTTTCTTGTAAATTTATTTGAGTTCTTTGTAGATTCTGGATATTAGTCCTTTGTCAGATGAGTAGATTGCAAAAATTTTCTCCCATTCTGTAGGTTGCCTGTTCACTCTGATGGTAGTTTCTTTTGCTGTGCAGAAGCTCTTTAGTTTAATCAGATCCCATTTGTCAATTTTGGCTTTTGTTGCCATTGCTTTTAGTGTTTTAGACATGAAGTCCTTGCCCATGCCTATGTCCTGAATGGTATTGCCTAGGTTTTCTTCTAGTGTTTTTATAGTTTTAGGTCTAACATTTAAGTCTTTAATTCATCCTGAATTAATTTTTGTATAAGGTGTAAGGAAGGGATTCAGTTTCAGCTTTCTACATATGGCTAGCCAATATCCCAGCACCATTTATTAAATAGGGAATCCTTTCCCCATTGCTTGTTTTTGTCAGGTTTGTGAAAGATCAGATAGTTGTAGATGTGTGGTATTATTTCTGAGGGCTCTGTTCTGTTCCATTGGCCTATATCTCTGTTTTGGTACCAGTACCATGCTGTTTTGATTACTGTAGCCTTGTAGTATAGTTTGAAGTCAGGTAGCGTGATGCCTCTAGCTTTGTTCTTTTGGCTTAGGATTGACTGGGCAATGCAGGCTCTTTTTTGGTTCCATATGAACTTTAAAGTAGTTTTTTCCAATTCTGTGAAGAAAGTCATTGGTAGCTTGATGGGGATGGCATTGAATCTATAAATTACCTTGGGCAGTATGGCCATTTTCATGATATTGATTCTTCCTATCCATGAGCATGGAATGTTCTTCCATTTGTTTGTGTCCTCTTTTATTTTGTTGCGCAGTGGTTTGTAGTTCTCCTTGAAAAGGTCCTTCACGTCCCTTGTAAGTTGGATTCCTAGGTATTTTATTCTCTTTGAAGCAATTGTGAATGGGAATTCACTCATGATTTGGCTCTTTGTTTGTCTGTTATTGGTGTATGAGAATGCTTGTGATTTTTGCACATTGATTTTGTATCCTGAGACTTTGCTGAAGTTGCTTATTGGCTCAAGGAGATTTTGGGCTGAGACGATGGGGTTTTCTAGATATACAAACATGTCATCTACAAACAGGGACAATTTGACTTCCTCTTTTTCTAATTGAATACCCTTTATTTCTTTCTCCTGCCTGATTGCCCTGGCCAGAACTTCCAACACTATGTTGAGTAGAGAGGGCATCCTTGTCTTGTGCCAGTTTTCAAAGGGAATGCTTCCAGTTTTTGCCCATTCAGTATGATACTGGCTGTGGGTTTGTCATAAATAGCTCTTATTATTTTGAGATATGTCCCATCAATACCAAATTTATTGAGAGTTTTTAGCATGAAGGGCTGTTGAATTTTATCAAAGGCCTTTTCTGCATCTTTTGAGATAATCATGTGGTTTTTGTCTTTGGTTCTGTTTATATGCTGGATTATGTTTATTGATTTGCATATGTTGAACCAGCGTTGCATTCCAGGGATGAAGCCCACTTGATCATGGTGGATAAGCTTTTTGATGTGCTGCTGGATTCAGGTTGCCGGTATTTTATTGAGGATTTTTGCATCAATGTTCATCAAGGATATTGGTCTAAAATTCTCTTTTATTGTTGTGTCTCTGCCAGACTTTGGTATCAGGATGATGCTGGCCTCATAAAATGAGTTCGGGAGGATTCCCTCTTTTTCTATTGTTTGGAATAGTTTCGGAAGGAATGGTACCAGCTCCTCCTTGTACCTCTGGTAGAATTCGGCTGTGAATCTGTCTGGTCCTGGACTTTTTTTGGTTGGTAAGCTATTAGTTATTGCCTCAATTTCAGAGCCTGTTATTGGTCTATTCAGAGATTCAACTTCTTCCTGGTTTAGTCTTGGGAGGGTGTATGTGTCCAGGAATTTATCCATTTCTTCTAGATTTTCTGATTTATTTGTGTAGAGGTGTTTATAGTATCCTCTGATGGTAGTTTGTATTTCTGTGGGATTGGTGGTGATATCCCCTTTATCATTTTTTATTGTGTCTATTTGATTCTTCTCTCTTTTCTTCTTTATTATTCTTGCTAGCAGTCTATCAATTTTGTTGATCTTTTCAAAAAACCAGCTCCTGGATTCATTGATTTTTTGAAGGGTTTTTTGTGTCTCTATCTCCTTCAGTTCTGCTCTGATCTTAGTTATTTCTTGCCTTCTGCTAGCTTTTGAATGTGTTTGCTCTTGTTTCTCTAGTTCTTTTAATTGTGATGTTAGGGTGTCAATTTTAGATCTTTCCTGCTTTCTCTTGTGGGCATTTAGTGCTATAAATTTCCCTCTACACACGGCTTTAAATGTGTGCCAGAGATTCTGGTATGTTGTGTCTTTGTTCTCATTGGTTTCAAAGAACATCTTTATTTCTGCCTTCATTTCGTTATGTACCCAGTAGTCATTCAGGAGCAGGTTGTTCAGTTTCCATGTAGTCGAGTGGTTTTGAGTGAGTTTCTTAATCCTGAGTTCTAGTTTGATTACACTGTGGTCTGAGAGACAGTTTGTTATAATTTCTGTTCTTTTACATTTGCTGAGGAGTGCTTTACTTCCAACTATGTGGTCAATTTTGGAATAAGTGTGATGTGGTGTTGAGAAGAATGTATATTCTGTTGATTTGGAGTGGAGAGTTCTGTAGCTGTCTATTAGGTCCACTTGGTGCAGAGCTGAGTTCAATTCCTGGATATCCTTGTTAACTTTCTGTCTTGTTGATCTGTCTAATGTTGACAGTGAGGTGTTAAAGTCTCCCATTATTAATGTGTGGGAGTCTAAGTCTCTTTGTAGGTCTCTAAGGACTTGCTTTATGAATCTGGGTGCTCCTGTATTGGGTGCATATATATTTAGGATAGTTAGCATTTCTTGTTGAATTGATCCCTTTACCATTATGTAATGGCCTTCTTTGTCTCTTTTGATCTTTGTTGGTTTAAAGTCTGTTTTATCAGAGACTAGGATTTCAACCCCTGCCTTTTTTTGTTTTCCATTTGCTTGGTAGATCTTCTTCCGTCCCTTTATTTTGACCCTATGTGTGTCTCTGCACGTGAGATGGGTTTCCTGAATACAGCACACTGATGGGTCTTGACTCTTTATCCAATTTGCCAGTCTGTGTCTTTTAATTGGAGCATTTAGCCCATTTACATTTAAGGTTAATATTGTTATGTGTGAATTTGATCCTGTCATTATGATGTTAGCTGGTTATTTTGCTCATTAGTCAATGTGGTTTCTTCCTAGCATCGATGGTCTTTACAATTTGGCATGTTTTTGCAGTGGCTGATACTGGTTTTTCCTTTCCATGTTTAGTGCTTCCTTCAGGAGCCCTTGTAGGGCAGGCATGGTGGTGACAAAATCTCTCAGCATTTGCTTGTCTGTAAAGGATTTTATTTCTCCTTCACTGATGAAGCTTAGTTTGGCTGGATATGAAACTCTGGGTTGAAAATTCTTTTCTTGCTCTCCCTCTCCCTCTCCCTCTCCCTCTCCGTCTCCCCACGGTCTCCCTCTCCCTCTCTTTCCACAGTCTCCCTCTGATGCCGAGCCGAAACTGGACGGTACTGCTGCCATCTCGGCTCACTGCAACCTCCCTGCCTCATTCTCCTGCCTCAGCTTGCCGAGTGCCTGTGATTGCAGGCGTGCGCCGCCACGCCTGACTGGTTTTCGTATTTTTTTGGTGGAGACGGGGATTCACTGTGTTGGCCGGGCTGGTCTCCAGCTCCTAACCGCGAGTGATCCGCCAGCCTCGGCCTTCCGAGGTGCCGGGATTGCAGACGGAGTCTCGTTCACTCAGTGCTCAATGGCGCCCAGGCTGGAGTGCAGTGGCGTGATCTCGGCTCGCTACAACCTCCACCTCCCAGCAGCCTGCCTTGGCCTCCCAAAGTGCCGAGATTGCAGCCTCTGCCCGGCTGCTACCCCGTCTGGGAAGTGAGGAGCGTCTCCGCCTGGCTGCCCATCGTCTGGGATGTGAGGAGCCCCTCTGCCTGGCTGCCCAGTCTGGAAAGTGAGGAGCGTCTCTGCCCGGCCGCCATCCCATCTAGGAAGTGAGGAGCGCCTCTTCCCGGCCGCCATCACATCTGGGATGTGAGGAGCGTCTCTGCCCAGACGCCCCCGTCTGAGAAGTGAGGAGACCCTCTGCCTGGCAGCCGCCCCGTCTGAGAAGTGAAGAGCCCCTCCGCCCAGCAGCCACCCCGTCTGAGAAGTGAGGAGCGTCTCCGCCCGGCAGCCACCTCGTCCGGGAGGGAGGTGGGGGGGTCAGCCCCCCGCCCGGCCAGCCGCCCTGTCCAGGAGGGAGGTGGGGGGATCAGCCCCCCGCCCGGCCAGCCGCCCTGTCCGGCAGGTGAGGGGCGCCTCTGCCCGGCCGCCCCTACTGGGAACTGAGGAGCCCCTCTGCCCGGCCAGCCGCTCCGTCCGGGAGGGAGGTGGGGGGGTCAGCCCCCCGCCCGGCCAGCCGCCCCGTCTGGGAGGGAGGTGGGGGCGTCAGCTCCCCGCCCAGCCAGCCGCCCCGTCTGGGAGGGAGGTGGGGGGGTCAGCCCCCCGCCTGGCCAGCCGCCCCGTCCGGGAGGTGAGGGGCGCCTCTGCCCGGCCGCCCCTACTGGGAAGTGAGGAGCCCCTCTGCCCGGCCAGCCGCCCCGTCCAGGTGGGAGGTGGGGGGTCAGCCCCCCACCCGGCCAGCCGCCCCGTCCGGGAGGGAGGGAGGTGGGGGGGTCAGCCCCCCGCCCAGCCAGCCGCCCTGTCCGGGAGGTGAGGGGCGCCTCTGCCCGGCCGCCCCTACTGGGAAGTGAGGAGCCCCTCTGCCCAGCCAGCCGCCCCGTCTGGGAGGGAGGTGGCGGGGTCAGCCCCCCGCCCGGCCAGCCACCCCGTCCGGGAAGTGAGGGGCGCCTCTGCCCGGCCGCCCCTACCGGGAAGTGAGGAGCCCCTCTGCCCGGCCAGCCGCCCCATCCAGGAGGGAGGTGGGGGGGGTCAGCCCCCCGTCCGGCCAGCCGCCCCGTCTGGGAGGTGAGGGGCGCCTCTGCCCGGCCGCGCCTACTGGGAAGTGAGGAGCCCCTCTGCCTGGCCACAACCCCGTCTGGGAGGTGTACCCAACAGCTCATTGAGAACAGGCCATGATGACAAGGGTGGTTTTGTGGAATAGAAAGGGGGGAAAGGTGGGGAAAAGATTGAGAAATCGGATGGTTGCCATGTCTGTGTAGAAAGAGGTAGACATGGGAGACTTTTCATTTTGTTCTGTACTAAGAAAAATTCTTCTGCCTTGGGATCCTGTTGATCGGTGACCTTACCCCCAACCCTGTGCTCTCTGAAACATGTGCTGTATCCACTCAGGGTTGAATGGATTAAGGGCGCTGCAAGATGTGCTTTGTTAAACAGATGCTTGAAGGCAGCATGCTCCTTAAGAGTCATCACCACTCCCTAATCTCAAGTACCCAGGGACACAAACACTGCGGAAGGCCGCAGGGTCCTCTGCCTAGGAAAACCAGAGACCTTTGTTCACTTGTTTATCTGCTGACCTTCCCTCCACTATTGTCCTGTGACCCTGCCAAATCCCCCTCTGCGAGAAACACCCAAGAATGATCAATAAAAAAAAAAAAATAATAATAATAATTAAAAAAAAAAGAAAATTCTTTTCTTTAAGGACGTTGAATATTGTCCCCCACTCTCTTCTGGCTTGTAGAGTTTCTGCCAAGAGATCAGCTGTTAGTCTGATGGGCTTCCCTTTGTGGGTAACCCGACCTTTTTCTCTGGCTGCCCTTAACGTTTTTTCCTTCATTTCAACTTTGGTGAATCTGACAATTATGTGTCTTGGAGTTGCTGTTCTTGAGGAGTATCTTTGTGATGTTCTCTGCATTTCCTAAATGTGAATGTTGGCCTGCCTTGCTAGGTTGGGGAAGTTCTCCTGGATAATATCCTGCAGAGTGTTTTCCAACTTGGTTCCACTCTCCCCATCACTTTCAGGTACACCAATCAGATGTAGATTTGGTCTTTTCACATAGTCCCATATTTCTTGGAGGCTTTGTTCATTTTTTTAAATTCTTTTTTCTCTAAACTTCTCTTCTCACTTCATTTCTTCATCTGATATTCAATCACTGATACCCTTTCTTCCTGCTGATCAAATCGGCTACTGAGGCTTGTGCATTCGTCACGTAGTTCTTGTGCCATGGTCTTCAGTTCCATCAGGTCCTTTAGGGACTTCTCTGCATTGGTTATTCTAATCAGCCATTCGTCTAATCTTTTTTCAAGGTTTTTAACTTCTTTTCAATGGGTTCGAACTTCCTCCTTTAGCTCGGAGAAATTTGATTGTCTGAAGTCTTCTTCTCTGAAGACGTCTTCTCAAAGTCATTCTCCATCCAGCTTTGTTCCATTGCTGGTGAGGAGCTGCGTTCCTTTGGAGGGGGAGAGGCACTCTGATTTTTAGAATTTTCAGTTTTTCTGTTCTGTTTTTTCCCCATCATTGTGGTTTTATCTATCTTTGGTCTTTGATGATGGTGACGTACAGATGGGGTTTTGGTGTGGATGTCCTTTCTGTTTGTTAGTTTTCCTCCTAACAGTTAGGACCCTCAGCTGCAGGTCTGTTGGAGTTTGCTGGAGGTCTAGTCCAGACCCTGTTTGCCTGGGTATCAGCAGCGGAGGCTGCAGAACAGCGAATATTGCTGAACAGCAAATGTTGCTGTCTGATTGTTCCTCCGGAGGTTTCCTCTCAGAGGGGTACCCGGCCGTGTGAGGTGTCCATCTATCCCTACTGGGGTGTGCCTCCAATTTAGGCTACTTGGGGGTCAGGGACCCACTTGAGGAGGCAGTCTGTCTGTTCTGAGATCTCAGACTCCATGCTGGGAGAACCACTACTCTCTTCAAAGCTGTCAGACAGGGACATTTATGTCTGCAGAGGTTTCTGCTGCCTTTTGTTTGGCTCTGCCCTGCCCCCAGAGGTGGAGTCTACAGAGGCAGGCAGGCCTCTGTGAGCAGTGGTGGGTTCCGCCCAGTTTGAGCTTCCTGGTGCTTTGTTTACCTACTCAAGCCTCAGCAATGGTGGGTGCCCCTCCCCCAGCCTTGCTGTCACTTTGCAGTTGGATCTCAGACTGCTGTGCTAGCAATGAGCAAGGCTTCGTGGGTGTGGGACCCTCTGAGCCAGGTGCAGGATATAATCTCCTGGTGTGCCGTTTGCTAAGACCATTGGAAAAGTGCAGTATTAGGGTGGGAGTGACCCAATTTTCCAGGTGCCATCTGTCACAGCTTTGCTTGGCTATGAAAGGGAATTCCCTGACCACTTGTGCTTCCTGGGTGAGGCGGCTCCTCACTGTGCTTCGGCTCACACTCGGTGCGCTGCATCCACTGTCCTGCACCGACTATCCGACAAGCCCCAGTGAGATGAACCCAGTACCTCAGTTGGAAATGCAGAAATCACCCATCTTCTGTGTTGCTCATGCTGGGAGCTGTAGACTGGAGCTGTTCCTATTTGGCCATCTTGGAACCGCCCCCAGAGCCAGTGTTAGGTTTGAATTTGAACTCTACATTTACTGTGATCTTGAAAAAGCTTCATTCATTCATTCATTCATTCATTCATTCAATGTGTATTGGATACCTACTATGTGTCAGGCACTATTTAAGGCACTTATGATATGTTAGCGAACAAAGGAGTAAAAATTCCTTTCACCTGGGAGCTTATAGTCTTCCAGTGGAGACAGATAATAAATATAGTAAATATGGAAATTATCTAATATGTTGGAAGATGATTAGTACTATGGAAAAATAGAAAGTAGAGCAGGATAAGAATATTTGGAAACTGAGGTTTACAGTTTAGAAAAAAATCAGGTTTCCTTCACCTGCTTCTAGTCTTTGATTAAATTTCACTTTCTCAATGAGGAGGTCTATCCTGACCTTAAACAGTGAATCAATAAAAAACCTGCTCCACCATTGGCCTCCCCCAACCCATAGAAGGAATCTCCTCCTTCTAACTTCTCATACCAAAACCTTGTAGTTATCCTTAAATCCTGTCTTTCTCTCACATTCCCCATCTAATCTGTCACTAATCTTTTCAGCTCCCCACCATTTCTCCTGCATTCACTCTGGCCTGTTGAATGCCCCTCAAAAGATATATCCACATCCAAACCCCTCTAACCTGTGAATATGACCTTATTTGCAAAAGACATTTATAACTGTCTATCCTAACCTCCACATTGAGAAAGTGAAATTTAACCAGACTAGAAGGAGGTGAAGGAATTGGCCACCCAGACCTCGGGAGAAGATCAGGGCACTGAGATGGGGTCATTGCTGGTGTGTTCAAGGGACAGCAAGGAAGCCAGTGTGGCTGGAGTGGAGGAGCAGGAGGGAAAGCAGGAGGGGAGGAAATCAGAGAGGAAATGGGGGGAGAGTGGAAGCAGATTCCTCAGGGCTTCGCACATACTTTGACTTTTACTCTGAATGAAATGGGAAGCCACTGTAGGAGCTTCCATTATGAGCAAGGGAGTGATCTGACTTTTGATTCAACAGAATCTTCTGCCTGCTAGTTGAGATTAGACGATAGGGATGTGTATTCGTTTTCTGCAGCTGCCAAAACAAATGACCACAAACGGGATGGTTCAAGACATCAGAAATTTATTCTCACAGTTTTGGAGGCTGGAGATCTGGTCAAGGTGTTGGAAGAGGTGTACTCCCTCTGGGGCTGTATTAATCAGGATTCTCCAGAGAAACAGAACTAATAGGGTGTGTGTGTGTGTGTATGTGTTTATATGTATATGTACATAGATGGTCCCTGACTTACAGTGGTTTGACTTAATAATTTTTTGACTTCACAATGGTGTGAAAGTGACACACATTCAGTAGAAACCTACTTTGAATTTTGATCTTTTCAATAAATCACGTGAGATAATCAATACTTTGTTATAAAATAGTCTTTGTGTTAGCTGATTTTGCCAAACTGTAGGCTGATGTAAATGTTCTGAGGACGTTTAAAGTAGGCTAGGCTAATCTATGATGTTCAGTAGGTTAGTTGTCTTACATGCATTTTTGACTTACAATATTTTCCATGTACAATGGGTTTATCGGATTATAACCCTGCTCAAATCGAGCCATCCTCTGTGTATGTATGTGTACACACACACATAGACACACACACACATGCACACACACGTATGCAGAGATTTGTTATAAGGAAATGGTTCACATGATTTTGGAGGCTGAGAGGTCCCAAGGTCTGCAATTGGCAAGCTGGAGACCCAGAAGAGCCAATGTGTATCTCCAGCACAAGTCCAAAAGCAGGAAAAGACCAGTGTCTTGGCTCAATCAGTCAAGCAGGAGGAGTTATCTTACTGGGGGAGGGTCAGCCTTTTTGTTCTATTGAGGCCTTCAATTGATTGGTGGAGACCCTCTCACATTACGGAGAGAAATCTGCTTTACTCTTCTACTGATTTAAGTGTTATTCTCATCCAGAACACTCTCACCAGACACACAGAGTAATGTTGACAAAATACCTGGGCACCCTTGGCCCAGTCAAGTTGCCACATAAAAGTAACCATCACAGGCTCTAGGAGAGAACCTGTTCTTTGCCTCTTCCAGCAAGTAGTGGCTCCAGATATTCCTTGGTTTATGGCTGCATAATTCCAATCTCTGCTGCCATCTTCACGAACCCTTCTCTCTCTCAAATCTCCCTCTACTTTACTCCTAGGGGGACACTTGTCATTGGATTTAGCCCACTCAGATAATGCAGGATGATCTCATCTTGAGATTCTCAATTATATCTGCAAAAAGGTCTTTTGCAAATACGGTCATATTCGCAGGTTACAGGGGTTAGGATGTGGATGTATCTTTTTGGGGGCATACAACCTATGACTGGGGACAAGGTCAGTGGTAGGGAGATTGGTTAGGAGGCTACTGCAGAAATCCAAGCAGATGATAATGGCTTAGGCCAGAGTGAATGCAGGAGAAATGATGGGGAGCTGAAAAGATTAATGACAGATTGGATGGGGAGTGTGAGAGAAAGACAGGATTCAAGGATAACCCCAAGGTTTCAGTATGAGAAGTTAGAAGGATGGGATTCCTTCTATGGGTTGGGGGAGGCCAGTGGTGGAGCAGGTTTTTGATTGATTCACTGTTTACATTAATTTTTGGTGGAGCAGATCCAGAGTTCAGTTTTGGATATATTAAGTTTGAAGTGTGTTAGGCATTCAAGTGGAGCTATTAAGCAGGCAGTGGGATTTATAAGTCTGAAAACTGAGAGGAGACATGTAGACTGGAGATGTGAATTTGGGAATTGTCAGTGTAGAGAAGGTATCTTAAAGCCTCATGACAAAGTTTCTTAACCTCAAGGAATAAGAATCCAATTATATGGAAAGTTGTGTGGAATCCAATTTGTCTGGGAAGGGTGAGTCCCAGGCTCATCTGGGGTGAGACACTTTAGTCCTTGCTACTCCTGGGACTTGCTACTCCTGCATTGACATCACCTGGGAGCTTGGGGCAGCTTGTCAGAAATGCAGAAGCTCAGACCCCACCCCAACCCACAGCATGAGAACATGCACAGTACAAGATCCCAGGTGTTTTCAAGGCACGTGGAAGTTTGAGAAGTGCCATTTTCATCAGTACAGTTACTCACCTCACTTTCAGTGTTTGCAGGATGGGCTTAATTTAAATTTTCTAGGAACACTCATTTACAATGTCTGCTAGAGTGAAACAAAGGATTAGGGAAAATTCTACAGGAAAGGGCAGGCACCTCATTATCTAAAAGGTGTCTCCAGAGGTCCAGCAAGGTGCATCAGCCTCAGGAGAAGGCAGATGTGAAGGTGCAGGTGAATGGGGATCCTCGCTTGTTGACTGCTTGACTCCTCAGTACCAGTCTTCACAGCACAAGAGTCCTTGTGGTATTTATTCTCTTTCTCCAACCCCCTTTCACCACCTCCTGATACAATAATTACAAATTTTACAGTCCTTAAAGGATCTGGGGGGCACCTCAGGTGCATAGATTTTTTTAACAGATAAAATATGATTTCTCTAAAAGTCTTAAAACATGTATTTTAGAAGGTGAGTCTATCTTTTTCCCTCTGTTCAGTAAGGTTTGTACAAAAATAATCTATAAATCCTTGTGTGTGTAGGTGAATAGACTAATTTTAGGAGATGCTGTCTCCTGGGAGAATGGCTCACAGCCTGAGGACAGAGGTACTGATGTAATTCATCTTAACCCATGATTTGAGAAATCCACTTTCAAATATTTGCTTTATGAGGATTTTGAAAATAGGTATGTCTTGTTTTATATAGTAGGCCCATTTCAGAAGACTTCTCATGAAAGCCAACTTCTAGAAACCAAGCCACATTTCTCCATTAACTAATGTGATCCTTTCAGAGACACTTTGCCCTCATTTCTGAGTGAGGCACAAGCAGAACTTATCTCAGCTTGGGAATAAGGTGACCAACTGTCACTGTCTGCCTGTGACTGAGAGGTTTCCTGGGATAAGGGCCCTTTAAAAAAATAAACAATACTTTTAGAGTAGTTTTAGGTTCCCAGCATAAATGAACAGAAAGTACAGAGACTTCCCATATTACCTCCTTCCCCAACACATGCACAGCCTCCTCCACTATCAACAACCACCACAGAGGGAACATGTGCTACAATCAATTGAGCCTACTTTGACACGTTATTATCACCCCAAATCCACAGTTTACATCAGGGTTGGTGTTGTATATTCTATGGTTTTGGACAAATGTATAATGACATGCATCCACCATTATAGTATCATACAGAATAGTTTCAGTGCTCCAAGAATCCTCTGTGTGCCACCCACTTAGCCCTCCTTTCTCCCAAATCCCTGACAAACAGTGATCTTTTTACTGTCTCCATGGATTTGCCTTTTCCAGAATGTTATATAGTTAGAATTGTATAGTATATAGCCTTTTTAGATTGGCTTCTTTTACTTAGTAATAGGCATTTCCTCCATGTCTTTTCCTGGCTTGATAGCTCATTTCTTTTTAGTGCTGAATAATATTCCATTGTCTGGATGTATCACTGCACTGCTTACTTATACATTCATCTACTGAAGGATATCTTGTTTGCTTCCAAGTTTTGGCAATTATGAATAAAGCTGCCATAAACATCCATGTACAGATTTTTGTGTAGACAAAAATTTTCAACTTATTTGAGTAAATACATATGAGCATGATTGCTGGATCCTGCGTTAACAGGATATAAGAAATTGCCGAACTGTCTTCCAAAGTGGCTGTAACATTTTGCATTCCCATTGGCAATGAATTAAAATTCTTGTTGCTTCATATCCTCACCAGTATTTGGTATTGTTAGTGCTTGGAATTTTGGCTATTCTAACAGGTGTGTAGAGGTATTTCATTGTTGTTTTAATTTGCAATTTCCTAGTGACATTTGATGCATCTTTTTATATATTTATTTGCCATCTGTGTATCATCTTTGGTGAAGTATCTGTTCAGGTCTTTTTATTTTTTAATCAGGTTATTTTTTTCATACTGCTGAGTTTTACAAGTTCTTTGTAAATTTTGGATTAAAAGTTCTTTATTAGATATGTCTTTTGCAAATACTTTTCTCATCTGTGGTTTGTCTTCTCATTCTCTTGATCATGTCTTTCATAGAAGAGAATTTTTTTATTGTAAGGAAGTGTAGCTCATCAATTATTTCTTTCATAGATCGTGCCTTCGGTATTGTGTCCAGAAAGTCATTACCATACCCAAGAGTATCTAGATTTTCTCCTGTTATCTTCAAATAGTTTTATAGTTTTGCAGTTTATACTTAGGTGTATGATCTGTTCTGAGTTAATTTTTTTTTATTATTATACTTGAAGTTCTAGGGTACATGTGCCCAACATGCAGGTTTGTTATGTATGTATACATGTGCCATGTTGGTGTGCTGCACCCATAAACTCATCATTTACATTAGGTATATCTCCTAATGCTATCCCTCCCCACTCCCACCACCCTACGACAGGCCTCAGTGTGCGATGTTCCCCTTCCTGTGTCCAAGTGTTCTCATTGTTCAATTCTCAGCTATGAGTGAGAACATGTGGTGTTTGGTTTGTTGTCCTTGCGATAGTTTGCTGAGAATGATGGTTTCCAGCTTCATCCATGTCCCTACAAAGGACATGGGCTCATCCTTTTTTATGGCTGCATAGTATTCCATGGTGTATATGTGCCACATTTTCTTAATCCAGTCTATCATTGATGGACATTTGGGTTGGTTCCAAGTATTTGCTATTGTGAATAGTGCCGCAATAAACATATGTGTGCATGTGTCTTTATAGCAGCATGCTTTATAATCCTTTGGGTATATACCCAGTAATGGGATGGCTGGGTCAAATGGTATTTCTAGTTCTAGATCCCTGAGGAATCATCACACTGTCTTCCACAGTGGTTGAACTAGTTTACATTCCCCCCAACAGTGTAAAAGTGTTCCTATTTCTCCACATCCTTTCCAGCACCTGTTGTTTCCTGACTTTTTAATGATTGCCATTCTAACTGGTGTGAGATGGTATCTCATTGTAGTTTTGATTTGCATTTCTCTGGTGGCCTGTGATGATGAGCATTTTTTCATGTGTCTTTTGGCTGCATAAATGTCTTCTTTTGAGAAGTGTCTGTTCATATCCTTCGCCCACTTCTTGATGGGGTTGTTTGATTTTTTCTTGTAAATTTGTTTGAGTTCACTGTAGATTCTGGATATTAGCCCTTTGTCAGATGAGTACACTGCAAAAATGTTCTCCCATTCTGTAGGTTGCCTGTTCACTCTGATGGTAGTTTCTTTTGCTGTGCAGAAGCTCTTTAGTTTAATTAGATCCCATTTGTCAATTTTGTCTTTTGTTGCCATTGCTTTTGGTGTTGTAGACATGAAGTCCTTGCCCATGCCTATGTCCTGAATGGTATTGCCTAGGTTTTCTTCTAGGGTTTTTATGGTTTTAGGTCTGACATTTAAGTCTTTAATCCATCTTGAATTAATTTTTGTATAAGGTGTAAAGAAGGGGTCCAGTTTCAGCTTTCTACATATGGCTAGCCAGTTTTCCCAGCACCATTTATTAAATAGGGAATCCTTTCCCCATTTCTTGTTTTTCTCAGGTTTGTCAAAGATCAGATAGTTGTAGATGTGTGGTATTATTTCTGAGGGCTCTGTTCTGTTCCATTGGTCTATATTTCTGTTTTGGTACCAGTACCATGCTGTTTTGGTTACTGTAGCCTTGTAGTATAGTTTGAAGTCAGGTAGCGTGATGCCTCCAGCTTTGTTCTTTTGGCTTAGGATTAACTGGGCAATGCAGGCTCTTTTTTGGTTCCATATGAACTTTAAAGTAGTTTTTTCCAATTCTGTGAAGAAAGTCATTGGTAGCTTGATGGGGATGGCATTGAATCTATAAATTACCTTGGGCAGTATGGCTACGTTCATGATATTGATTCTTCCTATCCATGAGCATGGAATGTTCTTCCATTTGTTTGTGTCCTCTTTTATTTCATTGAGCAGTGGTTTGTAGTTCTCCTTGAATAGGTCCTTCACGTCCCTTGTAAGTTGTATTCCTAGGTATTTTATTCTCTTTGAAGCAATCGTGAATGGGAATTCACTCATGATTTGGTTCTCTGTTTGTCTGTTATTGGTGTATAAGAATGCTTGTGATTTTTGTACATTGATTTTGTATCCTGAGACTTTGCTGAAGTTGCTTATCAGCTTGAGGAGATCTTGGGCTGAGACAATGGGGTTTTCTAAATATACAATCATGTCATCTGCAAACAGGGACAATTTGACTTCCCCTTTTCCTAATTGAATACCCTTTATTTCTTTCTCCTGCCTGGTTGCCCTGACCCGGACTTCCAACACTATGTTGAATAGGAGTGGTGAGAGAGGGCATCCCTGTCTTGTGCCAGTTTTCAAAGGGAATGCTTCCAGTTTTTGCCCATTCAGTATGATATTGGCTGTGGGTTTCTCATAAATAGCTCTTATTATTTTGAGATACGTCCCATCAATACTGAACTTATTGAGAGTTTTTAGCATGAAGGGCTGTTGAATTTCGTCAAAGGCTTTTTCTGCATCTATGGAGATAACCATGTGGTTTTTGTCTTTGGTTCTGTTTATATGCTGGATTACATTTATTGATTTGCATATATTGAACCAGCCTTGCATCCCAGGTATGAAGCCCACTTGATCATGGTGGATAAGCTTTTTGATGTGCTGCTGGATTCGGTTTGCCAGTATTTTATTAAGGATTTTTGCATCAATGTTCATCAGAGATATTGTCTAAAATTCTCTTTTATTGTTGTGTTTCTGCCAGGCTTTCGTATCAGGATGATGCTGGCCTCATAAAATGAGTTCGGGAGGATTCCCTTTTTCTATTGTTTGGAATAGTTTCAGAAGGAATGGTACCAGCTCCTCCTTGTACCTCTGGTAGAATTCGGCTGTGAATCCGTCTGGTCCTGGACTTTTTTTGGTTGGTAGGCTATTAATTATTGCCTCAATTTCAGAGCCTGTTATTGGTCTATTCAGAGATTCAACTTCTTCCTGGTTTAGTCTTGGGAGGGTTTATGTGTCCAGGAATTTATCCATTTCTTCTAGATTTTCTAGTTTATTTGCGTAGAGGTGTTTATAGTATGCTCTGATGGTAGTTTGTATTTCTGTGGGATCGGTGGTGATATCCCCTTTATCATTTTTTTATTGCATCGATATGATTCTTCTCTCTTTTCCTCTTTATTGGTCTTGCTAGTGGTCTATCAATTTTGTTGATCTTTTCAAAAAGCAGCTCCTGGATTCATTGATTTTTTGAAGGGTTTTTTGTGTTTCTATCTCCTTCATTTCTGCTCTGATCTTAGTTATTTCTTGCCTTCTGCTAGCTTTTGAATGTGTTTGCTCTTGCTTCTCTAGTTCTTTTAATTGTGATGTTAGGGTGTCAATTTTAGATCTTTCCTGCTTTCTCTTGTGGGCATTTAGTGCTATAAGTTTCCCTCTACACACCACTTTAAATGTGTACCAGAGATTCTGGTATTTTGTGTCTTTGTTCTCATTGGTTTCAAAGAACATCTTTATTTCTGCCTTCATTTCCTTATGTACCCAGTAGTCATTCAGGAGCAGGTTTTTCAGTTTCCATGAAGTCGAGTGGTTTTGAGTGAGTTTCTTAATCCTGAGTTCTAGTTTGATTGCACTGTGGTCTGAGAGACAGTTCGTTATAATTTCTGTTCTTTTACATTTGCTGAGGAGTGCTTTACTTCCAACTATGTGGTCAATTTTGGAATAAGTGTGATGTGGTGTTGAGAAGAATGTATATTCTGTTGATTTGGAGTGGAGAGTTCTGTAGCTGTCTATTAGGTCCACTTGGTGCAGAGCTGAGTTCAATTCCTGGATATCCTTGTTAACTTTCTGTCTCATTGATCTGTCTAATGTTGACAGTCGGGTGTTAAAGTCTCCCATTATTATTGTGTGGGAGTCTAAGTCTCTTTGTAGGTCTCTAAAGACTTGCTTTATGAATCTGGGTGCTCCTGTATTGGGTGCATATATATTTAGGATAGTTAGCTCTTCTTGTTGAATTGATCTCTTTACCATTATGTAATGGCCTTCTTTGTCTCTTTTGATCTTTGTTGGTTTAAAGTCTGTTTTATCAGAGACTAGGCATTATGACAGCTATGACTTCACTAGGTGATAGGAAGTTTTCAGCTCCATTATAATCTTATGGGACCACTGTTGTATATGTAGCTCACTGTTGACCAAAATGCCATTATACAGCACATGACTGTAGTGATCCCAGGATAGATAGATAGATAGATAGATACACACACACACATAGTAAAGTGATTCCTACATTCAAGCAATTTAACATATCCACCATATATCCAAACAGCTTTGTGTATGCCAATCAGACCTCAATAAAGTGGTTACATATACAAGTGGTTACTCCAGCCCAGGCTAGAGTGCAGTGGTGGTGTGATCTGGGCTCACTGCAGCCTTTGCCTCCCAGGTTCAAGCTATCCTCATGCCTCAGCCTCCCTTGTAGCTGGGATTACAGGAATTCATCATTGTGCCCGGCTAATTTTTGTATTTTTAGTAGAGACAGGGCTTCACTATGTTGGCCAGGCTGGTCTTGAACTCCTGGCCTCAAGTGATCCACCCCCCACTGGGCCTCCCAAAGTGCCGGGATTACAGGCATGAGCCACTGTGCCTAGCCATGATGTCTTTTAATTGGTGTGTTTGGACCATTGACATTTAAAGTAATTGTTGATATAGTTGGATTAATATATATCATTTTTTGTTACTGTTTTCTATTTATTCCTTTTGTTCTTTGTTCCTATTTGTCTTCCATTATTTTTCTACCTTTTTTGGTTTTAATTGAGCACTTTATGTGATTCTACTGTCTTTTTTTTTTTTAGCATATCCATCAAATGCTAAAAAGCGTATACTTTTACATTTTGAAGTGGTTGGCATATAGTTTGCAATATACATTTACGATGAATCCAAGTTCATTTTCAAAAAATACTATATTGCTTCCCGGGTAATGCTAGTAGCTTATAATAAAAAAATACTCATATTCTCCCTCCCATCTCTTTCATCATTGCTGTTATTCATTTCACTTATGCATAAGCCGTAATCATTGTTAACATTGTTGCTATTATTATTTTGAACAAACTGTTGTTAGATCAATTAAGAATGAGAAAATAAGAGATTTTAATTTACTTTCAATTCTTCCTTCTCTAATGTTCTTTCTTTTTAAATGTAAATCTGAGTTTCTGGTCTTTATAATTTTCTTATTTGAAGAGGTTTTAGCATTTCTTACAAGGCAGGTGTAATGGTAACAAATTTTCTTAATTTTTGCTTTTCTAAGAAAGTCTTTATTTCTCCTTTACTTTTGAAGGATAATTTCACAGAATATGGAATTCCAGGTTGGGGAGTTTTCTTTTTCTTAACATTTTAAATATTTCATCCCATTATCTCCTTGTTTGAATGTTTTCTGAAGAGTCAGATGTAATTAATATCTTTGCTCCTCTATAGGTAAGGATTTTTTTTTCTCCTTTGGTTTCTTAAGAGTTTTTCATCTTTGGTTTTCTGCAGTTTAAATTTAAGGCTCATGCCTTTAATACCAGCACTTTGGGAGGCTGAAGTGGCAAAATTGCTTGAGCCCAGGAGTTTGAGACTAGCCTGGGCAACATGGTGAAACTCTGGCTAATTTTTGTATTTTGTTATCGAGACAAAAATTAGCCAGGTGTGGTGGCATGTGCCTGTCTCTCATCTACTCAAGAGGCTGAGGTGGGAGGATTGCTTGAGCCCAGGAGGTCAAGGCTACAGTGAGTGGTGATCACACTTATGTACTCCAGCCCAGCCTGGATGACAGACCCTCAAAAAAAAATAAATGAAATAAAATAAAAAATAAAAAGAAAATAAAAGAAAAATATTAAATGCCCAGTGTGGTTTTTCTTTTTTTTTTTTTTTTTGGCATTTGTCCTGCTTGGTGTTGTCTGTGGTTTGGTGTCTGACAGTAATTTTGGGGAAATTCTCAGTCATTATTGCTTCAAATATTGCTTGTTTTCCTTTCTTTCTTCTTCTGGTATTCTCATCACATGCGTGTTACTACATCATTTGTAGTTGTCCCACAGTTTTTGGATATTCTGTATTGCTTTTTTTCAGTCTTTTTTCTCTCTGATTTTCAGTTTTAAAATTTCTACTGACATATGCTCAAGCTCAAAGTTTCTTTCCTCAGCCATGTCCAGTCTACAAAAGAACCCATGGAAGGTATTCTTCAAGTCTGTTACAGTGGTTTTTATTTTATTTTTTATTATTTTTAGAGGTAGGTTCTTGTTCTGTAGCCTAGGCTAGAGTGCAGTGACGCAGTCATAGCTCACTGCAGCCTCAAACTCCTGGGCTGCAGCAGTCCTGTGGCCTAGCCTCCCAAGTAGCTGGGACTACTGGCACACGCCACCATGCCTGGCTAATTTTTAAAACATTTTTATAGAGATAGGGTATCACTGTGTTGCCCAGGCTGGTCTTGAACTCCTGGCTTCAAGCAATCCTCCCACTTTGGCATCCCAAAGTGCTGGGATTGCAGGTGTGAGCCCCTGTGCCTAGCCTGTTAGTTACAATGCTTTTTATTTCTAGCATTTCTGTTTAATTCTTTCTTAGAATTTCCATCTCTCTGCTTATGTTACACATCTGTTTTTGCATGTTGTCTATTTTTTTCCGTTAGAACCCTTATCATATAAATCATAGTTGTCTTAAACTCTTGTCTGATAGTTCCAACCATCCTGCCACACCTGACTTTAGTTCTGACACTTGTTCAGTCTCTTCAAAATGTGTTTTTGGCCTTTTAGTGTGCCTGCAATTTTTTTCTTAATAGCCACACCTGGATGAAGGGAACTCTGGTAAATGGGCATTTAGATGTGTGGTGGTGAGGTGTTGGCTGGGGGAGGTGCTCTATAGCCCTATAATTGGATTGTGGTCTTTTAGTGAGCCTGTGCCCCTGGACTGTGACCTTTATAATGTTCCCCAGTGTTCCCTGTCCCCCACCTTATGTAGGACAGGATGGTTAGAGGCGGTCCGAGTTGTGTATTCTCCTTCCCCCACATGGAAGGCCAGAGTGGGATGCAGTTGGGTATTTCCTTCCCCCAGTTAAGTTGGACTCTGATATAACCCCAACAGGGTAAGCTCTGTTAAAATATTTTTCTTGCGCGCAAGCCTTGTTAAGAAGTACAGAATTCCCTGGTGTATTTCAAAATGGCTGCTTTCCCCCTCTTTCTGCTGTAAGCAGGAGGGGATTTTTCTTCTGCCTTCACTGTGAGAACCTGGTAGGCTTCTAGAGATAAGACTCACAGAAGTGTGAGGGCCTTCCTATAACTGAGGCCCCCTGTAATTTTTAACTCTCAGGCTTGTCCACCCTGAGCCTCTGGCAATTCATCAATTACAGTTCAGGTCATCTTACTGCAGTACTGGTTCCCACACAGGTTTCTGCTCATGGGCTTCTGCTCTGGTGAGTTGTGATTTTCTGTCTCTGCCTGTCTATATGTCCAACTTTTGGGGCAGTGGTTTTCCCCATGAACCTTCCTTCTCTGACGGATCTGAAAAGAATTATTGATTTTTCAGTTTGTTTAGCTTTTTACTAGGACAAGGTGATGACTTCCAAACTCCTTACATGTCAGATCAGAAACTGGAAGTCAGATAAGGGCCTTGCCATACTAAAACAGGTGCAGTTCTGGGGAAACCAGGATGGTTGATCACTGTAATTGGGAGTAAAGATATCCTGGATCCCGTCTGGGCTCAGGTGAACCCCCTGGGACATGGAATTCAGTGTGTTGGAGCCTTAGCTTCCTTTGGGTGAAATGAGAGAGGGTTGACATTAGGCTTTCTTCTATCTACTTTTAAGTTGGTAGGATCTGATTTTCTTATGCTGGGTATTCTTAAAGCAAGACATTTCTGGACTTAAACTAGTGGAGACTACTTGCTAGGAGACAAAACCTAATTCTCTTGTTAAACATTCTTATCCTTGACTTGGAATAATCATGGTTTGGAAGGCACAGTGACCCTTTGCTCTTAAAGGGCCTGCCTGCTGTTTTCACCCATTACGACATTTGTCACACAGCAGGGAGTTTTTGCCCTTTAACATCACCTGTTTCAAAACAGAACAATTTTGGTAGGTATGGACTTAGGATATTCTGCTGTTTTTGGTTGAACTTGACTGAAGGGATCTTGACTGAAAGTAGAAGAAGTAGGAGTGGGGCAGGGGTATGGTGTGAAGGCCTGGCCCAGCCTATTAACCGAGGACACTGCAGGTTGACCTCTGATTTATTTCTTTCCAAATGGCTTCCAGCCTCTGCATCTCCAATTATTCCATGATCCCTGATTTGCCCAGCAACATAATCAGAAACATTGAGTGCATCTTTATCTTTGAAAGTCCACAGCAGAGAAATAGCTAAGGGAATTTTTATGAAATTGTAATGTGCCCACTTGAACACAAACCCTAATTTCCTAAAGTCTAGCTGCAGTTTGAAGAATTGCCTAATTTTTAAAAGTTGAATTTTGCTGTCAGAGAGGCTGCCTATACTTACTGCCAGCATTGTTATTTATCTTTATATATTTTAGTCTTAGCTCTTGAGTATAAAAAGCTCTCTCCTTCCTTCCCTTCCAAGAGTTGAGTTTCAACTGCGTGACTAGATTGTACAATTTTGCCCAGGCTTAAGGCTTCGCAGGGAAATGGAACATGCTGCTGTCTCATTGTTTCTTCTGGCAAAGGACAGATTTTCCCAGTGGCAAATAGACATGGGGAGAGGTCAAACGTTTCTAAAAGGCAGAATGGGCCTTAAGAAGTCTTCTGCTCCAGCTCTTTGCTTCCTGGCAGAATCATATTCAAACCATTCCAGGTAGAAAAGGGGGTGTCACAATGTCTCTTGGGAATAATTTCGTTCCCAAAAGAGTCTTGTGGAAGGTCTTTAATTTCAAGCCAAGTCATCCACAATTGCAGAGGACAACACTACATAACAGGTATGGTTTAAGTACTGGGATACAGCAGTAAGCAAGATAGGTGAATAAATAAGAAAATCAGTAATACTATCAAGAGAATAAAACAGGGACATGTGGTAGAAAGGCCTAGGGATGCAGTGAGGGTTACAGACCTTGAAAGGAAATGGGCCAGGAGAGGTTGGGTGAAGTATGTGGTCATATTTAAGATGAGATCTGGATGACAGTCTTTTAGATTCTATCCCATAGACAACCGGGAACCAGCAAAGATTTCTCAAATGGGTGAACACAGTATAATGTAATCAATAATCCATGATCATACCTAGATAAGCATATATGTCTTATTTTTTAGAAGAAGCTCAGCCTGGCCAACATGGCAAAACCCTATCTCTACTAAAAAAAAAAAAAAAAAAAAAAAAATTAGGCAAGCACCTGCCTGTAACCCCAGCTACTTGGGAGGCTGAGGCACGAGAATTGCTTGAACGTGGGAGGCGGAGGTTACAGGGAGCTGAGACCATGCCAACCTGGGTGACAAAGCAAGACTCCATCTCAAAAAAAGGAAGAACCTCTGTGAAGTAACTATTATTCCAATTTTACATGCAAACACTAAGATTCAGAGGCCTCAGTGACCTTGTGCCGGAGGGGACCGACAGTCTCTTATTCCTTTTGATGAGAAATGTGGAGACCCCTTTCCTTTTCTCATTTCCTTCCGTTTCCCAAGTCCACACAGGTAGTCTAAGGAACTGGCTCTTTCCCACATGTTGTCTGTTTGATCTTGGGTCAGTCAGCTTTGGAATGAATTTGCCTATCTATACATGGATGAGGTGCCCTTGAGAGGCCTCACAGACTTCAAATATTTTGAGCATGGAATTCATCCTTATATACACTCTTTTTAGGCCCAAGGGAAGCAAGATGTGTGTGTTGGGGGGACTTCTGGCTCTTTTTATGAGTTGAGGGATGGTAAAACAGGAAGCCATTTCCTCCCCTCCTGTGGCCTGGAGGGAGAACCACAGAACACACTGGGGTCCTTGCCAGCCTGCTTTGGGGGTGTTCAGCTGCTTTTGAGACTCCACATTCCACCTGGTCCTTGTAATAAATGGGTGCACACATGTTTATCTTCCCGCTTACCACCATCCTCATGATAGTGGACTTAACAGTGACCTATTAGGCTGTTTATTACGAGGTGAGGAGTAAAAACAGTCTTTGTTAGTTTCTCAAAAAGTAGGTCAAACATACCGAATCTGTTATCGTGTTATTTAATCTTCAGATATTAACTCCCATCTATTCTGCAACCTCCCCTGGGGAGTTTGCAATGAGAAGGGATGTTTTATAGCCTGGAATGTGTGTTTGATGATCTCTGCCTCATTAAATTGGAATAGAACCCGTCATTTGTTCTTCTAATAGACACTTAAACAACACACCATATATTAGCACTCTTTGTTACAGTTTCTCTTTGAGATACCTAAGCAGTCAGAAGGAAGCCAAGGTCTTTACCCTGCTCAACCTTCCCCCACCCAAATGCCCCGGCCATTTCTGGGACTGTTAACAATAGATGTTAGGACGGCTTACCCCTCTTCCACAGGACAATGGCTCTATTTTTTTTTGTGGTGAGGGGAGGTTGGTGATGACTTAAGCAATTGTTTGTGGTAAAATACATATAATAAAATATGTACCATCTTAACCACTTTTAAGGTATAGTTCAGTGGGATTAAGTATATTTATATTGTTGTGCAGCCATCACCACCATTCACCTACCATACTTTCTTATCTTGCAAACCCAAAATTGGATGCCCATGAAACATTAACTCATCCTTTCTTCCTCTCCCCTAGCTCCCTGGCAACTACCATCTTACTTTCTGTCTCTATGAATCTGGCTACTTTAGGTACCTATTGGGAGTGGAATTTGTCCTTATTTCACTGGCTTATTTCACTCAGCATAATGTCCTCAGCGTTCATCCATGTCATAGCCTGTGTCAGAATTTCCTTTTTGTTTGGGCTGGGCGCAGTGGCTCATGCCTGTAATTCCAGCACTTTGGGAGGCCAAGGTGGGCAGCTCACTTGAGGTCAGGCGTTTGAGACCAGCCTGGCCAACATGGTGAAACCCTGTCTCTATGAAAAATACAAAAAATTAGCTGGGCGTGGTGGCACAGGCCTGTAATCCCAGCTACTTGGGGGGCTGAGGCACGAGAATTGCTTGAACCTGGGAGGCGGAGGTTAGAGTGAGCCGAGATCATGCCACTGCATTCCAGCCTGGGCCACAGAGTGAGACTCTGTCTCAAAAAAAAAAAAAAAAATTCTCTTCCTTTTTTAGGGCTGAGCAGTGTTCTGTTCAATGTATAGACTAGTTTTGTTTCTCAGCTCCTCAGTCAGTGGATACTTGGTTTGCATTCGTCTTTTGGTTATTGTGAATAAATGAGGCTGCTCTGAATGTGAGTACAAGTATCTGAGTTCCTGTTTTTCTTTTTTTCTCTTTCTTTCTTTCTTTCTTCCTTCCTTTCTTTCTTTCTTTTCTTTTCTTTTCTTTCTTTCTTTCTTTCTTTCTTTCTTTCTTTCTTTCTTTCTTTCTTCTTTCTTTCTCTTTCTTTCTTTTCTTTTTTCTTTCCCTTTCTTTCTCTTTCTTTCTTTCTCTCTCTCTCTCCCCTTCCCTCCTTCCTTCCTTCCTTCCTTCCTTCCTTCCTTCCTTCCTTCCTTCCTTCCTTCCTTCCTTCCTTTCTTTCTCTTTTGACAGAGTCTCTCACTCTGTCGCTCAGGCTGGAATGCAGTGGCATGATTATAGTTCACTGCAACCTCTGCTTCCTGAGTTTGAGGGACTGTTGTGCCTCAGCCTCCCGAGTAGCTGGGACTACAGGTGCCTGCCACCATGCCTGACTCAGTTTTGTGGTTTTAGTAGAGATGGGGCTTCGCCACGCTGGCCAGGCTGGTCTTGAACTCCTGGCTTCAAGTCATCTGCCTGCCTCGGCCTCCCAAAGTGCTGGGATTACAGACATGAGCCACTGTCCCTGGCCCTGAGTTCCTGATTTCAATTCTTTTGGTTAAATATCCGGAAGTGGAATTGCTGGATCATATGGTAGTTCTATTTTTGATTTTTTGAGGAAATGCTATACTGTTTTCCATAGCAGCTCCACCATTTTACTGAATCTATGTATAATTATTTTTATCATTTAAATTCTAATGATATATAATTCATTATACATTCAAATATTTTACAGAAAATTTTCCTTTACCTTAAAATATTCTTTATGTGTTTCCTTTGGATCCTTGTCAATAGATCTCCCTTTGGAGTCATCCTTGACTTGTCTTTTTTCCTCTATATCCAACATCCAAAGAATGAGGAAATTCTGTCAATTTGGTCTTCAAAATATATCCAGAATCCCATCAATTCTTACCATTTCCACTTGCCTGACTTGCCAGTCTGCTCTCCCCATAGCAGCTGGAACAGTATTTCTAAAACCTGTCAGATCATGTCATTCCTCGGCCTGAAATTCTCCTAAGGTCTTACCCATTTCATAAAACCAAAGGCCTTACCATGGCTGCGTGGCCCTTCCATCCCAGCCCCTCCTGAACTCGCCTCCTACCATCCCTGCCTTTCCTGAACTCACCTCCATCATTCCTGCCCCTCCTCCTGAACTTGCCTCCATCATCTCTGCCCCTCCTGAAATTGCCTCCCATCATCCCTGCTTCTCCTGAGCTTGCCTCCATAATCCCTTCCTCCCCTGAACTCTCCTCTTGTCATCCCTGCCCCTTCTCCTGAACTCGCCTCCATCATCCCTGCCTCTCCTGAACTAGCCTCCCATCATCCCTGCTTCTCCTGAACTTGCCTCTTGTCATCCCTGCTTGTCATGAACTCGCCTCCATCATCCCTGCCTCTCCTGAACTCGCCTCCATCATCCCTGCTCTTCCTGAGCTTGCCTCCCATCATCCCTGCCTCTCCTGAACTGGCCTCCATCATCCCTGCCTCTCCTGAACTCACCTCCCATCATCCCTGCCCCTCCTCTTGAATTTGCCTCCATCATCCCTGCCCCTCCTCCTGAATTTGCCTCCATCATCTCTGTCCCTCCTGAGCTGGCCTCCCATCATCCCTGCCTCTGCTTCTGAACTCGCCTCCATCATCCCTGCCCCTCCTGAGCTTGCCTCTCATCATCCCTGACTCTCCTGAACTCGCCTCCATCATCTATGCCTCTCCTGAACTCGCCTCTCATCATCCCTGCCCCTCCTCCTGAACTTGCCTCTGTCATCCCTGCCCCTCCTCCTGAACTCACCTCTGTCCTCCCTGCCCCTCCTGAACTTGCCTCCATCATCCCTGCCCCTCCTGAACTCACCTGTCATTATCCCTGCCCCTCCTGAACTCGCCTGTCATTATCCCTGCCCCTCCTCCTGAACTTGCCTGTCATTATCCCTGCCCCTCCTCCTGAACTAGCCTGTCATTATCCCTGCCCCTCCTCCTGAACTCGCCTGTCATTATCCCTGCCCCTCCTGAACTTGCCTGTCATTATCCCTGCCCCCTCTCCTGAACTCAACTGTCATTATCCCTGCCCCTCCTCCTGAACTTGCCTCCATCATCCCTGCCCTTCCTGTACCAGCCTCCCATCATCCCTGCCCCTCCTGAACTCGCCTGTCATTATCCCTGCCCCTCCTCCTGAACTTGCCTGTCATTATCCCTGTCCCTCCTCCTGAACTCGCCTGTCATTACCCCTGCCCCTCCTCCTGAACTCGCCTCCCATCATCTCTGCCCCTCCTCCTGAACTCACCTCCCATCATCCCTGCTTCTCCCGCAGTCGCACTGGTGTTCTGGCTGCTCCTGGAACACCCAGGTGTGTCCTTTCTCATCTTTGCACTCAATGTCTCCTCCCCTGGGGCACCTTCACTTCCACCCTCTCCCCTACCCCAGCTGCATGGCGGGATACTTCCTTCCCTTCCTCTGTTCAAATATTACCTTCTCAAATAGACCTTTCCAGACCACCCTATTTAAAAGTTTAAACTAGCACCGTCCCCACTAGCTCCCATCCTCAAACCCTGCTCGATTTTCTTCACAGTCCTTAGCTCCACCAGTCACATTTGCCTTTATCCCGTCTCCACCACAAGGTAAACGCCGTAAGAAATATACCCTTCCCTGTTTTGTTCATTCTGTATCCCAGAACCCTAGCAAGGGCTGGTGTATCTAGGAATTCCTACCTAGTCCTTGAATGCATGTTCATACCTGCATTTCACACAGTAGTGATAAACTCTTAAAAGGCTCTGGAGTCAAATTTCCTAGCTTCTAAAATGGGTTCCGGTTTAATTACTTTGAATATTTTGCTTAAGCTAAACCTCAGTTTCCTCATGTGAAAAATGGGGACAAATAATAACTCCTATCTCATAAAGTTATAGCTGAGGATTCAATCAGATAATCTATGTAATGTGCTAGTTGCTACATCTGCAAATGGTAAGTGATCAGAAAAAGTTGTTTTGTTGTAATTGATGTTATTCTTTTGATTTCTGCGGTTTTTTTGCTTGATCTTGTTTCATGTGCACAACAGCAAATATCATTTTTTAGGGCTATATGATCTGCATTCTAATGATTTATGGCACCTGGCTTAGCCATTCCCCAGGTAGATGATTCTGGGCTTTTTTTTTTTCCATTATAAATAGTGCTGTGACCAGCTCCTTTGTACACCTTGTAAATGTGTACTTTTTGTTCATCCTTGTTAAATATAAACTGTTCGGGATGTTGTCTTTTATTTGGCTTGCCGGATGAAAGGCTTGGAGGTGGTCATGTGGCCTTTCTCCACTTGGCCGACCCAGCACCCCCGGCCCACTTCCAATGACACCAGCTGGACACAATGCTACTGCTTGTGGCTTTTCTGGTTGAAGTGGAGGCTGACGAAGGGCAGGAGTTTTTCTGTGGAGGAACATGACATAGAGGAAAGGGAACAGGCTCTGTGGCTAGGCAGACCTGGGGTAGAATAATGGTGCTGATGTTTCCTAGCTGTAGGATCTGAGTCAAGTTATGTAACCTCTTTCAACTTCAGTTTCCTTGCTTAACAACGAAAACTAAGATGACCTACCTGAAAGGGTTGCTGTGAAGACGGCAGATTCCATTCGAAGCATGTTTAGCATAGTGCCTGGCACACGAGAGGTACATAGACAGTGTCTGCTGTCCCTATTGCTATTTTTCTTTGCAGGGAGATGGTCTCTGCCCTACAGGATGCTGGTTAATGGGGGAGGGTGGGTAAAATGTTAAGGTCGAATGATAACATTGCCACTCAGTCTCATGGAAATGCAGGCCTGTCTAGTGTCTTTGTGCATTGGAAGATAGGTTTCGGCCCTGCAACTTCTCCTTCTAGAGGATACTCTGACTTGGTTTAAACACCATCAGTGAAAAAAGCTTTCTTTCCCATCTAGCCTGACCCTTCATTTCATGGCGTTCGTGGTGCAAGCGCTTGAGGCCGGTGCCATCAGGGGCCTTGCCTGAGATGACTGAGCTGGTTGGTGTCTGGCCTGAAAACACAGATCCTGGCACCTCCAGTCTGGCTGCCTCACCTGGTAGAATAAGCCTGCAAGTGTAACCCCAGAAGGACGATGAAAGTCTTTCTCCCTGTATTTTTCTCTTCTCTTTTAAAAATTGCCATTTAGTTTAGAGCCGAGAGAACATTCAAAGTCTGAGTTAGAGGTTTCAAATGTGTGACACCTGGGGAAGGGGGCTGGTGGGACACCTGACTGCTCTGGGAAGAGGTGTGATTTGTAAATCTTGTTGTGGTCTGAGGTGAGAGGGAAGACTAGACACATGAGAGACAGGGAGAGAAGATAATTAAAACAATGACAAAGATAGGATTATTTATAATGGTACAACAGAGTGAGTGAATTCAGAGATGGACCTGGGTTCTGAGATTGCAAATAAGATGTATATATATACTCCAATTGAAGCTGACTTAAGCAAAGACAAACTAAATGGAATGTGTTGACAAATGTACCTGGCTGCTTACCTTCCCCCTCAGCTCTGATCTTTCTCTCTGTTGGCCTTGTTTGGCATCTCCTCCAAGGAGGGCAGGATGGCCATCTTTGACTCCTGGCTGTCATCTTAGCATCATCAGTGAAAACACACCTATTTCCTACTAATTCCAATGAAAGCCCTAGAATTGAGCCACACTGGCCTGACTTGGGTCATGTGCCCATCCTGAACCAATGACTGTGGCCAGGAGAATCATATGCTTGTTGGGCAGGCTGGGGTCATTTGTCCAGCTTGGGAGGCACCTGCCTTCCTGCATCATATGGGCTGAGGGAGGGCAGGAGGGGGCTCCTCACAGGAAAATCAGAGCATGTTTAGTGGAAGAAAAAGTAAAGAATACTGGGCAGGCAAAAACCTCAGGTCTCTGCTCCATTTATTATGTGCTGATATTTACTCATCTGAACATTTGCCTTTGTGCAAATGAAAGGGTGCCCCATGAATGGCTTGTGTCAGGTGAATAAACCCAGTCTTCATAAGAATAAAAATATAATGTATCACCTTTTGTAATTTTCCTACAACCTTTGTACACACCACAAGTAGGGGGATTGTATATGACTATTGAATTTGAGTTCAATAAAAGATTTGTACCTCCTGAATTACACTTCCACACACAAGATAGGATACATTAACTTAATTACTGTTGGATTCAATAACATAGGCCATTGCCCTGGGAATTTATTTTGTGTTATACTCAGAGAGAAAAACGGCATCATTTCTAAAGGCAGTCAATTTCCAATTATCCATGCTAATGGAAGAACACAGCATGTGGAGACTCTAAATACAGTTTCTGTTTGGTTTAGGGAGTGGACATGATTTTTTATTTATCTACCTGAGTTATTTGTCTTGCTTGGGCTTAGGAAACATAAAAAAGAGTTTGCATTATCTGGGTCTATACTTTCTTTCTTCTTTTTCCCTTGGTTTACAAAATGTGAAGTGTATTTTATTATTTGGATTAAAAAATTTTCATTTTGAACTAATTTTAGACTTATGTAATAGTTGCACAAATAGTGTAGTTTCCTTATATCCCTCACTCAGCTTAGCTTAATGTTAACATCATATATAACCATAGTACAAAGCCAGAAACTAACACTGGTACGACACTATAAACTACAGACTTTATTTGAATTTCACCCATTTTCTACCAATGCTCCTTTTCTGTTCCATAATCCCACATTTAGTTGTTATTTCACTTTAGTCTCCTCCAATTTTCAACTGTTTCTCAGTTTGTCTTATTTTTTATGATCTTGACACTTTTGAAGAATACTGATCAGTTATTTTGCGGAATGCCTCCAGTTTGGGTTTGTCTGATGTTTTCTCATGCTTGGAATGAGCTATGCATTTTTGGCAGGAACGCCAAGGAAGTATCCTCTGTGAATGGTATCAAGAGGTTCATGATGTCAGCATGTCTTATTATTGGTGATTTTGATGTTCATCCCTTGGTTAAGGTGGTTTCTGCAAGGTTTCTTCACAATAAAGTTACTATCCTTCCTTTTATAATTAACAAATATCTTGGGGGAAATACTTTGAGACCATGCAAATCTTACGTTTCTTCAAACCGTCACCTGCTAATTTTACCATCCATTGATAGATCTTGTCTGCAACAATTACTGTAGTGTTTGCCTAATGATGATTTTCTATTTCCCTTTTTCCTTCTACGTTTATTAATTAGAAGTCTACTGTAAGGAGGAACTGTCCTTTCTTCCCTATTTGTATGTTTATTTATTCTGTAGGTTAAATCCGATACTATCATTATTTTTTTTCCAAAATTTTTCTAGCTCTGACCATTAGGAGCTCCTTCAGCTTGGACTCTATTATTTATTTATTCAATAGACTTTACTTATTTAGAGCAGTTTTAGGTTAACAGCAACATTGAGCAGAAGGCATTGATACTTCCCACCTACTCCCTGGTCCCCCCCACATGCACAGACTCCCCTATTATCGACATCCCCTACCAGAGTGGTACATTTGTTACAATTGATGAATCTACATTGACATCAACTAAAATCCATAGGCATTGTGTTTCAGTGGGTGCAGTACATTCTATGGGTTTAGACAAAGTCTAATGACATGTATCCCTCATTATAGTATCATACAAAGTAGTTTCTCTGCCCTAAAATGCTCTGTGCTCTGCTTATTCTTACCTCTCCACCCCCTATTTCCTGGACATCACTGATCTGTTTACTGTTTCTGTAGATTTGCCTTTTCCAGGGTATCATATAGTTGAAATGTCGTGCAGTCTGTAGCCTTGTTTCAGCCTGGCTTCTTTTGCTTAGTAATATGCGTTTAAGCTTCCTCCATGTCTCTTCACAGCTTGATAGTTCATTGCTTTTCAGCACTGAATAATATTCCATTGTTTGGACATACCACAGTTTATTTATCTAGACCTTATTCTTTTGACAAATCCACATCCTTTGTGAGCATTTTCTGACTTTCTATCACCACAAAGTGTTCCAGCTTTATCTCATATTTTTCCTGCTCTAGCACTGAAATCAAGCACTTTTCAAGGAACCCTAGTTCTTTTAATTGAATAGTGCTTAGAATAGAACAGTGCTTTGAAATCAAGACCTAGGCACTAGGTATGCTCGTAGATACTGGGTTGCATTTGTTCTAGACCCTCTCCGTAGAGCTAGGAAATATATGTATTTTACTAATCTGTACATATATACCATCTATATTTCTTGCACCATGGTTTGATGAAAGGAGTGGCCATGGTTGCAGAGATAAAAACTATGTATGGTCCCAACAATATGGGTTTCCTTACCCTAAGGCTAATTTAGCTACTGCCACAGCCCAATGTTCCACCTGCCAGAAACCGACCATTGCTGAGCCTTTGTGTATCAGACCTCTTCCAACTTGGAATGGGCAATGTTTCATTCTGACTGGGATTGATACATATTCAGGGGTCAGATTTGCCTTTCCTGCCCACAGTGTCTCAGCCAGCACCACTATGCTAGGGACCAAATCAGTGTCTGATCTACTGGCATGGGATACCACATTACATTGCCTTTTATGGCAAAGAAGTTATGGCAGAGAGAACATTCATGAGATCCACTGATCCTTTTAAAAACTATACCATACGGAAGTTGCTGGCCTGATTAAGGATTGGAACAGCCTGTTGAAGGTATAGCTGAGGTACTAGTTTAGAGATGATATTCTGCAAGGATGGGGCAACATCCTTTAGGCTGAATAGACACCTTAAACCAATAGACATTAGATGGTGCTGTGTCCCTAGTAGACAGAATACATGAGTCAGAGAATCAAGGGGTGGAAGAAAGAGCACCCCTGCTCATCCTCATACCCCTCCACCCAGGCAGCCAACAGCCAATGCCATGGGGAAACAAAAGACCAGCCCCTCAAAGGGCACCAAGAAGGGGTATGACTCTGTGTTCCTGAGCTCCCTGGGGACACGATGGAAGTGGTCTCTAGCAGAGACCACACCTTTGCTTGGCTTTCTTCCCCTGAACTTGTCTGCTTCCCTTGCTCTCCTTCTTGGAGTGTGCTCTCAATCAATCACTTCCTCAAGAATCCTTGTTTCAGGCTCTGCTTCTAGAGAGATGGTGCTGATTGGGAATTTTTATTCAATTAATGTCATACTTCCCATCTCTTAAATATTCTCAAATAATAAGATTTCTAATGGCCACACGATGTTCTATTATGTGAATATAGTTTATTGAACCAATCTGATTCTAGACATTTAGGTTATTCCTGAGCTTTCACTATTATAAATAATTCAGAGAAGAACATAATTGTTGCTAAGCCTTTGTAAACATTCTTAATTATCTTTTCAGGTTAAATTCTTATGGGTGAAGTTACAAAGTCACTGGTCACAAACATTTTGTGGCTCTTAACATAAATATCAAGAACCTTGGCCTCTAAGAGGACTGTACCAGTTTATGATCCCACAAAGAAAGCAACTTTTTTTCATTTTTGCCAACCCAGAGAATAATGATTTTTAGAAGTATCTGCAAATTTTATCGGTGACTTATTATCTTAATGTGTTTTACTTTGGTTACTTGGCAGTTTGGTTATTTGTAGTTCTTTGGTGAATTGTGTATTCAAGACTTTTGCCCATTTTCCCATTGATGTATTTTCCTCATTAATTTCTTTTTCTTTTCTTTTCTTTTTTTTTTTGAGACAGAGTCTCACTCTGTCACCCAGGCTGGAGTGCAGTGGTGTGATCTCGGCTCACTACAATTGAGTTCAAGCAGCTCTCCTGCCTCAGCCTCCCTAGTAGCTGAGACTACAGGCATGGGCTAATTTTTTGTATTTTTAGTAGAGACAAAGTTTCACCATGTTGGCCAGGCTGCTCTTGAACTCCTGAACTTATGCGATCTGCACACCTCAGCCTCCCAAAGTGTTGGGATTACAGGCGTGAGCCTGGCCCCTCATTAATTTCTTTGAGCCTTTTTTTTTTTTTTTTTTTTTTGTAATTGATTGAAAGTACAGGGAACTTTCAATTGTAGATGTAAAGGGCACCATACAGCTTTTCACAGAGTGCAACGACAGGGTAGAAGTACCATGGCCCTGTCCCTTCATTTCACAAGAGAAGAAACTGAGTCCTAGGAACATCCAGGAAAATCTGGCATTGATTGGGCCAGGCCTCATGACTCCCAACAGAGTTCTTGCTCCACCATCTTTGTCAGAAGTGAGGGCTAAGAGCTGACAGAATAACAGACACTACTGCCAATCCAACATTAATCATGCACTTAGTATATGTCATATTTGGTGCAAAGCACTCTGTGTATATGATCTAATCTTCTCAAAACCCTGATAGATATGTGCTATTATGACTACCACTTTACAAAAAAGGAAACTGAGGCACAGAGAGGGTGAAAAACGTGTAGAGGTCATCTATGCTAGGAACCCTTTGGAAGAAGGAAAAGAACATTCCCCACGGTTGTGCCCTAACATAGTCACAGCTTGTCCCTGGTGCGGTTCTTTTCCTCTTCCCTTCCCCGCTGCTAAAGTCATTCTGTGCACCCAATTCTGTAACTTGCTTTTCTTTCACTCTATGTTTCATGTTGCTTCGTGGATTTTATAGCCATCATTTTAATGCCCTGCATAATATTCCTTTGTTGAGCAGATGCTAAATTCTTGAATTTAGTGTACTCCCACTGAAGATGTTGGGAGAATTTCTGGGGACCCCTGCTGTCTCCCCTGCAGTTCCCCCTGGCTTGATAATTCCCTTTTCACTTCATGCCTTGAGTGAAATGATACAAATTTAACTTGCAAATTGCCTAAGGATGTCTTTCATAGTTGGAGGCATCTGTAAATTATATGCAAATATGTGTGCAGCCAGGGGAATTCTTCCAATGCTTTGACCTTAAGAAAAATCTAGTGGAGATGAGTGTGTAAATGGTTAAAATTTCTTCTCTGAGCCTCAGTTTCTCAGTCTATAAAGGGGTGAACTAACCTGCTTGTGTGAGCTGCATGTGTGAGACTTTAAGGAGAAATTACATGGTATAGAATTATGAAATCCTATCAATTTAAGGGGTACAAGTACAGTTTTATTTCATGTATATATTGTATAGTGGTGAAGTCTGGGCTTTTAGTGTAACCGTCACCTGATTAGTGTACCTTGTACCCATTAAATAATTTCTCATCCCTTATGCTCCTCCCACTCTTCTAAATCTCCAGTGGCTATTGTTCCACACTCTATGTCCATGTGTACACACTGTTTATCTCCCAACCGTAAGTGAGAATATGCAGTTCTTGACTTTCTGCTTTTGAGTTGTTTCACTTAAGATCATGGCCTCCATTTCCATCCATGTTGCTTCAAAAGACATGATTTTATTCCTTTTTATGGCTGAAGAGTATTCCATTGTGTGTGTGTGTTTGCACCACATTTTCTTTAATCGTCTATTGGTGAACACTCAGGTTGATTCCATATCTTTGCTTGAACAGACATTTCTCTAAAGAAGGCCTACAAATGTCCAACAGATGTATGAAAAGATGCTCAATATCACCAGTCATCAGGGAAATGCAAATGAAAATCACAAGGAGATATCATCCCACACCTGTCAAAATGGCTATTATAAAAAAACAAAAAAGACAAGCGTTGGTGAGGATGAGGAGAAACTGAAACCCTTGTACACTGTTGGTGGGAATGCAAAATGGTGTAGCCGCTATGGAAAACAGCATAGAGATTTCTCAGAAAACTAAAAATAGAACTACCATATGATCCAGCATTCCACTTCTGAGTGTTTATCCAAGAGAACTGAAATCAGGATCTCAAAGAGATATTAGCCTTCCTGTGTTCATTGAAGCTTTATTCACAAGATGTGGAAATAACCTAATGTTCATGGATAAGTAAATAGATAAAGAAAATGTGACATATATATATATATATATATATATATATATATATATATATATATATATGATGGAATATTATCCAGCCTTTAAAAAGAAGGAAATCCTGCAATATGTGACAATATGGATGAACCTGGGGGATACTGAGCTAGTCACAGAAGTACAAACACTGCATGATTCTTATATGAGCTATCTAAAATAGTCAAACTCATGGAAGCAGAGAGTGGAATGGCAGTTGCAAAGGGGCAGGTGGAAGGGGGAGTTGGAAGTTGCTAATCAACAGGTATAACATTTCAATTATGCAAGATGAATAAATTCTAGAAATCTGTACAACATTGGGCCCATAAATGACCATATTTAAGCATTTTACACTTAAAAATCTGTTAAGGGAGTACATTTCACGTTAAAAGTTTTTAGCATAAATAATAATAATAATGATAATAATACTGATGCGTTTCTAGTATTGTTCATTTCTGGGTGCTTGAGCATGTTCAATTTAGTGTGCAGAACCTTGCTGACTCATCTGTATTCCATTTTGGAAGTTTTGTTAGGAAATACTCACAGGAAGTATGGTTTTGGTTCATGCTAGCTCAGTGGGTGGTTTTGGAACTCCTTTTGAGTTCCAGTAAGATGGGGCTTCTCAGGGGGTGCTGCAAACGAGTTGGGTTCATTTCGTTGTGTTTCCCGGGCCCTTCTGGATGTGTGGGACTCCTCCAGCTCCAGTTTTGCTCTCTGGTTTCCATCCCAGCTTGAAAGCTGTTTGGAGCGCTTGTTCCTCAAGGAACTCCATTTTGCTCCCAGTCCTGGGATCCTCGGTGAGCTGGAGCCTCTTTCGGGACCCTCGTCCTGTGGGCTCACTCTCTGTTGACTCAGCAGTCACCATCTTCTATTCCCCAAGGCATGAGCCCGCATTGCACCCACACTGTGCAGTCCTTCTAAAGGCAGCCATCTGGCACTGACCCTGAGAGGAAAGGAGGGCCCTGCCAGCCTATCCCAGAGCTTTGTAGCCTGCGTGGAGCCTGATGCCAACATGCGGTTGCATTTCTCTTTGTAAATGAATACAAAGCTAATAAGAAAAGGAAAAAGAACCTGGATTGCCTTTCTGAGCAAGGAAAAGAAAATTGTCTTCAAGTCTCAGAGGGCTTGTTATTCAGCCAACAGAGATCAGGTGTGTACATATTTTCCATCAGACTATGAAGTGCGTAAGTCTTGGACATCAAGGGAAATGCTGTGGGTTCCATGGGCTGTGGCAGCGCTGTGCCTGAGTGCTGTAGTGGGTCATAGTGGGAGCTTTGACGTCAAGTAGTCCCTGGCTCTTCTTCCATTTACTCAATGAGTGATCTGGGATAAAGGATCTCTCAACTCTGGGACTCAGGCTTTTGTTTTTAACATGAGGCTTCTCACAGCGCCTATTTCATGGGGGATTATCAGGAGGATTACATCAGATAACACACAGGACTGTGGTGTCTGACATGCTGTAAGTGCTCATGCATGTCAGCCCATGTTGTTGGTAGTTTTGTGGCCCTCATGATTTTTTCCTCTGTAGTCAGGACTTGGGCATCCTCTTCTCTGTTTCTGAGTAGTTGCTTTGCCATTAGAGTTTTCTGGTGTTTACTTTCATATTGTTGTGAGGTATTCATTTGCTTAAAATCATTTCCTCCTAAAGTGGGTTGTCCATACACCATGGCTCTGCATAGGGGGAAGAAAGCAAGAAGGCATGTGTGTGTGTGTGTGTGTGTGTGTGTGTGTGTGTGTTGGTGGGGGTGGGGGCGGGTGGGGGAAACGGCTGTGAGGGACGCAGGGAGATGGAGTGAGCCTGGCTCTACTGAATACATATAATCAATGGGTGAAATCGACGTGTTCGCAAAAGTTACAGGCCCTGCTGGGTGAGCTGCTTTCAGTGGTGTCAAGAAATGCATCTGTTTCATTACTCCTCTTCTTGGGATAAGGAATTATTCCAACATCACCTTCAAACCACAGCAGAAGAGCCTGGGAGTGGGAAGGTCATGTCATTCCCTCACAGTCCCTACTTTCTATCCAAGGGGTGTTTGGGGGTTAAAATATTCAACATAAACCTTGGAGCTTCTTTGCTTCAAAGAAGGGAAGGAAACAAATGCAATTGAGCTATGAGTATTTATTAATTCACTCAATATTTATTGTGCACTTA